>NC_000019.10:54115874-54740874 GCF_000001405.40 Homo sapiens | reverse complement strand
CCCTCTTCCTCCTCCTTTCATGTGCACCCTTGTGATTACACTGAGCCCAGTGGGACAGTCCAGGCTGTCTCCCCATGAGCTCCATCTTCCCCTTCAGTCCCTTCCCCTATAACATAAATAGTCACAGACTCCAGGGATTAGAATGTAGTCATCACTGGGGACAATTATTCTTCCCACCACAGCACCCATTTCCCTGTATTCAATCCCCCTTTACCACAAATACAGTCAGGGCCTGCGTGATGGGACCCTCAAGGACATGCCCAACAGAAGCTCTGGGATTCAGGAGGTGGGACAAGGAGAATCCAAGACAGGAGCCCTCTGACCTATGACCACGATCACCAGGGGGTTGCTGGGTGCTGACCACCCACTGGGGGAGTGTGTGTGTGAACCCCGACATCTGTATGTCCCTGTGTGTGCGGGGGTCACAGGGCCCATGAAAAGGCTGTTCCAGAATATTCTGTTGTAGAGCTCAGGGACAGGCACCCCACCTTCCTTTTACAGACTGAAGTTGTTAAACCCAAGATAAGAGTGACACCGAAGAATGACATGTCCTAGAGGCACCACAAGGCTGGGCCAGGCAGACAGCAAGGGCTTGTCCTGACCACCTTGGGGAGAAGGAGGCGCCGCCTTAGAGAGGAGGATGTGGAACTGCCCTTCCCTCCCTGTGCTCAGAAGATTCTCCTCGCTTTCCACGTTTCTATGGCTACTATCACACCTTGGTGCCCAGGGCTGAAGGAAGGACCCATCCCGCAAAGACATGGTGTCTCCCTACAACAAAAGCCTCAGCTGAGAACTTTGAGCAAGTGCTGAGTAAAGAGACTCCTACTAGATTTTAATACTGTAAGATTACTCACATAAAACAACACAGGGTAGACATGAGGTGGAGGGCATGTCCTTTGTGAATGGATATCAGCGGATGCCTGAACGAAAATAAACAACTGAGCCCCCATCAGAGGATTTGGAATGTCAGGGCCATGGCTGTGGTTTCCCACCTCTTCTGGTAGAATGACAGCAGCCACACTGCAGCCCCTACCATCATGGAAACGCTGAAGTGTGTGAGTAACACCTTTGTCCTCAGAGGATCTGCTGTTCCTACCACTTCCCAACCACACACCCCAGCTTTGAGCACCCCAGTCTAACCCTGGTCCCCACAGAACTTGACTCTGCCAAGGGGTTGAGAGGCCAGGGAGGCGAGGTCAGAAATGTGGGCTGAGCACCCCAGGGTCCTCTCTTCCTAGTTTATGAGAGACTCCCCGACAGGACTTCCCTCCTGTTTCAGGAAAATCCTCTTATGTGGGGAGATGACACCCGAAGGTTTGGAGAAGGACTCACCCTCATGTGGCCAGGCCCCCTGCAGCAAGAAGAACCCTGGAAAGAAAGATCATGATGGACCATCCATCTGCAGGCAAACCAGGCCTCCCTTGCTGCCCCCACTGGGCTGTGAGTCTTGGCAGCCAGGCCCTTCCTGGGCTGAAGTTAAACTCACCCTCAGTGCCTACCTGCACCCAAGAACAGGGCTGTCGGCTGTGCAGAGACCCAGTTTCCAGGCCCATATCCCCACCCCAAGCCCATATCTCCACTCCAGGCTGATATTTCCACCCTAGGCCCATATCGCCAATCCAGGCTCAGATCTCCACCCTAGGCCCCTATCTCCAATCCAGTCCCATATCTCCGCCCCAGGCCCAGATCTCCACCCTAAGCCCATATCTCCACTCCAGGCCCATATCACCTCTCCAGTCCCATATCTCCACACCCAGGCCCATATCTCCTTCCTAGGCCCATATCTCCACTCCAGGCCCAGATATCCACCTCTAGGCCCATAACTCCACTCCTGGCCCATATCTCCACTCCAGGCCCATATCTCTACTGCAGGCCCGTATCTCCACCTCCAGACCCATATCTCCACTCCAGGCCCATATCTCCACCTCCAGGCCCATATCTCCACCTCCAGGCCCATATCTCCACTCCAGGCCCATATCTCCACTCCAGGCCCATATCTCCACTCCAGGCCCCTATCTCTACTGCAGGCCCATATCTCCATCTCCAGGCCCATATCTCCATCTCCAGGCCCATGTCTCCACTACAAGCCCATATCTCTACTGCAGGCCCATATCTCAACCTCCAGGCCCATATCTCCACTCCAGGCCCAGATCTCCACTCCAGGCCCAGATCTCCACTTCTAGGCCCATCACTCCATCTCTAGGCCCATAACTCCACTTCCAGGCCTATATCTCCAACTCTGGGCCCCGATCTCCATCCCCGCACTCCCTCCCTCGATGCCCTTCCAGGACTCACCAACACACACCATGCTGACGACCATGAGCGACATGGTGCTGTCTGTGCAGACAGGCGGCCGCGCCCCAGCTCAGCTCAGCAGCGCACAGGATGTTATTTGGCGCCCTGCCCATGCAGTTTACATGTTGACCACATCATGGGAGGGTGACGTACGCAGGCTCTTTCTACCTTGCATGAGGCCCAGTGGGTGCTCGCTCAAGAGCGGAACATGGCTTCCTGGAAATTGTTCTCACTAGAATTGACACCTTGCGTCCTTCACTACGACCAGACTCAAAAGACGTCTCAGATCCAACCTCTCATACACGAGATGATTGAATTCTGTGCTTACATTAAAGATTTTTGATGTATTTTTGTTTTTATCTGAGATTCAAACTCTTCTTCATATGTAATGTGCAAAATGTCTAACAGGTATTATTAACATTATCAGAGTAATTGTGACAAGAAGCCATTCTAATTTTCCTGCTTGAGTTTCTACTACTAAACCAGAGGCATCAGAATAGCTTGAACCTGGGAGACGGAGGTTGCAGTGAGCTGAGCTCAAGCCACTGAACTCCAGCTTGGGTGACAGAGGAAGAGTCTGTCTCAAGAAAAAAAAAAAAAGCAAACTAAATAACCTATAATAACAAATCAGAGGACTCAGGTTACCAAATTTTAAGGGGTTCTATAAGTTTATATAAAATGCAGCATCCTCATGAGAGGGGATACAGAGAACCACTGGACAGAAAACTGTGTCTAAAATACATCTGTGGATACACAGTCCCTTTATAGTTGACAAAGGCTGCCATGTAGTTTAAGGTGGAATAGAATATTTTCTCAACAAATAACACAGGACCATAGGGTTACACGTAGGAAAAAATAAATCTAAACTTATCCTCACACTATAAAAACACTTCTTATTTTTTATCTTGTTGTTGTAAATTTTTTATGCTTTATTTTTAAGATTGACAAATAAAAATTATATACCATGGTCCTTCACTATACCTGGGTGATTGGTTCCAGGATCCCCATTCAGATACCAAAATCTGCAGATGCTCAAGCCCCTTGCATGAAATGGCATAGTGAAGCTGGGCACCGTGGCTCACGCCTGTAATCCCAGCACTTTGGGAGGCTGAGCTGGGTAGATCACAAGGTCAGGAGTTCAAGACCAGCTGGTCCAACATTCTGAAACCCCATCTCTACTAAAAATATACACACAAAAAAATTTATCTGTGCATGGTGGCACGTGCCTGTAATCCTAGGGGAGGCTACTGGGGAGGCTGAGGGAAGAGAATCGCTTGAACCTGGAAGGCGGAGGTTGCAGTGAGTTGAGATCACGCCACTGCACTCCAGCCTGGGTGAGAGAGTGAGACTGTCTCAAAAAAAAAAAAAAAATAGCATAGCAATTGCATAGAACCCATGCACATCCTCCTGTATACATGAAATCATCTCTTGATTACTTATAATTCCTGACACAGCCTACACGCCACTCAATTTGTGTCGATTCAACATAGTTTTTTGCTTTTTGAAACTTCGGGGATTTTTTTTCTCAAAATATTTTTGATTTATTGCTGATTCAATAAACATGTGTAAACCCCAGAGATATGGAGGAGTGACTGTCTATTTATAGTAGTATGAAAGATGATGTGTTGATACGTGTCCCTGTGGAGATGAGACTAACAAGGCCTATGACTCTACAAATGTTTCATCGTGGAATGACTCTGCCAGCTTTCCAGATCTGCAGAGAGTAAGAATATCACTTGTTCATCTGATTCACCATCCTTGGAACCTCCTATGTGCTGCATCTTTGGATGGAAATTGGAGTCTCAGAGACAATTCAGGCTCCACCATGCTTCCAGAAGCTCAGAGTCCAGGGCTGAGAACCCAGCGGAGAACAGATGGGGTTATGTGGACGTGGTAATGATAACACCGGAAGCCTTAGGCAAGAAAAGAGTCCCATTGAAGAAACCATGAGGGCAGACATGTTTACTTGAAGAATAGAAAACTACATTGAAATTATAAAAAAAATTTATAAGTTTTACTGCTGACAGAAGGCTGAAAGATACTCTGAGGAAAGGTGGAATAGCACGTATCTAAGTGCCGTGTTAAGAGGGAGCCTCTTATATGTTTGGAATTGTGAGTTCCTCAGTGTGATCGCAGCCTCAAGTAGACTAGGAAGTAAGCCAGTTAGGTTGGAGAGGTGGGCAGGGGTCAAGTGAAATGGAGAATTGTGGGCTAAGCAAGTGTGTTTTCTCTCCAGCAGGCAGTGGGGACCTTAGACATTTGTAAGCAAGAGAGAGGCATGTTCAGATTCGTGGTGTGAGGAAGAGCGATGCCCTAAGATGCAGACTCACGCCTTCAGAGTCCAGCTGCTGGTACATGGGAGCTGGCAACCCGGTTTTGAGACAGGGCTATTGTCTCCCTAGAAGATCCCATCAAGGCCTGACTGTGGTGCTAGTGGACAGAAGACAACTTTGGATCTGCGCTCAGCATTTGGAAGTTCCGTGTTACACGCTGGTATCTGTTGGGGGTGTCTTGGGCCTCTGAGAAGGGCGAGTGATTTTTCTCTGTGTGAAAACGCAGTGATTCAACTGTGCGTATGTCACCTCCTGAGGGTCTTGTTCATCAGAGTCCTGGAGGGAGGGAAATGCTGAGTGAGGGAGGGTGCTCACATTTTCCAGGACTCTTTGGGAATAAGACTAGCCACGAGGCTGGGCGGAGGAGCACCTACCTCCCTGTTCACTGTTCTGTTCCCTGCAGGCTCTTGGTCCATTACAACAGCATCTGTAGAAGACGGAAGTCGTCAAAACAGCTCGGAGGGCACTTCTGGGTCCTCATTTCATAAGCAGATACCAACATACAGGGGGAGGCCATAGGTGCCTGAGGTCCCTCAGTTGCCAACAGCAGACTCAGACATTCTATCTCTCTGAGCTCAAGGATCCATCCCATGTATAGCTCTGAGTTCCCATCCTATTGATTCTGTGTCCCACTTTCTGCCTGTCATGGAACCTTCTCCTGGATGTGAGTGGCTGCAGGGGATGTGAGGATACGGTTCAGAATCAGGCAATGGTCTGTGAGCTGAAGGCAGAGGCAGGGAGTCTGGTGCTCTCTCTAGAAAGTCCTGCCTCTGTGGCTCCTGCCTTGGGCCAGGGACCATCCAGTCTGTGAGGAACACACACCTGAGTGCTCCCATCCTGCTTCCCCACATGGCCCTGAGCTCTCTGGCTTCTGCTTCGTGAGACTTACTCTTTTTGTTGGCACACCAGCGATGAAGGAGAAAGAAGAGGAGGATAGCAAAGGGGATGATGACCACTGAGGTCCCAATCAGAACGTGCAGGTTTCTGGAGTTACCTGGAGGAAGACAAGACACCAATAAGAAGCTAATCATAGCAGTTCCTCTATATGAATTGTCTCACATTTCTTGATTGACAGGTAACCACATACAACGTCTCTTTAGGACAAGCACCCAGATGGCGGGAGACCTAGCTTCCTCCTGCTTTCTCAGTTGTAGTAACCATAGAACGTGCTGAGGATACAACTGCTTTAGTTTAGATGTTTGACCCCTTCAAACCTCACATTGAAATGTAACCCCCAGAGTGGGAGGTTGGGCCTCTTGGGAGTTGTTTGGGTCATGGAGGTGGATCCATCATGAACAGATCAATGCTGTTCCAAGGAGACGGGGTTAGCAAGTTCCCCCTCTATTAGTTCCTGGAGAACTGGTTGTTAAAAGAGCTTGGAAGCTCCATCGCTCCCCCTCCCCCTTGGTCCCTCTCTTGCCGTGTGATCTCTGTGGTCTCTGCACAGACAGACCCTCCTTCCCTTCTGCCAGAGTGGGAGCAGCCTGAGGCCGTCACAAGAAATAGATGCTGGTGCCATGCTTCCAGTACAGCCTGCAGAACTGTGAGGCAAACACATTTCTTGTCTTTAGAAGTTACCCAGGCTCAAGTGTTCCTTTAGAGCAACAAAAATGGACTAAGACAGCAACGTCCTGAGATCAGGAGGAACATCCCAGAACAGCCTGGGCTGTCTTCCTGTTCTTCCTGGAGGAGGACGTCATGCAGTGCTTTAGCTGAGTGCTTCCTGTGGCTCCAGGGTACAAAACCCAGGCTGGGCTGCTTTTTGATTTCCCCCAGATACACTGCATATGGGGTGACTCCACATGTCTCGAGCAGCTTTTCTGAGCCTTGAGGGACTGGCTCACATTGAAATGTAGGTTTCTGTTGTCACTCGCTGCTTATCTGTTAGTAATGAACCTGCCTGTGTAATGTGTTCTCTGTGTGTTCTGTCTCCCTGGAGTGACGGTGAGTGATAGGAATTGGTATAGGCCCAGGTGCATTCCAGGAGGTGTTTAGAATCTTCTCTGGGAAGACTGGATTGGGATTGATACACAGCGAATGTGCTTTACAGTTTCTACCACCACAACCCTCTTGACTCAAAAAAATTACATTCTCCAAGAAAAGAAAGAAAAAATGAAATCAAGATAAAAAAAGTGAAGTAGAACTGACTTAAATCAAACAGCCATGAAATAATGATGTAGCCCAGGAACAACATGCTACTTTTTGTGATCTGCTGAGACATATATTAGGCTGCTATTCCACCCGAGAAGCACGGGGAAGGACCGCCCTCTCCGTCGTTTATTGTTTCAATACAGCCTGTCCTTCTGTGAGTTAGTACGAAATGTGACCAGGGGCTAGTGCTGGCACTGGTCTCTGAGTCCAAGATCTGAGCTCACTCCAAAGAGTATTAGTGTTTACCTCCCCATGATCTATCTGTATCTCCATAGGTGATTGGAAGTAGAGATGAATTGGGGGATTTGGGTGAAGGGGCAAGTTTTATGCCATGAACAGAGCACGTTCTCTATTCCAGGACCTGTGCTGGTGGGTTCAGGAGGCTTTCACATTTTCCATATGATCCCAAGCTCACAGAAAGCCAAATAAGGAAGAGGTTTAACCTGATTGTTTAATGGATAAGATAAAGGGTCAAAGAATTAAACACAGAGAAATAGAAAAATGATGGTTGGTATCCAGTTGCCTTTGTAATTTCTGTGTGTCATAATTATGTATGTTTTATTTTTATTTTTTGAGACAGAGTCCCCCTGTGTCAGGCTGGAGTGCAGTGATGCGATCTCAGTTCAACCTCTGCCTCCAGGGTTGAAGCCATTCTTCTGCTTCAGCCTCCCCAGTCGCTGGGATTACAGGCAGGTGCCAATGCACCAGGCTAATTTTTGTATTTTTAGTACAGACGGGGTTTCACCATGTTGGCCAGGCTGGTCTCAAACTCCTACCCTTAAGTGATCTACCCGCCTTGGCCTCCCAAAGTGTTGGGTTACAGGTGTGAGCCCCCATCCACAGTCTTGTATATTATATTATACTAGGTCCCTTCATTTGCACCACCCCTCATGTGTCTATCGCTCCTCTGCCAGGTATTGATTTAGATGTAGAAAAAAAACACATCTCAGAAAGAAATTAATGAAACAAGGATTAAACTACTAGGAAAAATCAAACCCAGCAAGCCCTCCCTGCAAATGATTCTACCTCACAAGCATAGCTTATATCCATCTTTCATTCATTTAGTGTGTAAATCAACCCTACGTTTCACCAGTGGGGCGGGAATTGCCTTTTCCACGGTCTCCTAGATTCCAGTTACGCACCTGGGCCTCCCTTATTTTCATGTCGGTCACTGTTAATCAGGTAGGGATTCCTAGTTAGCTCTGAGTTGAATCCAAGGGCTGTGAGTATCAAAAACATGCTCCTTGTTCCTCCTTAGTTTCCTGTGTACCCAGTGTGCTCTCCATCTCTCTACAGTTGTCTTGTCATTCTCCCCATCTCATTCCCAGCATTTGAGGCAGAGCCTCTTCCTTGAACTAAGAATGTTTCCACCTTTGTGCCTTCACGGCTGAGAGCTCAGTGTGGAAAATCCTTCCGCCAATCTTCCAAGGGTTGAATCCATTTTTTCCATTAAGGTCACAAATATTATCTGATCAGTGAGACCTTCTCTGTCACCTGAAATTATATACTCAGCATTATCTATTACTTATTTTAAATCCTGGCTGGGCGCAGTAGCTCTCGCCTGTAATCTTTGCACTTAGGGACGCTAAGGCGGTGGGATCACTTGAGATTGGGAGTTTGAGACAGCCTGCACAACATGGTGAAACCTCATTTCTACTAAAAAAATATACCAAAAAAATTAGCCGAGTGTGGTGGCGCACAGCTGTAATCCCAGCTACTCGGTAGGCTGAGGCAGGAGAATTGCATGAACCCAGGAGGCAGAGGTTGCAATGAGCTGAGATTGTGCTACTGCACTCCAGCCTGTGGAACAGAGAGAGACTCTACTCAAAAAAAAAAAGAAAACAAAAAACACACACACACACAAAAAACCCCAGATTTGGTGCACAGATGCTTCCCAATGGATCATTCATTTATTGGTACCCTTGTGCATTCATTCTCTGCCCTCGCATTTACCCATCTGCAATATCAGCGTCCCAAGAGCAGAGGCCAAATGCATCCTGTTTACCATTTGTGGAAGGCAGGAGAATGCTGCCCCACCCCCAAAATGTCCCTGTCTTAGCCTCCATAGCTTGTGAATATGTTATTTTACAGGAAAGGAGGAATGAAGATTGCAGATGGCATTACGGTTGCTAATCAGCTGAACTTAAAAAGAGGGTACGCTGGATGATTTTAGGGAGATTGAGATGGATTATCTTGGTGACCCCAATAGAATCCCAAAGTCCTTAAAAGATGAGGAAGAAGGCAGAGCAGGATTCAGAGAAAAAGGTGTGGGTAAAGAAGAAGAGTCTGAATGATGCCATGTGAGACGTGACCAGCCTTTGTGGGCTTTGAGGAAGGAGGAAGGAGGAAGGGGACCAGGGGCCCAGGAACGTGGGAGCCTCTAGGAGCTGGGAAACGTTAAGGAGCAGATTCTTGCTTGGAACCTTAAAAAGAAATCCAGCCTTACTGTCCCTTTGATATCAGCCCAGTGAAATGCAGTTCATACTTCTGAGTTACAGCACTGTGAGATAATTAAGAAAAACATGTTTTCATCCACGAAGCTTGTGGAAATTTGTTATGGCAACAATAGGAAAAGATTCCACACTGCACAGCCTGAGCATGGGGCATTGGCTGAACGAGTGAGTGAGTGGAAGTGTCGTGTGCATAAATAAGCTAAATTCTCTCTTACTGCACGTCTCTTGCTCTGCTGAGTCAACCAGGGTTGCATCTGGTACACTGCTGATACGAATGTAAATTAGTACAGCCATTACAGAGGAGAAGAGTATGGAAGTTCCTCAAAAAATAAAATGAGGTCGGGCACAGTGGTTCATGCCTGTAATCCCAGCACATTGGGAGGCCGAGGTGGGTAGGTCACTTGAGGTCAGGAGTTGAAGAGCAGCCTGGCCAATATAGCGAAACTCTGTCTCTACTAAAAATATAAAAATTAGCCGAGTGTGGTGGTGGGAGCCAGTAACCCAGCTACTTGGGAGGCTGAGGCTGGGGAATCTCTTGAATCCTGGAGGTGGAGGTTGCAGTGAGCCCAGATGGCGCCACTGCACTCCAGCCTGGGCAACAAGAGTGAAACAGTCTAAAAAAAACAAAAACAAAAACAAAAACCATAAAACAAAATGTAAAAAGACACTTCCAGAGGATCTAGCAATTCCATGACTGGGTGTAAACCCAAAGGAAAGGACATCAGCGTATCGAAGTGACATCTGCACTCCCATGACTGTTCCAGCAGTGTTCACAGTAGCCAAGATGTGGATCAACCTACCTGCCCATCAGTGGGTGAATGGATGGAGAGAATGTGGTACACACACACAATAGGGACAACTCATCCATAGAAAGAGTAACATCCTGTCATTTACAGCCACATGAATGGAACTGGAGGTCATTACAAGTATTTCCATTTCTCACTCATATGCAGGAGCTAAAAGGTGGATCTCACAAAGGTAGAGAGTAGAATGGTGGCTACCAGAGGCCAGGAAGGGAAGGGTGGAGGGTAAAAAAAAAAGAATACTAATTAATTAATTAATTAATTTTGAGAGAGTGTCTCTCTCTGTTGCCCAGGCTGCAGTGCAGTGGCATGATCTCAGCTCACTGCAACCTCCGCCTCCTGCAATTAAGTGCAACTCCTGCCCAACCCTACCAAGTAGCTGGGACTACAGGCATGTGCCACCATGCTCGGCTAATTATTATCATTATAATTATTATTTTGTATTTTTAGTACAGATGGATTTTCCCCATGTTGGCCAGGGTGGTCTTGAGCCCCTGATCTCAAATGATCCACCTGCCTTGGCCTCTCAAAGTGTTGGGATTACAACCGTGAGCCACCGTGCCCAGCCTATAAATGTATTTATGAACAGTAGACTTCACACTTAAAAATGGTAAAGGTGGTAAATTACATAGGTATATTTCACCTCAATAAATATTTCTTCAAACAAAAAGAAAAGGGTGTAGGCGTTGCTGGTGATGACATCTCTCTGTGGGTGACAGGCCAGGATGGGCTTCTGGGAAGTGGGTAAGGTTGAGGGGCTGAGAGAACCTCTGATCTCCCCAGGCAGAGCCCAGTCTCCCTCCTCTGGGTCTGTTCTGACCTCTTTCTCCATCTGCCTGGGTGCCTGGAACCCTGATCAAGGGCATCCTTGCAGGCCATACAGGAGGGTTTGGAGGTGCCCTGTCTGCCATCCTGCGCCCTGACCCCGCCCTTACACCCATGCTGTGTGTTCTGTCTCGGCATCTGTCCATGCTTCTCTCCATCATCAGCAGGAAGCTCCTCAGCTATGGCTCTAGGATCACAAGACATGGGACAGGCATGGTGTTTTCTCACCTGTGACAGAAACGGGCAGTGGGTCACTCGGGTCTGACCACGCATGGGGCAGGGCACGGAAAGAGCCGAAGCATCTGTAGTTCCCTCCGTGGGTCACAGGGCCCAGAGGGAAGTTGGCCTGGAATGTTCCATTGACCCTCAGCACTGCAGTGAGCCTAAGTTCACCGGCCTCCGCCTCCCTGGATAGATGGTAAATGTCAAACAAGCTCCGGGAGCTGCAGGACAAGGTCACATTCTCTCCTGCCTGAACCGTGGGGCCCGGCTGGGCTGAGAGAGAAGGTTTCCCATATAGACCTGGAAGAAGAAGAGGTGGTTTCCTCAGGGAGGTTCTTCCTTGTCACAGCTCTCCTCACACCTGAGCTGAGAACTCACTCCCCTGCTCTATGACTTAATGCTCTCTTTCTCTCTCTCACCCTCCACCCCCATCTCTCTTCATGTCTATTTCCTCCTTCCACCTTCTCTGTCTCTCTAGGTCTCTGACCTCACTTCTCCATCCCTAGCTATGTTTTCTTTTTTTGTACCATTTTATTCTCTCTGACCCTCCTTGGACTGGTTGACTTGATCTTCCTCTTTCTTTAATTCTGAGTCTCTCACTTTCTGTCTTGCTCATAACTTTCTGCATATTTCTATCTATTATCTATTGATCGATCTATCATTTATCTATGTATGTATCTATCATCTATCATCATCTGTGTATCTATGACCTATCTCTCTGTTATCTATCATCTATCAATCAATGTATGTATGTATGCATCTATCCATCTATCATCATGTGTTTATCTGTCTTTCTATCTCTCTATATCTATTTATATATCATCTGTCTGTCTTTCTACTTGTCTATCTATATCATCTATCAGTCATTCATCATCTATTTGTCTATCACCTGTCTCTCTATTATCTATCATCTACCTTTTATCTTTCATCTATCTATATCTATCTGTCCATCTATCATCTGTCTCTCTCCATCTCCTTGTCTTTCTCTGCCTCTCAGTCTCTCTAGTTCCCTTTT
This sequence comes from Homo sapiens, assembly GCF_000001405.40. NCBI lineage: Eukaryota > Metazoa > Chordata > Mammalia > Primates > Hominidae > Homo > Homo sapiens. The sequence goes on along the minus strand of NC_000019.10, from coordinate 54,728,777 downwards.
GGAGTCTCTGCAATCCATCCTCACATCTTTATCTTTCCCTGTCTTTGTGCCCCTCCCTCAGGGCTCTGATTTTAGGGCTTTTCTCTGCTTCCTTCCATCATACGCTCCACTTCTCTGCCCTCTTTTTCTATCTCTTTATGTGTCTGTGAGTCTCTCAATTCCCTTCTTCTGGCTCATTCTGTGTGTGTGTTCATGTCTTTGCTTTTTGATTTCCCTGATTTCACTCCGTGTCTCTCTGTGGGCTTTTGTTCTCAGTAATCCTATAACATGTGGTGCTATTTGAATATGAGCCTCAGAATCCAGTATGGGGACTCCAGGAACTCACAGCATACAGGGGTTGGTGTTCTGCTCCCTCACCTGGGGCCATGGTGTCCTGGGACGATGACAGCTCCACTGCACGGAAGGCAGAGGTTTAAGAATAAACACAACATCTGTAGGTGCCACCAGCCTGGGGCCACATGGCCCAACTCAGGCCAGATAGATGTGTCTCTTTGGGTTCTCCTGGGAGAGAACACTTTGTAGAGGTAAAACAGAATGGAACCTTCTAACCTGTGCCTGGTCTCTGAACAAAGTCAGCATAGAAGGACACCTCTCTCTGGGATATGTCTGTCTCTCTGTGTCTTCTTTACCTCTTTATCTCTTTTTCTAACACCTTGTATGGCCCCTGTGTCTGGCTTCTATGTTATGACATGAGGTCTGTACTTGTGTCTCCTGTTTCTCTGCCTTTGTTGGTACAGACCTCACCAAGTCACTTTCTCTCCATAGGAACCCCACACTCATCTTCCTCATGACCACCTGGGGCTTCCAGTCCTAGATCATTCACTCCATCTCCCAGCAAGGGTGAGAGGCAGGTCTGTATTCTCTCACCTACGACCACGATGTCCAGAGGGTCACTGGGAGCCGACAACTCATAGGGTAAGTGAGTGACAGAACCAAAGCATCTGTAGGTCCCTGCAAGGGCAGGTGTCATGGGACCCATGGAATAGTTGACCTGGGAACCCGCATCGTGGAGCTGTCCAACGAGGCGCAAGGGGTCCTCAGTGATCCCCTCTCTGTGCAGAAGGAAGCGCTCAAACCTGACATCTGACCAACATTGCAGGATGACCGTCTCTCCTGATTTCACCAGGGGACCTGGGTGGGCCAGGAGGGAAGGTTTTCTGTGGACTCCTAAGAAGAGAGGTTGTGAGTTCAGAAGGCGTCTCCCTTTCTCATCCCATTCATGGGACCTGAAATAAGTGAGGCTTCCCCTCCATGGTGTCTATCTCTCTCCTTCCTGTCTGTGTCTCCGTGTTCTTTTGTGCCCATAACCCCTGTTGCAGGTCCCTCCATCTGTCTCCCTCCCTCTTCCCTGTCTCTCTGTCTCTAGTAGCCCTGATTCCCTTCCCACTGTGCTCAGTGTCACCTCTTAGGCTGTTGTATCTGTTTCCCACTAATCTCTTTCCTGGTGTTTATGTGGGGGTGGAAGAGGAACCATGACAGGCTGCATGTCCAGGCTCTTAGCAGCCTGAATCAATCTCTTTTGGACAGATTGGAAAGGCCGGCAGGAGGTACGAACTCATCAGTAAGGCAGGCATCAGTGTCCCTGTTCCTGATGGGGATTGGGAGCCTCTCCTTTCATGTCTGTGCCTTCTCCATGGCCCCAGCTTCCATAGGGTGGCCCCTGGTGCTGGTTCCAGGAGCATCAACCCCTCCCTATGTGGATCGAGCCTGGTGGTAGCATCAGTATCCCACCCATGCTAAAATCAGTGTAGCCAACCTTCTCCTTGTTTGGTTTCTTAACCTGTGCTTCACCTGGGTTCCTGTGTTGGTTTCCTGTTGCTGCTGGAGAAAATTGTCACAAACATGGGGCAGGAGAGAATACAATGACCTCTTCCACTTCTGGAGAACAGAAATCGGACCCAGTTCTCTCTGGGCTAAAATCAAGGCATCTGCAGGGCTGTGTTTCCTCTGGAGACTCAGGGAAGAATCAGTTCCCTTGACTTCTCCAGCCCTTAGAGGCCACCTGCCTTTGTGGCTCATGGCCTTCCCCCATCTTCAAAGCCCGCTGTGGCTGATGGAGTCTCCCTCCCACGACGTTGCTCTAACCCCACTTTCCTCTTCCTCCTCCTCTCATGAGGACCCTTGTGATTACTCTGAGCACAGCAGGACAGTCCAGGCTGTCTCCCCATCGCAAGGTCAACTCATCAACAACCTGAGCTCCATCTTCCTCTTCAGTCCCCTGCCCTATAACATAAATAGTCACAGGGTTCATGGATTACCATGTAGCCATCACTGGGGACAATTATTCTTCCCACCACAGCAACTATTTCTCTGTACTGAATCCCCCTTTACCCCAAATACAGTCGGGGCCTGGATGATTGGACCCTGATGGACGCCCCCACCAGAAGCTCTGGGATTCAGGAGGTGGGACAGTGAGAAGCCCAGACAGAAAGCCTCTGACCTGTGACCATGATCACCACAGGGTTGCTGGGTGCCGACCACCCAGTGGGGGAGTGTGGGTGTGAACTGCAACATCTGTAGGTCCCTGCATGTGCTGGGGTCACAGGGCCCATGAGAAAGCTGTTCCGGAATATTCTGTTGTAGAGCTCAGGGACAGGCATCCCGTCTTCTTTGGACAGACTGAATTCATTAAACCCAAGACGAGAGCGACACTGAAGAGTCACATGTTGTCCTTCAGACACCACAGTGCCGGGCCAGGCAGAGAGGAAGGGCTTGTCCTGACCACCTGGGGGAGAAGGAGGCACCACCTTAGAGAGGAGGATGTGGAGCCGCCCCTCCCTCCCTGTGCTCAGAAGATTCTCCCATTTCCACGTTTCTAAGGCTCCTACCACACCTGGGTGCCCAGGGCTACAGGAAGGACCCATCCCGCATAGACATGGCGTCTCCCTACAGCAAGTGTCAGCTGAGAACTTTGAGCAGGTGCTGAAGAAGCGACTCTTACTAGATTTTAACACTGCAAAATTACTTACATAAAAGAACACAAGGTAGACACAGGATGGAGGGCATGATCAGCTAATGCATGAACCATAATAAACAACTGAGCCCCTATTAGAAGATCTGGAATGTCAGGGTCATGACTGTGGTTCCCCCACCTCTTAGGTAGAATGACAGCAGCCACATTGCAGCCCCTACCGTCATGGAAACGCTGGAGGGTGTGAGTTATGCTCTTGTCCTCAGAGGCCTGTTGTTCCTTGCACTGCTTCTCTCCCTTCCTCTGCCGGTGACACCACTTCCTCCCTGCACACCACTCCTTTGAGCACTTCAGTCTCCCCCTGGGTCCCCACAGACTCAGCCAAGGGAAAGAAAGGCCGGGGAGGGCTAGGACAGAACTGTGGCGAAGCTTCCCCTGGCTTCCTTTTCCTAGTTCATGAGAGATTCCCACATGGCTTCCCATGGTCAGCCCATCAGTCAACCCCCTGTGTCGCCTGCCTCCCGTTTCAGGAGCATCATCTTATGTGGGGAGATGACAACCTAAGGTTTGGGGGAAGGACTCACCCACATGTGGCCAGGGCCCCTCCAGCAAGAAGAACCCTGGAAAGAAAGATCATGATGGATGATCCATCTGTACATCACCTCCAGGCCCATATCTCCACTCCAGGCCCATATCTCCACCTCTAGGCCCATATCTCCACTCCAGGCCTATATCTCCACCTCCGTCCTATATCTCTACTCCAGGCCCATATCTCCACTCCAGGCCTATATCTCCACCTCCGTCCTATATCTCTACTCCAGGCCCATATCTACACTCCAGGCCCATATCTCCACCTCCAGGCCTGTATCTCCACCTCCAGGCCCGTGTCTCCATTCCAGGCCCATATCTGCACTCCAAGCCAACATCTCCACTCCAGGCCCGTATCTCTACTCCAGGCCCATATCTACAGTTCCAGGCCCATATCTCCACCTCCAGGCCCATATCTCCACTCTAGGCCCATATCTCCACCTCCAGGCCCGTATCTCAATTCCAGGTCCATATCTGCACTCCAAGCCAATATCTCCACTCCAGGCCCATATCTACAGTTCCAGGCCCATATCTCTACTCCAGGCCCATATCTCTACTTCAGGCCCATATCTACAGTTCCAGGCCCATATCTCCACTCCAGGCCCATATCTCCACCCCAGGCCCATATCTCCACTCCAGGCCTATATCTCCACTCCAGGCCCATATCTCCACTCCAGGCCCAGATCTCCACTCCAGGCCCAGATCTCCACCCCAGCGCTCCCTCCCTCGATTCCCTTCCAGGACTCACCAACACACGCCATGCTGACGACCATGAGCGACATGGTGCTGCCGGTGCAGACAGGCGGCTGCGCCCCAGCTCAGTTCAGCAGCACACAGGATGTTGTGAGGGGCTCATGCAGTTTACATGCTGACCACATCATGGGAGGATGACGTATGCAGGCTATTTCTACCTTGCATGAGGCCCAGTGGCTGTTTGGTCAAGAGCGGAACATGGCTTCCTGGAAATTGTTCCAACTAGAATTGACACCTTGCATCCTTCACTATAACCAACTCAAAACACGTCTCAGATCCAATCTCTCATACAGGAGATGACTGAATGCTTGGCTTACATTAAAGACTTTTGATGTATTTTTGTTGTTTTTATCTGAGATTCAAACTCTTCTTCATGTGCTATTTTCCCCAGGCTGTTCTTTGACTTCAGAGTTCAAGCAATCCTCCTGCCCCAGCATTTCTAGCAGCTGGCAGTATGTCACAATCTGCCACACCCAAGTCACAACTTTTAGAACTTTTTTTTTTTTTGAGACGCAATCTCACTTCGTCACCCAGTTTGGAATGCAGTGGTGAGACCTCGGCTCATTGCAGCCTCCACCTCCCAGGTTCACGCAATTCTCGTGCCTCAGCCTCCTAAGTAGCTGGATTTACAGGCACCCACCATCACGCCCACCTAATTTTTGTACTTTTAGTAGAGAGGAGGTTTCTCCATGTTGGCCAGGCTGGTCTTGAACTCCTAACCTCAAGTGATCTGTCTACTTCAGCCTCCCAAAGTGCTGAGATTACAGGTGTGAGCCACCATGCCTGGCCGGGACATTCTATATGTGTGCGTATGTGTGCGTTTATATACATATGGTTATACACACACACACACACACACACCCTAAGCACTCACATATATAGTTGTTTCAAATTTTAAAAAATATAAATTTTGTATTTTTCTTTCTTTTTCTCACATTTGTGTTTCTATGACACCATATACATATTGAATTTTATAGTTCTATTTTATTCTTTTGGATTGCAGTTTAATAGTCCATACATAACTTTATCAACATGTAATTATCCACTCTTTTTATCATGGACATTTGTGTTGTTTCCGGATTTTCTCTTTTATAACTCGGGCCTTGATAATCGTGTTTCTGTGTGATCCCTTGCATACATATGCTGAATTAATTAGACATATTTACCTAGGAATGAAATTATTGGTTTTGGGTGCAAGTTGGTGTTGAGCTTAACCAGGAAGTGCCAAAATATTTCCATCATGACCAAATGTGGCCTGGAAAGTTTTTTGGGGTCAATTTTCCTGTTTCTTCTAAGGAACAAAATTGATGTCACTGATTTTTCTGTCCTGTTTGTCATTTATGAATATACGTACATATGCACGTATATATTTGCTTGCCATTTTATGTTTTTCCTCGACGTTACTTTGGAATTAATTTGCTGATGTGTAGTATTTCTGCAAGCGAAAGTTACCTATTTACTCAGCTCTTCCTTCTTTTCTAACACAGACATTTGAGGCTTATTTTCCTTTAACACTGTTCTATCTGTATCCCCAGTCATTTGCCGAGATGTGTTTTCATTTTTAATTGATACAAAATATTTTCCACCTTTCTTTGAAATGTTTTTCTTCCACTCATTGTTTATTGCTATGTGTGTTTATTAATTTTAAAATATTTGATAATTTCCCCAGCATTTCCTTGTTGTACATTTATAATTTAATTCAACTGTTTCATCTATCATATTACCTATGATTCAGCATTTAAAAATTTATTTTGGTGAATGTTCCAGGGGTGCTAGACAAGTTTGTGGATTAGGAAGATTTGAGGTGGATGTTTTCTAAATGTCAGTTAAGAAAAAAATCATTCAAATGTTTTTCTTTATTTAAAAAAAATAGAGACGGGGTCTCACTATGGTGCCCAGGCTGGTCTCAAACTCCTGGCCTCAAGTGATCCTCCCATTTTGGCCTCCCAAAGTGCTAGGATTATTGAAATTATTAAATGTTTCATATCAACACCCAACCTTATGCACCCGCCGCCTACACAAATGTTTTTCAAGTCTTTCATATGCTTAATAATTTTCTGTGTACTTGTTCTGGAAGTGAGGTGAATGTTGCTATCTCTAGCTGCAATTTGGATGTGATTGATTATGTTTTGAATTATGCCTTTAATTTAATGTGTTTTGAGGTTCCAGCTTTAGGTGTGTAGGCATTTAGGATTATTATGTCTTATTTATGAATTTGCCTCTTTGTCATTATGAAGTACTCCTCTTCATATCTCCATATATCTCTTCTTTGTATGTGCATGGTGAAATATTTCATTCTTTGAGTTAAGAAACTTCTATTGAGGAATACTTTTTATTACAAACATTTACCTATTCTATGTATACAACTGACTAGAAGCATATTTTGCACTGGGCATTATCATGACAATGTAATGTCATTCTTTCAATATTTACATCTTGTGGATTAGTATTTGAAGTGCAGCTTATGTAGACAGCATAAGGTTGGGTGTTGATATGAAACATTTAATAATTGCACACGTATTTGCCTCTTGGGATACTTCCACTTTTTTGAATTTCAAGTTACTAAATGGTATCATTAATCTTTGCTTCAAGAGCTTAACATTTATTGTAGAACAATGCTTCATGTAATAAATTGTGAGACATTTTTAATGGCACCTTTATTGCAGGAAAATGTTTTCCTTTTCAGGTTGAAAGATTCTAGTTTGAAATATTTTCTTGTAGCACTTTAAAAATGTTGGTCCACCTATTTCTTACTTTCATAGTTTTGAATACAAAGTTTGCTGTCATTCTTGTATTTCTTCTTCTGTTTTTTATTTATTTATTTTTGACAGAATATCTTGCCGTCTCACCCAGGCTGGAGTGCAGTGGCATGATCTTGGCTCACTGCAACCTCTGCCTTCCAGGTTTCAGCAATTCCTGCCTCAGCCTCCTGAGTAGCTGGGACTACAGGCATGCGCCACCATACCCAGCCAATTTTTTTTTTTGTATTTTTTTTTTGTAGAGATGAAGTTTTGCCATATTGGCCAGAACTCCTGACCTCAAATGATCCACCTGCTTTGGCCTCCCAAAGTGCTGGGATTACAGGTGTGAGCCACTGTGCTCAGGCTATTTATTCCTTTTTATATAATATGAATTCACATTCATACATACCAGGGGTTAGGATTTCAACAAACGTTTCTGGGGGAGACCACTCAAAACACAGCACTCATCCTTGGTTATTTCCAGCCATGGAGCCTGTATCAATATCCTGGTGAATTATCTAAGCTGTCCACCTACCTACCCCAAATCCTCATGGTCACATAAAAGGCTAGTATAGTATAATAATTTTTCTTTCCCTGCTTATCTACAGTGATGAAGAAACGAATATTCAAAGGGAAAAATCTTAGCTTTAGGTATAGGGTAATTCTTCTTCCTATTTTTAAATAACTTCAACCTTTACTGTAGATTAAAGGTATGCATGCAGGTTTGTTACATAGGCATATTGTGTGACTCTGAGGTTTGTGGTTCCAACAATGCCATCACCCAGGCAATGAGCATAGAATCCAACAGGTGTTTCTTCAGCCTATACCTCCCTACTCCTCCCCCCATCTGTAGTCCTCGGTATCTGTTGTTTCCATCTTTATGTTCATGTGTATTCAATGTTTGGTTCTCAGTTATAAGTGATAACATGTGGTATTTGGTTTTCTGTTCCTGGGTTAGTTCACTTAGGAGATTGACCTCCTGCTACATTCATGTTGCTGCAAAGGACATGATTTCATTATTTTTTATGGCCATGTAATGTTCCATGTGTATATGTAGCACATTTTCTTTAACTAATCCACTGTTGGTGAGCACTTAGGTTGACTGCAAATCTTTGCTATTCTGAATTGCACAGCAATGAATATACTAGTGCATGTGTCTTTTTGACATAGTTAATTACCTTCCTTTTGGTATATACCCAGTAGTGGGATTGCTTGATTGAATAGTAGTTCTATTTTAAGTTATTTGAGAAGTCTCCAAACTGCTTATCACATTGGCTGAACTAGTTAACATTCCCACCAAGAGTGTATAAGTGTTCCCTTTTCTCCACAATCTTGTCAGCATCTGTTATTAAAAAAAACAAAAAACTTTTTAGTAATTGCTTCTGCTTCTCTGATTGTTGTGAGATGGTATCTCACTGTGGTTTTAATTTGCATTTCTCTGATGATTACTGATAATAAGCATTTGTTCATATGTTTTTTGGCCATGTGTACATCTTCTTTTGAGAAGTGTCTGTTCATGTCATACTTAATTGAGGTTTTTTGGTTTTCTGCTTGTTGATTTGTTTACATTCCTTATAGATTCTGGATATTAGAACTTTGTCAGATGCATAGTTTGCAAATATTTTCTCCCAGTCTGTAGGTTATCTGTTTACTCTGTTGATACTTTCGTTTGCTGTGCAGAAGCTCTTCAGTTGAGTTAGGTCCCAATTTCTGTCTTTGTCACAATTGGTTTTGGGGAGTTAGCCATAAATTCTTTGCCAAAGTCTATCTTGAGAAGGATATTTCCTAGGTTTTCTTCTAGAATTTTAATATTTTGAGGTTTTACATTTAAATCTTTAAACTATCTTGGGTTAATTTTTGTATATAGTGAGAGTTAGGGGTCCAGTTCTATTATTTTGCATATGAGTAGTCAGTTATCCCAGAACTATTTATTGAAGAAAGGGTACTTTCCACATTGCTTGTTTTTGTCAATTTTTTCAAAGATGATTGTAGGTATGTAGCCTCATTTCTGGGTTCTCTATTCTGTCTCATTGGTCTATGTGTCTGTTTTTGTAGTAGTATCATGCTGTTTGGGTTACTATAGCATTGTAGTATAGTTTGAAGTTGGGTAATGTGATGCCTGGGCTTTGTTCTTTGTGCTTAGGATTCCTATGTGTATTCAGGCTCTTTTTTTGGTGCCAAATACATTTTAGAATAAATTTTTATAATTTCGTGAAAAATGACATTGCATTTTGAAATGGATAGCATTGAGTCTGCAATTTGTTTTTGGAAGTATGGCGATTTTAACTATTTGTTCTCCTAATTCATGAGCATGGAATATTCTTCCATTTGTTTGTATCATTTCTTATTTCTTTCAGAAGTGTTTTGTAGTTCTCCTTGTAGAGAATTTTCACCTTCTTGGTTAGATGGATTCCTAGGTATTTTATTTTCTTTGTGGCTAGTGTAAATGGAATTGTGTTCTTGATTTAGTTCTCAGCTAGAATGTTAGTGGTGCATAGAAATGTTACTAATTTGTGTACATTTTTTTAATCCCGAAACTTTATTGAATTTGTTTATCAGTTTCAGGAGCCTTCTGACAGAGTCTTTAGGGTTTTCTATGTATAAAATTATTTCATCAGCAAAGAGAGACAGTATCACTACTTCTTTTCCAATTTTAATGCCTTTTATTTCCTTCTCTTGCCTGATTGCTTTGGCTAGGACTTCCAGTACCATGTTGAATTAAAATGGCGGGAGTGGTCATCCTGGTCTTGTTTCGGTTCTCAAGGGGTATGGTTCCAGCTTTTGCCCATCAATATGATGTTGGCTGTGGGTTTGTCATAGATGGCTCTTAATATTTTGAGGTATGTTCCTTTGATGCCTATTGACAGTTTTTATCATGAAGGGATGTTGGATTTTACAGAAAGCTTTTTCTGCATCTATTGAGATGATCATATAGTTTTTGTTTTTAATTATGTTTATGAGGTGAATCACATTCGTTGACTTTGTAGGTTGAACCAACCTTGCATCCCAAAAATAAAGCTTACTTGATCATGTGAATTAACTTTTGATGCACTGACAGATTCAATTTGCTAGCATTTTGTTGAGGATTTTATGTCTATGTTCATTAAGGATATTTAGTTGTAGTTTTCTTTTTTTCATTATGTCTCTGACAGATGTTGGTATCATGGTGATGATGGCTTCATAGAATGAGTTAGGAAGAAGCCCCCACTCCTTGATTTTTTCCAAAAGTTTCAGTAAGATCGGTATCAGTTCTTCTTTGTATGGCTGTTGGATTTTGGCTGTGAATCCATCTGGTCCTGGGCTATTTTTAGTTAGTAGGGTTTTTATTACTGATTAAATTTCTGAACTTGTTATTGGTCTGTTCAGGTTTTCACTTTCTTCCTGGTTGAAATATGATAAATTTTGTGTTACCAGGAATTTATCCATTTCTTCTAGGTTTTCTAGCTTGTTTGTATAGAGGTGTTCATAATAGTCTTTGACGATCTTTTCTATTTCTGTGGGATTGTTCGTAACATTGTTTTGTCAGTTCTATTTGTGTTTATTTGGATCTTTTCTCTTTTTCTTTGTTAATCTAGCTAACAGTCTATGAATTTTGTTTATTTTTTTTCAAAGAAAAACTCTTGGTTTTATTTATCTCTTGTATGGACTTTTTGGTCTCAATTTATTCAGTTCTCTCTGACTTTAGTTATTTCTCATCTTTTGCTGGCCTTGGGTTTGGACTGTTCCTTTTTTTTAATAGTTCCTCTAGATGCAGTGTTAAGTCACTAATTTGAGATCTTTCTAAACTTCTGATGAGGCATGTATTGCTATAAATTTTCCTCTTATCACTGCTTTAACTGCATCCCAAAGGTTTTGGTAAGTTTGTTTCTATTTTTATTAATTTTAAATAATGTTTTGTGATTTCTGCTTTAATTTCATTGTTCACCCAAGAGTTCTCAAGGGGTACAGTTCCAGCTTTTGACCATTCAATATGATGTTGGCTGTGGATTTGTCATAGATGGCTCTTAATATTCATTCAGAAACAAGTTGTTAAATTTCCATGTTTTTCTGTAGTTTTGAGAGATCATCTTGGTATTTTTTTCTATTTTTATTGTGTGCCTTGTTATGATTTTGATTCTTTGAATTTATTGAGACTTGCTTTGTGGCCAGTCTTAGAATATGATATGTTTTTTGTGTGTGCAGATAAGAAGAATCTATATTCTGCAGTTGTTGGGTGGAGTACTCTGTAGATGTCTATGAGGTCCAATTGGTCAAGTGTTGTCTTTAAGACCAGAATTTCTTTGTTAGTTTTCTGTTTTAGTGATTCATCTGACGTTGTTAGTGGGATACTGAAGTCCCTTACTATTATTGTGTGGCTGTCTAACTCTTTTCATAGGTGAAGAATAACTTGTTTTATGAATCGGGGTGCTCCAAATTTGGGTGCATATATATTTAGAATAGTTAAGTCTTCTGTCAAATTGAACCCTTTATCATTTTGTAATGCCCTTCTTTGTCCTTCCTGATTGCTGTTGATTTAAAGTGTGTTTCATGTGATATAAGAATAGGAATGCCTTCCTTTTTTTTGTTTCCTGGTTGCCTAGTAAATATTTCTTCATCCTTTTACTTTGAGCCTGTGGGTGTCATTACATGTGAGATGGGTCTCTTGAAGACAGCAGGCAGTTGGCTCTTGGCTTTTTATCCACGTTGCCACTCTATGCCTTTTATGTGGGGAATTTAGGCCATTTACATTTCTTCTCCTGATATATCCTTTTTATATTTTTATGATTGCCTTTTAAAATATATTGAATGGTTGTAATTCCAGGGAAATGTCTTTCAGAACAGTATTTATTCCCATCTACATGTTTTGGAGAGTGCACTAGGGGACATTGAAGTTTATTTCCTGAAAAGAGTTTAATTTTAAAATGTATTTTATTTAATAACTCAATGATTCAGGGAATGTCTAGGTATTTCAGAGATTGTTTTAGACAGTTTGTTTTCTTGTGATATGTGACCACTTCATCTAAGCTGAATAATGTCTTCATAATGTCCACTTAGAATCTTTTGAATTCTGTAGGATCTGTACTGATGTCATTGTTTCCTTTCTGATATTGGTAATTTTCCTGGGGTAGGATTCTTAGCTCCTCCTGAGGTCCTGCCTCTAAAATTCAGGGAACAATGAGTCAGATTAGTACTCTGATTTCAAAGGGAAAGCTGATCATCTACCATTTTTTGTTTATGTAAATGGACACATTAACATCCCTTGTCTGAACCTTAGTTACCTTGTTTGGAGCATTTTGCTATAAATCTCACTTCTCAGAGTGGTTGTGGGGCTTGATGTGGCTGGGGTATGGGATGGCTTAAACATAATTTATTTCCAGACCAGGTTAAGGCATGAAGGGGTTGGGACTTGTTAGAATCCTGTTGTCGGACTCCACAGTAAGGGTAGACATTTGAGGCACCCAATCAAAAACCTCAGTTGTTCCTAGCACTGAGAAATTTGATAGAATGTTTCTAAAACATTATTCATGGTCTAATGCACAAAAAGTAAAGTGATAGCCCTGGAAGTAGACAGGGAACCATAAGAAAAAAGAGAGAGCAAAGCTCAGTGGTCACCAGTGCCTGGGACCATCAAGGGGTTATTAAGGAGGAAGTTTCCACCTCTGTGGGGAACAGAAGAGGCTCCCTAGGGTCCACACACACAGGGAGTGAGCCAAGACTCTGGGCGAGGCTGGAAGCTCTGGGTCTCCTTCTGTGAGATTTTCTTTTTTTTTTTTGAGATGGAGTCTTGCTCTGCCACCCAGGCTAGAGTGCAACGGCGCGATCTCGGCTCATGGCAACCTCTGCATAAAGTGGTATGTATTTAAGGCATGCATTAGACAAATTACTAAGTATTTACTAGATAAGAAAAAATTATATCTGAATCTTTTCAAATTGCCGTCTTATGCATTATATTCTCTTTTTATAGTGCAATTTCTTAATAGTTAATGCCAGAAGATTTTTTTTTCTTCCTTTCTTTCTTTCTTTTTTTTTTTTTTTTGAGACAGAGTCTCACTCTGTTGCCAGGCTGGAGTGCAGTGGCACGATCTCGGCTCACTGCAACCTCCGTCTCTCGGGTTCATGCCATTCTCCCGCCTCAGCCTCCTGAGAAGCTGGGACTACAGGCACCCTCTACCATGCCCAGCTATTTTTTTTTTTTTTTTTGTATTTTTAGTAGAGACGGGGTTTCACCATGTTCGCCAGGATGATCTCTGTCTCTTGAACTCGTGATCCACCTGCCTTGGCTTCCCAAAGTGCTGGGATTACAGGCATGAGCCACTGCACCTGGTCGCCAAAAGATATTTTTAAAAACCTAAATGCCACTTGAAATGAATAAGACCCTCAATAATTCATGGGATATACATGTGAACTTATGACATATGATGAAATAAGCAGGTTACAAAATTGTAATATATCAAGCAAGGTAGAAAGCCATGGCAGAAAAAGAGACAAGCATTTTCAAGATAAGGAATGAAAGAGGGGAAACAGTACTATTGATTTTACAGATTTTACAAAGATATCTTAGGTGTGTTTTCCTAAATAATAAATGTACCCTCCTTTTGACCTTTATGTAATGAAATAACCATGCACACATTTTCAAATAATACTTCATTTACTTGACTTTATGCTTGAAAATTGAAGTATGGTGCTGTTTGTTATTTTCATTTATGCATTTTACTACCTTGTAATATTCCACTGAGTCTATTTACCACACTATGTTTATTTTTTTCGTAGGTGGACTTTGGTATTTTATAGCTTTGGCTAATAGGAACAGCATTCCTATAACAGTTGTGAGTGTATCATGACACATAAGTAGACATTTATCTCTAGGGTACATAATTAAGTACATAATTAAGAAGGGTCACAGCCATGTGCCTCCTCTTTTTAACTAGATAATTCCAATACACTTCCTTAATTGATTAAAGCAATTTGTACTCTTACTATTAATGTACTAAAATTCTACATGTTCAATATTCTTTCCAAAAAATGATTTTGCTACTTTTTTCTTTTCTTGAGACTGAGTCTTGCTCTATCACCCAGGCTGTAGTGATCTCGGCTCACTGCAACCTCCGCCTCCTGGGTTCATGCGATTCTCGTGCCTTGGCCTCCCAAGTAGCTGGGATTACAGGCAGGCGCCACCATGTCTGGCTAATTTTTGTATTTTTAGTAGAGACAGCGTTTCACCATGTTGGCCAGGCTGGTCTCGAACTCCTGACCTCAGGTGATCCTCCTGCCTCGGCCTCCCAAAGTGTTGGGATTACAGGCATGAGCCACCACACCCGGCCTATTTTTTTCTTTTCCCTCCATTGTGCTATGATTTTTGACATTACAATTTTACTGAAACTACACCATAAGAATGAAGCAGAAATTATTATAACCTTTAAATAAACTTTACAACTGGTTCATACTCGTGTGAACGACAATTCTTTTGACTACTTCCCAACTGTGCATTCAATGGCGTCATATGGGCACCCTGAAGTTGGCCATAAAGGACGTATTTATACCACACTAATCAGCAAATACCATAAATCTGGGGCTTTATATGTTCAGAGTTTTCTTAAGAAAATAATTTTTTCAGAGAGCCAGTTTAACAGAATACCATGAGGCTGAGCCTTCGAGCGTTAGTGTGCTCATTCTGAGAGATGATATTTCTGGACAAAGTACACAGGTATCATCCGATGAAGAGTGAAGGGAATTCAGGGTCCAGAGAGGGTGCTAGGGCATCATTTCAGACTCATATTTCCCTTTTTTTTTTTTTTTTTGGAGATGGAGTCTTGCTCTGTTGCCCAGGCTGGAGTGCAGTGGCAAGATCTTGGCTCACTGCAACCTCCGCCTCCCGGGTTCAAGCTATTCTCCCGCCTCAGCTTCCTGAGCAGCTGGGATTACAGGTGCTCACTGCCACACCCAGCTAATTTTTGTATCTTTTAGTAGAGACAGGGTTTCACCATGTTGGCCAGGTTGGTCTCGAACTTCTGACCTCAAGTGATCCGCCCACCTCAGCCTCCCAAAGTGCTGGGATTACAGGTGTGAGCCACTGTGCCTGGCCTCAGACTCATGTTTCAAAGTCCCAAATACAAATCTGCCCACCTATTCCAGTTATTTAATCCAGATCTATGCTCAGAACTGAAAAGATGGAGAATCAATAGTTCACTTTAGAGAATGCGGTAGTTGGAAACAAAGACAAATGTATTACATGACAGTGGACCAGAGCACGTGATCGCAGGGGTGTGGATGCAAACCCACCATGGGGGACGTGCCTTCACATCACAGAGAGCGAAAGGAAGGGAGGGGCAGACACGGAGGATCCACAACAGCAGGACTGAAAGCACTGCCATTTAATGGAAGTTTAATGGAGGAAGCGTTCTCTACAGGCACCCAGACATCTTCCTGAACCTGACCCAAGCCTCCCCTTCTCGACTTTCTCAGTAGACGGTTTCCCGAATGATGGTCCAGACTTTCTTCCAGAACCTCCTAGGACTATCAGATTCATTGCCAAGGCTCTGGCACTCTGAAGGGTGCATTGTTCTCTCATGTATTTACCTCCTTGCTGCATCTTGGGGACTTCTCTAGCTGTGCCAGTCCTAAAGCAGCAGAATCCCGAGGACCACCAGGACCAAGCCAGCCACAGCCACGCGGATGAGATTCTCCACTGTGTAATCCTGGGGGTGTGAGGCTGGGGATGGTGGACCAAGAGGTCTCAGAGGTCAGGGCAGATCAACATCACCCGGGACCCCTGGATGTCCACCCAGGGCACCCACCTCCCCTTCACAGGACCTGACCCTCTGTGCCAGCCCCATAACCGAGAGCATCTCCTTACACACCAGTCTTGGAGTCTGTCTTGTTTTGCGATGGGCTGAGGGTCTCAGCTGCTCCTGAGAATCAACCAAAAAAGGGGGAGGTGTGTGAGGAGTTGAAGAGACTTAAGCCAACATGTCCCTCAGTTGCTGCATTCCTTTGTGTCTACACTTCTCCTAACTGCTCTGTAGTTGTGTGATAGAACCTTTCCCTGCCGTGGCAGAGGTACATTCGCATACATACATACATATATGCATAGGTGTAAATATGTGTGTATACATAATATGTGTTATGCATATGTGTATACATAATATGTATTATGCATATGTGTATAGATAATATGTATTATGCATATGTGTATGCATAATATGTATTATAAGATATAGTGTGAGTATATATAAATATATAATATATAAGATATATAATAGTGTGTGTATACATATAAATATATAATAAGATATGTAATAGTGTGTGCATATATAAATATATAATATATAATAAGATATATAATAGTGTGTATATATAAATATATAATACATAATATATTATAAGATATATAATAGTATGTATATATAAATATATAATACATAATATATAAGATATATAATAGTGTGTGTATATATAAATATATAATACATTATATATTATAAGATATATAATAGTATATATAAATATATAGTACATAATATATAATAAGATATATAATAGTGTGTGTATACATATAAATATATAATAAGATATGTAATAGTGTGTGCATATATAAATATATAATATATAATAAGATATATAATAGTGTATATATATAAATATATAATACATAATATATTATAAGATATATAATAGTATGTATATATAAATATATAATACATAATATATAAGATATATAATAGTGTGTGTATATATAAATATATAATACATTATATATTATAAGATATATAATAGTATATATAAATATATAGTACATAATATATAATAAGATATATAATAGTGTGTGTATACATATAAATATATAATAAGATATGTAATAGTGTGTGCATATATAAATATATAATATATAATAAGATATATAATAGTGTATATATATAAATATATAATACATAATATATTATAAGATATATAATAGTATGTATATATAAATATATAATACATAATATATAAGATATATAATAGTGTGTGTATATATAAATATATAATACATTATATATTATAAGATATATAATAGTATATATAAATATATAATACATAATATATAATAAGATATATAATAGTGTGTGTATATATAAATATATAATACATAATATATATTATAAGATATAATAATGTGTGGGTAATATAAATATATAATACATAATATATAAGATATATAATAGTGCATATATAAATATATAATACATAATATATATTATAAGATATAATAATGTGTGGGTATATATAAATATATAATACATAATATATATTATAAGATATAATAATGTGTGGGTATATATAAATATATAATACATAATATATAAGATATATAATAGTGTATATATAAATATATAATACATAATATATATTATAAGATATATAATAGTGTGTGAGTATATATAAACACATACATATATATTTGAAGTGAGAAGAGTATTATATAATTTAGAAACAAACAAGTTTGTCCTCCATTTTCTTGTGGTTAATGTAATTATTATCAATAAATCAGAAGAGATCATTTCGGAAAGGATTGAAAGGGAGTGTGTCTGTGGTAAGTTAATAGGAACTAAAATTAGCATACCCAAACCAATAGCTTTCTCATCCATACGTAACTAATTTTAGAAAATAGAAAGGAATCAAAGACTTTCAAATTATTCAAGTAGTAAAACAATGCTTAAAATTCACAATGTCCACAATTTTTATGAATACAACTTCAAGCATCTGCTAACTGTATAAAGTTTAATTTTAAATGTATTGGATACAAAGACATTATTAATGAGAAGTTATTCTCCATCATGAATGCACATATTTAATTTAATCCCAAAGAAAATCAGAGCACAGTTATTTTACATCATAACGCTACCTAACAAATTAAATGTGTAAATTATAAATGCCAGCATTGCTTTGAAATCTTCAGAAACAGAAAGAGAAACTAGATATGTGGACATAAAAAATAAAGGACAGAAAGGAATTGCACACGAGGTTTGCTGTTGAATAATTTGCCTGCATTGCTGCAGTGAGCAGGTGCATGATCTCCCCTTCGTCTCAGGTATGCACTGAGTATTTTGGGGCCGCCAGGGGAGCCCAGGTGGGGAGTGGGTGGGGCCTCCATCTTCTACCCTCAGCCTAAGCATGATTCCTCCAAGGTTTCTCCATATCTCATTTCAGCCCTCCCTGGCCTTTAGCCCCATCTGAGGTCTCTGGGGTGGGAGCCCAGGATTAGGAGGTCCCTGACTATTTCCACCCTCTCATGGGCTGGGCCCTCCCCTGCCGACCCTCCCCCTTTACTCCCCTCTTTCCTTAGCGTCCTGAGCTCTCCTGGGGGCAGGGCCTGAGCTGAGGTTTGAGCTCAGAGAGGACAGGGTCAGCGGCCTCACCTGAGACCACGAGCTCCAGGGGGTCACTGGGGTGAGACAGCAGGTAGGGGAAGAATCTGCGTGAGCTGTAGCACCTGTAGGTCCCCGCGTGGGCTGAGGTCACAGGACTCATGGGGAATTCAGCCTGGTGCTGCTGAGCTTGGTGCTCTGATCTCAGACGCAGTGGGTGATGGGCTGCCCCCTCCTTGGTCAGAAGGAAAGTGTCCAACTGCTCCCGTGACTGACACAGCAGGGTCACGTTCTCTCCTGAGGCCACCGTGGGGCCCGGCTGCACCGAGAGGGAGGGTCTGCCACGGATCTGTCCTGGAGAGAAGAAGGATGGGTGAGGGGCTGCCCCACCTCGTTCTGAGCTGACACCTCCCCAGGCCTCTCCCTGGGACCCTCAGTGTCTCTGTCTCTGTTTTCTCTGAGTCTCCCCCTCCCCGCCCATCCCCTGTCTCTGTCTGTCTCTCCGTCCCTTAGGACCCCCACCCCTCATCCCGGCCATCACCACCTGGGCTCCCCCAGCAGGGCCTGTGCGGAGCCTGGGTCCCTGACTGAACCTGCTGGGCTCCTCACCTGCGATCAGGATGCTCAGGGGGTCACTGGGGGCCGACCACTCGGAGGAGAGGTTGTGTGCACCGTAGCATCTGTACTGGCCCCCGTGGGAGACCCTCACAGGGCCCAGGGTGAAGTTGGCCTGGGAGAGCCCAGCCTGGGGCTGCCGGCCAGAGCCCTGGACGAGGTCATGTCCCCCCTCCTTGTACAGAGTGAATTTGTCATAGCCGACATCAGAGCCACACTGGAGGGTCAGATTCTCCCCAGGGGCCACGACAGGGCCCTGCAGGGTCAGGAGGGAGGGCTTCCTAGACACGCCTGGAGGGAAAGAAGAGTCGGGACTAGGAGGGCTGGTTCCTCCCACACCCCTTCCTTCTCCCCTCCTGGCCCTGCAGGTCTCACTGTCTCTCACACTCAGTGTCTCTGGGCTCAGGAGTCCCAAACTTCCCTTGTTCCACCCTCCTACATGGGGCTCCGTGAGAGTAAGTTCTCAAAAATAAATAGGGCAAGGAGGAAGACATCCATACCTAAGACCAGGATCTCCATGGTATCACTGGGTTCCGACCACACCCAGGGGAAGTTCGTGTAATGCCCATAGCATCTGAACATCCACCGGTGACTGGCAGCCACACGGCCCACAGGGAACAGGGCCAGGGACAAGGGACAGCCCCTTGGAGAGTTCCTGTGAGTCCAGCATCCAGGAGAGCTTGTTTTCTCCTTCCTCAATCAAAATGAACCTGTGAAATCCCACCCTTGAGCTACACTGGATGGTCACGTTCTCTCCTGAGGTCACCACAGGGCTCGGCAGGGCTGAGAGAGTGGGTTTTCTGTGGGCTCCTAGGAGAGAAGGAGACACTGTCTTAAATGGGGCTCACGCGTCCCACATCATCCCCCAGGGCTGAGTTATTAGAACGGAGATGCCCTTGAGAGCTGACCCCCTTCCTGCAGGCAGAGCCTGGGGCTGGGACCCCTGAGTGTCCTCTTACCTGTCACCACCAGCTCCAGGGGCTCGCTGCGCTCTGACCAGCCTGCAGGGCTGAGATAGTGACAGTGGTATCTCCCTGCATGGTGCTCTCTCATGGATGGGATGAAGAAGTTGGTCTTGTTCCTGGGCTCTGGTGGGCTCTGTTGGTACCAGGTCATGGGGTTTCCTTCCTTGGTGAGATAGTAACCCTGGGTATCCAGGGTCCCCTGGCACCAGAGGGTCATGGGGCTCTCCCAGGTAATCACAGAGCCTGGCTCAGCCCAGAGGCTGGGTTTGGGGAGGGTCCCTGGAAGAAACCACAGGCTGGGGTCCACAGACCTCCCCCGCTCCTCATTCCCAGCTCAGGTCACAGACCCTCTTGATTTTCTCACCCTCAGTTCAGAAGCCCCTGAGATGAGAGTCCAGGTGCTGAGTGTGAGGTCAGGCATGGGAGGTTAGCAGAGACTCACCTGCAAGTGCTTGGGCTTTCTGGCCCAGACTCAGCCATGGAGAAGAGTTTCCTGTGGGGGATTTGGAACACAGAGGTGTGGCTGCTTCCCTTCCTGTTGGAGCACCAGTAGCCACTGGAGCCCTGAGGCTCTCTGGTGAACAAGGCTGCTGTGGGACCCTCCCCACCTCAGCCCAGTGCCCCTCCTGTCCCTCGTCTCTCCACCACTGACTGAGGCACAGAAGAACAGTGAGGATGGACACCATGATGCCTGCTCTGCGTGCTCCAGCTGTGGGACAGGTGACCACATGGCCCTCCATGACAGACAGATGCACGGATGTGGTTAAGTCAGAGCCTGCTGCCGCCTGCCTGGGTCCCCACAGCTGTGAACCCACAGGAAGTGGACAGCCCCTTGCTGGGCCTGTCTCTTATTCCCCCCCCAGTGCAGGGGCTCAGGAGGACCCAGGCCCTCTGCACACATCTCAGCCCAGACCTGAGGTGTCCCCTGATTGCCAGGGATCCTTTGTCTGAAAACCTGCCCGTGGAGGGTGGACCCAACATCATATCTATGTCAGCTCCCAACTTAGCTGGGTCTAAACTGAAAACACAGCCCTTATTTTCTCAGAGCCTCCACTCATGACATCGGCTTTCTTTTTCCCCACTGATGCAAAGACAAATATTTCCCAGCAGAAAGTCATCCTGATCTGGAGAGACCCATTTCCTGCGTTCAGTAAATAAAGTCAGTTTCATTAGGGGAGGCTCTGGGAAAATAAGGGGATGCAGACTAGCAGAAGATGAACATTTAGCTACTTGTTTCTCAATTAATTGATTTATTACCAAAGAGAGAGAAGTGGAAACATGAGAATAGGGACCATGACTAGAATGTGGTTGAGGGAATGGTTTCTATCTTATTCCCTGGCAGAGAACTAAGGGATAAGAATGAGAAAGCTGGCTGGGTGCAGTGGCTTACACCTGTAATCCCAGCACTTTGGGAGGCCGAGGCAGGAAGATCACAAGGTCAGGAGTTCAAGACCAGCCTGACCAACATGGTGAAACCCCTGTCTCTACTAAAAATACAAAAACTAGCTGGGTGTGCTGGCATGCGCCTGTAATCCCAGCTACTAGGGAGGCTGAGGTGGGAGAATCGCTTGAACCTGGGAGGTGGAGCTTGCAGTGAGCCGAGATCGCGCCACTGCACTCCAGCCTGGGCAACAAAGCCGGACTGTCTCAAAAAAAAAAAAAAAAAAAAAAAAAAAGAAAGAGAGAAAACCCAGCAGTGAGAGGTAGTTGTGAGAACACACTAAAGAGGAAAGATAATCCAGGGCTGGGAGTGGTGGCTCATGCCTGTAATTCCAGCACTTTGGGAGGCTGAGGCTGGCAGATCACAAGGTCAGGAGTTCGAGACCAGCCTGACCAACATGGTGAAACCCTGTGTCTACTAAAAATGCAAAAATTAGCTGGGTGTGGTGGTGGGTGCCTGTAATCCCAGCTACTCAGGAGGCTGAGGTGGGAGAATCGCTTGAACCCAGGAGACGGAGGTTGCAGTGAGCTGAGATTGCACCACTGCACTCCAGCATAGGCAACAAAGCCAGACTCTGCCAAAAACAAAAACAAAAACAAAAACAAAAACAAAAAACAAGAAAGCTCAGTGAGAGGTGGTTGTGAGAACACACTAAAGAGGAAAGATCATTCAGGGCTGGGAGTGGTGACTCACGCCTGTAATCCCAGCACTTTGGGGGGCCACAGGCGGGTGGATTACCTGAGGGCAGGAGTTCAAGACCAGTCTGGCCAACATGGTGAAACCTCGTCTCTACTAAAAATACAAAAACTAGCTGGGTGTGATGGCGGGTGCCTGTAATCCCAGCTACTTGAGAGGCTGAGTCAGGAGAATCTCTTGAACCCAGGAGGCAGAGGTTGCAGTGAGCTGGGATCGTGCCACTGTACTCTAGCCTGGGTAACAGAGCAAGGCTCTGTCTCAAAAAAATAAAAATTAGAAAGAAAAAAGGAGAAGGAGAAGAGGAAGGAGACAGAAAGGAGAGAAACATCCCTGAGGTGGAACATTACATGCAACATGGAGTAGGCAGGGAATCCGATAGAGCACTGAAACTCTCGCTGGGTACGGTGGCTAACATCTGTACTCCCAGCACTTTGGGTGGCCGAGGTGGATGGATCACCTGAGGTCAGGAGTTTAAGACCAGCCTGACCAACATGGTGAAACCCCATCTCTACTAAAAATACAAAAGGCTGGGTGTGGTGGCTCACGCCTGTAATCCCAACACTTTGGCAGTCTGATACAGGCGGATCACATGAGATCAGGAGTTTGAGACCAGCCTGGCCAAGATGGCAAAACCTCATCTCTACTAAAAATACAAACATTACCTGGCTGTGGTGGCAGTCGCCTGTAATCCCAGCTATGCAGGAGGCTGAGGCAGGAGAATCGCTTGAACCTGAGAGGTGGAGGTTGCAGTGAGTCAAGATCGTGCCATTGCACTCCAGCCTGGCCAATAGGAGCAAAACTCCATGTGAAAATAAAATAAAATAAAATAAAATATAATAAAATAAAATAATAAATCAAAAAAGGACTGGACATCTCCTGTGGGTTGTCAGTGAATGGAACTAAGCAAGCCACCGCTCTTTCCCTTTTGTCCCGCAAGTGTCTTTCTTGGCCTCCAGGAAGTGAGTTCCATCATGTCAGACCCTATGTTTGTTCCTGCTGGGTTCACTGAGGCTCCTCCCTTTCCACCTGTGGCTCCCCATGGGTTCCCAGTCCCCAGCCAGTGTTGTGAATCGAGCCAGGAAGACCAGCCCTATCACACCCCTCCTGATGGAATTCCCACAGTGTCATCCTGGAGAACAGGGGCTGGGGGCTGGGGTAGGATCAGAGACCTTTTCATGTGGGCCAGGCCCCTCCCTCCACAGGAGCTCTGACACGAAGCTCATCACCATTCATTTCACCCTGACGATATTCTTCCTGCCCAGACACCCCCGTTCTCCCTATGTCATCATGGGCACCTCAGTGAAATCCATGGTTGAGGGTCTCTGTCACTTACTCTGCCCTCTTCTTGGAAAATTTCCTTGGATCCTTCCAGAGCCCTTCCTGAGTGTGCTGCAGGGTCTCTGCCACATGACACACTCTCAGGAACCCTCATCCTCCCCTTAATCTACTGCGCCCACATAGCCAGGTGCAGGCTCCGTTTCTTCATCTTCCCTTCCCCACAGGCCCCGATGGAGAGTGGATTAGACTCGCTCCTGAGTAGGGACTCAGGTCACTCTGACCCCTTCCTCCCTGTGGACGAGGCCTCTGTCCCAGAGCTTTGGAGGCTGAAGGGCCTTGTGGATTCCCGCACTGGCCACAGTCTCCGATGCAGATGGGGAACTGGGGACCTGGGAGGGGTTGCCTAGCCCAAGGCCACATAGCTGGGCGGTGGCACAGCCTTCACTCACACAGGGACATTCCATCTTCCCAGGGACTTCACACTGGAGGCTAAGAGCCCCACTTTGCACACCACATTCAGGGGTAGATTCTGTGTGTGACTAACAAGTTCTCTTAGGGTTCCGAGGTAACAGGACAGCAAATGGATGAGTGAGAGTTTCCCTCACCCCACTGAAGTAGGACCATTCTCTGTGGAGGGTTGGTCCCCTGACTTCCTCTACTCTGTCATCTCCCTAGTGACTGATAGGGGTCCTGGGGTCTCTTCCCTGGAATCCCATGAGGGACAATTCCTTTCCTGAAGGGAAGGTATAGAGAGGACTAGCAGGTGCCTGGTGATGGAAAGTCCCCATAATCAAGAGACATTGCCTCCCCCCCCCGGCATGATAAATATCTGGGTTTCCAAATGGGAAATCTGTCTGTGATGAGAGCTCAGGAGGGGCTTCTGGAAGATGGAAAAGGGCTAGAGGCTGAGGCCACTGCTTATCTCCCCACACTGTATCTGGCTTCACCTCCTGTGTTTGTCCTGACCTCTTCCTTCACTCACCTGGATAAGTAGGACCCCAAAGTGGGCCTCCAGACAGGAAGCAGTGGAGAGTGTGGAGCTGCCCTGTCTACCACCCTACACCCTGACACCACTGTCATACTCAACCTCTCTTTTCCTCTTTGTGTTTCTCATTGCTTCATTTTGTCTGGAATCCCTAAGATTCCCATGTCTCCAGCAGGCTGTCCCTCAGACGTGGCTATATGATTTAGTGTTTCACAGGGCATGCAGCAGGCATGGGCTACCCCCAGTAACAGTGGTCATCTAGGGCTGATCACTCACAGGCAGAGCCATCGACAGAGAGCTGCAGCATCTAGAGGTCCCATCACCAGCCCCAAGACCCAGAGAGAAGTTGGCCTGAATGCCCCACTCTGTCTCTGCACCCCAGTGAGCCAGTGTCCAGGGGCCTTACCTTCCTCGTTAGAAGGCACAGGTCAAATGAGCTTCCAGAGCTGCAGAGCAAAGTCACATTCTCTCCATCATTACTTACTGCAGGGCACAGTTGAGCTGAGAAGGAAGGTCTCTTGTAGACGCCTGGGGAAAAAAATAGTCCTTGACTGTCGAGCACAAGCCTTACCCAGCCTATCCTCAGGGCATGAAAAAGGCATTCTCTCCACCTGTTCTGGGGAGCACACTCTGTTACCCACTCGTGCCTCTCTCCATCTCAGTTCTAGCTCTACAAGCTGGCTCATCATGTGTGTGTTTTCCTGTCTGTCTTTGCTCAGCTTTTCCTTGAATCTCTTGCTTTTTGCCGGTGCGTGTGTGGCTTTCTGCCCTTAGAACCATATGAGATTTAGGGTTCTCCTGGCACATAGAACTGTTTACTTTGAGGACCCTCAGAAAACATAGCCCTGGGCTAAGGCTCCCTGTCCTGGAACTAGAAGGTTATGGGTGTCACCATTTCCCAACAGCATGTCTGAAAGTGCCAGAATCTTCAAAGAGTCTGCAACATGTTTGTAGGATCTTTATAGGGTCTGATATTGCAGGGACCAACCAAAGTGCCCTCACACCCCAAGACGCTGGAAGTGACCCCTTGCTGAAAGTGGTTGGAAGTTTCACATAGAAGTTTGAGTTAAGCCACATTGCTGAGCAATGCCTCAGCATCCCAGTCTTCATCCAGACCTTCCAGGAGCCTGGCTGGAGGGGGTGTCTCTGGTGTGTCACTGAGCCTTATAGCAGAGGAAGGGGGCTATGGTGGAAACTACCTCCAAGATACCACTCAGTCCTAAGCTGGGGAACAAGCTGAGCTTGGATTCTGGTAGTGAATGAACCGGGAAACATTTATTTGAAGGGTTCTAAGAGTAGCATCGTGTGGGTGCGTTAATTGTATGTGAAGGGGAAGATCCTGAGAAAACAAGAGCTGCTCCACTCTGTGCCTGGGTTTACCAGAGGGACCGATGAGGTCCTCACAAGACCCAGGAATCCCACCGGGGGAAGGAGGCTTAGGGAGATGTGTTTAAGACTGTTAAGTGAGTCACAGACAGAAGCAGATCAAGCCATCCCACCACCTAGGTTTGTGGTTTTGTTTCTCCTAAACTTCCTTTCTGTAAGTAGCAGAACCTTCTCATCACCATCCTTCAAAACCTCTGCATTGTTTGAGCTCCTTGTATTTTCTGGAGATTAATCTCTTGCTTGCAAATATTCTTTCCCATTCTGTAGGTGGTCTCTTCACTCTGCTGTTTGTTTCCTTGATTGTGCAGAAGGTTTGCAGTTTGCTATGATCTCATTTGCCTATTTTTGCTTTTGCTGCCTGAGCTTTTGAGGGTTTTTTTTTTTTGTTTTTTTTTTTGAGACGGAGTCTCGCTCTGTCACCCAGGCTGGAGTTCAGTGGCATGATCTCAGCTCATTGCAACCTCCGCCTCCCGGGTTCAAGTGATTCTCCTGCCTCAGCCTCCCTAGTAGCTAGGACTACAGGCGAGTGCCACCACACCCGGCTAATTTTTGTATTTTTAGTAGAGGCAGGGTTTCACCACGTTTGGCCAGGCTGGTCTCAAACTCCTGACTTCAAGTGATCCACCCACCTTGGCCTCCCAAAGTGCTGGGATTACAGGCGTGAGCCACTGCGCCCGGCGTTGTATTGGATTTTTAATTCAGCCCTATTTTCTCCGACATTTGATATTGGCATTTTTGTCTTTTTTGGATATGCTAGGATCATGGTGTCATAATTTAATTTTAATTTTTATTTTTATTTTAAGTTCCGGGGTACATGTGCAGAATGTGTGGGCTTATTGCATAGGTCAATGTGCGCCATGGTGGTTTCCTGCACCTGTCAACCCATCACCTAGGTATTAAGCCCAGCATACATTAGCTATTTTTCCTAATGCTCTCCCTACCCCTACCCCACCCCCCCCCCGACAGGCCCCAGTGTGTGTTGTTCCCCTCCCTGTGTTCACGCATTCTCATTGTTCAGCACCCACTTGTAAGTGAGAACATGCAGCGTTTGATTTCCTGTTCCTGTGTTAGTTTCCTGAGGATAATGGTTTCCAGCTCCATCCATGTCCCTGCAAAGGACATGATCTTGTTTCTTTTTATGGCTTCATAGTATTCCGTGGTGTATATGTCTCACATTTTCTTTATCCAGTCTATCATTGATGGGCATTTGGGTTGATTCTATGTCTTTGCTATTGTGAATAGTGCTGCGATGAACACATGTGTGCATGTATCTTTGCAATAGAATGATTTATATTCCTTTGGGTATACGCGCAGTAATGGGACTGCTTTTACCTGTGCCAAAATACTGAAGTAGAAATGATTATTCACTCTAAAATGGAAGGTAATAAGATGTATACGTGAGCTATCAGATGCCTGGTGCTTATGAGTGAAGACAAGTCTGTCCAACGCTTCCCAACCCTGCATTCAGGGATGTCTCGTTGGCATCTTGATTATGGCCATGAAAAAAGAATTTACGTCAAGGAAATTGGTAAATGCCACTAATCATAGCATTTCAAAAAATGTCTTTTTCAGAATTAGCATACCATTGGGTCGTGACTTCAAATGCCAGTGTGTTGATTCCAGGTGGTGATATTTCAGGAGAAACTACACAGATAGCATCTGATAAGGAGGGAAGAGCTCATAGGGTCCACACAGGAGGTGAGGGCATCACGGTGCATTTATCTTTTCCTGGTCGGACTCTGATCTTCTCCCGTTGAATTAGTTCCTAAACCAGGTGCGGAACTCTGAACTGAAGACATGAAGACCCAGTAAAGTACACCAGGAAGTGTGGCAATGAGAAATGAAGAGGACTGTGTGACACGCCATGGACCAGAGCATGCAGGTGTGCAGAGGTGTGGACCCAACGCTGCCATGTGGGATGGAGCCTCATGTCTAAGTGTGGGAAAAGAGGCAGATCCAACCAAGGAAAGTCAACATTAATGGAGAGGAAAGGTATCACATTTTAATGGTTCTCCATGGATCACCCCAGAAAATGTCCCTGCACTCGGACATTGATTCCTTCCTCTGGAAATGACCAGCAGACAGTCCAGATAGCATCGGCCCTAGATTTTCTTCCAGAACCTCCTGGGATCATCAGATCTGTTCCTGAGGCTTCACGACTCTATAAAGTACATTATCCTCTCTGCTGTTCACCTCCCGGCTGCATCTTGGGAAGCTTCTCTGGCTGTGCCAAGCCTCAAATGACAGAATCCCGAGGACCACCAGGATCAAGCCAGCCACGCCCATGTGGATGAGATTCTCCACTGCGTAATCCTGAAGGTGTGAGGCTGGGGATGGTGGACAAAGAGGTCACAGAGGTCAGGGTGGATCAGATTGTCCACCCAGGGCACCCACCTCCCCTTCACAGGACCCAACCCTCAGTGCCAGCCCCATCACTGAGAGTATCTCCTCACATACCAGTCTCAGAGTCAGACTTGTTTTGTGATGGGCTGAGGGTATCAGCTGCTCCAGAGAATCAAAACAGAGAAAAAGAGACCTGAGCCCAGCCTCTCACCTGGGCTCTGCAATTTTTTTTTTATTACTTAATGTCTCATGATGTGACTTTTACAGAATTTCTAAAAAAAAAAAAAAAAAACCTCTTCCTCCGCTAGCAGGATTCCCTCTAGTCTCCTCATTGAACGATTTCAGTTTTCCTGTGTTCTATGGATTTAAACATTGCTCCTGAGTCATCTGGGAGAGAGTTTTCCTGCATCCT
Source organism: Homo sapiens (assembly GCF_000001405.40). Lineage (NCBI taxonomy): Eukaryota > Metazoa > Chordata > Mammalia > Primates > Hominidae > Homo > Homo sapiens. The sequence goes on along the minus strand of NC_000019.10, from coordinate 54,700,339 downwards.
GAGAGCTCAGGATCTGCAAGGAAAGTGGTCCCCAGTACAGAGGTCACTAAGGCCTGTGTGCTCTCTGTGCAGCCTGGGACACAGGAGAACATGAGCCAACTCCCCCGGAGATGAGAGTTTCACGGATCCACCAGCTGAGGACCCAGGCTCCGTGGATGAGGGTTAGTCATCAGGGGAGCCTCAATGTCAGAAGCACAAAGGGGTGAAATTCTGGGGCTGCCTCCCCTTCATGCCCTCAGCCACTTCACCTGGAGTTTCATTGTCCATTTAATCTCTAGGTAGCTAATTATTCGTATAGGCAGCAACAGGTAGAATGTGATACACACACAGAAAAACACAAACACAAATATATATCTGTTTTATATATATAGTGGGCCTTAAAAACTATCTCTGCCTTCTTGAAGTGTGGGTTCACCTGGAGACAAACAGCAAACATATAGAAACACAGCAGTGGAAATTTACTAGTCGTAGCAATGGTTTTAGATATATTGGTAGAGACCTATATTTATGTGTGAATATATATTATTTGTATAGATATACGGATAACTAGGTTTCAATGTCACGTAAGATGTTGGTGTGACCACACACGCGCACACACACACACACACGTATATGCAGAGAGTGGAAGAGAGAGAGAAGGAATTCAGCCGCATGGTGTAGGTTGGTTAATTACTTGACATAAATGAGAAGCAGGCAGGACTGGGCTGAGCTGTGTCGTCAGTGAAGGTCACACTTGGAGGTGACATTGAAGCTGATTCCTCAATAGGAAAAAGGGCCAGGAAGGAGGCGTGTGGAGACCCAGACAGGGAGCAACAGAGGCTCCAGAAAGAGCAGGTCCCAGAAAGGTCTCAGCCTGTTCTTCAGAAAGGAATGGCCGCTTGTCTACAGGGTGGAGGAGGAGGCAGAGGAGGAGGGGAGATGAGCTTCGGGGCCTTGGTGGATTGAGAATAGGCCAGGATGAACCGGCCAGGAAAGAGCGGCCCCAATATCTCTCTCTCTGTCTCTCTGTCTCTGTCTCTGCCTCTCTCTCCCTCCCTCTGAGGTCTGGAAAGTGCTGTAGGGTTTCAAGGAGTGGTACCAGTCATTTGACTTTTTCTGAAAAGATAAGCCCTACCCCCTCCATAGCAAATGTCCAGAACGAAGGAAGTCCACATTTCTACCTGAAGTTTACAAAACCTCAGGGAGCACGTGAGATCAGGGCTATTACGAAACCGGGTGAGAATAAAAATAGGTGATGCTGCAAATCTACTTTCACCAGCTTGGACAAAAAGGCCAATATGAGATTTTAAAAACCCAAATAAAAAATGTCAACGGCGCAGAAGAGGAGCGGTGCACATTCCCTGAGCTGCTGCGGGAGCACGTGCAAGTCCCTGTGAGGCTCAGGTGTGCGCTGAGTGCTGGGGAGGCTGCAGGGGAAAGCAGGAAGTGGGGCGGGGTGGGGGGGGGTCGGGGGTGGATGCAGGTGGCACCGGCAGCCTGGATGCTTCTCTCTCCAGGAGGGCGTCTGTTGGGGACTGGGACACAGAGGCTCTGATTCTGAGGTGGAGACACCAGGATGGGAGCAGGTGGGGCCTCCGTCTTCCACCCTCAGTCTAATCTCAACTCCTTTGAGGTTCACCCCCCGTCTCCTCCCAGCCCTCCCTGCACTTTACTCTACTGAGACTTCAGGGGTGGGAGCCAGGGGTGGGAGGTCCCTGTCTATTTCCATCTTCCCATGGGCTGGACCCTCCCCTGCGGACCCTCTCCCTTCACTCCCCTCTTTCCTTAGTGTCCAGAGCTCTGCTGGGGGCAGGGCCTGAGCTGAGCCTTTGAGCTCAGAGAGGACAGGGTCAGCGCCCTCACCTGAGACCACGAGCTCCACGGGGCCACTGGGGTGAGACAGCAGGTAGGGGTCGGAGCTGAGTGAGCCGTAGCACCTGTAGGTCCCCGTGTGGGCTGAGGTCACAGGACTCATGGGGAATTCAGCCTGGTACTTATGAGCTCCGTACTTTGATCTCAGACACAGCAGGGGATGGGCTGCCCCCTCCTTGGTCAGAAGGAAAGTGTGCATCCACTCTTGTGATTGACACAGCAGGGTCACGTTCTCTCCTGAGGCCACTGTGGGCCACAACTGCACTGAGAGGGAGGGTCTGCCAGGGATCTGTCCTGGACAGAAGACAGATGGGTGAGGGGCTGCCCCACCTTGTTCTGAGCTGAGACCTCCCCAGACCTCTCCCTGGGACCCTCAGTCTCTGTGTCTGTTTTCTGAGTCTCCCCCTCCCCCCATCCCCTGTCTCTGTCTGTCTCTCCCTCCCTTGGGACCCCCACCCCTCATCCCGGCCATCACCACCTGGGCTCCCCCGGCAATGCCTGTGCCGAGCCCGGGTCCCTGACTGAACCCGCTGGGCTCCTCACCTGCGATCAGGATGTCCAGGGGGTCACTGGGGGCCGACCACTCGGAGGAGAGGTTGTGTGCACCGGAGCATCTGTACTGGCCCCCGTGGGAGCCCCTCACAGGGCCCAGGGTGAAGTTGGCCTGGGAGAGCCCAGCCTGGGGCTGCTGGCCAGGGCGCTGGAGGAAGTCACATTCCCCCTCCTTGTACAGAGTGAATCTGTCGTAGCCGACATCAGAGCCACACTGGAGGGTCAGGGTCTCTCCAGGGGCCAGGACAGGGGGAGAGCTCTGTCCTCCCATGTCAGAGCCTCCCCATGGGGTCTCCCTCATGCCTTCAGCCCATCCATCAACACATCACTGTGGGTCCTTTCCAGATTCAGTCACCAGCCAAACTCCCCACAACCTGTCAGCTGTCCGGAAAGTGTGTTAGAGAAGGCCGTGGCTCCCTCACCTGAGGGCAGAATCTCCAGGGGGTCACTGGGGTGGGACCACACCTGGGGGGTGTTCATATAATAGTAATAGCATGTGAACCTCCACCTGTGGCTGGGGGTCACGGGGCCCACAGGGAACAGGGCCTGGAACCCCCCACTGTGGAGCTGCTGTGAGTCCAGGGTCCGGGGGAGCTGGTGTTCTCCTTCCTTCATCAGAACAAAATGGTGATATCCCTTCTGTGAGCCACATCGGAGGGTCACTTTCCCTCCTGAGGCCACCACAGGGCTGGGCAGGGCTGAGAGGGTGGGTTTGCTGTAGAATCCTAGGAGAGAAGGAGGCACCATGTTAAATGGGGCTCCCACCTCCCACATCATCCCCAGGGCTGGGCTGTGAGAGGGAGACACCCCTGAGAGCCAACCCCCTTCCTGAGGGCAGAGCCTGGGGCTGGGACCCCTGAGTGTCCTCTCACCTGTCATCACCAGCTCCAGGGGGTCACTGGGCTCTGACCAGCCCGCAGGGCTGAGATAGTAACACTGATATCTCACTGCATGGTGCTGTGTCATGGATGGGATGGAGTATCTGGCCTTGTTCCTGGTCTCCAGTGGATTCGTTCTGTCCCAGGGCTCTGTGCTTCCCTCTTTATATAGATGGTACTCCTGGGCTTCCAGGGTCCCCTGACACCACATGGTCATGGGGCTTCTCCAGCTGATCACAGAGCCTGGCTTAGCCCAGAGGGTGGGCCTGGGGAGAGTACATGGAAGGAAATCAAAGCCTGGATCCCAAGACCTTCCCCACCCCTCAGATCATCCCAGCTGCCTGCCCAGAACTGCTGTCTCCATCCCCAACTGTCCAGGGTGAGGAGGAGGGACCTGGGAGAGCTGGGGACAGACTCACCTGCCTGCATGCGGGTCCTGGGGCCCAGACTCAGCCCTGGAAGAGAATTCCCAGTGAGGGATTTGCCCCGTGAAGCCTGAGCAAGTCCTCCCCTGCCTGGGAGCTCCCTAAAGCCCTGGGATCTCTTGATGGACCAGGGCCTGTGGGGTTTCCTCTCTCCTCTTCAAATCTCACCAAAGCAAAGCAAAGCAAGGCTGTGAGGGCGGCGGTCATGGCGTCTCCTCTGCCTCCTTTCAGCTTTGCAAATGGATGAGCCGTTGGTGCTGGCAGGACAGAGAGACACACAGGGTGTGGCCCCTCAGAGGCTGGGTCTTTCTTGTCATGGGGTTATCTCATCCGCAGCCCACAGGAACGGAAACTGCCCTCCCCAGGAGGCTGGCTCTCATTTCCCCAGGGCTGAGATGGGGGTGGGCACCAGGCTCTCTGCAGACATTTCAGAGAGAAATGGGGTCTCCCTGCCCCCAGGCCACTGTCTGCCTGATCTGTCTTTATCTTACCGAGAGCCGGGACACAACAGCAAATAGACCTGATGCCTTCCGGAGTCAGCCCCTTTCAGGCGAGGGTGACCTCCTCCCGCTCAGAGCCTCCCCATGGGGTCTCCCTCCCTCCTTCAGCCCATCCATCAGCTCAGCGTTGCGGGGTCCTTACCATGGTCAGTGATTCTCCAGCCCTGGAGATGCTTCAGGGAAGACCCAGGTCCATGCTGCAGGCAGACTCAGATCAGCAGAGACGCACCTGACACCTGGCTGTGCAGCCGAGGCTGAGCTGCATGTGGCAGTGAGAACACAAGAGAGATGCAGGGAATAAAGAGAATAAAACATATGTTTTTCTGTCCCTGGAGTGTGTGTTTCCTTTCTGCCAAACAGTCCCTTTCTTGTCCCTTCAAGAACAGTCTCTTCCTTTCTACCAAACTTCCTATTTTTTTCCTTCCTTCCTTCCGTCCTCTTCCTCCCTCCCTCTCTCCCTCCTTCCTTCCCTCTGTCTTTCCTTCCTTTCTTTTTGCAGCAGCATCCACCCCCCACCCCTGAGAACAAACCTCTAAGTCATTCCTGCCTTCTCAGTGCCCCTCACTTCCTGGGCCTTCCTCTGTGCCTTAATCCACGTTTAAGGTTTTTGGAGCAATTACGTTAGGTTTGAGCTCTGATTTCGGACATTGGGTTGGGAGGTGACTTTTATTTAATTCCTGATTATCATCCCCTGCCTGTGTGACCTTGGGAAGTAATATCCCATCCCTGAGCCTCAATTTCCACGTTTGGAGCCTGTTGTCATGATCCCCACTCATCACAGTGGCTATGGGGGTCAGTGGTGCCCAGGACATGGGAGGGGCTCAGCCATGGTTAATTTCTAGACCAGTTAAGACAGGAGGGTGGGGATGGGAGAGGATCCTGATGTTGGGCTCCACAGTGGAGGACGATGATTGATGCCCCCATGAAGAGCCGACGTCAACTTTGAACACTGAGAAACCTAGTTACGATATTTCTGAATCCTGTAGTCATGGTCTTAATGTAGAAAAAGTTAAATAACAAATTCCTGAAATAGACAGGGTGCCGTAAGACAGATCATAGACCAGAGCTGAGGGACCACTGGTGCCTGGGACCACCCAGGGCTCATTAGTGGGGGAGATTTCCACCTCTGTGTGTGGGACAGAAGAGGAACCCCAGGTCCTCACAGGCAGGGAGGAGTCAGGGCTTTGGGTGAGGCTGGAAGCTGTGGTTCCTCCTCCCCTGTGTGTGTGGACAGGCGCTGGAAATATCTCTGCTCATTGACATGGGCCCGTGGTCCACACTGAATCATCTCCCTTGTTTGTGTGAAACAGATTCACCGCGACATTGTCAGATATGGGTGTCTGTCCCACGTGTGAGTGTGAGGTTCACACTAGACCCTCCTGTGCTGGGCAAAACCCTAAGCAGATGATATGTTTGGAGGAGTTGAGATCATGCAGCAGGGATAGCTGGAACAATCCCCTCTTTTTCAGTCTGACCCCCAGGAGAGCACTAAGAACTACCTTCCATGGATAATTAGGTGTGTAAGAAATGAACCATTCAACAAACACGGACAGCAAAGAGTAATCCCTATAACCACAAGAAGTGCCACCAACGACAACCTATTGACTCATTAAGAGTTTATTGTATATTTTCAGATAGCTAGAAGAGAGGATTTTGAATGTTTTCAACACAAAGAAACGATAAATGTTTGAAATGGCGGATATGTTCATTACTCTTATTTAACCATTACACATTATATATATGTGTTGAAATATCAACTCTATACCCTACAAATATATACAATTATTATGTGTCAATTATAAGTTATAATAAAGACGCACTTAATCCCAGCACTCTGGGAGGCCAAGGCAGGTGGATCACTTGAGCCCAGGAGTTCTAGCTCTTTGAAAACATACAATAAACTCAAAACCACTATGAGATACCATCTCACACCAGTTAGAATGGCAATCATTAAAAAGTCAGGAAACAACAGATGCTGGAGAAGATGTGGAGAAACAGGAAATCTTTTACACTGTTGGTGGGAGTGTAAATTAGTTCAACCATTATGGAAGACAGTGTGGCGATTCCTCAAGGATCTAGGACTAGAAATACCATTTGACCCAGTAATCCCATTACTGGGTATATACCCAAAGAATTATATATCATGCTATTATAAAGATACATGCACACGTATGTTTACTGTGGCACTATTCACAATAGCAAAGACTTGGAACCAACCCAAATGTCCATCAATGATAGACTGGATTAAGAAAATGTGGCACATATACACCATGGAATACTATGCAGCTATAAAAAAGGATGAGTTTATGTCCCTTGCAGGGACATGGATGAAGCTGGAAACCATCATTCTCAGTACACTATCACAAGGACAGAAAACCAAACACCGCATGTTCTCACTCATAGGTGGGAATTGAACAATGAGAACACCTGGACACAGGGCGGGGAACATCACTCACTGGGGACTGTCTGGGGCTGGGGGGCTGGGGGAGGGATAGCATTAGGAGAAATACCTAATGTAAATGACGAGTCGATGGGTGCAGCAAGCCAACATGGCACATGTATACCTATGTAACAAGCCTGCACGTTCTGCACGTGTACCCCAGAACGTAAAGTATAATAATAATAAAAAAAGAGTGGTCTCTGGGCTATAAGTTCCCTGCAGAGGGTTGCATCATTTATTTTTTCACTGTCCCCCACCCTAATGTTTGTAGGCTCATATATTATGCCAGTTAATATGCAAAGACTTTGGGATTCAGTACTGAATAAAGCTTCTAGGATACGCTAGAACTTAAAGTATAATAAAAACATCTAAAAAAGAAAATATACAGTAAACTATTGTTAACTATAGTCACCCTACAGTGCTGTAGGATACCAGAACTTATTTCCTCCATCTAGCTGTACAGTAAACTATTGTTAACTATAGTCACCCTACAGTGCTGTAGGATACCAGAACTTATTATTTCCTCCATCTAGCTGTACAGTAAACTATTGTTAACTATAGTCACCCTACAGTGCTATAGGATACCAGAACTTATTTCCTCCATCTAGCTGTACAGTAAACTATTGTTAACTATAGTCACCCTACAGTGCTGTAGGATACCAGAACTTATTTCCTCCATCTAGCTGTACAGTAAACTATTGTTAACTATAGTCACCCTACAGTGCTGTAGGGTACCAGAACTTATTTCCTCCATCTAGCTGTACAGTAAACTATTGTTAACTATAGTCACCCTACAGTGCTATAGGATGCCAGAACTTATTTCCTCCATCTAGCTGTACAGTAAACTATTGTTAACTATAGTCACCCTACGGTGCTGTAGGATACCAGAACTTATTATTTCCTCCATCTAGCTGTACAGTAAACTATTGTTAACTATAGTCACCCTACAGTGCTATAGGATACCAGAACTTATTTCCTCCATCTAGCTGTACAGTAAACTATTGTTAACTATAGTCACCCTACAGTGCTGTAGGATACCAGAACTTATTATTTCCTCCATCTAGCTGTAATTCTGTATCCTTTAACCAGCATTTCCCTCTCCCCTCTTCCCACCCTTCCCAGCCTCTAGTTACCACGACTCTGCTCTCTGCTTCTGAGATCAACTGTTTTAACTCCCACACATGAGTAAGAACACGCTACCTTTGTCTTTCTATGCCTGGCTTATCTCACTTATTTCCTCCAGGCTCATCCGTGTTGCCACAAATGACAGGATTTCATTCTTTTTAACGACTGGGTAATATTCCATTGTGTAAATGTACCACATTTTCCTTATCCATTCATCTGTACATAAACACTTAGGTTGCTTCCAAATCTTGGTTATTGTGAATAGTGCTGCAGTAAACACCAGGGTGAAGCTATCCTTTCAATATACTGATTGCCTTTCCTTTCGATCTATACCCAGAACTGGGCTGGCTGGGTCATAGGGTGGTTCTCTTTTTAGTTTTATGAGGAACCTATGTACTGTTTCCTGTAATGACCACACTCCTTCTTGTTGCCTTCAACAGTGCACAAGAGTCCCCTTTTCTCTGCATCCTAGCCACCACTTGTTATTTTTTGTCTTTTTGATAATGGCCTTTCTAAGTGGTGATAAAGAAGTGCTGGGAAGGGAAGGGTGTAGTCCCTTTAAATAATACAGAAGAGGGAAGGGAAGTGCTGGGCAGAGGAGGGCGTGGTCCCTGGCTAGGGCTCCACCCTCACAGACCTAGGTGAGGACGGGCACTTCCTGCCCAAATGTTGCATTTCCCAAGACCACCCTGGCCTGCCACGCCCCCATCCTGTGCCTATAAAACCCCCGAGACCCTAGCACGCAGACACACAGGCGTGAGCCACAGCACCTTGCTGAAGTACATCCACACCGTTGCGCAACCATCATCCCCATCCATCTCCAGATCTTTTTCATGATCCTAAACTGAAAATCTGTATGCATTAAATACCAATTCCCATTTTCTCTCCCCCAACCCCAGCCCCTGGAAGCCAATATTCTACTTTCTGTCTCTATGGGTTTGCCTATTCTATGCACTTCATATAAATAGAATCATACAATACTTGTCTTTTTGTGATTGCCTGATTTCAGTCTGCATAACATCTTCAAGTTTCACCCGTGTTGTAGAATGTGGCAATCATGATTTCATTCCTTGTAAGACATACATACTCTACTGTATGTCTACACTACAGTTTATGTCTCCACTCATCCATCTATGAACATTGGGTGGTTTATTCTTTTTGTTTGTTGTAAGTAATGCTGCTGTGCACATGGAGGTATAAATATCTGCTCAAGTATTTGCTTTGACTTCCCCTGGATATATACACAGAAGTAAAATGGCAAGATTACATGGCAAGGCTATGCTTCATTTTTTAAGAAGTCACCATACATCTGGGTAATTATGTACACCACGTTCGGTTTTGGCAGTCTCATAAGCAATATGAGGCCATGGCCATTCTCATTTTTATTCAGTACTGAATCCCTAAGTCTTTGCATATTAACTGGCATAATATATGAGCCTACAAACATTAGGGTGGGGGCAGTGACAAAATAGATGATGCAATCCTCTGCAGGGAACTTATAGCCCAGAGACCACTCTTTTTATTATTATTATTATTATTATACTGTAAGTTCTGGGATACATGTGCAGAACGTGCAGGTTTGTTACATAGGTATACAAGTGCCATGGCAATTTGCTGCACCCATCAACCCGTCGTCTACATTAGGTATTTCTCCTAATGTTATCCCTCCCCTACCCCCCTACCCAACCCCCTGACAGGCCCTGGTGTGTGAAGTTCCCTCTCTGTGTCCATGAGGACACATATATATCATATATATCACACCTGTAATCCCAGCACTTTGAAAGGCCGAGGCGGGTGGATAACTTGAGGACAGGAGTTTGAGACCAGCCTGGCCAACATGGCAAAACTTCATCTCTACTAAAAAAAAAAAATACAAAAACTGGCCAGATGCAGTGGCTCATGCCTGTAATCCCAGCACTTTGGGAGGCTGAAGTGGGCGGATCACAAGGTCAAGAGATTGGGACCATCCTGGCCAACATGGTGAAACCCCGTCTCTACTAAAAATACAAAAATTAGCTGGGCATGGTGGTGTGCACCTGGTAGTCCCAGCTACTCAGGAGGCTGAGGCAGGAGAATCGCTTGAATCCGGGAGGCAGAGGATGCAGTGAGCCGAGATCACGCCACTCCACTCCAGCCTGGCGACACAGCGAGACTCCATCTCAAAAAACAAGACAAAACAAAACAAGACTAGCTGGGTGTGGTGGTGCATACCTGTAATCCCATTTACTCGGCAGGCTGAGGCACAAGAATTGCTTGATCCTGGGAGGCGGGGGCTGCAGTGAGCTGAGATAGTGCCACTGCACTCCAGCCTGGGTGACAGACAGATTCTGCCTCAAAACAAAGAATAAGATACTGTCATTTTCAGCCACATTAATGGACCTGGTGGTCATTATTCTAAGAGAACTGACACAGAAAAAGAAAGCTGAATACTATATGTTGTCACTTATAAGTTGGAAGTAAATACTGAATACATAATGGACACATAGGAGGTAATAACACACAGTGGGGCCTCCTTGGTAATCACACACAGGGGGACCTCCTTGAGGGTTGAGGAAGTGGGGAGGGTGAGGACAGAAAAACTACCTATTTGGTACTATGCTTATCACCTGGATAACAAAATAATGTGTACTTCAAACCCTTGTAACACACAATTTACTTATATAACAAACCTGCACATGTACCTCTGAACCTAAAAGTTAAAAAAACACATTTATTTGCCACATATTTAATTTAGCACCATATTTTCACTTTCCATAATGATTCTTCTGATGGCAACTTTTCATTTTCATGTCTAGACAAAAACAAAATAAATTAATAATGGTTTCTCAGTTTGGCATTATCTAAAGTAGGATGAGAGTAGAATTCTATTACACTTACGTAATGCCATGCAGTGAAAAATTATTATTTCTAGCCACATTCAATTCGAAAAAAATTTTAATTTCCTAAAATTTAGACATTTTCCAAAGAATATAAATTAGAAACTATCAAAACATAGTTTTTATTTTTGCATTTTTTACTTGTTTAATAATTAACAAGTTGTTAAATTACAAAGTAAAATAATTGGTGTTAAAAATTGAGAAATATTAGATTCTTGGAAATTACAGATTAGTTCAGAGAAATAGATACTTTAAAAACTCAAAGCCATTTCTTGGTGGATACACAATAATCCATAACAGTTTGGCCCAAGTGTTGTAGAGGATGGGGAGAAAAATAAGAGAATAAGAAAAGAATATGAATTTCATATATGGTGTGCACATGAACCTGTTGAAAAATTTTCTTGGAAAGAAAATATTTTATAACAACAACTAGAATATATTTAGCAAATTTGTATCAGAGATCAACAAACCAACAAACACAAGTTAGAGAAAGGGGCATGTTGCCCATTAAGTCATAGAGAAAACATACAAATACATTTAAATTATACCAAATAAATCATGTAAGCAGGAGTGAGAATGACACAATTATGGTAAATAATGGAGACGAGAAAATACCTGTGAGTCCTAGACCCGTTGTGATTACGGGCCCCATATGTCCTTCAGTAACTACAATCATTTATGAAAAAGTAAATACTGGTCTTTGTTTCTTTTATCGAATTCTTTGTTTTTCTTATGGAAACACAATTAGGAAATAATGAGGCTATATTTTACTTTCTGGGATGGTGACAGGAAATTCCTCACCTCACGCTCCCGTGGCTAGGATCTCAGCTGTCAGAACAGACCAAGCGTTCACCACTTAGGGGCTGAGAGGAGGAACAGTTTCAGAAAGCTTTGGCTTCAGAACCCAGTGAATCTGGAGCAGATGAAAAGGTTTCGGAACTCTGAAAGCGCTTTTAAATACGGTTAAGGATCAGAGTTGCATTTATTAGACATGAACACCCATATAGTCCCTGATTATTCCTGCTCTCTAAGCCTTGACAATTCTTAGTCACGTTTTGTAAAAGTGAGATTTATATTTTTCTAAATGAAAGATATAATTTACCTTCTTCACGCCGATCTGAGAAATTGTCTATAGACATATATTACTGGTGAAATCAAGTGCATTCGGCTCCCCGGAACCCATAAGAAAGGAGATGAAAGTGTACCGTTTTGCAATCATCACAGAAGGTTTTCAGAGACGTACAGCCATTGCCAACCAAAGTGCAGCATGCAGCCACCAGAGATATTTCAAATGTCCTAAGTACCAGTTGCCATTAGACAACAGGTGTGTGAACAGGAGCCAAGACCTGAACACACTCTTACCCCTCGTACAAAGAGGAGAGCTAAGACTATGAGGTTTGGTATATTTATTCAGACAGAGTCTTTCAGATGGGGCTATGACAGAGAAGGTAAACAGGAGATGCCAGGCAGCCCTGAGTGGGAAGGCTGGGGTGGTTCTGTGTCTCAGGAACTCTCAGAAAATACCCCTGCCCCATGTTTCTTTTCCATGTTCAGTTTTGACCTTAGGGGAAATAGACCGGGATGTTTACACCATATATATATATATATATATATATATATATATATATATATACACACACACATATATGTTGCAACAAATATTCTACATCTCTAAGAATATGGCTCTCTAACTGAAAGAAGGTCCACTTACCAAATGCAGTTTCTTGCTGGGAAAGCAACTGCCATAGTCACAGTCTAAGCACCTCCACAAAAGGGGGCATCTTAACCCTGAGATAAAGGCTTAAGACTACCATGAGATCCTTTTCTTGCCGGGAAGTGATTATCATTTCATCTGCAAGTACAGTGACAGTGTTTGCATAGGGATTTCAGTTGATCTAGAAAAACATCCGTGAAATGTTCAAATTACTGAAAGCTATTCGTAGCTATTAGTTTTAGTCGACTGAGAAAGTTGGAGCAAGAAAGAGAGAGATGGAAAGAAACAGAACAATAGAGAGACAGAGACAGGAAGAGACAGAGAAACTTAGAGAGGAAATCATATCTGGGAAGCTTGAAGTAGACTAGGTAGAGACGGCATTGCAGCCAAGGACATTGAGATCTAACTGAGAGAAGGAAAGTAAGGATAAGGCTGGGGTTTGTTTCTTGCCAACCTTAAGGTTTTGCCTCCCCCAAGAATATTTTTCCATTCTGAGGACTTTGCACTAAAGGCAGCCTGGAAGGGAGAAAAAAAGAGAGAATCAAGTAGAAATCATTTGCTCCAGTGTTAAAAATAAACTTGGAAGAAGTGGAGACACTTTTATTCACTGTTTTCATGGGCACACATTAAGTATCTAATGGGTCAAACGTGATTCTTGGTGTATAAGATGTATCAGAAAAAAGACAGAAAGACTTCTAAAAAAGTGTCTGTATTGAATCAATATTATAGTTGAGAAAGATGGATATTAGACAACAACAAAAATTAATAGAAAATCCAATATGTTATAGGATGATACATGTCTTGTGAGCAAAATAACAATAAAGTAATAGCAGAGAGCTCCCCTGAGCAAGAAGAAATTCTTCCAGCAGATTGTCTTTGGATTTTTTAGTTTGCTACAACTCTTTCCTGAGTCTCCAGGATACTCTACTGTCCTGCAGATTTTGGACTCACCAAGCTCCTACAATCACATGAGCCAATTCCTAGGTAAATGAATAGATAAACAAATAAATAGATAGATAGATAAATAGATAGATACATAGATACATGGATAGATACATAGATAGATACATAGATACACAGATAGACACATAAATAAACATTCTGCTGGTTCAATTTCTCTGGAGAACCCTTGAAAAAAAAATCATTTTGGTTCCAGGGATGATTCCAAAGGAACAGAATTTTTAAGGATGAGTTTTCTGAATTGGATCCAAAGTTTCTGAAATCGGCTTTCTAATTTGATTAGATTTAAAAACACTAATGACTCCATTTCCAGTAGTGTTGATAGTGCATAACATGATGTGGCCATAGGGATACACCAAATGTCATCATTGGAAACGCCTAACAAACATTTATAAGAATCTGAGTGGGCCGGGTGCGGTGGCTCACCCCTGTAATCCCAGCACTTTGGGACGCCGAGGCGGGTGGATCACGAGGTCAGGAGATCGAGACCATCCTAGCTAGCACGGTGAAACCCCATCTTTCCTAAAAAAAAAAAAAATACTAAAAAATTAGCCAGGTGTGGTGGTGGGCGCCTGTAGTCCCAGCTACTTGGGAGGCTGAGGCAGGAGAATGGCATGAACCTGGGAGGCGGAGCTTGCAGTGAGCGGAGACCATGCCACTGCACTCCAGCCTGGGCGACAGAGCAAGACTCCGTCTCAAAAAAAAAAAAAAGAATCTGAGTGATCATGTACATAATACTTTTGAATGTTTTTGAAAACTAATGAGCATAATGAGATTGGCTGGGTTGTCACTGGACAAAGTTGGGGAAAGAAGAGGATGAATTCAAAGATTTGAATTTTCAGTTCAAGTGCAAACATAAATGAGCTAAGACTTCTATATCTGCCCTAAAAGATACTCATCATTTGTAGCCACAGGGCTGAGGCCTTTGAAAAGTCAAACCTGGGGCCAGGTGCGGTGGCTCACGCCTGTAATCCTAGCACTTCGGGAGGCCGAGGTGGGCAGATCATGTGAGGTCAGGAGTTCGTGACCAGTCTGGCCAACTTGGCGAAATCCCGTCTCTACTAGAAATACAAAAATTAGCCAGGTGTGGTGGCTGGTGCCTGTAATCCCAGCTACTCAAGAGGCTGAGGCAGGAGAATTGCTTGAACTCAGGAGGTGGAGGTTGCAGTGAGTCGAGATCGTGCCATTGCATTCCAGCCTGGGGGACAAGGGCAAGACTCTGTCTCAAAAAAAAAAAAAAAGAAAAAGAAAAAGCAAACCCAGAAACTCACCCTTCAAGTGGCTAAATTACAATACAAATGGAATTCCCAGCCTCAAAGGGTGTCTACTTTAAGGGTATTGATTCGGAAGGTGTGGAATCTTGACATTTGGAATAGGGATGTGTGAAAGACACTGATGAAGGTAAGGACAGTGAGTTCCTTAATCATGCTCTTTGACAATGGAAGCATTCTCTCCCCGTGCATCTGAGGAGATTAACCCTGCACTGTCTGAGGAAACAATAGTGGCCTCCGCGGAGGCAGTTGCCATGCAAGACAGTGCTAATTTTCCTCAGGATCCGCCCCCACTACCCATCTTTGCTTCTAAGCCATAGGTTCAATGTGTGATCCATGGGGAAATGTGCTACACTCCAAAGTGACTACTAAGTTCTTCTGATTTATACACCTAGAAATCTAGGGAACATGTGTGCGAATGGACATTAAGGGTGTTGGATAATGGTGAAAGGAAGATAAAGTTGAGCCAGGCCAATGTTATTGATATGGACCTACTAAGGAGAGATCCTGCATTTAATGTTGCATCTCAGTGAGCTAGACATGGCTCTAACAGTTTGTCTGGTTCATTGGCTAAAACATGGAACAAACGTTGGCCCACAGTAAGAGGGGCCATATTGTATTCATAATGCACATTCCTAGAGAAATAAACAGATAGCTAGATAGACAGAGGATAGGTATATACATAAATAAACATCTGATTGGTTCCATTTCTCTGAAGAAAACTCTTGCAAAAACAGATTTTAGTCTAAGGGATAATCGCACTCAAACTTTATTGCACTCATAATATACACTCATGAGCAGCCAAGGAAACTCAGTATTCTGTATGACGAAGGAAGTTCCAGGATGCTTCCCTCTTGGCTTCCTGTCTGCCTACCCTGGTGTAGAGTACAAAAATAATTGCCTATTTAGATAGCAACATTCCATGGTCCAGCTAGACGTCATCAACCTCTTGAGCTTCCCCACATCCTGTTCAATTTTGGCTCCTATTCAAGGTCTCCAACAGACCTGGCCCTGTATCTAGACACCATTCCTATTTCCTCTATCAGGCCCCAGCCCCAGGAGAGTGGCTCCTGTGGTCGCTGTCCACAGCACTGACTGGGATGTTGCCATGAACTCTAGTTTCAGCACCATGGTCAGAGTCCAGGAAGCAACAAGGCTTCCACTGTTTTCTGGTGTGTTAGTTGATACATTTGTATGAGCTGGGCCCCCTCTTAGAGACTCCTAAATAGAGATTCCCTGAAGGTGTCTAATAAATATTTAGCGAATGCATCAGAATAAATTGGAAAAAGACACATCCACTCCATGGATTCTGAATAGGAATGGAATTCAGAAGCTTATGATGTTAGCCGCTCACCCAGCAGGACAACCACTAGCACGGCCCAGGGTGGCATTTAGAGTTGGCTCTTCCTCATCCACCTCAGGTCATCTCTTTCCAGACCATGTTCAGGAAACCAGTTTATAGGGTATTGACTAAAAAGCAACAGGCTTGGGGCCAGACACAGTGGCTGACGCCTGTAATCCCAGCACTTTGGGAGGCTGAGGAGGGATGATCATGAGGTCAGGAGATGGAGACCATCCTGGCTAATATAGTGAAACCCTGTCTCCACCAAAAATACAAAAAAAAAAAAAAAAAGAAAATTAGCCAGTCGTGGTGGCGGGTGCCTGTAGTCCCAGCTACTTGGGAGGCTGAGGCAGGAGAATGGTATGAACCCAGGAAGCAGAGCTTGCAGAGAGCTGAGATCACGTGACTGCACTCCAGCCTGGGCAACAGAGTAAGACTCGGTCTCAAAAAAAAAAAAAAAAGCAACAGGCTTGGAGTTACATCACAGTACTTTCAAAACCTACATCTGCCTCTTGCTATCTCTGTCTCCTTGGGAAAGTCACTTTGCCTCTCTGAGGCTCACTTTGCTTTTCTATAAAATTGCAATAATAAAAATGTCTTCTTTGTAAGGATATTTGGTGGGTTGACAATCAGAGATTATTATATTCTACCTCTCATAGGAAGCAATCAGTTGAACTAACAGGGAAGACTCTGGAGCCAGGAAGCCTGAGATTTGATCACAGCTCTGCCCCTTTTAACTTCGTGAGTTAGGGAAAGTTACCCACATTGCTATTGTGTCATATATAAACTTAGTATAGTGCTAGTATCTACCTTACATGGTTTTGGTGGGGAACTACATAGTTAATACATGTGATGTACAAAGTGAAATTCTACCATGTTCTTAGCAGTCATTCAATAATGTGGGCTATTTTTTACTATGATTATTATTTTCATTATATGCCTAGAGATAACCTGATGAACTATGCTCAGTAAATGACAGCTGCTTTTATGAAGAATTGCTAGAATTGCTGTGAAGGTTCTTAGGCATCTGACACATTCCCTGGTTTATGTTCTAACATTCTAGACTCTCCATCTGAGGTTTATAGACTCTTTATCAGCCCTGAGGGATGCAGGTATTTGTTTATTACTAGATTCATGCAGAAAACATCCCCTGGGTCTCTGGCGTGCCATATCCCATGCAGGAAATGGGTGATGTGAAAGATGGATATTAGAAGCTTAGAATATCTTAGCTTAGTTTAGATAGCTAAGCTTCTAAGCTTAGATTAGAAGATAGCTTAGAAGACTATAGCTTAGGTAGCTTAATGGCTTAGAATCTTCTAAACTTATTAGAAGATAGTTTGGAAGCTTATCTAGCTTAGATAGTTTAGAAGAAGCTTAGCTATCTTCTTAGCTTAGCTTAGAAGAAGCTTAGCTATCTTCTTAGCTTAGCTTAGAAGATAGCTTAGAAAATAGCTGCATTTTTTAATAAATAGCTTAGAAGGTATATAAGCTCTGGGAAACTTTGTAATTTTGAGTTGGTCTGGCAATGTTTTCCAGGCCTTCTCCCTGTAACCGGTAACAGAAATAAAAACTCTCTCCCTCCCCAGTTCATCCGCATCTCATTATTGGGCCATGAGAAATAGCAGCCCCACCCTCAGTTTGGTCTGGGAACACTTTGGGGGTAAGATTAGGACTGTAACCCGCAAGTGTTCTTGGGGCAAACAGGGTCACTCTCTGTCAAAACATCTGAGTCATTTCTCCTTCCTTACTACCTCTTTTCTTCCCTGCTCACAGCCCTCAGCTGATACCATGGATTCTGTCTCCATGCTTTGGGCAAGAGTGATCCCTGGAGGAAATGAACAGGTGTTAATGTAAGACATGAGGGTGGAATTTACTGATGGTTGACCTTGATCATGTAACACCTCTTTCCCATTTTCCTCCTTATAGAAGAAGATAATGACCCATATCTCAGGGTTGGTTTGAGGATGAGTATTGCCTGAGACATGTAAGGCTCTCAATCTCGTGTAATCTCTTTTACCAGATCCAGACACGTGGTGTAAGAGCCTTTATGTTCCAAAGGTAAGTCAGGAACAATCCGTCATCACGGGTGGAATGGTAAAGTGTCAGAAAAAGTTACAGACTGCAGGAATCCTGGAGCTCATCCCGAATTCTGTACTCAGCCACATTAGAATTTAAGATGTAAGGTGAAAAGATCAGCTTCATGTCTGAACACTGTGGGACTTAGGACGTCTCTCACTTATTAGGAATCCTACCTCACATTAAAAAAAAAAAACACTGGGTCATGTTGCAACTTTTTAAGATAAAAGAAATCTGCATAGAACCATGCTCTTTTTTCTTAAATTTCCATTCACTGAAGTAAAATACAGATAATGTAAAATTGACCCTTTAAAAGTATACAACTCTAGGCCGGGCGCAGTGGCTCACGCCTATAATCCCAGCACTTTGGGGGGCCGAGGCGGGTGGATCACCTGAGGTCAGGAGTTCAAGACCAGCCTGGCCAACATGGTGAAACTCCGTCTCTACTAAAAATACAGAAAAATTAGACAGGTGTTGTGGTGGCCACCTGCAATCCCAGCTACTTGGGGGGCTGAGGCAGGAAAATCGCTTGAAACTGAGAGGCGGAAGTTGCAGAGACGCGAGAATACACCACTGCACTCCAGCCTGGGCAATAAAAGTGAAACTCCGTCTCAAAAAAAAAATACATATATATATATATACAACTCTGTGGCATTTAGTAGATTTTCATTGCAGCAACTGCCACCTCTAGTTCCCAAAGATTTTCATCACCCCAAAAGGAACCCCGTTCCACGGAGCAGTCCCTCTCCTCTCCCTACCCCTGCTCAGCCCCAGGCAACCATCAATCTGCTTTCTGTCTCTGTGGATTTCCAGCTGCTGGACATTTTATATAAATGTAATCATATAGTATGTGACCTTTGGATCTGGCTTCTTTCACTTAGCTTCATATTTTGAATCTCCAAATTGCAGCATGCATCAGTACTTCATTTTTATGGATGAGTAAATTTCTAACATATGGATGCAACACGTTGGTTGGTGGACATTTGTGATACTTTTATCTTTTTATTGTGAATAATGCTTCTATAAACACTTGGGCACAAGTGTTTGGATATTGTCCAATGAGATAAGTCTCTTATCATTTCAGGAGATTTATTTGCCAAAGTTAAAGATGTGCCTGGGAGACAGATCTATGCCTTTCTCTGAAGATGATTTTGAGGGATCCAAATTTAAAGGGTAAAGGGCGGGATATTGAGAAGCACACAATTTTCATGTAAGAGGAGGGTAAGGAAAAATAGTTACGCATGCCTTTGTCTAGCTCAGTGAATCTGTATTTTTTTTAAAAATAGTCATTCATGCCTTTGTCTGGTTCAGTGAATCTGCACTTTTTACATCAGACGACAAAAACAAATGGGGCAGAGGAAAATATGCAGTGAATCTGCATTTTACATAAGATAAACATAGACAAAATTGGGTGGGGGAATGATCAGATATGCATTTGTGTCTGATGGGCTGGGGAGACTGTACCTGGAAAGATAAGTTATCAATATACACTGGAAAGATAAGCTATCAATATACACTGGAAAGATAAGCTATCAATATGCATTGGAAAGATAAGCTATCAATATACACTGGAAAGATAAGCTATCAATATACACTGGAAAGATAAGCTATCAATATACATTGGAAAGATAAGCTATCAATATACACTGGAAAGATAAGCTATCAATATACACTGGAAAGATAAGCTATCAATATACACTGGAAAGATAAGCTATCAACATACACTGGAAAGATAAGCTATCAGTATACACTGGAAAGATAAGCTATCAGTATGCACTGGAAAGATAAGCTATCAGTATACACTGGAAAGATAAGCTATCAATATACACTGGAAAGATAAGCTATCAATATACATTGGAAAAGATAAGCTATCAATATACACTGGAAAGATAAGCTATCAATATACACTGGAAAGATAAGCTATCAATATACACTGGAAAGATAAGCTATCAACATACACTGGAAAGATAAGCTATCAGTATACACTGGAAAGATAAGCTATCAGTATGCACTGGAAAGATAAGCTATCAGTATACACTGGAAAGATAAGCTATCAGTATACATTGGAAAGATAAGCTATCATACACTGGAAAGATAAGATATCAATATACACTGGAAAGATAAGCTATCAGTATACACTGGAAAGATAAGCTATCAATATACATTGGAAAGATAAGCTATCAATTTACATTGCCATGGTGAAATTTTAACAGCTCACTAGGAATCTTCTTGTGGGCAAAACGTGGGGGAGGCATGTAGCTTTTCACCTTGTAGCCATCTTATTCACGAACCAAAATGGAGAGGCAGGTTTGTGTGACCCAGTCCCCAGCTTGACTTTCCCCCTTAGCTAAATGAGTGTGGGGTCCCAAAATTTAATTTCCTTTCACAATATCTACTATCAGTCTTTTTTTTTATTGTGGTAGGAAGAGTTAATTCTCCTACCAATTTTTAACTTCATGATGCAGTATTGTTAACTAAAGACAAAATGTTGTAGGGTACATTGCAAACTTCATTCGTCTTGTATAACCTAAACCTTTAGTCACATACCTAGAAGTGAAATTTCTAGATCATAGAGTAATTCTAGGTTTATTTTTTATTTTATTTTATATTATTATTTTATTTTATTTTATATTCAAAAGGTACATGTGCTTGTTTGGTGTATGTATGTGTGTGTGTGTATATATATATATAAATAGATAGATAGATTTTTTTTTTTTTGAGATGGAGTTTCACTCTTGTTGCTCAGGCTGGAGTGCAGTGGTGCGATCTCGGCTCACCGCAACCTCCACCTTCCAGGTTTAAGCAATTCTCCTGCCTCAGCCTCCCGAGTAGCTGGAATTACAGGCATGCACCACCATGCCCAGCTAATTTTGTATTTTTAGTAGAGATGGGGTTTCTGCACATTGACCAGGCAGGTCTCGAACTCCTGACCTCAGGTGATCCCCCCCATCTCTGCCTCCCAAAGTGCTGGGATTACAGGCGTGAGCCACCGCACCCAGCCCTAATATATTTTTTTAACCTCTTGCCCTCCTCCCACCCTTCCCCCCTTTTGGGTTTCCCTGTGTTTATCTCCATCTTTATGTCCATGAGTGCCTATTGTGTAGCTCCCACTTGTAAGTGAGATCATGCAGTGTTTGGTATTCTGATTCTGAGTTAGTTCACGTAGGATCATGGCCTCCAGCTCCATCCATGTTCCTGCAAAGGACATGATTTCACTATTTTTTATGGCTATGCTGTATTCTGGGCTATATATTTACCACTTTTACTTTATCCATGCCACGATGGATGGACATCTAGGATGGTTCCATGACTTTGCTATTGTGAATAGCACCACGGTGAACATACGAGTGCGTGTGTCTTTTTTAATATAATTATTTCTTTTACAGTAGTGGGATTGCTGGGTCAAACGGCAGTTCTGTATTTAGTTCTTTGAGAAACCTCTATGCTGTTTTCCATAGAAGTTGAGCTAATTTACCACCAACAGCATATAAGCCTTCCTAGGTTCATCTTTTAAGGAACTGTCAAACCGCTTTTTTCTTTTTCTTCTTTCTCTCTTTTTCTTTCTTTCTTTCTTTTCTTTCCTCTCTCTCTCTCCCCCTCCGTCCCTCCCTCCCTCCCTCCCTCTCTCTCTCTCTCTCTCTCTCTCTTTCTTTCTTTCTTTTTGATGGAGTCTGGCTCTGTCACCCAGGCTGGAGTGCAGCGGCACGATCTCGGCTCACTGCAACCTCTGCTCCTGGGTTCAAGCTATTCTGCCTCAGCCTCCTGAGTAGCTGGGATTACAGGCACCTGCACCGTGCCCAGATAATTTTTGCACTTTCAGTAGAGAAGGGGTTTTGCCATTTTGGCCAGGCCGGTCTCAAACTCCTGACCTGAGGTGATCCTCCTGCCTCGGCCTCCCAAAGTGCTGGGATTACAAACGTGAACCACCACGCCCGGCCTCCAAACCACTTTTCACAGTCACCGAAAAATTTCACAATCATGCCAGCAGTGCGTGAAGGTTCTCTTTCCGCACACCCTTCCTGACATTTGTTATTTTTCAGAATATGGCCAATCCAGTGTTTGAAGTAGTGTCTCACTGTGGATTCCTATGAATTTTTATAATAAGTAATGGTTTGGGTGTCTTTTGATGTGCTCACATTTATTCCTATATCTTGGGAGGATGTTGATAGAGGGGTCCAAAATTCCAGTTTGACAGAATAACTTCCAGATCTATGCTACAACATGGTGACTATAGTTAATAACGATATATTCTATTCTTGAAAATCACTGTGAGAGTAGATTTAAGAGTTCTCACCACAAACAGTAGTAAGTATGTGAACTGATGTGTATGTTTATTAGATCGATTTAGCCAACCCACAAATAGGAATGTTGCAATACCACATGTTGTATACAGTAAAAATATACAATTTAGGGAAACTTTTTTTTTTTTTTTTTGAGACGGAGTCTCTCTTTGTCGCCCAGGCTGGAGTGCAATGGCACAATCTTGGCTCACTGCAAGCTCCGCCTCAATTTAGGGAAACATTTTAAAAGCTGTGTTACTAACATGAAGTTCTACATTCACACGACTAATGCCAGCTTCAATGGACACGGGTTGGAGGTTTCTTACCTGAGACCATGAGCTCCAGTGATATGGCTTTGGTGACTAGGGTTTTTGGTCTCATGCCAGTTTAGATAAAACAATAAGGACACACGTGGAGTGGTTTTAAGGAGCAAAAAGTTTAATAGGCAAGAAAGAAGAAAGAAAGAAGAAAAGAGCTCCTCTGTACAGAGCCAAGGGAGGGGAGCTTGGAACAAAGAAGAACCCCGTGTGTGGTGGAAAAGTGGTTGCTTATATTGGGAGGCTGGAGGAGGCAAGTGTCTGGTTTGCATAGGGCCCAGGGGATTGGTTAGGCCAGGTGTGTCATTTACATAGCCCTCGAAAAACTTGTTCCTCCCACCTTAGCCTTTTAATATGCAAATGTGGGCCACCATGATGCTTTGTGTTATTTGGAGGTGGCCATCACGCTTGGCACAGGTGGTGATAAGAAGATGGCAGAAATCACCATATTGCATGAACCCATGTTTTAATGGCCAGCATTTGAATTTTAAAGCTTGCCGGCCAGGCTCTTTAAGACAGCTTCTCTGTTAGAAAAGAGATGGTTCAGGGGTTGTTTCTTATTACAGGAAAATTTCCACCAAGAACCTTTACCCTTACTATGTGCCTAAAATAATTCCTTAATAACTCCTGTATTATTCCTCCCCTTAAAGAGAGGCAAAGCTAACTGCTGTTAGTGCGTGTTGGATCATGTTTCTTTCTGGCTACTTCCTGCTGAAAAGGGGTGTTGTGTGGGGGAACAGCAGTTGGGCCTTTTTCTGAGGTTGATTTAAGGTTTCTCAAAAGAATGGCGTGTCCATGTGTGGCTTTGCTTGCAGCACCATTTGGAGTTTAATTACTTTTAGGCAAAAAGAGAGAAATTTTACAAGAAGGTTTAAAATATAGGGTTAGAATATGAGTATTAAGATTACCACCATTGGGGCTGGGTGTGGTGGTTCATGTCTGTAATCCCAGCACTTTGGGAGGCCAACGCGGGCAGATCACCTGAGGACAGGAATTCAAGACCAGCCTGGCCAGCATGGTGAAACCTCATCTCTACTAAAAATACAAAAATTAGCCGGGCATGATGGTGAGTTCCTGTAATCCCAGCAACTTGGGAGGTTGAGGCAGGAGAATCACTTGAACCCGGGAGGCGGAGGTTGCAGTGAGCTGAGGTTGTGCCACTGCATTCCAGCCTGGGCAACAGAGCAAGACTCTGTTTCAAAAAAAAAAAAAATACCATCGTTAGTGGCAGTCCTACAGACCCTAAGTGACAGTGGAGTTTGACACCTGTTGTTGTATCAATGGATTGCAATACAGGTTTTCCTCCACTAGATGTCGGTGTACATTACCAGGAACGTTACTGTAAAAGTAACTTTTTCCTAGAGAAAAGCATATGTTTCCTCCTTAACGTGCCAGTAGAGAATAACTTTAGGCTTAGGCCATTTTTACTACTTGCAGTATGATTGGGAGAAATACATTATTGGGTGGCTAAAATAACTTTAGCGTTAATTTTGACTTTTTTTAATTATTAAATTTTTTATGACTTTCACAGACTCTCTTACAACACACTTAAACTTTTAGACTTGTCCTAAACATTCTTCCTTTAAACAACCAGTTATTTTCTTTTAGGACAAGTATTCACCATACAAAATCCTTTTTTATGTAAATGTTTTTATAACCTTTTTATAGCTTACAGTGCATTATATCACCAACCTTTGGTAAAAAGTTTTATTACACTTAATGCTAGTAAAACTTTAATGCTTGCTTTTTATTCGTTACTATTACTTCTGCTATAAGCAAAACAACCTTGATTAAATTTTTTCTGCAATTATTAATTTTGTTATAAGGATGATAATCAGGCAAAATATTACCACAATTACAATTTTACAACCAGAATTCTACATTGTGGGTGCCACAGAGTATAGTTTCATTGCAAATAGCAGTGTGACTACAACAATTTTCACAAGAATGGCTTTTTTTTTTTTTCTGGCCAGTAATTTTTGTTTAAAACTTTACTTGCTGGCCGGGTGTGGTGGCTCACACCTGTAATCCCAGCACTTTGGGAGGCCCAGGCGGGTGGATCACGAGGTCAGGAGATCGAGACCATCCTGGCTAACATGGTGAAACCCCGTCTCTCTAAAAATACACAAAATGAGCCAGGCGTGGTGGCGGGCGCCTGTAGTCCCAGCTACTCGGGAGGCTGAGGCAGGAGAATGGTGTGAACTCGGGAGGCGGAGCTTGCAGTGAGCTGAGATTGCACCACTGCACTCCAGGCTGGGCAACAGAGCGAGACTCTGTCTCAAAAAAAAAAAAAAAAAAACTTGCCAAGATATAACATTTTCCTTTGGGGATTCAGAAAGTTACAAATGTGATTTTATGAATATTTAAATTTTGCTGCAAATAAGTGTTAAAAAGAAGTTTTAATATTTGGCCGTGAACTTTGTGAGAAAAGGTTAGAAATAATAAAACATATTTGGTGGGTAGGAGTGGGACTGAGTAAGATGTGTAGCCCTTACTTAGTTACTTATCTTCTATGAT
Organism: Homo sapiens; assembly: GCF_000001405.40. NCBI lineage: Eukaryota > Metazoa > Chordata > Mammalia > Primates > Hominidae > Homo > Homo sapiens. The sequence goes on along the minus strand of NC_000019.10, from coordinate 54,675,215 downwards.
TTTTAGCTTAAGATCTTCTATTTTTTTACATTAATATTTAGCTTTTTTTTTTTTTACTGTTAGGGGTTGGTTTTTTAGCTTTTTGGCTTTGACTTGAGTGTGATGCATGTAGAAGTTGATTCCTGTAACTTTTACTGCCGAGGAGGTTGAAAGACGAACAGTGTAGGGCCCTTTTTAGCTTGGCTTAGGGAAGGAGACAGAGATGAGAGTTCTTACTAATACTAAATTTCCTGAGTTAAATAAAGGTGGTTTTATTTCCTAGGGCTGGGCTTCTGCTATTGTGTCAATTTTTGTTGGAAGTGAGCTAGAGAGGTTACGTGGTTAACCATTCTAGAGGTTTCCCGTCTGAAAACAATGTTTGAGCCCATTGATAAGTTTTATTTTTTCCTGAGTGAAAAGCTTAGGACTTCAAGAACTTTCTGTTGGCTGGAGGCTGACCAATAAATTTGCCATCCTGACTGTAGCCATCCTGAGGGCTGAAAAGTATGCCCTTGAGAAGTGGCTTATTCTATTTTTTCAGGGGAATACTGAGGTGTGATTTCTCTTATGGAGCCTTTTTAGATTAGAAGGGGCTTGAAGTGCATTAAGGCCTTGAAGCTTTTATGCCTTTGACTTAGCTGCCCGATTGGCTAACTTATTTCCTTTGGCTACCTTATTGTTTATTCTTTGATGTTTCTTACAATGCATCCCTGCTACTTTTTGTGGAAGAAAAAATAAGAATAACTTGCTAATTTTTTGGTGATTTTTTATAGGAGATTTATTAGCAGTAAGAACATGTTTTTTTGTTTTAAATGGCAGCATGAGCATGGAGAACCAAGAAAGCATACTTGGAGTTAGTGTAAATGTTAGCTGCCTTTTCCTTGCTTAATTTAAGTGCTTTTTAAAGAGCTATTAACTCAGCTAATTGAGTGTTTGTGCCTGGAGAGAGTGACTACTGCTTATTCTGCCTTATTTACTTTTTGCTTTACGGGCTGTTTACCAGCTAAGAGCTCCCCCTAGAGGACAGTGATTCTGCTACATTATGTGGGCTGTAAACAGTTAAATTATTTTTATTTTCTAGGGTTAACTTGCAGGCTTTTCTGACTAGTAGAGCTATCATGACAATGGCTTCAATGGCTTGAAAGCATGTTTTTTTGATTTTTTGTTTGTTTGTTTGTTTGTTTTAGATGGAGTTTCACTCTTGTTGCCCAGGCTGGAGTGCAATAGAGCGATCTCGGCTCACTGCAACCTCTGCCTCTTGGGTTCATGCAATTCTCCTGCCTCAGCCTCCCAAGTAGCTTGGATTACAGGCATGTGCCACCACACCTGGCTAATTTTTTGTATTTTTAGTAGAGATGAGGTTTCTCCATGTTGGCCAGACTGGTCTTGAACTCCCAACCTCAGGTGATCCACCCACGTCAGTCTCCCAAAGTGCTGGGACTACAGGCGTGAGCCACCGTGCCTGACCGAAAGCATGTTTTAACTAAGATTGAGAAAATATTGGATTAGACTTTTTCCTAAGATGCCCCTTACGGTTGTGATGAAGGAAGAAGGGAGGCCTGGATTAGAGAATAGAAAAGAGAGAGAGACTAGCTTTAGTGTTTAGAAGGAGGTCTACTTTCCTTCCTTTAATTTCCAGAATTATCCAGGGCTCTTGTGCTATAATGGCAGTTTGAGCTACTGGAGCCTAGGTTCAAGCACCAGGATCCATCAGTTTTGCTGGACCATCTGTGAGACTGGTTTTGAACTCAGTGACCTCCATGTCTGGGGGCAGTTCTGTTTTCAGTGGTTTTTGCCACAGGCTGGACAGAGTGGAGGTTGCTTCATTTTGCTGACTGGACATTCTGGCCTGCTACACTAATAGCAACTAGAGGATGCATCTTGGTGATCTGGGACTTTGCGAGCCTTCAAAGCTGCTGCTAGAGACTTTGTCCTTCTCCTGAGCTTTTTTTCTTTCTTTTGGGACTCCTCCTGGTCCATATTATAAAAGACCAAAGTGGCCACCTTCAGGAGGTTTTTTAAGGTGCTATTTGGTCCTGTAGCTTTCTTTTGTAGTTTTTTTTTTTTTTTTTTTAATATTGGGAGCTGCCTGTGTAATAAATTTGTCCCTCAGGATGAGCTGTTACTTAACTGGATTAGAGAATAAAAAGATATACTTTTTTAGTGCCTCTTTTAGCCTTTTTATAAAGGCTACAAGATTTTTATTTGGCTTTTGTTCCATTATAGACAGTTTAGAGTAATTGAGAGGTTTGGCCCTGGTTTTCTGTAGGCCTTTAAAAATGCATATTAAAAAGGGCTTTTTCATTCATTTGGGTCACCATGATGTTTTGAATACATGGTGTTGTCTGGAGGTGGCCATCACACTTGGCACAGGTGGTAACAAAGAGAAGACAGTAGGAATCACCATATTGAGTGAACCCAGTTTTTAATGGTTGGCATTTGCACATTAAAGCTTGCTGGCCGGGCCATTTAAGCTGTCATTTCTGTTAGAAAAGAGATGGTTCAGGGATTGTTCCTTATTACTGGAAAATTTCCACCAAGAACCTTTACCCTTACTATCTGCCTAAAACAATTTCTTAGTAACTCCTGTATTACCAGGAGGTCACTGGGGGAACAACAGCTTGGGGTAAACACTCTATGAGGCATAGCACCTGTAGGTCCCCGCATGGGCTGAGGTCGCAGGACTCATGGAGAATTCAACCTCTACCACAGAGTAGGGTACTTTGATATTAGATACGAGGGTGGGGTCTTGTCAGCTGCATCCTCCTCAGATAGAAGGAAAGTGTCTGTCCACCCAGCTTTGCATCTGACACAGCAGGGCCATGTTCTCTCCTGAGACCACAGTGGGGCCTGGTTGCACCAAGAGGGAGGCTGTCTCACGGATCTGTCCTGGAGAGAAGAAGGATGGGTGAGGAGCCGCCCCACCTTGTTCTGAGCTGAGACTTCCCCAGGCCTCTCTCTGGGACCCTCAGTATCTCTGTCTCTGTTTTCTCTGAGTTTCCCCGTCCCCGCCCAATCCATCCTCTCTCTCTCTCTGCCTCTCCCTCCCTTGAGACCCCCACCCCTCATCCCAACCATCACCACCTAGGCTCCCCTGGCAGGGCCTGTACAGAGCCTGGGTCCCTAACTGAACCCGCTGGGCTTCTCACCTGCGATCAGGATGTCCAGGGGGGTCACTGGGGGCTGACCACCTAGAGGAGAGGTTGTGTCCACTGAACATCTGTACTGGCCCCCATGGGAGATGCTCACAGGGCCTAAGGGGAAGTCATCTTGGGAGAACTTCTGGCCAGAACTCTGGGGAAGGTGATGTATCTTTTTCTTGGACAGAGAGAATATTTTGCAGCCAACATCAGAGCAACACAGGAGGGTCAACCTCTCTCCATGGGCCATGACAGGACCCTGTGGAGTCAAATGGGAGGGCTCCCTAGGCACACCTGGAGTGTGCGAGGAGCTGGGACTCAGAGGGCTGGTTCCTTCCAAGCCTCTTCTTTCACCAGGTTGCCTCCAGGTATGGTCAGAATCTAGTGAGCTGCTGGAGCTCTTGGTCTCAGGTGCTAAAGTCTGCTAAACCAGACTGGTAAACCTCCACCTGTGGCTAGAAGTCATGGGGTCTGCCAGGATCAGGGCTTGGAACTGTCCATCGGACTGTTTTTCGGGGTCCAGGAGACAGAATAGCTTGTGTTCACCTTCCACGGTCAGAATGAACCTGTCAAATCCCAGCCGTGAAGGACATAATGGTGTCACCTTACCTCCTGAGGTCAGGACAGGGCTGGGCTGAGCTGAGAGGGTGGATTTGCTGTAGAATCCTAGGACAGAAGGAAGCACCATGTTAAATGGGGCTCACACCTTCCACATCATACCCCAGGGCTGGGCTGTGAGAAGGGAGACACCCCCTGAGAGCTGAACCCCTTCCTGAATGCAGTGCCTGGGGCTGGGATCCCTGAGTGTCCTCTCATCTGTCACCACCAGTTCCAGGCGGTCACTGGGTTCTGACAAGCCTGCAGGGCTGAGAAAGTGACAGCGATATCACTGTGCATAGTGCAGAAATGCAGGGAAATAGGGGAAGAAAACATAACTCCTCCACTGACCCTGGGTCGTGGGTATTCTTTCTACCAAACAATTCTCTGCTTGGGCTTCCCTTTTTTTGTTACTATTTTCTAACAGTCTCCTCCACATCTCCCTGGATACAGCACTTGATTCATTTCTGCCTCCTCAGTGCCCCTTGTCTAGTTCTCAGAACCTTCCTCCTCCTCTTTCCATGGTCCTGCCCTGAAGCCTTAGGGACATTGGGTGGGTTAGCACTCCAACTTTGAAAGGAAAGCTAATCTTTATTTAAATAATCATCTGTCATCCACTGTCTGTGGCCAGGACTTAGCAGCAAATACATCTGGTGCCTTCCTCAGTTGGACCCTTTCCAATGAGGCTGACTGAGGGCTGAGCACACAAGTGCATGAGAAGTGCTAATAGTTCAGCCAGAGTGCAATTAGAACCTGCCCTTTCTGTAGGAGGAGGATGGAAGAATCCTTGCTCAAAAGTATATGCTCTCACTTCTTCTATTCAGCATAGTAATAGAAGTCCTAGACACAGCAATTAGGCAATAAAAATACACAAAAGCACCCAAATCAGATAAAAAGTGATATTGTCTCTGTTTGCTGACATGATTTTATATATAAAAATCTCTAAAGACTCAACCAAACAACTTTTAGAACTGATCCACGAATTTAGTAGAGTTGCAGGATACAAAATCAACATGCAGAAATTGGTAGCATCTCTATATACTAAAAACAAACTATCCAGAAAGAAATCGAAAGAAAAATTACACTTATAATAGCTAAAAAATTACTTAGAATTAAATTTAACCAAGGAGGTTTAATATCTCTGCACTAAAATCTTTATAACATTGATGAATGAAATTGAACAAGACGCATATAAATGGGAAGGTAGCTTATGTTCATGGTCTGCAAGAATTAACATTGTTAAAATGTTCGTATAACAATGAGAACACATGGACACAGGGAGGGGAACAACACACACTGGGGCTTGTAGTGGGAGGGCGGATGATGAAGGGAGGGAGAGCATCAGGAAAAAGAGCTAATGCATGCTGGGCTTAATAACTAGGTAATGGGTTGATAGGTGCAGCAAACCACCATGGCACAAGCCTACCTATGTAACAAAGCTGCAGGTCCTGTACATGTGCCCTGGAACTTTAAAAAAAAGTTCATACCTGCAGACTCAATGCAATTCCTAACAAAATTCCAAGGTCGTTTTCCACAGAAATAGAAAAACAATCCTAAAATTTGAATGGGACTACAAAAGGACCCCAAATAGCCAAAACAATCTTGAGCAAAGGGAAGAAGGGGATATCACACTATGGAATCCCCAAATATCCTACAAAGCTACAGCCAGGAAGACATCATGGAACTGGAATAGAAACAGGTACAGTGATCAGTGCAACAGGGATGAAAGCAAAGAAGGAAACACACATATTTATGGTGAATTGATCCTCAACAAAGTTTCCAAGAACAAGAGAGGGCAGTCCTTTTGAATAAATGGTCCTAGGAGAACTGAGTCTCCATGGAGTGTGGAGGTCTGGGTCCTCCCTGGGCTAGTGGATGGCCAGAGCAGTATACACACTCGGCTCAGCTGAACGTCCCCTTTCCTGGGAGGAAGAAGGCTTCATTATTTTCTGTTTGAGGGTAAGCTGTGCAGCTGGGCATAGGACACATCCTGGGGATATTCATATGAAGAAGAATGAAATTGAACCCTTATCCCATATACAAAAATGGGTGGGAGAAAAGCTTCAAGACGTTGGTCCGGGCAAGGTTTTTTTGGATATGGCCCTGAAAACACAAGCAACAAAAGCAAAAATAGACAAAAGGTGTGGCTTCTAAACAGCTTCTGCAAACAGAATGAAGAGACAACTCAGAAATGGGAGAAAATAGTTGCAAGCTGTATACCTGATAAAGGGTTAATATGCAAAAATATGTAAGGAACTAAAACAAAGCAACAGCAAGAAACCAAAAACTACTTGAAACATGGGCAAAGTAGCTGAACAGGCATTTCTCAAAAGAAGACATACAAATGGTCAGCAGCTATATGAAAAGGTGCTCAGACAAAAGCTTTGTCTATTGAGATGATAATTTTTCATTCCTTTTGTTAAAATACTGAATTACATTGATTGAGTTTTTGAAAATTAAGCTATCCTTGCTTTTCATAAACAAAATCAAAGGATAACAAAAAACCAGTGTGGTCATGATATACTGTCTATTTTATAGAGACATGAATCTTACTTGTTAATATTTGTTAAGGGATTTATATTTCTGTGAGAGATCTTCTATGACTTTCCCATTCTGTAGTTTCCTTTTCAGGTTTTGGTATCAACTTGTTCCTAGTCTGATCAAATGTATTTGTGTAAATATATACAAAATATTCTCAGGGAAAATTTATGCAAGTTTGTGTGTGTGTGTGTCTGTGTGTTTCATGAGTGCATAAGAGTTTGAAAAAACCACCAACAAACCTTGCTGAAGTGGCATTTACTTTGTGGGAACATTTTTGATTACAGGATCAATGCATTTTATATATGTTTATGTATGATGATTCAGTTTTTCTATTTATCCTTATGTTCATTAAGTAAACTGTAATTTTTCGTATTTCATCTATCTCATCTACATTTTCTGTTATGTCAGCATAGAATTGCTGACAGTTTTCTTTCACCTCTGTAAAGCTGTGTGTAGGGTCTGTAGTGCTGCCTCCTATTTTGTTCCTGTATGGAAATGGATGCCTGCTCTTTTTTCATTTTTATTTTTCTCATTGTGGCCAAGATTCATGTATCATTAATGTTTTCAAGAATAAACATTTTGACTTTATTAATTTTTCTCTATTTTTTGTTTGTCCTCATTAGAAGCTCCCATTTTCCCATGTCATTGGTTTGATGTGTAATATTTACATGATCATTCAATTTAAAACATTGTCTGACTTCTGTTTTGTTTTATCAGTTAACTCATTGTGAATTGAGAGGTCTGCTACTTTATTTTGATAATGCAGGGATATTATTTATCTTTGCAGAATCAGGTGACTCCCAACGTTCCCGGAATCTTCTAGTGGTCTGTGTCAGGGGTCTGGGCTGGCTGGGGTTCAGTGATGTCTACTGGAGGCAGCTTCCATGCCTTCTGGGGTCCTGAGTCTCCATGGCTTGTGGGGTCTGGGTCCCCCCTGGATTAGTGGATGGCCAGAGTGGCATAGACACTGGGCTCAGCTGGAGAGGCCCCTTCCTGGGATGGAGGAGGCTCAGTTGCCTTCTGTCTGAGGGTAAAGCTGTGCAGCCGGGCGTAGGTCACATCCTGGGGGGCTTCAGATGCAGCAGCCTGCAGCGGGGGAGAGTGAGAGGGAAGGAACGTGGTGGGGGTGGGGGAGGCCTGGGGGCCTGGAGAGGAAAGGACTCACCTCAGTGTCCATCTGTCTGTCCTCTTCTGCCTGTCTGTCCTTTGTGTCCAGGAATTCCCCAGACAGTGGGGAGGGAGGAGAGGCCATTTCTCTCCTAGGTCTGGAGTGTTTCACCTTGGCATACGTCACTGCCTGGGGGTCTTCATCGTGTGGGCTCTGCTGGAGAGAGACAGTGGTGGGGGGTGTCCTTGAATCCTCCTGACTCCCTGGAGTCAATTTTCCCCACTGTTCCCAGGGTGATCCGATTACATCCCTTTCCTGACGGAATCTCAGGGATGCCCTAAGGCCGTGGAGGGTCTGGCCGCTCCCTCCCTGTGGTTCTGGTCTCTGCTCCTCACTCTGACCTTGCCCATTTGGCTGCAGCCTCACGCGGCCTTCCTGCAAGAGCTCGCTGCTGCCTCGGGGCCTTTGCACGGCTGTTTCCTCTGCCTGCAGGGGCTCGTCCATTAGAGGATCACGTGGCCCTCTCCGTCCAGGCTTCTCAGATGACAGCTGAGCAGACAGCCCTCCCTTTCCATTCAGACTGGCCCCACTGCCCCACACTCTCTGCCCTTTACCTGGTTTATGTTCCTTACAGCACGTTGCACTCCTGGACACGATGCATTTATTTGCATTTTGTCTCCCACCACGAGGTGAGCTCAGGAGGCGGGGGCGGCTTTGCTCCCTGCTGTGTCTGCAGCTCCCATGGGGAGCCCCATCCACAGTGAGCTCCCTGGGAACACTCACTAGATGAATGAATGAAGGGGAGCCCAGGGGACTGGAGTGGTTCATTTATTCGTCATCCTCCTGAGGCCTGGGGAGCTCTCTAACAACCAGATGGCCAAACAGAGGATGAGGAGCAGGAAGGGGACCCGGGAGGAGGCCCATGAGGTCCCAGGACAGCAGGAGAGAGTGAGGTCCCAGCAGGCAGGAGGCAGCGTGCTGGACAAGGAGGGGTCCACCGTGACGATGCTGAGAGCCGGGGGAAGGAGGACAGAGAAGTCCTGCAGGATTAGATCTGGCACCAGGAGGCCTTTGGTGCCGGGGACAGGGGCGGGTTCTCACCCGAGTGTCCATTTCCACCCCGTCCTCAGGCTGTGTGTTCTTCACGGCAGCACCTGCTGGGGTAGAGCAAGGGGTTCATCTCCTGGGAAGGTTCCCTGGGACCTCTCATTCCTGCTGGTCCCTGCCCTGTTCCCATTAGTGCCACTGCAACGCAGGGAGGGGCTGTGATGTCCCCGAGGTCCCACAATGTGGGTTCAGACCACTTCTCCCTGAGTCCCTGACCAATCCTAGCCTGTGCTCCTGCCCCCATTGCTATTGAAATTTTGGGACCCCCAGCTCCACCCCAGGTGCACCTTCTCTGCCTCTCACTCACAGAAGTTTTCTCCCTGGACGTCAGCAGCTGGGCTGGACCTGGGGGAGGATACGGGAGTGTAAGGGGACAGTGAGGTGGCTGTTGGGATGGGTGGGAGTCTGAGGTCTTTGGGCAGAATTACCTCCTCTGTAGGCCCCCGTCCTTGGGCTCTGGCTCGGCAGCCCCTGGAGGACGTTGGAAATCAGCCTGTCTCTGGGCTGGGGGAAGATGGACAGAGTCTCAGCTCTGGGAACGTTAGAACCACCTGCCTTGCACATGCAAGTCAAGAGGAAAGGAAACCTGAAAATACACTTGCAAGGATGTTTTAAATACTTTCTAAGTTTAGAAAAACCGAAAGAATAAAGCACTTCCATTACTCCCTCATTCATTTTCTTCTTTCTAGATTTTCTCACTGGGAATTTCTGGAGCAGAGTTTCTAAGATGACCTCTCCTATCTGGAGTCCCTTTGGCTGGTGCCCTGAGCCCACCCTCCATCAGCCCACGGGTCCCCCAATTTCCTACTTACCCAATGTCCTGTGTTTTCCCTGACGCCAGTGTTGGAGGAGGAGGAAGAGGAGGAGGGAGAGAAGCAGGATGGAGACCACCAAGACCCCGATCAGTACCTCCCAGTGCCTTCTCAGACCTTGGGCGTGATGACATCAGGAATGGGGATGATGTCATTGATGTGCACACCTACTGTGTGTGCACCTACTGTGTGTGCTGGGTCTTTCTTTCATTACCTCCAACCCTCACAGCAGTTGTGCAACCTGAGATTGCCACCCTCTCTCCACCCATTTCACAGATGCACAAACTGAGGCTCAGAGAGGGGAATCGCCTGCCCCAGACCCCTCCAGCCAGGAAGCGGCAGAGCTGGGAAGGAAACCCGGGAGTCTGAGCTGCAGCCCTTGTTCCTGCACCAGAGCCAAGCCCCAGAGTTGCAGGGAAAGAGCCTGACTGTCTTGAACCACCGCCCTGCTCCCCTCCCCTGCCCCAGGTCACCGTCTCTGCTGCAGGTGGGACCGGACAGGCCCCTGCGGAATCGGGTCTGGGAGGTTCCCTGGGAGGCCTCCTCTCCCAGGAGGGCACAGCTGGGAGTCAGAGCTGAAAGGAACTTTCCCACCCGCAGGCCTCTCTCCTTTACACTTGGAGAAACTGAGGCCCATGCAGGGGAGGGGCCTGTCCACATCACCACCTCCAGAGGAGCCTTAACCTAGGACAGAACCCACCCTTGGCTCCCCTAGACCCTGCCCACCTCCCACTCAGAGCCCCTCACTCACCACTGTGGGGGACTGACCCTGTAGGCATGAGGGGCTGGTCCTCAGGGCCTGCTGGGTTAGAACAGGGATGTGAGGGCTGGGGCTGCCCTGCTCCCCACATCAGCTCGGCTTCTCCCCGCAACATCTCCTTCAGCCTTGACCCCCTCACCCCTCACCAGCCCAGCCTCAGGGCCTTGGGAGCCTGTGGTGCCTCCCAAGTCGCTGCCCGACTCCCACACCCGTGGAAGCAAGCCCAGCTGAGAATTGGAACGAGGACTTAGATCCACTGAGCATGTCTTGAGACAGGCCTCGGGCTTTGGAAACTCTCTGGACAGAGGCCTCTGAGACTCACCAGCTGTTGAGACGGACCTTGTGGGTGAGGGCCTGGGACCCTCCAAGGATCCTGGGTAGAAGGACAAGAGGAGGGTGAGAGTCTGGGGTTGCCCTTGGGTCTCCACATCAAATTGAACCTCTCCCTATATCTGCCCTGCAGCTTCCCAAGGACCATTTCTCTGTCCACCTGGCACCTTCTGGACCCTAGGTGAGGGAGAAGAGCATGGGCATGCCTGGGAGGGCCCCTGTTGTCCTCCTCCCCTCTGAGGGCTGAGTCCCCCACTGGCTGAGCCCCTCTCCCTCCATCCCTGCCCAGAGCTCTCCTGGCAGCAGGGCATGAACGGAGCCACTGAGCTCAGAGAGGACAGGGTCAGGAGCCTCACCTGAGACTATGAGCTCCAGGGGGTCACTGGGGTGTGACAGCAGGTAGTGGGAGAAGCCGTGTGAGCTGAAGCACCTGTAGGTCCCCCCGTGCACTGAGGTCACAGGACTCATGGGGAATTCAGCCTGGTGCTGCTGAGCTCCGTGCTCTGATCTCAGATGCAGTAGGGGATGGGCTGCCCGCTCCTTGATCAGAAGAAAAGTGTCCATTGGGCTCCGTGACTGACACAGCAGGGTCACGCTCTTTCCTGAGGTCACAAGAGGACTCGGCAGGGCTGAAAGGGTGGGTTTACTGTAGGCTCCTAGGAGAGAAGGAGGCACCGTGTTAAATGGGGCTCCCACCTCCCACATCATCCCCAGGGCTGGGCTGTGAGAGGGAGATGCCCCTGAGAGCTGACCCCCTTCCTGAGGGCAGAGCCTGGGGCTGGGACCCCTGAGTGTCCTCTCACCTGTCATCACCAGCTCCAGGGGGTCACTGGGCTGTGACCAGCCTACAGGGCTGCGATAGTAACAGCGGTATCTCCCTGCATAGTCCTCTGTCATGGATGGGATGGAGAATCTGGCCTTGTTCTTGGGCTCCAGTGGGTTCTGTCTGTCCCAGGGTGCTGGGCTTTCCTCTTTATCCAGACGGTACTCCCGAGCCTCCAGGGTCCCCTGACACCAGATGGTCACAGAGTTCCCCCAGCTGATCACAGAGCCTGGCTCAGCCCAGAGGGTGGGTTTGGGGAGGGGCCCTGGAAGAAAATCAGAGGCTGGATCCCAAGACCTTCCTCAGCCCTCAGATCCCAGCTCTCAGCCCCAGGACCCCCCCGTCATCCTCATCAGTCACCCAGAACTGCTGTCTCCTCCCCCAGCTGCCCATGGGTGGCCCCTTGTCCCAGTGAGGAGGAGGGACCTGGGACAGCTGGGGACAGACTCACCTGCCTGCATGTGGGTCCTGGGGCCCAGACTCAGCCCTGGAAGAGAGTTCCCTGTGAGGGATTTGCCCCGGAAGCCTGAGCAGGTCCTCTCTTTACCCTGAGATTTTTTTTTTTTTTTTTTTTTGAGACGGAGTCTCGCTGTCACCCAGGCTGGAGTGCGGTGGTGCGATCTTGGCTCACTGCAAGCTCCGCCTCCCGGGTTCACGCCATTCTCCTGCCTCAGCCTCCCGAGTGGCTGGGACCACAGGCGCCTGCAACCACCCCCGGCTAATTTTTTGTATTTTTAGTAGAGACAGGGTTTCACCGTGTTAGCCAGGATGGTCTCGATCTCCTGACCTCGTGATCCGCCCGCCTCGGCCTCCCAAAGTGCTGGGATTACAGGCGTGAGCCACCGCGCCCGGCTACCCTGAGATTTTTGAGTCTCCTAAAGAACCAGGGCCTGGCTGTGAGGCAAATTTCCTCCAAGACTCGGGTCTCCCCTCCCCCTCTTTAAATCTCACCGAGGCAGAGCAGAGCCGTGAAGGTGGGGATCATGGCGTCTCCTCCCAGGGGCCCCAGCTGTGCAGATGGATGAGTCCTCAGTGCCGGCAGGACAAAGAGACACACAGGGTGTGGCCGCTTGGAGGCTGGGTCCTTCTCGTCATGGGGTTGTTCCATCAGCAGCCCACAGGAAGGGAAACTGCCCTCATTTGAACCCCAGCCTGGCTTTCATTTCCCCAGAGCTAGGGCTGAGGCAGGCACCAGGTTCTCTGCAGACATTTCAGACAGAAATGGGGTCTCTCTGATCCCAGCCTGCTGTCTGCCTGGTCTTAATTCCTCTCTTGACCAAACATCAACCCGTATGTATCGTGTGTTTGCAAAGCGCCTGACACTGGGGGTACATCATTGAACAAGTGAAAAAAAAAAAAAACCAAAAACCTGCATTTTCAGGGTACAGATGAACCATAAAGCTTCCTTTTGCTGCCATAACAAATCACCACAAGCTTAGTGGCTTCACATAATGTAGGTTTATTGACTTACCGTCCCGGAGGTCACAAGTCCAAAATGGGTCTCCCTGGGCTAAAATGAAGCTGCTATCAGAGCCGTGTCCTCCTGGAGGCTCCAAGGAGAATCTGTTCCCTCGCCTGTTCAAGCCTCTGCAGGCTCCCGCATTCCTGCCTCTCCATTCCCTCCAACCTCAAAGCCACCAGTCCCGTTATCTGCCCCCTGCTTCCATGCACTCACCTCCTTCTCTCACTCTGACCCTCCTGTCTTCCTCTTTCACTTACTCAGCCCCTTGTGATTACATCAGGCCCACCTGGGTAATCTCCCCAACCCAAGATCCTTGACTTAATCACATCTGCAAAGTCCCTTTTGCCACATAAGCTTCCCCAACTCACAGGGTCTGGGCCTCAGGAGGTGGACATCTCTGGGAGGTCACTATTCTGCCTCCCACAGGCCTTCAGGGACTCCTTTAACCAAATCTCACATAGAGCACTTCTCTGCGATGACGGAGAGTGGCTGGGCACGCCAGTCGAATGCTTGGTGGGCCAGTACGCAGCCAGGTCATGGTCGGCTACTCATGTCCCATGGGACCTGCCCACTTGAGGCCAAACATTCCATCTCCACCAGAGCCCGGTAGACATCTAAAAACTGTGTCGCAAAACAAAACTCATTCTCTGCAGCGCTAGCACGATGTAGCTCCAAAATATATATATATATTTTTTCTTTTCTGAGATGCAGTCTCACTCTGTCGCCCAGGCTAGAGTGCTGTGGTGTGATCTCAGCTCACTGCAACCTCCGCCTCCTGGGTTCAGGAGACTCTCCTGCTTTAGCCTCCTGTGTAGCTGGGATTACAGGCACCCGCCACCACTCACAGCTAATTTTTGTATTTTTAATAGAGATGGGGTTTCACCATGTTGGCCAGGCCGGTCTCGAACTCCTGACCTCTGGTGATCCGCCCATCTCAGCCTCTCAAAGTTGCTGGGGTTACAGGCATGAGCCACCACGCCCAGCCAAGCATAGATTTTAAATGTTTTCACAGATGTTAGTATGCGGAGTGATGGACATGTTAACTGTCTTGATTCCATCATTCCACAGTGTATACATTTATAACACATTGTACCCCATAAATATATATAGTTGGTGAATTAAATATTTAGTAAAATTATTTTGAAAAGGAAAAAAGCCATAAATACATAACAAGCAAGCAAAAAGGCCAGATAGCTTCAACCCTTAGATCACTGCCTGTGTAAAACACTTCAGGTGGCCAGCTCTCAATAATCATCCATTTGAGTGGGCACGTCCTGCAATGATCTGGAATTGTAGTCTGTCCTAGATGGTGACTAACCATTTTCTGTCTCTGTTCTTCTTAAAAGGATGAGAGGACCTTCTAACTTTAGAACTGAAACATAGGGTGGGAGGGGAAAGAGGAAGCAGAAAAAACAAACCCCAAATTAATTGTATCTAACGGTCAGGAAGGCAAAGAAGGAGAGGCTTGCAGGAGGCTGAAAGTCAAAGTGCCGGGAAACGCATGAACACCACTGCCCTCAGGTTTCCAAGCACCTGCTTTTAGTACCTCATTCCGTATCCTTTTGGGTCACTCTCAGAATCACGGGACAGTATCTCATTTCGAGGATTTCCATGTGTCTCTCCACATTTGTGTGTAAGGACCTTATTGGAAGCTATTTCAGCCAAAGCTTGATGCGTCTGACAGTGGCTGGGGAAAAAGAAACTCCCAGAAATGGGGGCTAGAAAGCCATACACATATTGGCGAGTATCTCCTGTTTTGGCGGGAAGTTCTGGATGATGGTCTGCACATTATCAGAGATCCTGGTGTGGACCTGTCCATATTACCTGCTGTAGTGGTGTCCGCAATGCATGCTGATTTCAGGAATTCCTCTCCTTCTCTCTTTCATAAGGGAACCCTATTCCCTTAAACTTGGTTCCCAAATCAGTTACCTGCGCTCATATCCTTGTCTTAAGTCCTGCTTTCAGAGTAACCTGTGCTAGGCAAGGACTGGGAAATGCCAGGAGGTTTTTCGATGTCATCACCCCTTTTCTAACCGCTCAACATGCCTTGCCTTTACCAGTCCTGGACTTCTTGTATTTTGCTTCTTTTTTTTTTTTTTTTTTGTGACAGGGTGACACTCTGTCATCCAGGCTGGAGTGCAGTGGTGCAATCTTGGCTTACTGCAACCTCGGCCTCCTGGGTTCAAACAATTCTCCTAACTCAGCCTCCCGAGTAGCTGAGAGCTGAGATTACAGGCAGCTGCCACCACACCCGGCTAACTTTTGTATTTTTAGTAGAGATGGGGTTTCACCATGTTGGCCAGGCTGGTTTCGAACTCCTGACCTCAGGTGATCTGCCCGCCTTGGCCTCCCAAAGTGCTGGGATTACAGGCGTGAGCCACCGCGCCCGGCCTCATTTTGCTTTTGTATTCGTGCACTCACCACTCAGTAAATCTTATCCATCCTCACTTAAGAAACATTTAAACATGTCAACCTGTGGCCATCCCAGGACACAAGAGATAAAGGCGAGCAAAGCAGATATACTGGATTCACAGTAACCCAGACTTCATTTCAAATTACCTCCCCTCCTAGAAAATCTAGCATCCTAGCAAAAATTAAGTTGATAAAATCACTACGCAAAAAGTTTAGAGATAGGACCAGTCCCGGGAAGGAAAGATTTAACGCAATAGGACAGGATAAAAGAAATACCCACTGGGTCCTGCACTCACCACCTGGGTGCAATAGTTCCATGTAGCAAACCTGAGCATGTATCCTCGTATCTAAAATAAAAGTTGAAGTTCAAAAAATAAAGAAGAAAAACAGAAAGCAATTGAGATGGAGGGTGGTGAAGAAGCTGAAGGAGAGGTCAGATGGTGATGATGAATTGGTATTATCTGAATGAAGGGATGCCTGGAGGTGGAGAGAGAAGCATTGCAGGAGGTCCTGGTCATAGGTATTCAAACGGGTGGATCCTAAAGCCTTACAAGAAGTAAAAAGACCACAAGAGTCGTTCATTCATTTCCAAGTATATTTCACTCTAGAGTCAAGCTTTTGTGAGATACTGAAAACAGGACCTAGTTGGAATGAATCATAAATTTCCATCTTAACTTGGGGTCACGGGTGTTCTGTGATTCATAAGAACCCATGTTTCATTGTTTCGTTTTCTTTTTTTTTATTATTATACTTCAAGTTCTGGGATACATGTGCAGAACGTGCAGGTTTGTTACATAGGTATACACGTGCCATGGTATTTTGCTGCACCCATCAACCTGTTGTCTATATTAGGTATTTCTTCTAATGCTATCCCTCCCCCAGCCCCCCAGCCCGTGACAGGTGCCGGTGTGTGATTTTCCCCTCTTCGTGTCCATGTGTTCTCATTGCTCAACTCCCACCTATGAGTGAGGACACGTGATGTTTGGTTTTCTGTTCTCGTGTTAGTTTGCAGAGAATGATGGTTTTCAGCTTCATCTGTGTCCCTGCAAAGGACATGAACTCATCCTTTTTTGTGGCTGCATAGTATTCCATGGTGTATATGTGCCACATTTTCTTTATCCAGTCTATCATTGATGGGCATTTGGGTTGGCGTATTTGATTTTATCCAGGGTTCTACAGATGCCAAGGAAGGGGTGCAGCTCTACTTAAGTTTACCTCTTGGTCTCTCCTTGGGACCTCCTCTGACTGTGCCATGCCTGAAACACCAACCCCTCTGTCACCACCAGGATCAATTGCAACTGCTCCATGCACATGAGACTACTGCATAGTCTGGGAGCAGTTGGCCTGGGGACAGTGGGATTGGAAGACCATGGAGGGTAGGAGAGCTCGCAGTCCACACAGCAGCCAGAAGGGAGGATATTTCAACATTCTCAAATCAATAGATATGATATCTCATGTCAACAGAAGGAAGAACAAAAAACATATAATCATGGGCAGGCGCGGTGGTTCATGCCTGCAATCCCAGCACTTTGGGAGATTGAGATGGGTGGATCACTTGAGGTCAGGAGATCGAGATCAGCCTGGCCAACATGATGAAACCCCATCTCTCTCAAAAATGCAAAATATTAACTGGGTGTGGTGGTGTGCACCGGTAGTCCAGCTACTCGGGAGGCTGAGACAGGAGAATCTCTTGAACCCAGGAGGTGGAAGTTGCAGTGAGCCAAGATCGCGCCACTGCACTCCTGCCTGGGTGAAGGAGAGACCCTCTGTCTAAAAAAAAAAAAAAAAATTATATGATCATCACAATAGATGTTAAAAAAACATTTGACAAAATTCAACATCCCTTCATCATTAAAACTATCAACAAATTAGGCCTAGAAGAAACACACCTCAACAAAAAATCCCCAGATAATTCCATTAACAAGTATGCAAAGCATCTGAATAGTTGCTTCTCAAAAGAAAATGTACAGATGGCCAACAGCTATATAAAACACTAATCATCGGCCAAGCGCGGTGGCTCACACCTGTAATCCCAGCACTTTGGGAGGCCAAAGCAGGTGGATCACTTGAACCCAGGAGTTTGAGACCAGCCTGGGCAACATGGTGAAACCTCATCTCTACCAAAAATACAAAAAAAGAAAAAAAAACAGCTGGGCGTGGTGGCATACACCTGTAGTCCCATCTACTGAGGAGGCTGAGGCAGGAGGCTCACTTGAACCCAGTAGGCAGAGGTTGCAGTGAGCCAAGATCACACTACTGCACTCCAATCTGGGTGACAGAGCGAGACTTCATCTCAAAACACAAACAAACAAACAAAAACCCACAATCATCACTGGCATCAAATCGAAACTACAATGAGTATCATCTTATTTCAGTTAAAATGTCTATTATCAAAGAAACATATAAAAACATGCTGGGCTGGGCACAGTGGTTCACGCCTGTAATCTCAGCACTTTGGGAGGCCGAGGCAGGCGGATCACGAGGTCAGGAGTTTGAGACCAGCCTGGCCAACATGTTGAAACCCCGTCTCTACTAAAAAGACAAAAATTAGCCGGGCGTGGTGGCGCCCGCCTGTAATCAGGAGGCTCCTGCTACTCGGGAGGCTGAGGGAAGAGAATCGCTTGCACCCAGGAGCTGGAGGTTGCAGTGAGCTGAGATGGCACCACTGCACTCCAGCCTGGGCGACAGAGTGAGACTCCATCTAAACAAACAAACAAATAAATAAATAGATCAATAAAATAAAATAAAAACATGCTGGTGAGGATGTGCTGACAAAATAACTCTTAGACACTGTTGGTGGGAATATAAATTAGTACAGCCATTATGGAAAACATGGAGATTCCGGCCGGGCGCGGTGGCTCACACCTGTAATCCCAGCACTTTGGGAGGCCGAGGCGGGCGGATCACGAGGTCAGGAGATCAAGACCATCCTGGCCAACAGGGTGAAACCCTGTCTCTACTAAAAATACAAAAAATTAGCCAGGCGAGGTGGCAGGCACCTGTAGTCCCAGCTACTCGGGAGGCTGAGGCAGGAGAATGGTGTGAACCCCGAGGGGCAGAGCCTACAGTGAGCCGAGATCACGCCACTGCACTCCAGCCTGGGCGACAGTGAGACTCTGTCTCAAAAAAAGAAAAAAAAAAAAAACACGGAGATTCCTCAAGATACTGAAACTGCAATTATCGTAAAATCCAGTGAGTTCACTACTGAATATTCATGCAAAGGAAAAAAATCTCAGGACATCACAAGAGTCCCTGCACCCGTGTGTTTATTGCAGCACTCTTCACAAGTCAGCATACGGAATCAACCTAAGTGTCCATCAGTGGATAAAAGGGTAAAGAAAATGTGGTATGTATACACAATGGAAGAGGGGTCATCCATAAAAAAGAATGAAATCCTGACATTTACAGCAACATAGTTGGAACTGGAGGTCATTATGGTCAGTGAAATAAGCCAGGAACAGAAAGACAAATCTCGAATGTTCTCACTCATACGTGGGAGCTAAAGAAGTGGATTCCTAAACAGAGAGAGTAGACTGGTTGGCCAGGTGTGGTGGCTTGTGCCTGTAATCCCAGTGATTTGGGAGGCCAAGGCAGGTGGTTCACTTGAGGTCAGGAGTTCCAGACCAGCCTGGCCAATGTGGCAAAACCCCTTCTCTACGAAACATACAAAAATTAGTTGGGCGTGGTGGTGTGCACTGTGGTCCTAGCTACTCGGGAGTCTGAGGCAGGAGGATCGCTTGAGCCCTGGAGGGTTGAGGCTGCAGTGAGCCATGATTGTGTCACTGCATTCCAGCTTGGGCAACAGAGCAATACCTTGTCTCAAAAGAAAAAAAAAAGGCCGGGCGTGGTGGCTCATGCCTGTAATCCCAGCACTTTGGGAGGCTGAGGCGGGTGGATCACTTGAGGTCAAGAGTTCGAGACCATCCTGGCCAACATGGTGAAACCCTGTCTTTAGCCTGGCGTGGTGGCATGCATCTGTAATCCCAGCTACTCAGGAGGCTGAGGCAGGCGAATCTCTTGAACCCAGGAGGCAAAGGTTGCAGTGAGCCAAGATCACGCCACTGCATTCCATCCTGGGTGACACAGCAAGACTCTGTCTCAAAAAAAAAAAATGTGTAGACTGGTGGTTACTAGAGCTGGAAAGGGTGGGAGATAAGGAGATGTTAGTTACGGAGTATAGAAATACAGCTGGATAGGAGAAATAACTGAGTATTTGACAGTACAGTAGGGGAAGTATAGTTAACAATAATATATTGTGTATTTCAAAACAACTAGAATAAAAGAATTGTAATGCTCCCCAACAAAAAGAAAAGATAAATATTTGAGGTGATGGATATTCTAATTACCCTGATTTTATTATTACCCATTGCATACAAGTATCAAAATATCATAAGTACCCCAAACCTATATACAACTATTATATATGGATAAAAATAAATAAATGGAACTCTGGCACCAACTTTAAGGCATAACGTGTACAAATCCAGGGGATCTATTTAGGGCACTGGTTGTCCTGAGTGTGCTAATTTGATTGTGGCAATCATTACACAATGTATACGTATATCAAATCATCATGTTGTACACCTCAATATATACAATCTTGGTTGATTAAATCATTTTAAGGATAAAAAAGGATTTTTTAAAAAGATAAAAAGGAAAACACTGAACTTCTCTGTGGCTCTCCTTTTTCCCTGCTCAGCTTTGAATAACTGTGAAGGCAAAGACTGGATGCAGGTGACCTGTGCACCCTAGGACCTGGCGTGGGATTGCCAGACTTTAGGTCTTTAGGATTATTTGTTGATGTACAAAGGAAAGCATGGCCCAGAGAACTGGGCTCTGCTCTCAGTTGCATAAATATGGCCCATTCTTAAGGCCAGCAATTAAGCTCCAGGAAGATCCCTAGAGTCAGCTGAACAGAAAATTACAACAAAGTCTCTGGGGCAATTGGGGATTTCCAGGAGACATAGGAGCAGCTGGGGACTGCGTCAGTGATAATGAAATCAGCTGGGTGGATGTAGCCGGGTCTCTAGAAACAGCCAGCGGATGTAGCCGGGTCTCTGGAAACAGTCAGGTGGATGTAGCCGGGTCTCTGGAAACAGCCAGGTGGATGTAGCCGGGTCTCTGGAAACAGCCAGGTGGATGTAGCCGGGTCTCTAGAAACAGCTAGGTGCATGTAGCTGGGTCTCTGCAAACAGGCAGGCAGCTATGGGGGATTGGGGGTGGTCACTGGAAACAGCTAGATGACTGTAGCTGACTCTTTAGTAACAGCCGAATGTAACTAGGTCTCTGGAAAGTCACCTTGAGGACTGAGCTGGGAGATGGGAGGTGCCTCGTGGGAGCTTATGTCATGGGTAGAGGAGCACAGTTTATTGCCTGGCAGGGCGTACGTGTGGGAATAGATTCCCCGGCCTCTCTCTCCTCTCACCCTCTGCTCTCCTGACAGTGCCTCCCATGGCTGAACTCAACCAGACACTAGACACAAGAAGATGTTGGTGATGCAATCCATAGAGTCAGCCTCCAGGGCAGAGACAAGGTGGGAAAGGACAGAGGGTGTATTAGGAGAGGCCAGAACTTCCAGTGGGAACTGCTGCCACTGAACCGAGAAACCTAAATGTAAGGGGAGTAGTTGGATCCTAGAGTGGCAGGACTCAAGTGTCAGAAGTCAGTCGACAAAGGTGAGAATCTGGTGTGTTGAATTGGGTGTGGTTATCATAGAACTGGGTGTGGTGATCATAATGGAAAGCAGAATCAAGGCAGTAATCAGAATAGACTGTCTCATGCAGCCCTTTAGTGTTGTCTAGTTGACCGCAGCGTTCTAAGACGTGAAATAGATAGGAAACTTACTTCATTCTTACTTGATTTGTATAAGCAGAACATTTCTTGGCAAAGAGAACAAGAATCTAATTAAAATCATAAAATAGACAGTTACAGTCTCTTAATCAATTACTAGAATTTCACCAGTTTATAGACCCAGAACCCCTTGAATTAAAGGGAAGACCAGGTATCCTTGAAGGCGCTGCCCCGGTATATACTATAAAAAGTTAAACAATTATATTTATCTCAGCTTCCCTTAAATGGACCTATGGCCTTTATCATGGTAGCTGTGTACTGGGTAAAGGAAATGATCAGATATTTTGGGTGCAACTAGACACTGGCTCTGAGCTAACACTAACTTCAGAAGACCCAAAACATCATGGTGACCCTCCAGTCAGATTAGAAGCTTATGGAGGTCAGGTAGTCAATGAACCTTTAGCTCAGATTTGTCTCCTGTTGAATTTTCTTGGCCACCAAATGCATCCTGTGGCTTTATTCCTTGCTCTGGAATGTATAATTGGATTAGACATACTCAACAACTATCAAAATCCCCACAAGTGGGGAAAAAATAGGACAAGCTGTGGGGCATATGTAAGACTAGTGAATGTGTTGATGTTTGCATAGTATTCAACTAGTAATTGCTCCATAGGATAAGCTGATTGAGTTATTGTTGAGTTTTTTAAAAAATATTCTTTTTCTTGTATAAAACGACATTTAAAAATCCACTCTGTTACAAGTATGCAGGTTTCTTTTCTGTTATTTTATTACGATATTTTAATTGAAAAATAATAATTGTATATATTTATTGGGTACCATGAGATGCTTTGATATATGTTTACCTTTGCAATCCGGCCAAAGGCATGCCCATGGTAAGTGTGTTATTGTTTATTTTAAATGTGCACAAAAATTAATTCAAATGAGGTACTGTCTCCCCCTAGTGGTTCTCAAGTAATTTTCCGTTTTAATCTGAATAGGGAGAGCATCTAACTTTCTAAGAGGGGTGGAGACAACCAAGTCCCAGCGCACAGAGGATTCAGAGGTCTCCTGACATGTGTGAGTGCGTTCAGGTTTGTGCATGTGTGTGCATGTGTGAATGTGTGAGTACATGTGCATATGTGTGTAAGTGCATAAGTGGGATTAGCTCTCTGTCTTCACCCATCCATGCATCCGCTCAGACACCTTAATTGATCCCTGATCATATGCTCCATCTTGGAGGCCTAAGATGAGCAAGTTCAGGGGATCTTATGTACAGCGTAGCTGGTGATGGATGCGCTGATTCATTTGACCGTGGCTATTATTTCACAATGTATATGTATATCAAATTATCACCTTGTGCATCTTGAATATATGCAATCACTGCCAATGAAATCCTTAAAAAAATACTGACACCTCCTTTGTAGCTCTTGTTAACCCCATGTAACCTTGAACAACATGAAGGCAGAGATTGGGTCCAAGTGATCTATACACCCCAGAACATGACACAGGACTGCCAGATGTGAGGTCTTTAAACTATTCATTGGTGCATGAAGTAAAGCATGACCCAGAGGACTGGTCTCAGCTCTCAGATCCATATGTATAGCTCATTCTCAAGGTCAACAACTAAACTCTAGGAGAATGTTCAGGATCAGCTGAGTAGACGATTGCTGGGGCAGCTGGGGGGATTTACAGAAGACATTTGGAAACTGCAGGGGGATGCAACATTGTTAATGGAATCAGCTGGGATGGCTATAGCTGAGACTCAGCAAACAGCCAGGAGACTGGAGCTGGGTGTCTTGAAACAGAGAAGTGACAGCAGCTGGATCACTGGAAACAACCAGGTGACTGGAACTAGGTGTCTGGAAACAGCCAGGTGATTGCAGCTGGGTTTCTAGAAGTAGCTGCAATGCCACCTCTTTGAGGTGCTGGTCAGTTGTGGAAGGAATCACCTGGTTAATGAACTTTCTAGATGCTGACTAGAGAACTTTGGGCTCTACCTCTTATCTCCAGAACAGTTGACTGGTTTTGCAGACCAGGATGATTCCAAGGGGAAGCCCTCCAGATGGCTTCTTGAGGCTTTTCCAAGCATGACTTCCTCAGGCGCAGGGGGCAGTGGTCCCGGAGTCAGTGCCTGGCGAGGGCTGTGTACATGCTAGACTCAGCCATGGGCACCATGGACTCTGGGGACACAGCCTGGGCTGTCCTCCAAGTGAAGGCCTGGTGGTCCAGCTGAGCATATGTCACCTCCAGGGGTCCCCTGCAGCAGGGGTCTGAGGACAGAGACCCGCGGTGAGGTAGGGGAGATGAGGGTGAGGGTAGGGGGTCTAGAGGGTGGCCCATTGGAGGTGAGAAGAAAATATTTGCTCAATATTACTATAATCTGCACTTATTTATGGTTTAAAAAATCTTAATGAATTAGGAATAGAATGAAACATCATAAACATGTTAAAGGATGCCCAGCAACAAATCAATAGCAAATATTATATTTAATGATGAAGCTTAGATCAATTTCCACTAAAATATGAACAAAACGAGGCTTAATGGTCTTTCCACTTTTATTCCATTTTCTACTGAGGTGTCCTAACTGATGTAATAATATCAGTAAAAGTAAAAAACTAAAAATAAGATATATGAGGGCTAGAGAGATTTTTTCATTACTTGTAGGTAGTAAGATTCTCTAAATAGAAAATTCAAAGTCCATTAGGATTTATAAGAAAATAAAAACAAATCCATATCAATGACATTTCTATACAGCAGGGGTAGTAGTTAGAGAATCGAATGGCCCCAAACTCCTGGCCTCAAGCAATCCTCCCACCTTGGCTTCTCAAAGAGCTAGGACTAACAGTCGCCGTGGAGAGCAGTTTGAGGATATCTCAAATAACTAGGAATGGAACTACCATTTGACCCAGGAGTCCTATTACTGGGTATATATCCAGGGAAAATAAATCATTCTAGTCAAGAACACACACACTTGGATGATCATTGCAGCACTATTGACAATAGAAAAGACATGGAATCAACCTCGTTGCCCATCAACAGTGAACCAAATAAAGAAAATGTGGTCCATATACACCATGGAAGACTACACAGCCATAAAAAAGAATGAACTCATGTCCTTTGCAGCAACATGGATGCAGCTGGAGGCCATTATCTTACGTAAACTAATGTAGAAACTGAACACCAAATACCACATATTCTCACTTATAAGTGGGAGCTAAATATTAGGTACACATCTTCCCATAAAGATGGCAACAGTAGACGCTGGGGACCACTGAGGGTGGAGAGGAGGGGGATGGGGCTGAAAAACTACCTGTTGGGTACCATGCTCCCTACCTGGGTGAGGGGCTCAGTCTTACTCCAAACCTCAATGCCACACAATATTCCTTGGTAACAAACCTACACATGTACCCCCAATTCTAAAATAAAAATGGAAATAGAAAAAGCAGTGTATAGGCCGGGCGCGGTGGCTCACGCCTGTAATCCCAGCACTTTGGGAGGCCCAGGCGGGTGGATCACAAGGTCAGGAGATCAAAACCATCCTGGCTAACATGGTGAAACCCTGTCTCTACTAAAAATACAAAAAATTAGCCGGGCGCCTGTAATCCCAGCTACTTTGGAGGCTGAGGCAGGAGAATGGCGTGAACCTGGGAGGCAGAGCTTGCAGTGAGCTGAGATGGTGCCACTGCCCTCCAGCCTGGTGACAGAGTGAGACTCCGTCAAAAAAAAAAAAAAAAAAAGAAAAGAAAAAAGAAAAAGAAGTGTATAAAGGTGTGGGCAAATGAGAGGGATGAAGCACCCCAGGAAGCCACTGCCACTCCCAGGATGGGAGGTCAAGGGGTGGAGAGAGCCCTGTGTGGGAGATGGGAGGTGCCTTGCGGGAGCTGATGTCATGGGTAGAGGAGCACAGTTGCTGACAAACCACAGCCTGGCAGGGCATATGTGTGGGAATTGATTCCCCGGCCTCTCTCTCCTCTCACCCTCTGCTCTCCTGACAGTGCCTCCATGGTTGAACTCAATCAGACGCTAAAGGCAAGGAGACACTGATGATGCAATCCATAGAGTCAGCCTCCAGGGCACAGACAAGGTGGGAAAGGACAGAGGGTGTATTAGGAGTTCAGCACTTTGGGAGGCTGAGGTGGGAGGATTACGAGGTTAGGAGTTCGAGACCAGCCTGGCCAACACAGTGAAACCCTGTCTCTAAAAAAAATACAAAAAATTATCTGGGTGTGGTGGTGTATACCTGTAATCCCAGCTACTCAGGAGGCTGAGGCAGGAGAATCACTTGAACCTGGGAGGTGGAGGTTGCAGTGAGCCGAGATCGTGCCATTGCACTCCAGCCTAGGTGACAGAGTAAGACTCTGTCTCAAGAAAAAAAAAAAAAAAGGAGTGGCCTGTGGGGAAACAGCAGTGCCCTCAATGTGGGGACAAAGCATCAGGAGAGACTGGGACTGCACGTCTGAGCCAGGGAGGACAACAGAGCAAATCACAGGCAAAGAGAGAAGAAGCCCAGCTGGGCCAGAGTGCATGGAAATAAGAGAGGAGGGGACACACGTGAGCAGTGCTAAGAAGGCAGAACACATGGTTGGACCTGATTAATGTTGATTGTGGGGTGAAAGAGAGAGAGAAGTGATAATGGTTCTTAAAGCTCTGGCTTGGCTAACTTAGTGCACTTTTTATCTGTTAGCTCCTCTCTTTTGTGTGTTTTTACTACTCTTTCTCATTTTAAATTATAGTAAAAAAAAAAACAAATGAAATAAAATTTACCATATTTACTCTTTCTAACTCTACAGTGCAGTATTGTGAAGTGGTTTGACATTGCTATGCAACCATCGCCATCACCATCCCCAAAGTATTTTATCTTTCCAATTGAAGCTTTATATTCAGTAAACACCAACTCTCAGTTTCCAGGCCCCCAAGCCTCTGTTAACCGTGATTCTACTTCCTGAGTCTGTGAGTTTGACAGGTAGCTCATATAGATAGAATCTTAGCAATATTTGCAATATTTGTCCTTTATGAGACTGGCTTATTTCACTTAGCATAATATCTTCAAGGCTCTCCATATTATAGTGTATGTCAGTCACAATTTCATTTCTTTGAGAGACTGAACAGTATTTCCTAGTTTCTATAACATTTGTTTATCCATTTATCCATCTTTGGGTTTTTTCTACTTTTTTGTTAATGTGAATAACGCTGTTATGAACATGAGTATATGAGCATCCTTTTAAATCCTTGCTTTAATTTTCCCAGAAATTGCCGGGTCATATGGTAATTCTGTGTTTAATCTTCTGAGGAACTGACATACATCTGGGTAATTTTTACACTGCGTTCATTTTTTGAGAGCCTAAGAAGCAATATGAGGCTATGGTTATTATCATTTTTATTCAATACTGAGTCCCAAAGTCCTTGCGTATTAACTGGCATAATGTATGATCCAACAGATATTGTGGGGAGAAGTGATTAAATAAAGGACGCAATTGTCTAGAGGGAACTTAGAGCCCAGAGACCACACTTGGAGCATTTGTCTTCCTTGTCCAGCAGACAGTGCAGAACTGTGAGACGCGGGCATCACTGACAATGAACCCAAAGGGGCTGAATGTCGGGAATCCTGCAGACACCAGGAAAGAGATGCTTCTCAGCCAATGGCTTGGGTTCTGAATCCAGGTTACCCACAGTGATAAAATACCAGCTAGACCATGAGAGGAGACAAACATGCTCACCAGGACGAGGATGGTGTGTGTGGCTCTAGTTTCATGAGATTTTCAGGGGGAGAGGCCGTGGCTGCGAATGCATTGGACTGTCTGCTTGTGTCTATATAAGAAGAGGATCATGGAGCTGCTGGTGTAGTCCATGAGGGCCAAAGACATACCATCCACAAGGGAGAAAATGACTGCATTTGCTAAGAATAGCAATCATCCTAGAATGGGTGAGGAGAGTACCTATACATTTATTCCATACTCACGTTTTTGCTCTTCATTGGGCCAGTTACATGCATTGCAATATGGGTATATGCCACAATTTGCAAGATCCAGCAGAGGGGGCAGCAGAAAACAATGCACTTTGTGGACCTAATTCGGAGTTCCATCCTCCTAGAGATACTGAGGTTGAAGCTTCATGGCCTGGAAGCCACTGGGGAGACAGGCGGTGCTGAGGGAAACCCCTCTGGCCACTCTGTGTATAGATAGAAGACAAGTTTCATCCAGCCTCGTCCAGGAAGGATTTCATTCCAAAAGCTGCCATTGTCTGGGGGATTCGTTTAGAGAAAAGAACCAGGTTGTTGGCTAAGACCAGCTGGCTGAGAATCAGGTCTCTGGGTCTCAATATCTGTGAAGTGATAAAAGTAAAGCTAAAAAAGTAAAGGAGTGAAGAATTTCCAAGGATTCCAGCAGCGGTCTGAGTGAGAAAGACAATACCCTGATTTAAGTTAACAGAAACCGATCCATCCATTATAGAAACGGTATCACATTTCCTCAAAATGTTAAAAATTGAACTATAAGACACCAGATTTCAACTTCCGGATAATTATCCAAAAGAACTCAAATCAAGATCTTGAAGAGATATATCCACACTGATGAATTCACTGCACCAGTATTCACAATAGCCGAGGTAAATAAATGACATAAATGCCCATTGATGGAGGAATGGATTAAGATAACATAGTATAATAAATATAAAGTTTTATTCAGTCTTGAAAAAGAAGAAAATCAGATCATTTGTGATAGCAGGATTGGACCCAAATGACATTATGCTAAGTGAAATGAATCCAACTCTTAATAGATAAATATCTTATAATCTCACATAATTGTGGAATCTAAATAGTGAAATTCATAGAAGCTGAGAGTAGAATGGTGGTTAGCAGGGGCTGGAAATGGGAAAAATAAGATGTTGGTCAAAGGATACAAAGTTTCAATTCTCCGAAATGAATAATTCTGGAAAGCTAATGTATGGAATGAAAGCTATAGGTAACAATACTGTATTGTACACTTAAAATTAGCTGAGAGTAGATCCTAAGTATTTTCACTGCACACACACATGCACACAGAAATAATAACTAACTGAGGTGATTAATATATGGTATTTCTAGTTCTAGATCCCTGAGGAATCACCACATTGACTTCCACAATGGTTGAACTATATTGTGGCACTATTCACAATAGCAAACACTTGGAACCAAGCCAAATGTCCAACGATGATAGACTGGATTAAGAAAATGTGGCACATATACACCATGGAATACTATGCAGCCATAAAAAATGATGAGTTCATGTCCTTTGTAGGGACATGGATGAAATTGGAAACCATCATTCTCAGCAAACTATTGCAAGGACGAAAAACCAAACACCGCATGTTCTCACTCATAGGTGGGAATTGAACAATGAGAACACATGGACACAGGAAGGGGAACATCACACACCGGGGCCTGTTGTGGGGTGGCGGGTGGGGAGGGATAGCTTTAGGAGATATACCTAACGTTAAATGACGAGATAATGGGTGCAGCACACCAACATGGCACATGTATACATATGTAACTAACCTGCACATTGTGCACATGTACCCTAAAACTTAAAGTATAATTAAAAAACAAACAAACAAACAAAAAAAACAACTCCGAGACCTGAGCAGGCAGACACACAAGCAGCTGGACGTCCGCAGATCAGCGGAAGAAGAAGACACTGGCGGCTGAGAGGAGCACGTCAGTGCAGGAACACACAGATGGCTGGATGTCGAGAGGAACGCAAGGACGGGCACCAGCACACCACAGGCCACCGACTGGCAGAACGACATGGAGCTTGGCTGGGACAGTCAGAGAGGATCCCGGGCCGCCAGGGGCCCGACTCCAGGAGAAAACCATCGCCCTTCTGCTGAGAGCTGTTTCCACTCAATCAAACCTTGCACTCATTCTCCAAGCCCTCATGTGATCCGGTTCTTCCGGTACACCAAGGCGAGAACCCTGGGATACAGAGAGCCGTCTGTCCTTGCAGGAAGGCAGGGGTCTAATGGAGCTGATACACACAAGTTGCCTATGGAAGGCCGAAACTAAAAGAGCACCCTGTAACATGCGCCCACTGGGGCTTCAGCGGTTGTCATTTTGAATGTGGTGAATTTATTTTTATCTATTTATTTATTTTTAAGTTTCAGTAGTTTTGGGGGAACAGGTGGTGTTTGGTTGCATGCATAAGTTCTTTAGTGGTGATTTTTGAGATTTTGGAACACCCATCACCCGAGCAGTGTACACTGTACCCAATGCGTAGTCTTTTATCCCTCACCCCCTCCCATTGCTCCCCCTGGGTCCCCAGAGTCCATTATATCCTTCTTATGCCTTTACATCCTCATAGCTTAGCTCCCACTTATGAGAACATATGATGATGGTTTTCCATTCCTGAGTTATTTCACTTAGAATAGTGGTCTCCAACTGCCTCCAGGTTGCTGCGAATGCCATTATTTTGTTCCTTTTTATGACTGAAGTATTCCATGGTGTGTGTGTGTGTGTGTGTGTGTGTGTGTGTGTGTATATATATGTATATATACGCATATATACATGTTTTTTATATGTTTGTTGGCCATTTGTATATCTTCTTTAGAGAATTGTCTAAAGTCAAAAGGGGAATTGGATTTGGAGGGAACAATTTTATGGCTATTTTTCAGTATAATCATCAAGTGAAGATAGTGTCTGTTCGGCCAGTGTTACTTTAATCCATTACCTGTAGCCAGGAAGGGAGATGTTTATCACAGAGATAGGCACCAACCTGGAATGCTTTCCTCAAAAGTGATTAACTGTAGTGTGAACCCTAAATTTCACCGCAGTTTGGTCCTGATTTGGCACAAGATATGCTTTATCCACTGATGTGAAATGCCCAGGTGTTTTTTGTACGGTTTTGTTGCTGAAAGACACAATACCCTCTAATCTAAGGCATCCTCTCCAAATCCCACTGAACAATACCCTCTAATCTAAGGTGTCCTCTCCTAATCCCACTGAACAATACCTCTAATCTAAGGCGTCCTCTCCAAATCCCACTGAACAATATCCTCTAATCTAAGGCATCCTCTCCAAATCCCACTGAACAATATCCTCTAATCTAAGGCATCCTCTCCAAATCCCACTGAACAATACCCTCTAATCTAAGGCATCCTCTCCAAATCCCACTGAACAATATCCTCTAATCTAAGGCATCCTCTCCAAATCCCACTGAACAATATCCTCTAATCTAAGGCATCCTCTCCAAATCCCACTGAACAATACCCTCTAATCTAAGGCATCCTCTCCAAATCCCACTGAACAATACCCTCTAATCTAAGGCATCCTCTCCAAATCCCACTGAACAATATCCTCTAATCTAAGGCATCCTCTCCAAATCCCACTGAACAATACCCTCTAATCTAAGGCATCCTCTCCAAATCCCACTGAACAATATCCTCTAATCTAAGGCATCCTCTCCAAATCCCACTGAACAATACCCTCTAATCTAAGGCATCCTCTCCAAATCCCACTGAACAATACCTTCTAATCTAAGGCATCCTCTCCAAATCCCACTGAACAATATCCTCTAATCTAAGGCATCCTCTCCAAATCCCACTGAACAATACCCTCTAATCTAAGGCATCCTCTCCAAATCCCACTGAACAATACCCTCTAATCTAAGGCATCTTTTCCAAATCCCACTGAACAATACTCTCTAATCTAAGGCATCCTCTCCAAATCCCACTGAACAATACCCTCTAATCTAAGGCATCCTCTCCAAATCCCACTGAGGCACAGGAGCGACACTAAGGAGGGGGTCACGGAGCTTCCTGAGGGAGATTCGCCTCCTGAACCCTGGGCAGATCCTCCCCACCTTGGGATCTCTGTGAACCTCTGGGGTCTTCTATTCAATCAGGACCAAGTTGTGAGGTGGGATTCCTTCCAGGCTACAGTCTCCCCTCTCCCTCTTTCAATTTCATCAAGACAGATCAGAGGTTTGCGGGTGGAAGTCATGGCATCTCCTCCACAGCCCCTGGCTGTGCAGATGGACGAGACCACAGTTCCTGGATGGAGTAAATCTACTGGGAGCCTGGGTTCTCCATCACGAGGTTGTCCCGTCATCAGCCCCACAAGAAGGGGAACTGCCCTCTCCAGGAGCCTGGCTTTCATTTCCCCAAGGCTGGGACTGGGGCAGGCACCAGGCTGTCTTCAGATATTTCATACAGAAATGGTATCTCCCTGACCCTTTTCTGCGATTTGCCTCATCTGTCCTCATCTCATCAAGGGTCAGGACACAGGACACAGCACCTTTCTGAGTCTGTCCTGTCCAAGTGAGAGTGACTGGGGGCTTTTTCTTCTTCTCAGAGCCTCCCCGTGGGGTCTCCTTCCCTCCTTCAGCCCGTCCATCAACACAGCATTGCGGGATCCTTACCATGGCATCCAGCCCTGGAGATGCTTCAGGAAAGTTGCAGGTCCATGCTGCAGGACAGGCTCAGATCAGCAGAGACGCATCTCACATCGGGCTGTGAAATTCAAGTTGAGCTGCAATTGGCAATGAGAAAAAAAGGAGAAATAAAGAAATGCTGACTCTTCTTTTGTCTTTGGAGTATGGGTTTTATTTCTTCCAGTTTCCTTCTTAGACTTCCCTTCTTTTTTTCTTCCTATTTTTTAATAGCGTTCAGCTCCCCTTCCCTTAAAAGTAACCTCTGAGTCATTCCTGCCTCCTCGGGGTCCCTCCCACCCCCAGCCCCGCTTCCTTGGGCATTCCCCTGCATCTCAGTCTGCCTTCAAGGTTTTGGGAACAAGTACTTGTCTTGAGCTCTGATTTGGCGGTGGGATAGGGAGTTAATTTTTT
This sequence comes from Homo sapiens, assembly GCF_000001405.40. Taxonomy (NCBI): domain Eukaryota; kingdom Metazoa; phylum Chordata; class Mammalia; order Primates; family Hominidae; genus Homo; species Homo sapiens. Next base: position 54,643,543 of record NC_000019.10, on the reverse strand, counting down.
CTGAATTGCTCACCTTCATCCCTGCGTGCATGACCTTGGGCAGTAAGTCCCATCTCTGAGCCTCGGTTTCCTCATTTGGAGCCTGTTGTCATGAACCCCCCTCCTGAGTGGTTTTGGGGGCCAGTGGTGCCTGGGTCATGGGAGGGCCTCAGTCATGGTACATTTCCAGACCGGGTTAAGTCTTGAGGGGCTGAAACATGAGTGGATCCTGGTGTTGGACTGCACAGTCACGGTGAGCAACTTAAATGCTCAACAGCCCACATCTGCTCCTAACATTGGGAAAACCTACTTATAATGTGTCTGAAATATGTAGCCATGGTCCGATGAAGAAAATGAGAAATGAGACTTCCTGTCATAGGCAGGAAACCTTAAGAAGCAGAAGAGGCCAGAGCCGAGCGGCTGCTGGTGACTTGCAAAGTCTGGGGGTCACTAAGGGGGAGGTTTCTGCCTCTGTATGAGACAGAGGAGAACCCCAGGCCCTCACAGACAGGGAGGGGTCGGGGTTTTGGATGAAAGTGAGAAGTTGTGGCTCCTTCTCCCCTGTGTTTGTGGATGGCACTGGGATATCTCTGCTCATTGACTCAGGTCCATGGTCAGCCCTGAGCCGCCTCCTCCATGTGTGTGAAACAGATTCACTGCAGCGTTGTCACACATGGGCGTCTGTCCCACATGCGAGTCTGAGGCTCACACTGGACCTTCCCTGCTGGTTACAGCCCTGAGTAGACTCATGTGGCACTGGCAGCTGGAACCATCTCCCCTTTTCCAGCCTTAACTCCCAGCACAGCCCTGGTGGAAACCCTCTCTGGAAGATGAGGCATGTGGGAAGCATGTGTCCAAAAATGACAAGGAGGAGGAATTATCCCAATGATCAAAAGTGCTATGATAGGCCGGGCACCGTGGCTCATGCCTGCAGTCCCAGCACTTTGGGAGGTCAAGGCGGGCGGGTCACTTGGGCCCAGGAGTTCAAGACCAGCCTGGGCAACATGGCAAAACCGCATCTCTACAAAAAATACAAAAATTAGCTGGATGTGGTGTCATGAATAATGGCCTCCAGCTCATCCAGGTTGCTGCAAAACTCAATCCCTTGTACATCAGTTGCAAAAATTAAAAATATCTAAGTATATACCTAGCCGAGGAGGTGAAAGATCTCTACAAGAAGAACAACAAAATGCTGCTGAAAGAAATTGTAGATGACACAGCAAAATAGAAATATATCCCATGCTCATGGATTGGAAGAATCAATATTGTGAAAATGATCACACTTCCCAAAGCAATATTTAGATTCAATGCAATTCCCATCAAAATATCAACATCATTTTTTTCACAGAATTAGAAAAAACAATCCTAAAATTCATATGGAACCAAAAAGAGGACGAATACCAAAGCAATCTTAAGCAAAAAGACAAATGTAAATTTAATAAACATATCCTAGGCTGAATTGTGAGGGGTTGTTTTTGCTTTTGTTTTTGTTTTTGTGTGAGACAGAGTCTTGCTCTGTCACTCAGGCTGGAGTGTAGTGGCACAATCTCTGCTCACTGCAACCTCTGCCTCCCAGGTTCAAGCAATTCTCCTGTCTCAGCCTCCCGAGTAGCTGGGATTACAGGTGCTTGACACCATGCCTGGCTAATTTTTGTATTTTTAGTAAAGACGGGGTTTTGCCATGTTGACCAGGCTGGTCTCAAACTCCTGACCTCAAGTGATCCGCCCGTCTCGGCTTCCCAAAGTGCTGGGATTACAGGCATGAGCCACCGTGCCCGGCCTGAATTGTGGGTTTTTAAATGTTATTTTTATATTATATAATTTTTAACTCATTAAAAAAATACAAGGAAGTCTGTCCTGGAAACAAAAAAAAAATCCTAAAATTATTTATTTGTAAAAATGCAAATTATTTCCAATGGATTTGCATGCTCACTGGGATTGGACCTTCCAACAGCAAATTCAACACCAGGAGATACTAAAGAAAGGCCTTCAGAAATTCATGGTGAAGATTTCTGTGTTAATCTAAATTATTAAAGACAAAGGCAAACGACCTGTCGGCAGCTTGTCTCACACATTAAACCCAGCATGTCAGGCTTCATCTTGAGGAACGGGGAGGGATTGGCAGTAGACGCCTTAACCATTACATGTACTTTCCCTTCTACATCTTTTCCCTTATGCTTTATTTAATATAATTCAGGACAAAGACTTTATTTAATATAATTCAGGACAAAGATGGGCAAAGACTTCATGACGAAATCACCAAAAGCAATTGCAACAAAAGCTAAAATTGACAAATGGGATCAAATTAAACTAAAGAGCGTCTGCACAGCAAGAGAAACCATTATCAGAGCGAACAGACAAGCTACAGAATGGGAGACAATTTTTGCAATCTGTCCATCTGACAAAGGTCTAACATCCAGAATCCACAAGGAACTTAAACAAATTTACAGGAATAAAACATTAATAAGTGGGCAAAAGGCATGAGCAGACACTTGTCAAAAGAAGACATTCATGTGGCCAGGAAACATGGAACAAAGCTCAACATCACTGGTCATTAGAGAAATGCAAGTCAAAACCTCAATGGGATACCATCTCACACCAGTTGGAATTGCGATTATCAAAAAGTCAAGGAGAAACAGATGCCGGTGAGGTTGCAGAGAAATAGAAATGCTTTTACACTGTTAGTGGGAATGTAATTAGTTCAACCATTGTGGAAGATGGTGTGGTGATTCCTCAAAGATCTAGAACCAGAAATACCATTTGACTCAGCAATCCCTGGGTATATACCCAAAGGAATATAAATCATTCTATTACAAAGATACATGCATGCATATGTTTTTTGCAACACTATTCATAGTAGCAAAGACCTGGAATCAACCCAAATGCCCATCAATGATAGACTGGATAAAGAAAATGTGATACATATACACCATGGAATACTATGCATCCATAAAAAGGAACAATATCATGTCCTTGGCAGGGACATGGATGGAGCTGGAAGCCATTATCCTCAGCAAACCAATGCAGGAACAGAAAACCAAACACTGCATGTTCTCACTTATAAGTGGGAGCTGAACAGTGAGATCACATGAACACAGGGAGGGGGACAGCACACACTGGGACCTGTTGGAGGAGGGTGAGTTGGGACAGGGAGAGGATTAGGAACAACAGCCAATGCATGCTGGGCTTAATACCTAGGTGATGGGTTGACAGGTGCAGCAAACCACCATGGCACATGTTTACCTGTGTAACAAACCTGCAGATCCTGCACATGTGCCCCAGAACTTAAAATAACAACAAAAATTTTAAAAAATTTACAAATCTTGATACAGAGTGAAAGGGAAAGGAAGGTATTTCCAGAGCCACAATTAAAAAAAATTTTTATTGTTTCACACTTAGTGAAAGCAATTCTAAATGATGTAATTTAATTGGAAGATCAAAGAATCCAAAACATACAATGCGATATCCTCAAGGGAGGAAAAATGGGAAAAACCACACACTGAAACACACACACACACACGTGAACATGCACCCTCATAGTTACAGACATGGGTGAGTACACAGAATGGAAAAACCACATACTGAAACACACACGAACATGCACCCTCATAGATACACACATGAGTGAGTACTCAGAGCTCAGCTAATGTGTAATTTGAGCCCGTTTTCTCTACAGGGACAGGAGAAATGAATCCTTTTTCAAAAATATAGAATTGTTTTTGTAACTTGGCAATTGTGAATAGTGCTGCAATGAGCTTAGGAGTGTGGACGTCTCTTCTGTGGCCGATTTCATTTCTTCTGGTATACACCCAGCAGTGGGCTTGCTGGATTATATGGTGGTGGCATGTTTAGTTTTTTGAGGAGCTTCCATACTGTTTTCTAAAATGGCTGTGTTAATTTACATGTCCACCAATGGTGTGTAAGGATTTTTTCTCCTCATGCTCACCAACACTGATCTTTCACCATTCTGATAATAGGCAATCTAACAGCTGTGAGGTGATATCTCACTGCAAAATTTCACTTTCTACACATATATGTGTATACCTGTGTATACATATATACATACAATACACATGCATATATATGTACATACGTATCTGCACATATGTACGTATGGATGTTTATGTATGAATACATACATTTGCATATATACATATAGGCATATACTTACATACATATAAACTTTAAGAAGCTATAACCTCACATCTGTTAGGATGGTTACTATGAAAAAGAGTAGAATAACAAGTGTTAGCGAGAATGTAGAAAAAATAGAACCGCTGCCCTCCGCTAGTGGTAATGTAAATGAGTACAATGACCACAAAAATACTATAGATGTTTTTCAGAAGTTAATGATCAGAGCTACCCTGTGTTTCAACAATTTCACTGCTGGGTGTGTATCTAAAGGAAATGGAATCAGTACGTTGAAGAGATGCCCGCCCTCCCATGTTCATGACAGCTTTAGCCACCATAACCAAGACATGGAACCCGGCCAAGCGTCCATCAGCAGGCGAATGGATACAGAAAATGAAGCGCTCAGTATAAACACAGCGAAAAACTATTCCGCCTTCTAGAAGAAGGAAATTGTTTCATTTGTGACAACATGGACGAGCCTAGAGGACGTCACGCTACGCGGAATAAAGAAGGCACGGGAAGACACCTGCTGCCTGATCTCACTTATGTGCGGATTGCCCCAGTTGAACTCATGGAAGTAGAGAGTAGAAGGTGGTCCCCGGGAGCTGGGCTGGGGTGGAATCAGAGAGCTGCATCGAAGGATACCGCACTTCAGTTGGACAGGAGGAGTAAGTTTAGGAGATCTGTTGTACAGTATGGTGACTACAGTTGCTAACAATGGATTGCATACGCGAAAATTGGTAAGAAAGTGGATTTTAAATGTTCTCTTAACAGAAAGATAACTACGTGATGTTACAGATGTTAATTAGCTTGACCTAGCGATTTCACAGGCATATTAAAATACCATGTTGCACATCCTAAATATGTAGAATTTTAAACTGCCAAATAAAATAAAGTAAAACATTAAAATAAAATTTAAAAAAATATTATTTTGAAACAGAAAAACTGTAGAGTTTAAAATATGCCTGTTATAGAATGGAAAATTCTATTTTATATGTCATGACTTTTTTTTTTTTTAATTTTTTGAGACAGAGTCTGGCTCTGTTGACCAGGCTGGAGCGCAGGGGCGGGATCTCAGCTCACTGCAGCCTCCATCTCCTGGGATCAAGTGATTCTCCTGCCTCTGCCTCCCAAGTAGCTGGGACTGCAGTGTGCGCCACCATGTCCGACTAATTTTTGTATTTTTAGTAGAGATGGGGTTTTGCCGTGTTGGCCAGGCTGGTCTTGAACTCCCAGCCTCAAGTAATCTGCCGCCTCTGCCACCCTATGTGTTGAGATTACAGGCGTGAGCCACCGCACCTGGGCACATTGCCACTTTTTCTATTCTCAAGAAACATTTGTGATGCTCTGGGTGTGTTTGTGTGTTTCATTAGTGTGTCAATATTTGTAAGAAATCACCAATGAAGCTTCGTGAACTCGAGATTATTTTTATTATAGTCAATGTTTTTCACACACACACACATATATATACACACACACACACATCTAAAATGAGTCAGATTCTCTGATTACTCTTATGTTCATTATGTAAACTCCAGTTTAGAATATTTCATCTATTTAATCTGCAATTTCTAGTATATTGGCATAGGTTTGCCGCCTGTTCCATTGTTAGTTTTGGAAAACGTGTGTACGATCTGTAGGGCTGTCTGCTGGCTCACTCCCATATGGAAATGCATGCCTGCTCTTTCTTTCTCTTTTTCATTGTAGTTAGAATTCATGAGTGTGATTCATGTTTTCAAGAATGAGCTTCACTGGCTTTGTTGAATTTTCAAGCTTTGGTTTTTCCTCATGAACAACTCCTCTTATTATTGTTATTATTCCCTTTCTTACGCCTTCATTTGGAATAACTTGTTATTCTTCTAAATTTCTTTTTTCTCTTTTTCTTTCTTTTTTTTTTTTTTTTTTAATTTGAGATGGAGTCTCCCTCTGTCGCCAGGCTGGAGAGCAGTGGTGCGATCTTGGCTCACTGAAACCTCTGACTCCCTGGTTCAAGCGATTCTCCTGCCTCAGCCTCCCAAATAGCTGGGATTACAGGCACTGCCACCACATCCAGCTAATTTTTGTATTTTTAGGAGAGACAGGGTTTCACCATGTTGGCCAAGATGGTCTCGATCTCCTGAACTCGTGATCTGCCCGCCTCGGCCTCCCAAAGTGCTGGAATTACAGGCGTGAGCCACCGTGCCCTGCCCTAAATTTCTTATAGGAAAGCCAAGATCATTCATTTCCTACTTTTTTTCTTTCCTAATTCATTCATTCGTGGCTTGTAGTTTTCCAGTTTCATCGCTTGATGTGTAATATTTACATTGTGATTCAGTTTAATGCACTTTCTGACTTAGTTTTCTCAGCTACTTCATTGATTATTGAGAAGTCTGTTGCTTTATTTCAAAATTGTAGAGACATTAGTTATTTATACTGCAGAATTGAGTGACCCCTAAAAGTTCCCAGAGTCTCCTGGGGTAGATCCAGGCTGGGTGGGGTCCAATGGTGTCCACTGGGGGGGCAGCTCCCATGCATTCCAGACTCCATGGAGTGTGGGGTCTGCGTCCCCCCCTGGGCTAGTGGATGGCCAGAGTGGCGTAGATGCTGGGCACAGCTGGAGAGGGCCCTTCCTGGGATGGAGGAGGCTCAGTTGCCTCCCGTCTGAGGGTCAAGCTGTGCAGCTGGGCGTAGGTCACATCCTGGGGGGCTTCAGATGCAGCAGCCTGCAGCGGGGGAGAGTGAGAGGGAAGGAACGTGGTGGGGGTGGGGGAGGCCTGGGGGCCTGGAGAGGAAAGGACTCACCTCAGTGTCCATCTGCCTGTCCTCTTCCGCCTGTCTGTCCTTTGTGTCCAGGAATTCCCCAGACAGTGGGGAAGGAGGAGAGGCCATTTCTCTCCTAGGTCTGGAGTGTTTCACCTCGGCATACGTCACTGCCTGGGGGTCTTCATCGTGTGGGCTCTGCTGGAGAGAGACAGTGGTGGGGGGTGTCCTTGAATCCTCCTGACCCCCTGGAGTCAATTTTCCTCACTGTTCCCCGGGTGATCCGATTACATCCCTTTCCCGATGGAATCTCAGGGACGCCCTAAGGCCGTGGAGGGTCTGGCCGCTCCCTCGCTGTGGTTCTGGCCTCTGCTCCTCACTCTGACGTTGCCCATTTGGCTGCAGCCTCACGGGCCTTCCTGCAAGAGCTCGCTGCTGCCTGGGGGCCTTTGCAGGGTTGTTTCCTCTGCCTGCAGGGGCTCGTCCATCAGAGGATCGTGTGCCCCACTCTGTCCAGGCTTCTCAGATGACAGCTGAGCAGACAGCCCTCCCCTTCCATTCAGACTGGCCCCACTGCCCCACACTCTCTGCCCTTTCTCTGGTTTATGTTCCTTACAGCACGTTGCACTCCTGGAGGCGGCACATTTATTTGCATTTTGTCTCCCACCACGAGGTGAGCTCAGGAGGCGGGGGCGGCTTTCCTCCCTGCTGTGTCTGCAGCTCCCATGGGGAGCCCCATCCACAGTGAGCTCCCTGGGAACACTTGCTGGTTGAATGAATGAAGGGGAGCCTGGGGGACCGGGGTGGTTCATTTATTCCTCATCCTCCTGAGGCCTGGGGAGAGCTCTAACAACCAGACGGCCAAACAGAGGATGAGGAGCAGGAAGGGGACCCGGGAGGAGGCCCACGAGGTCCCAGGACAGCAGGAGAGAGTGAGGTCGCAGCAGGCGGGAGGCAGCGTGCTGGACAAGGAGGGGTCCACCGTGACGATGCTGAGAGCCGGGGGAAGGAGGACAGAGAAGTTCTGCAGGATTAGATCTGGCACCAGGAGGCCTTTGGTGCCTGGGACAGGGGTGGGGTCTCACCCGAGTGTCCATCTCCACCCCATCCTCAGGCTGTGTGTGCTTCACGGCAGCATCTGCTGGGGCAGAGCAAGGGGTTTGTCTCTTGGGAAGGTTCCCTGGGACCTCTGAGTCCTGCCAGCCCCTGCTCAGCTCCCAGATGGGGCCACTGAGATGCAGGGAGGGGCTGCGATGTCCCTGAGGCCCCACAGTGTGGGGTGAGATGATCTCACCCTGAGCCCCAGACCCTTTCCAGCCAGCGCCCCTTTCCCCATTGCTACGGAAACTTCGGGGCCCCCATCTCCCTCCTGGCTGGTCACCTCTTCCTCTCACTCACAGAGGTTTTCTTCCTGGGCATCGGCAGCTGGGCTGGACCTGGGGGAAGAATGGGAGCTTTAGGGGCAGTGTATGGGCCACGAGCAGGTGGGAGTCTGGGGTCTTCGGGCAGAATTACCTCCACTGCAGGCCTCTGTCTGTGGGCTCTGGCCCCACAGCCCCTGCAGGATGTTGGAAATCAGCCTTTCTCTGGGCTGGGGGAAGAAGGACAGAGCCTCAGCCCTGGGAACATTGGAGCCCCCTGCCCTGCACACACAGCTCGAAGGTAAGGAAGGAAACCTAAAAACACTCCTGCCTCCATGTTCCAAATGCCTCATAGGATGGACAGAGCCCGAAGGACACTTTACATTTGTAGATGGCACTGAGCCCGAAGGACACTTTACATTTGTAGATGGGACTGACTGTCGATTGGCCTGGTGAGAAATGCTGGAACAGTTTCTCAAAGCTGCATTTGCCCAGTGGTTTGGATTCTCTTTGGCTGTGCCCTGAGCCCACCCTCGGTCAGCCCTCAGGGTCCCCCCATTCCCTACTCACTCGATGTCCAGTGTTTGCCCTGACGTCGATGTCGGAGGATGAGGAAGAGGAGGAGGAGGAGGAGGAGCAGTAGGATGACGGCCACCAAGATGCCGATCACAACCCCCAGGTGCCTTCCCAGACCTTGAGCACGATGATGTCAGGGATGGGGGTGATGTCATTGAAATGAGCGCCTACTGTGTGCAGGTGACTGCTGGACCTTCTGTTCACCACCTCCAACCCCCACAACAGTCGTGCAGCACAGAAACATCCACCCCACCCACTGTACAGATGAAAAACTGACGCTCAGAGAGGGGAATCGCCTGCCCGGGGCCCCCAGCCAGGAAGCGGCAGAGCTGGGAAGGAAGCCCAGGAGTCTGACCTGCAGCCCTTGTTCCTGCACCAGAGCCGAGCCCCGGAGCTGCAGGGAAAGAGCCTGACCGTCCTGAACCATGACTCTTCTCCCCTCCCCTGCCCCAGGTCACCGTCTCTGCTGCAGGTGGGACGGGACAGGCCCCCGCGGAATCGGGTCTGGGAGGTTCCCTGGGAGGCCTCCTCTCCCAGGAGGTCACAGCTGGGAGTCAGAGCTGAAAGGAACTTTCCCACCCGCAGGCCTCTCACCTTTACATTTGGAGAAACTGAGGCCCAAGCAGGGGAGGAGCCTGTCTATATCACCACCTCCAGAGGAGACTGAACCTAGGACAGAACCCACCCCTGCCTCCCCTGGACCCTGCCCACCTCCCACTCAGAGCCCGTCACTCACCACTCTGGGGATCCGACCCGGTGGGGGTGAGGGGCTGGTCCTCAGGGCCTGCTGGGTCAGGACGGGGAGGTGAGGGCTGGGGCTGCCCTGCTCCCCACATCAGCCCGGCTGCTCCTCCCCCAGGCTGGGCCCCAACATTTCTCTCTGCCTTGACCCCCCACCCCTCACCAGCCCAGCCTCAGAGCCCTGGGGACCCTGTGGCCCCTCCTCTGGCTCTGCCCGGCTCCCTGGAGGGAAGCTCGAGTCTTTGAGGGGAATGGGATTCTCTGGGAGACCCAGGGCTGCCCTGGGGGAGGCCGCACTCCCTTGAGTTCAGAAGCCTCAGGGACTCACCAGATGTGGAGGTGGGGCCTGTTGTCGGGGAGCTGGGGCCCCCAGACGGTCCTGGGTAAAAGAATGAGAGGAGGCTGAGGAGCTGGGGCTTTCCTGAAGTCTCCACCTCAAACCAAATTTCTCTACATGGGACCTGTGGCCTCCCCAGGCCCCTCCCTCCACCCGCCTCTCCTGTCCATGATGCTGGCGATGCCACTGAGGGTGGGCAGGCCTGGGAGGGCCCTGTTCTCCTCCTTCCCTCTGAGGGTGAGTCTCCCACTGGCTGAGCCCCTCTCAGACCCCCGCTCACTCCATCCCAGCCCAGAGCTCTCCTGGGGCAGGGTCTGAGCTGAGACTTTGAGCTCAGAGAGGACAGGGTCAAGGCCCCCACCTGAGACCACGAGCTCCAGGGGGTCACTGGGGTGAGTCAGCAGGTAGGGTTTGGAGCTCTGTGAGCCGTAGCACCTGTAGGTCCCCGCATGGGCTGAGGTCACAGGACCCATGGGGAATTCAGCCTGGTATTTTTGAGATTGGTACGTTGATCTTAGACGCCATGGGTCATCAGCTGCCCCCTCCTTGGTCAGAAGGAAAGTTTGCATCCATCCCTGTGACTGACACAGCAGGGTCACGTTCTCTCCTGAGGCCACCGTGGGGCCCGGCTGCACCGAGAGGGAGACTCTGTCATAGAACTGTCCTGGAGAGAAGAAGGATGGGCGAGGGGCTGCCCCACCTTGCTCTGAGCTGACACCTCCCCAGGTCTCCCTCTGGGACCCTCAGTGTCTCTGTCTCTGTTTTCTCTGAGTCTCCCCCTCCCCGCCCATCCCCTGTCTCTGTCTGTCTCTCCCTCCCTTGGGACCCCCATCCCTCATCCCGGCCATCACTACCTGAGCTCCCCCGGCAGGGCCTGTGCGGAGCCTGGGTCCCTGACTGAACCCGCTGGGCTCCTCACCTGCGATCAGGATGTCCAGGGGGTCGCTGGGGGCCGACCACTCGGAGGAGAGGTTGTGTGCACCGTAGCATCTGTACTGGCCCCCGTAGGAGCGGCTCACAGGGCCCAGGGTGAAGTTGGCCTGGGAGAGCCCAGCCTGGGGCTGTGCGCCAGCGAGCTGAAGGAAGTCACGTTCCCCGTCCTTATACAGAACAAATCTGTTGTAGCCAGCATCAGAGCCACACTGCAGAGTCAGGGTCTCCTCAGGGGCCACGATAGGACCTGGCTGCACTGAGAGTGATGGCTTCTTAGAAACACCTGGGAAAAGGTGGTCATGGTTTCCAGGAGCCGACCCTCAGGCTTCCCCACAAATCTTCCCTTTCCCCCGGGGCCACATCACTGCTGATCTTCCTGTGTCTCTGGCCCCAGGAGCCCTGAGCCCTCTCGCCCCAACATCATCCCACCTGGAACTGCCCTGAGACGCGGCTGCTCCCCACCTGCCTGGAGACTCAGGGAACTCCAGGCAATGCTGTGAATTTCTCACCTAGGACCAGGAGCTCCAGGAGATCACTGGGTAGAGACCACTCATAGGGAGAGTTCGAGTCATAAGCATAGCACCTGTACCACCACCTGCGACTCGGGCTCACGGGGCCCACGGAGAAGATGGCGCGGGACGACCCACGGGCATGGGGCTGGGAGTTCAGGCATTGTGGGTGTTCATCTTCTCCTTCCTTACACAGAATGAAGCCATCAAATGCCACCTGTGAGTCACACTGGAGGGTTACATTCCCTCCTGAGTTCACCACGGGGCTGGGCTGGGCTGAGAGGGTGGGTTTGATGTAGGCTCCTAGGAGAGAAGGAGGCACCGTGTTAAATGTGGCTCAGACCACCCGCGTCATCCCCAGGGCTGGGCTGTGAGAGGGAGAAGCCCCTGAGAGCCGTCCCCCTTCCTGAGGGCAGAGTCTGGGGCTGGGACCCCTGAGTGTCAGCTCACCTGTCACCACCAGCTCCAGGGGGTCACTGCTCTCTGAGCGGCCTGCAGTGTCGCTACCATAGTAACAGCGATACCGCCCTGTGTGTTCCCAGGTGATGGATGGGATGGGGAACTGGCCCTTCTTCACAAGCTCCTGTGGGATCCGTGTAATCCAGGGTGCTGTTTTCTTTTCTCTATATAGACGGTACTCCTGGGTCTCCTGGCCCCCCTGACACCTGAGGGTCACAGGACTCCCCTGGGTGATCACAGAGCCTGGTTCAGCCCAGAGGGTGGGCTTGGGGAGGTGCCCTGGAAGGAAATCAGGAGTCAGATTCTAACTCATTTCCCACCCAACCCAGCAGATTCCAGCTCTCAGCCCAGGACCCTCCAGACGCCCCCATCAGTCAGCCCAGAACTGCTATTCCCCATCCCCAGCGGCACGGGGGTGGCCCCTTGTCCCCAGTGAGGAGGAGGGACCTGGAAGAGCTGGGGACAGACTCACCTGCCTGCACGTGGGTCCGGGGGCCCAGACTCAGCCCTGGAAGAGAGTTCCCGGTGAGGGATTTGCCCCCTGAAGCCTGGGCAGGTCCTCCCCTCCCTGGGATCTTTGTGAGCCCCTGGGGTCTCCTTAGGGACAAGAGTTTGGCTGTGGGGTGAGGTCCCTCTTAGGTTAGAAGCTCCCCTCCTTCTTCAAATCTCACCGAGACAGATCAGGACCGTGAGGATGGGGGTCATGGCGTCTCCTCCCACTGCCCTGCTCTGTGGATGGATGAGCCCTCGGTGCTGGCAGGATAGAGAGACACACAGAGTGTGGCCAATCGGAGGCTGGGTCCTTCTTCTCATGGGGTGCTGTCATCTGCAGCCACACAGGAAGTGGAACTGCCCTCCCCAGGACCCTTGCTCTCATTCCATTAGGGCTGAGGTGGGGGCAGTCACTAGGCCCTCTGCATCATTTCAGATGGTAATGGGCCCTTTCCTGACCCCCAGCCACCGTCTGTCTGGTTTGTTTTCATCCCACTGAGAGCCAGGATGTAGCAGCAAATAAAACTGGTTCCTTCCTGTGTCTGCCCTTCCTGACGAGGGTAGCGGAGGCATCTCCTTCCTTCTCACAGCCTCCCACATGGTCACCCTCCCTCCTTCAGCCGTCCATCAGCTCAGTGTTGTGGGGTCCTTACCATGGCAGTCGTCCCTCCAGCCCTGGAGATGCTTCAGGGAAGACCCAGGTCCATGCTGCAGGCAGACTCAGATCAGCAGAGACGCATCTCGCATCTGGCTGTGCCGCCCAGGCTGAGCTGCGTGTGGCAGTGAGCACAGAAGAGAAATGCAGGGAAATAGGGAAGAAAAGTTGACTTCTTTCTTGACACTGGATTGTGGGTTTTCTTTCAACCAAATAGTCCCCTCTTAACTTCCCCTTTTTAAAATATTTTGCTACAGTGTCCAACCCCACCCCCCGGGAACAAATCTCTGAGTCTTTCCTGCCTCCTCGGTGCCCTTTGCTTACTTGGCCGTCCCTCTGCACCTCAATCCCTGTTCAACGCTTTGGGAACAATGACTTATATTTGAGCTTTGATTTGGGGAGTTGGGGGGGAGTTATATTTATTCAACGACTGGTTATCATCCACTGCCTACGTGACCTCGGGCGGTAATGAACCATCTCTGAGCCTCAGATTCTTCCTTTGCCGACTGTTGTCACAAATCCCACTCGTGACAGTGGTTGTACGGTCAGTGGTGCTGGAACATTAGGAGGGGCTCATTTGTGCCTGATTTCCAGACCAGGGTAAGACCTGAGGTGTTTGGGACATAAGAGGATCTTGGCGTTGGACTCCACAGTCTACGTAGGTGATTGATGTGTCCACTCTGGATCTCACATCTGACCCTAATGGATAGATGGACGTGTATTTGTCCATCTATCTGGGCATTTCTGAAATACCCAGAGCATCAATGTCATGAGCAGAAAAAGAGATGTGGAAGTTCCCAAGTGTAGATGGATCCACAGGAAAGAACAGAGGCCACAGGTGAGATGCCACAGGGACCTGGGACCATCAAGGGCTCATTAGGGTGGAGGTTTCCACCACTGAGTGGAGCCAGGAGAGGAACCTCGGGATCTGCAATGACAGTGAGGGGCTCAGGGCTCCAGACCAAGGTGGGAGGCTGCGTCCTCCAGCTACACCTGAGGCTGGAGTGGACCCCAAGCAGCCCAGGGGAATTCCCTCAAGGGAGTGCACCAAACCGTCCAGTGACAGAGCTGCTGGGATTCCAAAGAAAGAAGCACTAAACACCAGGGTGTTCATAGATCATTTATTAGGGAGACTTCTGCACAGTGGGGCACCCTCGTCTCCTTGCCCAGTGTCTCCTTGTGGATCTCAAGGATGTGCTTCCACATAGCAGCATCTTCTTCAGATGGACAAGGAGACACTGGGTGTTCTACCCGAAGCTTTAACTTAAAATAAAAATAAAAACAAAAATAAACCCCTAGAGAATATGATCTCTCAGTAGAGTTGTTTCTTGGGATACACAGGCAATTCGTTTCAGTACCCGCTACATGCACCAACACCTGCTCGTACTCCAGCCCCGACATTGTCTCTGCTGGGCCTGCATATAGGAAAAGTCTGCCGTTCATATACACAAGTCTTGCATCCCACAAATGCTACAGTTTTGACCCCCGTTTGGTTGAAAAAAGTGTGCATATAAGAGACCCCAGGAATTCAAGGCTGCGTTGCTCCAGGGTTGTCTGGATTTTGAGTTTATTTGGGAGTGAGAAGCAAGGATTACAATCTGGAGTGCATGGCATGGCAAGCCACAGTGTGTCCGGAGAGGGAAGTGTGATGTTGTGATACACACTGGTTTTCACCTGCGGTTCCTGGCTCATAGCTCCATAGCCCTTGTTACAGTCTTTTGTTATAACATTGGCTGTGTTAGGCCTTAGGGGAGGCCTCTGACCTCCTCCTGCCCTTCCTTCACCTGCCCAAGGCAAGACTCTAATGTCCCTGCCTTTCTGATGGTGGCTCTTAAGACCCTCCCAGAAGATGGTCTCAGCCTGTTCCTTGTGGGAGGAAATACTGACATCATGAAGCTTCATAAAAACCCAAGAAGACTGGGTTTCGTGGGTTTCTGGGTGGTTGAGCATGTGGAGACTCCTGGAGGGTGATGCCCAGGGAGGGTATGGAAGCCCTGCGCCCCTTCCCCCATGCCTCCTCCTATGAGTCTCTTCATCTGTGTCCTCTGCAGTGTGCTTTGTATTCAACCAGGAAACGTCAGTGTCTCTCTGAGTTCTGTGAGCTGCTACAGCAAATTAATCAAACCCAAAGAGGTGGTCATAGGGTCCCCAACTTGAAGCCAGTCAGTCAGAAGTTCTGGAGGTCTGGACTTGGGAATGGTGTGGGGGCAGTGTTGGGGACTGAACCATTCAATCTGTGGGATCTGGGACTGTCTCTGGGTAGACAGTGTCAGAGCTATGCTAACATTCTCAAATATCTGCTAGCCGTGATAAATAAATCAATGTACTTTATGTTATTAGCTCCCACAATTTAGCCTAAATATTTGCCCTGGCATGCTTATACTGGTCCAAGCAAGCATTAGGTCATAGCCTGTTCCTCTTCCTTATTTGAAGGTGTTTTCACCTTTCTCAGCATTCCACAAGTTACTTCCTCCTTCCTTTGTTCTGCTCTACCTTTGCCTCTTTTCAGAAGTTCTAAGTTACTAGCCAATCGGGACAAATACAGAGTGTGAGGTCCTGTTCCAGCCAGTGGAAACCGGACAGAGCAGTAGGGTGGACGTGTCAGGTTATAAATGACCCTGTCTCTTTTGTTTTGTGTACTCTCGAAGCAAAACTGCTGGTGAGTGTACCCTTGCTGCAGAAAATAAAAATGGTCTTGCTGAGTAAATTAAATTTATGTTCAAGTGCTATTTGTTTACGGCACTGGGGAAGAAGCATTTAAACACTCAGCTGGCGTCCGCTACTGGGTCTAGGAAAAAAAATCCCACACATCTGGTCCTAGAAGTCTTCTTCTGTGAGGATGATTCCTGTGGTGTGAGAGTAGAGGAAAAGCACCATAGAGAGAGCTCTCTGACATACAGAAGTAAAGGAAGTTCTTATCAGCAACAAGAGAGAGGCTGACAGAGCTGCTTAGAAACAGAGTTCCCTGATTCCAGAGGTTCAAAGCCAGAGTTGCTGTCAGTCCATTGGAGGAGATGCCGTTGCTGGGCAAGTTTTTTCTCGAGAGCATCTTATCTGAATTCCTGACATCCTAAAGAATATCTAGTGATAAACCTCGTCAAAGCAGGAGGGGGTGAAGGACATGGAAGGGTTTCTTGTGGGGTTTTTAAAAAGTCCTTAGAAGCAGCTCTTATCTGAGAGCTGGAAGCATGGGCCTCCTCTCCTTCAGGCCTTCCTGGCCCTGTGGGGTCTGAGCTTGACCAAAGTCATCTCATCCTTGCACATGTGACTTTCCTATTGGGTGTCTGCAGTGAAGGGATTGGGTTACGAAGTTTAACCTGAGAGTTTCAGGAATTTCGTTGAGGGGAGGGCTTGTTTCTACCTCTTTAGCAAAAGGGTTAATTTTTCAGTGTTTTCTAAAAACAACCTAAAGTGCTTTATCAGTACTTGGGGATGCTGAAGACCTCAGCTTGGGTTCCAGCCTGCAGGTGAAAGCATGCATCTGTCCAACCCACAGAGCAGCCATGGCACTTTGTCTCTCTCTCAGAACAAAGCAAAAAATGGAGGAAACCGTGGGACCCTAGAGAGACTGTTGTTCTCCCTCTTCTGTGTTTGTGGACAGACCCTGGGATAGCTCCCCTCAGTGACCCGGGCCACACTCAGCATTGAGCCACCTTCCCGGGTGTGCATGACACAGATGCGCTTTATCACTGCTGGACCAGGCATCTCTAGCACGTGAGTGTGAGGCTCACATGGGCCCCACCATGCCGGACAGAACACAGAGCTGATTCTAAGCTTGGCAGCATGGACACCGCAGGGCAGGAGTGACCACAGCAATGCTCCTCATCAGCTTTCCTTCCTGAGTCAGCCCGGGGAGAAACTGTATGGAAGATCACATGTGTGGGAGAAAAACCCACCCAAGAGAAATAAAAATCAAAAAGTCCATTACAGAAAAAACAGGCAATTATAGAAATGAATTAGGAAGCTACTGTGAGGTGAAAAATAGTAAATCATATCAACACATTTAGAAATAATTGCATCAAGAACAAGACACAGCTGAAATGATGAGCATAGTATTGGTGTGGAATATCTATTAAATTTTTCATTAGTCATCAGAGAAAAACTAGAAATGAATAAAGTAGAAAACATAATTAATGCACACAAGAAATGGAATGAGAAGAGGAAACAGGTATCTCTCTATGGATCACACTTTCAGAATGAAGGAAATAAGGAGTACGTTATTCAGTAAATATTGCAAAGAAAATGGTTGACATTTTTACAGAAATGAAGAAAGAACATGAGTTTAATGTGAACAAATTAATAAATAACATCAATGTCTTAACTATGATAGAGTAAAAGATACCTAGAATAGATACAAAGTAATTTTAAAACTACTGGAGAAAATGAAAATTATTCTCAAATGAAAGACAAGCACATTGGGACCGGATTTCCCAAGAGTAAAAAGTGACAAGAAAATGATTGTGGGCTGAGGTTCAAGTTGGCTGAATGGAAAGGGCTGGAGTCTGCCTACTCACTAAGAGGACCCAAAATAGTGAGTAAATACCAACAGGTCAAGTGGATCTTCCAAGAGGATGCTGGGGTTCACCTGAGAAACATGAGGACATGGAAAGAAGAGAAGAGAAAAGGTGGGAGCCAGGAGAGGCTCCTAACACGGGGAAGGGGTGAGTGAGTGAGAGATTCTCTAACACGGGGAAGGGGTGAGTGAGTGAGAGATTCTCTAACACGGGGAAGGGGTGAGTGAGTGAGAGGCTCCTAACATGGGGAAGGGGTGAGTGAATGAAAGAGTCCCTAACACGGGGAAGGGGTGAGTGAGTGAGAGGGTCCCTAACACGGGGAAGGGGTGAGTGAGTGAGAGATTCCCTAACATGGGGAAGGGGTGAGTGAGTGCGAGGCTCCCTAACCCGGGGAAGGGGTGAGTGAGTGCGAGGCTCCCTAACACGGGGAAGGGGTGAGTGAGAGGGTCCCTAACACGGGGAAGGGGTGAGTGAGTGCGAGGCTCCCTAACACGGGGAAGGGGTGAGTGAGTGAGAGGCTCCTTAACAAAGGGAAAGATTGAGTGGGTGTGAGGCCCCTGGGATCCACACCCCTGTCTTGGCCCTTTACAATCCTGGTCACAGGAGAGCCCCTGACCCCCCTTGGCCTACAGAGGCACAGGGAGTTCCCAGAGATGGTGCAGAGGCGCCTCTGGAGCCCACGTGGAATCCCACAGGCTTCTGATCCCTGAGCAGCCTGGGTCCAGCTGCCACTGCCTTAGCAGGGAGGGAGGAGGCCAGGCACCTCTGTGGGCCCCAGAATAAGTATGACAGCTGGGGCACAGGAGCAGCCAAGCTGAGCACCACACAGCTGCCCACCTCTGTTGCTTCCTGCGAAATGGGGCTTCCTTCCTGCTAATGGGGCTTGCCAGCTGCAGGGCCCCAGTCACCCGTCCTGCCCCCACCCGAACACCGTGGCCCTGGCTCAGTGCCCTCTGAAAGTCCAATGCTCAGAGGCCCCTGACAAGCCCTTTGCAGTCACTGCCACCTCTGCCTCTGTCCCTGCTGCCCCAGGCCCAGGGAGGGTGTGGGGAGGCCTGGCACTTTCACGTGTCCCCAGAGCAAAACCGAGTGACACTTCTTCAGGAGGGAAGTGTGAGCGGGCCCTGTGCCTCACAGCTGCCAGTCTCCAGTGCCCCAGCAGAGGGGCCCTGCCCTCCCTAGTGACAGGCCCACAGCACAGCCACCCTGCCCCCACCTGGACATTTCAGCTGCAGCCCCCAGCCCTTCTGAGAGCCCAGTCCCCACAGGTCTGTGATCTGCCGCAGGCTCTACCACCTGAGCCTTCTGCCTGCCCCGCCTGAGGGTTCTGCCTGTGCCCTGGGGACCAGCCCATCCCTCCCCATCACAGCCAGCATCTGAACCCCGGAGCAGCCAAAACCCAGTCCAGCCCCTTCAGGACTCACACACGCTGTCCAGCCGGCCACCTAGGGGCCTGTGATCCGGGAACTACCTGCCCTTTCCTACCCTGCTGGCACCTGACCACTCACCCCAGGGCCTGAGGTCGGGCCCACCCAGCCAGCAACACCACCACAACTGACGTCCACTCTCCCATCCAGAGAGGCAGAAGCCCCACATCCCACCTACATGAAGCAGCTACCACGTCAGACAACAGACAGCCGCTCAGGGTCTGCACTGGGCTGAGGGAGGAGGCTCTGCCTTGGAACCACGCCTGCAGAGAGTGGCAAGGCAGGTGTTTCCCACGGCCCTCAGCCACACTGTGGCCTGGGGAGAGACAAAAGTGTGTGTCTGAACTGAGACTCATGAGCCCTGGAGCACGGGTGTGATAGGGAGACAGACAACGTTCCTCCCTATGGGACTGGAAACGGTGTAGCTCCTTCACCCCCCGCAGAGACCTCAGGGCATTTCACTAGGAGCTGCTCCAGCCATGTCCATCAGGACTAGTGCCTGCACTCATCACTGGGATATCTGTGGGCAAGCCGGGGGTTCCAGCTCTGCCCAGGGGTGTTCCCTCGCCCCTGTGGAACACAAAGCTCAGGGCACCTGACACTCCACGGTCCAGCCCTTCCCCTGAAACAACAGTCAGCACCTCACAGGAAACACACCAGGTCCATATCCACCTGCTTGTGCCGAGGGTGGCTCTTACCCTTAAGCACCAGCTCCTGGCCTGCAATTTGAGCTGCACAGCCCAACACAAACCCTGCTGCAGAAGCTCCCAAAGCCATGGGAAAAGCCAAAAGACCCTTCCCAACATGCTCTACAGTCACCCTCCCTGCGGGGCCGGGGGAAAATGTGCAAAACAAATCCCATCCAAATGAAAATAAATTCGAAGAGAGTAAGTGGAGGCCTCTCCAGAAGAGAAGGAATCAGTGTAAGGATTCTGACGCTGTGAAAAATCTGAATATTGTGGCACCACCAAAGGATCGCACTGGCTTGCTAGTGATGGATGCT
Organism: Homo sapiens; assembly: GCF_000001405.40. NCBI lineage: Eukaryota > Metazoa > Chordata > Mammalia > Primates > Hominidae > Homo > Homo sapiens. The sequence goes on along the minus strand of NC_000019.10, from coordinate 54,623,687 downwards.
GAAAACAATGGAAACTCTGAAAGGACAGATAAAGAATGAGATTGAGACAAAAACATTACAAAGAATCAGTGAAAGAAAACGTTGGTTTTTTGAAAGTATAAATAAAATTGAGAGATGGCTGACTACACTAACCAAAAAAAGGAGAAGATTTAAATAAGCACAATCAGAAATGATAAAGTTGACATTACAACCAACGCCACAGAAATACAAATGACCATCAGAGACTACTATGAACACCTTTATGCACGTAAACTAGAAAACCTAGAGAAATGGATGAATTCCTAGACACATACAACTTCCTAAGATCGCACAGGCAAAAAATAGAAACCCTAAACAGACCAATAACAAGTAACCAAAAAGAATCAGTACTAAAAATCTTCCGGCAAAAAAGCCCAAGAACAGATGGATTCACAGTCGAAATTTGCCATATACACAACGAAGAGCTGGTGCCAATCATAATGAAAGTATTCCAAAAAATCAAGGCGATGGGATTCTTTCCTAGCTCATTCTATGAAACCAATATCACCCTGATAGCAAAATCAGACAGGGATCCAACAGAAAAATAAAGCTACAGGCCAAGAAACCTGAGGAACACAGGTGCAAAAATCCTCAAGAAAATGCTATTAAACGGAATCTAACAGTGTATCAAAAACATAATTCATCATGATCAAGTTGGCTTGATTCCAGGGATGAAAGGATGGTTCAATATATGCAAGTCAATAAAAGTGACTCATGACATAAACTAAGAACAAAAAGCATATGGTCATCTCAATAGATGCAGATAAAGCGTTCGAGAAAGTCCAATATCCCTTCATGATAAAATCCCTCAACAGACTAGGCATGAAAGAAACATACCCCAAAATAAGAGCCTTATAAGACAAACGCACAGCCAACCTTAAAATTGAATGGGGAGAAGTGAAAGCATTTCCCCAAGAAATGGAACAGGATAAGGATGTCCACTCTCACCACTCCTATTCAACACAGTACTGGAAGTCCTAGCCAGAGCAATCAGGCAACAGAAAGAAAGAAAGTGCATCCACATTGGAAAAGAGAAAGTGAAATTATCTGTGTGTGCTGATGACACGATCATATACCCAGAAAACCCTGAAGATTCTTCCAGAAGACTCGTAGACTTGGTAAGTGACTTCAGTAAAGTCTCTGGATAAAAAAATCAAGCTACAAAAATCAGTAGCTTTTCTATACATCAGTACCGTTCAAGCTGAGAATCAAATTAAGGACACACAAACACAAACACACACTGAGGAGTATATTTAACCAAGGAGGTGAAAGACCTCTACACAGAGAGTGACAAAAGGCTGATGAAAGGAACTGTAGGCAACACAACCAAATAGAAAAATATTCCTTGCTCACAAATGGGAAGAATCAATATTGTTAAAATGACCATATTGCCCAAAGCATACTACAGATTCAACACAATTCCTATTAAATTACAAATGTCATTTCTTTAACAGAATTAGAGAAAAAGCAATTTTTAAATTCATTTGGAACCAAAAACCAGCCTGAACAGCTAAAACACTTCTATGCAAAAAGAACAAAACAGGAGGCATCACATTGCCTGATTTCAAGTTATACTATAAGGCCATAGTAACTAAGACAGCATTTACTAGTACAAAAATATACACAGACATCAAGGGAACAGAATAGAGAAACTAGAAATAAAGATACATGCCTACAACATACTGAGCTTTGCTAAAGTCAACAAAGTAAACAATGGGGAAAGGACACCCTATTCAATAAAGGATGCTGGAAAAACTGGGTAGCCATATGCAAAAGAATAAAACTGGACCTTTATCTCCCACCATGTACAAAAATCAACTCAAGATGAATTAAAGACCTCAATGTGAGACCTGAAACTATGTAATTCCTAAAGCAAAATTTAGGAAAAACCCTTCTGGACATTAGTCCAGGCAAAGAACTTATGGTAAAGACCCTTAAAAATGCAACAAACCCCCGAATAGACAAATGAGACATGATTAAAATTAAAAGCTACTGCACAGCAAAAGAAACAATCAACAGAATGAACAGACAACCTACACAATGGAAGAAAATATTTGCAAATTATGCCTCCAACAAAAGACTAATGTCCAGAATCTGCAAGGAAGTCAAAGAATTCAACATGAAAAAAAAAAAACAAAAAACACAGACAACTTTATGGAAAACTGAGTAAAGACCATCAACAGACATTTCTCAAAACAAGAAATATAAGTGGCCAACAAACACATTAAAAAATGCTCAACATCATTAATCATCAGAGAAATTCAACTTAAAACCACACTGAGTATCAACTTACACCAGTCAAAATGGCTACTTTTAAGAAGTCAGAACCAACAGATGTTAGCAAGATACATGGTTGGTAGGAATGTAAATGAGTTTATCTTCTATGGAAAATAATATGGAGCTATCTCAACTAAAAATAGAACTACCATTTCACTTAGCAATCCCATTACATGGTATCCAGCCAAAGGAAAAGTCATTATATTAAAAAGACAATTGGGTCAGGTGTGGTGGCTCACGCCTGTAATCCCAGCACTTTGGGAGGCCAAGACAGGCAGATCACCTGAGGTTGGGAGTGTGAGACCAGCCTGGGCAACATGGTGAAACCCTGTCTCTACTAAAAATACAAAAAATTAGCTAGGCATGGTGGCGAGCACCTGTAATCCCAGCTACTTGGGAGGCTAAGGCAGGAGAATCGCTTGAACCCAGGAGCCGGAGGTTGCAGTGAGCAGAGATGGCACCATTGCACTCCAGCCTGGGCAACAAGAATGAAACTCCATCTCAAAAAATAAAAAATAAATAAATAAATAAGACAACTGCACTCATTATGTTTGTTGCAGCACTATTCACAACAGCACAGACATGAAACCAAACTAAGTGTCCACCAACGGTTGATTGATTTTAATGGTTACTTGGTTCATATGCTTCATACACCAGCCCCACCTGGCTCGCATACAAAGCATATTCACTGCTTCATCTGGGATGCTGCACTTGGTGTTTTATAGGGAGAGTTGGCTAGTCCCCTTCTCAGGGCCAACAGACCTTTCAGTGGCGTTTGTCTGGTCCACTAAGCTGGTTGTTCTCTCTGGAATAACCTCCTGTGCATTTGGATCTCATATACTCATTAGTGATTGTTTAATAGTGAGCTACGGGTCCTGCATCAATCCAAACAAGCTCTTAAATTCTGAAGCATTTAAAATTAAGAATGTGGGCGTGAACCTGGGAGGCAGAGCTTGCAGTGAGCCGAAATCACGCCACTGCACTCCATCCAGCCTGGGCAACAGAGCAAGACTCCATCTCAAAAAAAAAATTAAGAATTTGGCCCTTAAAGTGGTTATTTTTTACAATCTACCACATAGATTATTTTTAAGAAACTGATTATAACAATCTAAAAAGCAGAACAATTCCTTTGCATTATACCCTCTGGTTTTAATAGTTACTTGTTTTTGCCCTTCCTCTATATCAACTATCTTCTTGGTAATCACAGGTCTCAGAGTTAACTTTTGTTGTCCTGGCTAAATTGTTCTTTTTATTTAGTTTTATCTCCGTAATTTTTTCTTCATTTTAAAGCAACTCTTAAATAGTTTCTTAACTAGAAAAAAACCTACTTTTTTTTTTGCAAAACCTATATCCTTGTGTTTTATATGCATCACCAAAAACATTTTATACTCCTACTATTTTAATTTAGTAACCCAAATTTCAAGTGAAAAAAAAAAAACGAGGTTTAACATAACATAGCTCTAATTACTGGAGAGAGTTTTAAGATTAAATTTACTAAATTAATTTTACTAAATATTAAAATCAGGTGAATTCAAAGGCATCTTAGCTAGTGTCTGCCAATCTGATAAGCACTTACTTTTTTTTAAAAAAGACAACTGATGAGCTGTTTCATGTAGTTTGGTAGTGAAATATCACTTCCAGATAACACATATGAAGATACAGATATAACAGGCATACAGAAGAAAAAAAGCAGGTCTAAAGGATATTTCATTTTTCTGTTTTTAAATAAAAATTCCTCTCTTACTTTAGATAATTAATAAAAGTTACAGAAGCCAACACAAGGTGAAGGAGAGAGCTATCATCCAAGGCCTTTCAAAAGAGAAAAAGCTGAACTTTGATATATTCATTGGAAGAATTTCAAAAAGACAGATTATAGAATTTAAAAATTAAAAACTTTTTGCATTAAGAATAAGTTAATATTTTACTAAAACCTTGTTTTAACCAATTATTTAGTTTTGGATTAGGGTGTGTTTTTTAAATATCAAAGACCCATCTGTAGAATGACTATTATATTTCTTAATCATAACCAACTACATTACACTACCTTTCTTTTTTTAAAAAAAGTCTTATTGTGACTTACAGAGACCACTTACAACATGCTTAAACTGCCTGTTTTGTCCTAAATATCCCTCTTTCTTGAACTATCAGTTATTTTATTTCAGGACAAAAATTCACTACATAAGACTTTCTTGTGTAAAATTACTTTCCTTTTCATCTTTTTTACCAAAATTCCTCTTTATATTTATAACTGTCTTTACATCTCTTATTTCCTGTTTCCATTTATCTTGTTTTATACATAACTTTTAAAAAAGCTTTGAATTAAACACAGATATTTATCTTTTAATAAGAATTGTTTTTTAAAAATGTTTTCCTGTAATTTTTAAATTATAAATTACCCAGCTAATCAATTAATATCTATTATTTAATATAACTTTAGATTGTAAATTATGTGACAAGTTTGTTTATAGGCATTTATTCCATTGCATTTACTTGATAAACTTATTTAATAGTTTACCTAGATTATTTATGAACACTGTGACAGTCATCACTTAAAGTTAATTCCCTGTTAACCAATGTTATAAACTATGAATTTCAGGTGTTTACCTAAGTAAGGGAACTTATGGTTAAATATAAAGTTATTTTTTTTAACCAATATCTCAGTAGTTAGCTGTTTTTATTTAACCAACAATATTACATGGCTTATTTATTAAAAATTATACAAGCAAAGATCATTCTGTTTTGGGCTGGGTTTATAATTTTGTTTTGTGTGTGTCAGGCTGCTCTTGAACTCCCAACCTCAGGTGATCCACCAGCCTCGGCCTCCCAAAGTGCTGGGGTTACAGGCGTGAGCCACCGTGCCCGGCCAGGTTTATAGTTTTATAACCCTTATGGAAAATCTTATACTATTCTGCAGGGATAAGCACAAAACCACTTGTGCAATAAGTGCAAACAAAAACGCTAACAATTCTTAAGACATTTCTAATCTTATTTTACCAATAATTTTAAAGCCAGCTTATTTATTAAAGATTTTACTTAAGTGAACTTGAAGAAGCATCTTGTCCTGATAAAGTATTTGATTTAAGCACTTTTATTCTCTTTAAGCCAATTAATTAGAGCTCTTTTGTATATTTTTAGTAGTGAAACATTATGTACACCACACACAGATTCATGGACGCATTAGGCATGCTGATAGAAGTACATCTTATAGATTCAAAAAACCTCTTTTTTTTCTATCTCAAACTTTCAAACTCTTTTTTTTTCTTTTTTTCTTTTTTTCTTTTTTTTTTTTTTTGAGGCAGGGGCTCACTCTGTCACCCAGACTGGAATGCAGTGGCATGATCCCAGCTCACTGCAACCTACATCTCCCATGCTGAAGTGATTCTCCTGTCTCAGTCTCCCAAGTAGCTGGGATTACGAGTGTGCCACTACTGCCTGGCTAAGTTTTGCATTTTTAGTAGAGACAGGGATTCACCATGTTGGCCAGGCTGGTCTTGAACTCCTGATCTCACATGAGTCACCTACCTCAGCTTCCCAAAGTGCTGGGAATACAAGTGTGAGCCACCACGCCCAACCCTTTCAAACTCTTCATAACCTGTTTCCTTACCCCAGGCAGTTGTCAGCTAAATAACCCTAAATTTCCATGTTACAGGAAACACTTTTTAGGAGAAAAAATCAGCAAAACTTACATCTCAAAGTACAGAGGAAGAAGTCTGGTGTGTTAGAGGGAAATTAAAATGGGTTCACTGCCAATTAAACATAAAATTATACAAATCTATCATAAAGGCTTTTAAACACACACACACCACACACACACACACACACACACACACACACACACAGACATCCTGTAGCTTTTACTTCAAAACTCTAGCCATGAGATATTAATATAAATTTACCAGCTTGCAAAAAAAATTTGGATCTAAACAGTGGTTTTTATCTCAGTAGAAAGGTAACAGCAGATGTAAAGCAGGCAGAAAAGAAAATAGAGAAAGAGAGAACTTAGGAACTCTATAGCGTGCAAGCCGCCATTAGGGCTCTCTTACCTTGATGTAAATGTGCACAAAGACCATAATATTTTTGTTTTACACAAACTCCAGAAAGTAGAGGCGCCATAAAACCAATGGAGTGCCCACAAGGGGGTCACTCTTCTTGCTTTCTCCTCATTCTTAGATTATTTGTTTCCCACTTTTTCTTTTCTTTTCTTTTCTGTTCCTCCTCTCCTCTCCTCTTTTCTCTTCTCTTCTTAAAGGAGGAAGTGAGCTGTGGGCTAGAGGTTTGTGCAGTGGGTCACAGTGTGCTGGTTGTGGGTGGGACTCCACAGGGTCTCACCACTGAGTCATTTCTTCCCTCTCATGTGTCTCAGTTTCTCTCTCGGAAGGTCTAAACACCTCCAGGAGGGCCCAAAATGCAGAGTGACCAGCTCCCATATGTGCTTCCTGGACAAGCCTTTTTAAAACTCATTTTGTTGGGTGTTCCCTGTAGGCCACTCACATCACGATGGGGTCCATCCACCCCCAGACATTCCCACAAGCACCCCTCATCACTTCCCACATTTTGGCTGGGAGGAGCAAAATGCCCTTTCTTTTTTAAGCTGAGGAAACACAGTCTCTCGTTTCCCTATGAAAACAACAGTTCAGTTCCTCATGCAAATGTGAACAGACAAGCCAAATCGAGATTAATTTGGGGAGAAAAGCAATGGAGAAGACCCTTTAGAATGTATCTCCCAACTAGAAGTAGGATCCTTAAACAACAACTTCCTAGAAAGAAAAAGAAATAGTAGATCAGAATAAATAAAGGGCCGTCAACCAAAGGGAGGTCGGGGCTCAGGAGGACTTACCACTTCTGGCAGAGAAGAAGCTCAAAATCCTGGAGGCTTTCAGTGGGCCCCTGCTGGTACCTTAGCTCCAGGTTGAGACAACTCCTTTGGGGTCCTGAGTCTTATCTGAGGCCTCACGTGTTCAGGCACCAAATTATTGTGGACAAAAAGAGTCAAACTCTGTAATATATTAGAAGAGATTTTTCTGAGCCAAATATGAGTGATCAGCACTCAGGAGGTCCTGAGAACATGTGTCCCTTGACTTTTTAATAATAGCCATTCTGACAGGTATCAGATGGTATCTCATTGTGGTTTTGATTTGCATTTCTCTCATGATCAGTGATGTTGAGCTTTTTTTATATGATTGTTGGCCACATGTATGTCTTCTTTTGAAAAGCGTGTGTTCATGTCGTTTGCCCACATTTTAATGTGGTTGTTTGTTTTCTTCTTGTAAATTGGTTTAAGTTCCTTAAAGATACTGGAGAGTAGACCTTTGTTAGATGCACAGTTTGCAAAAACTTTCTCCCAGTCTGTAGATTGTCAGTTTACTCTGTTTACAGTTTCTTTTGCAGTGCAGAAACCCTTTGGTTTAATTAGATCTCATTTGTCAATTTTTGCTTTTGTTGCAATTTCTTTTGGCATTTTAGTCATAAAATCTTTGCCCGTGCCTGTGTCCTGAATGTATTGTCTAGGTTGTCTTCCAGGTTTTTATAGTTTTAGGTTTTACATCCATCAATCAATCCATCCTGAGTTAGTTTTTTTGTATATGGTGTAAGGAAGGGGTCCAGTTTCAATTGTCTGCATATGGATAGCCAGTTATCCCAGCACAGTTTGTTGAATAGGGAATCCTTTCCCCATCACTTTTTTTTTGTCAGGTTTCCTAAAGATCAGATAGTTGTAGGTGTGTGGTTTTATTTGTGGGTTTTCTATTCTGTTCCATTGGTCTATGTGTTTGTTTTTGTACCAGTACCATGCTGTTTTGGTTACTGTAGCCCTGTAGTATAGTTTGAAGTCAGGTAACATAATGCCTCCAGCTTTGGTTTTCGGTTTTTGTTTTTGCTTAGGCTTGCCTTGACTATTTGAGCTCTTTTTGGGTTCCATATGAATTTTTAAATTTAAAACTTTTGGTTCCATATGATTCTTCTAGTTCTGTGAAGAATCTCAATGATAACTTAATACAAATATTACTGAATCTATAAATGGCTTTGAGCACTATGGCCATTTTTAAGATATTGATTCTTCCTATTCATGATCATGGAATATTTTTCCATCTGTTTGTGTCATCTCTAATTTTTTGAGCAGTGTTTTATAGTTCTCCTTGAAGAAATTGTCCACCCTCCTAGTTAGCTGTATTCCTAGGTATTGTGTGTGTGTGTTTGTGTGTGTGTGTGTAAACTGTAAATGAGATTGCATTCCTGATTTGGCTCTCAACTTGACTGTTATTGGTATATAAATGCTAGTGATTTTTGCACATTTATTTTGTATCTTGAGTCTTTGCTGATGTTGTTTATCAGCTTAAGAAGATCTCAGGTTGATGTTTGGGTTGATGTTTTCTAGATACAGGATCATTTCATCTGCAGCAAAGATAGTTTGACTTCCTCTCTTCCTATTTGAATACGCCTTATTTTTTTCTCTTGCCCAATTGCCCTGCCTAGTATTTCCAATACTGTTGAATAGGAGTGGTGAGAGAGGGCATTCTTGTGCCAGTTTTCAAGTGGATTGCTTTCAGCTTTTGCCCATTCAGCATGATGTTGGCTGTGGGCTTGTCATAAATGGCTCTTATTATTTTGAAGTATGTTCCTTCAATACCTAGTTTAATTAGAGTTTTTAACAAGAAGTGATGTTAAATTTTATCAGAAGGCTTTTCTGCATCATTAATATAATCATGTGGTTTTTTGTTTTAGTTCTGTTTATGTGATGAATCTGTTTATTGATTTGTGTACGTTGAACCAATTTCAGGCTCATTATTGGTCTGTTGAGGAATTCAATTTCATCCTGGTTCAGTCTTGGGAGGCTGCACGTGTCTGAGAATTTACCCATTTCTTTTAGATTTTCTAGTTTATGTGCATACACGGGTTCATTATATTCTCTGATGGTTGTTTGTATTTCTCTGGGGTCAATGGTAATATTCCCCGTGTCATTCGTGATTGTGTTTATTCGAGTCTTCTCTTTTTTCAATTAGTCTAGCTAGCAGTCTATTTTATTATTTTTTTCAAAAAACCAGCTCCTGGATTTGCTGATCTTTTGAATGATTTTTTTGTGTGTGAAGGAACCCAATCTCCTTCAGTTCAGCTCAGATTTTGGTTCTTTCTTGTATTCTGCTAGCTTCGGGGTTTGTTTGCTCTTCGTTCTCTAGTTCTTTTAGTTGTGATGTTAGGTCATCACAACTAATGTGATGTGGACATTTAGTGCTATATATTTTCCTCTTAATACCCCCTTAGCTGTGTCCCGGAGATTCCGGCATGTTGTATCTTTGCTCCCATTAGCTTGTAATAACTTCTTATTTTCTGCCTTAATTTCATTATTTACCCTGATGTCATTCAGGAGCAGGTTGTTTAATTTCCATGTAATTGTATGAGTTTAAGTGAGTTTCTTAGTCTCGATTTCTAATTTGATTATGCTGTGGTCAGAGAGTGGTTTGTGCCAATTTCAGTTGTAACAAACTGAATTTGCTGAGGAGTCTTTTGCTTCCAATTATGTGATTGAATTTAGAGCATGTGCCATGTGGTGATGAGATGAATGTAAATTCTGGTTTGGGGGTGTGGAGAGTTCTGTAGATATCTATCGTGCTGAGTTCAGGTCCTGATTATCTTAGTCAATTTTCTGTCTTGATGATCTGTCTACTATTGTAAGTGGGGTATTAAAGTCTCCCACTATTATTGTATGGGAGTCTAAGTCTCTTTGAAGGTCTTTACAAATTTCTTTTATGAATCTGGGTGCTGCTGTGTTGGATGCATAGATATTTAGGAAAGTTAGATCTTCTTTTTTATTTATTTATTTATTTATTTATTTATTTATTTATTTATTTTTAATTATACTTTAAGTTTTAGGGTACATGCGCACATTGGGCAGGTTAGTTACATATGTATACATGTGCCATGCTGGTGCGCTGCACCCACTAACTCGTCATCTAGCATTAGGTATATCTCCCAATGCTATCCCTCCCCCCTCCCCCCACCCCACAACAGTCCCCAGAGTGTGATATTCCCCTTCCTGTGTCCATGTGCTCTCATTGTTCAATTCCCACCTATGAGTGAGAATATGCGGTGTTTGGTTTTTTGTTCTTGCGATAGTTTACTGAGAATGATGATTTCCAATTTCATCCATGTCCCTACAAAGGACATGAACTCATCATTTTTTATGGCTGCATAGTATTCCATGGTGTATATGTGAAAGTTAGATCTTCTTGAATGGAATGAATGGAATTCTCATGGGAACATGATCAGGGTTCTAAGATCCATGAAGGTGTCAGTTTGAGTGATACACATTTTTTTTTTTTTGAGACAGAGTCTAACACTGTCGCCCAGGCTGGGAGTGCAGTAGGGCAGTCTCAGCTCACTGTGACCTCCTACGTCCCAGGTTCAAGCGATTCTCCTGCCTCAGCCTCCCGAGTAGCTGGGATTACAGGTGCTTGCCACCATGCCCAGCTAATTTTTGTATTTTTAGTAGAAACGGGGTTTCATCATGTTGGCCAGGCTGGACTCAAACTCCAGACTTCAGATAATCTGCCGGCCTCTGCCTCCCAAAGTGCTGGGATTACAGGCGTGAGCCACTGCACCCTGCCTTGAGTGATATACTTTTTTATCTGCAACAACAGACTCTTAGAGATCATCACAGGTAGCTGGAGAAAAATGTAAGACCAGACCATTTGTAATTTCCCTTGGTCCAGACAATTGTTGGTCCTATGAGAAACTGAATCTGGTACTTTCTCAATGTGAACTAGGAATAGTTTCACTTCATAGGAAATTGCAACCTACTTATTTTAGAAAACTGAGTGATATTAGAGTATCACATCCTGTTTGTACTTCTCCATGGGGTGTAGAAAAAAAGACAAAAAGGGTTTTGTGTGATACTTGGGAGATGTGAGCTTTTATAAAGACAAATATATATATACACATATATATACACATGTATAGTTACTATTATAAGTATCTGGCATGAGAAAAGAGACAGGGAACCAAGATTCTTCTTTATAACACCTTTTTCTGACCAAGAATCGAACAGAAACACATACTTCTTCTCCTCAGACACCAAGACTCAGGGCTGTCTCCTTGCTCTCAGGCCAGTAAGGAGTCTCCACTTTCCACCTGTAGTTCTTACAGATGAAGCCCAGTTGTCCCTACATGCCTATATATACAATCACATTTATAGGTGTTTTAAATTTCAAAATCTCTAAAACGTGGGCCTCTTCCATTTTGTACTTGAGTTTATATTGCTAAGATGCATGCCTATTAATTTTTAGTTCCATATTATTATTATTGTTTTCAACTTTTATTTTAGAATGCGGGGGCACATAACGCATGTTTGCTAGAAAGGTATATTGCGTGATGCTGAGGTTTGGAGAACGAATGAATCCGTAGACCCAGGTAGTGAGCATAGCGCCCAACAGGCACTTTTTCAGCCCTTGCCCTCCTCCCTCTCTCCCCACTCTAAGTGTCTCCGGTGCCAGGGCCAGACTCTGTCTCAAAGAAAAAAAAAATCACAGGAAACATCCTGTTGTTATAGGCATTGACAAAGCGTTTACAGCTAAGTCCTTGAACGCAATTAAACAAAAATAACAACTGATGAGTGGGACCTCATTAACCTACAGATCCAGTGAAGGCCTAATATTCAGAATCTAGAAGCAACTTACACAAATCAGCAAGCAACAAACAAACAGCCCCATTAGAAAGTGTGCAAAGGACATGAACAGACACTTATCTATGTCCACATGTGCCCAGTGTTTAGCTCCTGCTTACAAGAATGTGCTATGTTTGGCTTTCTGTTTCCACATGGCATCACTTAGGCTAATGACCTCTAGCTCCATCCATGCTGCTGCAAAGGACATGATTTCCATTTTGATTGCTGTGTAGTATTCTATGGTCCATATATCCAATCCATTGTTGGATGAACACCTGGGTTTATTCCACATCTTTGTTATTGGGAATGGTGCTGCAATGAACATATAGGTGCATCTGCCTTTTTGGTAGAATAATTTATTTTCCTTTGGGCATATACCTACCAATGGGTTTGCTAGGCCGAATTGTAGTTCAACTCTTAGTTCTTTGAGAAATCTCCCAACTGCTGTCCACAGTGGATGAACTAATTTACGTTCTCACCAACACTTGTTCCATTTTCTTTGCAGCCTTACCAGCATCTGTTATTTTTTGACTTTTTAATAATAACTATTCTGAGTGGTGTGGGTATCTCATTGTAGTTTTAATTTGCATATCCCTACTGATTAGTCATATTGAAGATTTTTTGATATGCTTCTTGGACATATGTGTGTCTTCTTTAGAAAAGTGTCTGTTCACGTCTTTTGCCCACTTTTTAATGGGGCTGTTTGTTTTGTGCTTGTTGATTTGTGTAAGTTGCTTACAGATTCTGAATATTAGACCTTTGCTGGATCTGTAGGTTTATTAGGTCCCACTCATCAATTTTTGCTTTCGTTTAATTGCTTTTGAGGACTTAGCTGTAAATACTTTGCCAATGCCTGTATTAAGGAAGATGTTTCCTATTTTTTTTTCTTTGAGATGGAGCCTGGCTCTGCTGCCGAGGCTGGAGTGCAGTGGTGTGATCTCGGCTCACTGCAACCTTTCCCCACCAGGTTCAAGCGATTCTCCTGCCTCAGCTTCCCAAGTAGCTGGGATTACAGGCACCTGTCACCATGCCAGGCTACTTTTTTTTCTTTTTTGTATTTTTATTAGAGACAGGGTTTCACCATGTTTTCTTCTAGGATTCTTATAGGTTTAAATCTTACATTAAAGTATTTAATCTGTCTTGATTTAATTTTTGTATATGGTGATATGTAGGGTCTGTCCAGTTTCATTCTTTTGCATATGGCTAGCCAGTTATCACAGGATTATTTTTTGAATAGGCCTGTTTTTGTTGGCCTTGTTAAATATCAGATGGTTGTAGGTGTGTGGCTTTATTCTGTTTCATTGGTCTATGTGTCTGTTTTTGTACCAGTGCCATAATGTTTTGGTTACTGTAGCCTTGTATTACAGTTTTTTTAAAAATGTATTTTATTTCAATAGCTTTTGGGGTACAAGTGGTTTCTAGTTGTATGAATGAATTGTATAGTGGTGAAGCCTGAGATTTTACTACACCCATCACCCAAGTAGTGTACATTGTACTTGGTACATAGTATTTCATTACTCACTCTCCACCCCCTCTCTCCCTTCTGGGTCTCCAGTGTTCATTACACCCCTTTACATGTCTTTGATTACCCATAACTTGGCTCCCACTTATAAAGTGAGAGCATATGGTATTTGGCTTTCCATTGCTGAGTTAGTTCACTTAGTGTCATGGCCCCCAGCTTCATCCAAGTTGCTGCAAAAGACATTATTTCATTTTGTTCAATGGCTGAATAGTGTTTTCTTGTGTATATGTGCCACATTCACTCATCAGCTGATGGACACTTACGTCGATTCCACATCTTTGCAATTATGAATTTTGCTGCAATCAACATTTGTATGCAAGTGTGTTTCTGATGTAATGATGTCTTTTCCTCTGGGATGTACACATTTGTTGACTGCAGTGGGATGCTAGTGGGTGCAGGGGTGCTGGCCTCCATGTCGGTGTTCAATGCGGTGGCGTCAGCAAGACTGGGTGGGGTGCGCGGGAGCCCCGCAGGCGTTCGTGTGCGCATTTGCACCGGTAGTGGTGTTAGCAAGGTGGCGGGGCTCCGGCCTCATGGGACTGTGTGCACCCTCTGTGTGCACTTCCACGCTGGCGGCTGCTGCTGTTTGCGGTGGGGGTGGATCCGCTGGTCTCCCTGTGTGTGATCACACCGGTGGTAGTGTTGGCGCCGGGAGGGTGGAGGACAGATGGGTACTGGACAGGGAATCTCTGTACCCACGAATGCTCTGACAGCAGTCCCAGTGCTCGGGGGTCGTTGGGTGAGTGGGTGAACTCACACCGGCAGCTGTGGCACTGCGAGGTGCACGTGCAACACACATGCCGTTGGGGAGGGGAGAGAAGGTCTGCTCAGGAGCACATAATGCTGGCAAAGCCCTGGCGGCAGTGGCTGTGGGCGAGCGAGTGCAAGCAAAGTGGCTCGGGGACACTGAGGTGGGGCGAGGGAGTGGGGCGGGCTGGTGAAGTTTGCAGGAGTGAGATACACTATGTGAGATTTCCTCGGTTATAAATAGCCTTGGGGTTTTGGCTTTCTCAAACACCAGCTTTGGTAATGAACCGGCCATGTGAACAGACTCAGGACCTCTTGGTTATCCAGGGGGTTGCTGGCAATGGTGATAGCTGAGGACATGCACACGTGTTCTCCTTCCTGGGTGCTGTGTTATTGAGCCTGCGGATGCTGTCCTGCACGGTGTCAGTCGGCCTCCAGCCCGGAGGCAGCGGTTGCAAAAGCGCTCCACATCTTTGCAATTATGAATTTTGCTGTGTTGGTCTTCATGGGCTTTTTGCCTTCCTTATGTTACGCAAGGGAGGCTGTCCGGTGTCTCAGGCAAAGGGCGAGGCCATTGAGCTCCCGAAAGTCTTTGTCCTTTGTGTTAACCTACCAGGGTGGGGGTATGGGCAGAGGCAGGTGCGGGCTGGGTCAGCCTAGTCCGTGCTCTCGCTTTCCAGGTGCTAAGTGGGTTCAAGCGAACCCTCCCCAGTAGCTGGAATTACAGGCGCACACCACACGCCAGGTTAATTTTTGTATTTTCAGTAGAGACGGGTTATTGTCATGTTGGCCAGGCTGCTTTTGAACTTCTGACCTCAAGTGATCTGCCTGCCTCGGCCTCCCAAAGTACTGGGACTACAGGTGTGAGCCACTGTGCCTGGCCGAAGATGGAACTCTTATTTCCAATATTGGAACTGTCAAATAGGACCTTTATTAGTGGAATTCTAGGAGAGAAGGAGGCACCGTGTTAAATGGGGCTCACACCTCCCACATCATCCCCCAGGCCTGGGCTCTGAGAGGCAAGATGCCCCGAAGAGCAAACCTCCTTCCTGAGGGCAGAGCCTGGGGCTGGGGCCCCTGAGTGTCCCCTCACTGTTACCACCAGCTGCAGGGGGTCTCTGAGTGCTCACCTGCCAGCAGGACTGAAATACTCACAGCAATATTCCCCTGCATGGTGCTTTGTCCTGAGTGAGACGGAGGACTCACGCTGTCCTGGGCTTCGGCGAGCTCTGTGTGCTCCTGAACACTGGGCTTTCCTCTTTATCCAGACCACACTCCTGAGCCTCTAGGGTCTCCTGACACCAGAGGGCCACGGGCCTCCCCTAGGTTATTACAGAGTCTGGTTCAGCCCTGAACGTGGGTTTGGGGAGGGTCCCTGGAAGGAAATCAGAAACTGGGTCCTATATCATTTACCACCCCTCAGATCCCAGCTTTCAGCCCAAGATCCCCCCATGATCCCTCTCAGTCAGCCCAGAGTTGCTGTTCTCCAGCCCCAGCTGCCCGGGGGTGGGACCCTGTCCCCGGTGAGGAGGAGGGACCTGGGACAGCTGGGGACAGACTCACCTGCCTGCACGCAGGTCCTGAGGCCCAGACTCAGCCCTGGAAGAGAGTTCCCGCTGAGAGATTTGCCCCTGAAGCCTGGGCAGGTCCTCTCCTTCCTGAGATCTTCCCTAATCCCCTGGGGTCTCCTACTGGACCAGGGCCTACCTGTGGGGCAGGGTCCCTCTCATGCTAGAATCTCCCATTCCCCTTGTCAAATCTCAGTGAAGTGGACCATGGCCGTGTGGGTGAGAGTCATGATGTTTCCTCCTACTGGCCCCGGCTGTGTGGGTGGATAAGACCATGGTGTCCACAGAACACACACAAAGGAAGGGTTCTCTCCCTTACAGGATTTTCCCACCAGCATCTCCATGGGTAGTGTACTGTCCCGGACCCCGCCACGAGCCTGGCTCTTGTTTTCCTAGTGCTTGGCCTGAGACAGGTACCAGGCTTTCTGTTGATATTTCAGACACACATGGGGTCTCTCCTCATCTCCTTTCACTGTCTGCCTGTCCTGTCCTCTTCTCATTAAGGGCCAGGACGTGGCTGCAAATGGACGTGGTGCCTTCCTGAGTTGATCCCTTCCAGGTGAAGGCAACGGAGGGTTCTTCCTTCCTCTCAGAGCCTCCTCATGGGGTTTCACTCTCTCCTTCAGCTCACCCATAAACACACTCTTGTGGGGAAACTACCATGGCCAGTCTTCTCACCAGTCCTGGGGAAGCTTCAGGGAAGATGCAAATTCAGGCTGCGGGGCAGACTCACATCAGCAGAGACTCATCTCACATCTTGCTCTGCAGTTCCAGTTGAGCTTTATTGCGGCAATGAACAGAAAGGGGAAATACAGGGAGACAAGGGAAGGAATCATGACTCTTTCCCCAGAACTGGAGTGTGGGTTTTCTTTATGCAAAAACGTTCCCTTCACGAACTTCTCATTGACTCATCGCAACAGCATCCGCCCCCGTCTCCCTGGAAACAACATTGACCTGACTCTGCCTTCTTGGTGCCCCCGTCTTCTTTCAAACACTCCTGTTCCCATCCTGTGCTCCTGAGTTCAAGGTTCTGGGACAATACGTGGGGTTAGCACTCTGCTTTGAGGGGAAATCTTGTCTTTATTTAAATATTCTTGTGTCACCCCCTGCCTGTGTGAACTTGGGCAGTAACCTCCCATCTCTGAGCCTTGGTTTCCTCATTTGGAGCCTGTCATGAACCCCATTTATCACAGGGGAGCTGGGTCATTGGAGCCTGGGGGCTGCAGGGGGCTCAGCCATGGGTAATTTCCAGAGCAGGTGAAGACAGGAGGGGTGGGGGCATGAGGGGATGCTGGCGCCCACCATCAAGGCCTGAGATTGATGTTTCCACTAAGGAGAGCCCCTTTGTTCCTGCCCTTGAGAGATGCTTCTCATAATATTTCATCAACACCCCGGTTATCACAGTCATGTCCAGAAAATGAGAAATGAAAGTTCATCAGAAGGAGAAGGATACACACGAAACAGAGAGGGCATCTGTGTCTGGTGCCATTAGGGGTCATTAGGGAGGAAGTTTCCATTTCTGTGCAGAACAGAAAAGGGGCCCTGGGTCCTCACAGGCAGAGAAGGGCCAGGGCTCTGGGCAAGGCTGAAAGCTGTGATGGAATATGTCTATTTACCGACCCAGGCCCATGGCCACCACTGAGCCAACTCCCCTGGGTGTGTGTGAAACAAATTCATTCACTGCAGAGTTCTTACATGTGGGTATCTGTATCATGTGTGGGTATGAGTTTTTTTTTTTTTTTTGAGATGGAGTTTTGCTCTTGTTGCCCAGGCTAGAGTGCAGTGGCATGATCTCCACTCACTGTAACCTCCACCTCCCAAGTGATTCTCCTGCCTGATTCTCATGACCAAGTGATTCTCCTGCTTCAGCCTTCTGAGTAGCTGTGATTACAGGTGCCCACTACCAGGCCTGGCTAATTTTTTTGCATTTTTAGTAGAGACGGGGTTTTGTCATGTTGGCCAGGCTGGTCTTGAACTCCTGGCCTCAAGTGGTCTGCCCACTTCGACCTCCCAAAGTGCTGAGATTACAAGCATAAGCCACCGTGCCCGGCCATGAGTGTGAATTTCACATGCATTTTTTTCCTTCTGGGAGCAACCTGAGCAGACACTATGTTTGGGAAATGAATGCCACGTGTCATCAGTAGCTGGAACAGTCCCCCATTTTCAGTCCTGGATTACTAAAAACTGCCTTGAGAGGATCCCTCCATGGTAGCTCAGGAGTGTAGGAGGTGAGTGTCCAACAAAAATAGACAACCAAGAGCCATCCTTCTAATGATAAAAAGTGCTATGATCATCAGTCTACACATTTGTTGATAAGGATTATTATGTGCAAAGAAATAGAATACTAGGAACGCATAAGACCCTTTTTCAATTAAACATGTTTAAATATCTGAAAAAAATACAAGAGGAAATTAAATTTCTGAGACAAGAATATGGATTATACTGGCAAAAAATGAGCATCAGAGAAATGAGTTAGAAATCCTAGAGGCAAAAATTCAGTTGAAGAAGCACACTCAAAATATTTATTCTATCAAGGTCAAGATACAGCTAAAGAGACATTTATTAAATTGGAAAACAAAATTGGGAGAATTTTCCAGAATGCACTATGGAGACACCAAAAGTGAAAATTCACCATATTTGGGGGAATATTGTGAGGAGGGAGAACCTCATATCTATTGTACGTGTCAGAAGGAAAGAAGGGAGAATAATGTCTGGCAACAGCTCACGAATTAAAGAGTTGAACATTTGACAGAGACGAGGAAAGACTAATTAAGTGCTAAGATGCATACATTTAAACATGCAATGTAAACCTTGACCTACCATGATAAATTGAAAAATACCAGAAGTAGATTAAAAAGTATATATGCTAGACTGAAATTGTCTAGCATAAATTGTATAGTTTAAAACACATTTTTGTGTCCTGTGATTTTCAACTCAACATGTCAGTAGAATAGCATGATCACTGGGATCGGACTTCCCAACAGAAAAATGAAAGGCAAGGAAATGTTGAAAATGTACTCTCAAGGGATTAACAGCAAGTGAGGAACTCTATGCTTACTCAGGTTAATACCTAAAAGTTAAAGGGGTCAGCAGGGGACCAATTCCTAAGCAGAAAAAGGCTCAGAGCAAGACAGACCTGTGAAGCCCATTAGGTTGGGCTTCCCCTGCATGAGGGCTGAGGAGGGATTGGAGGGTGGATCCCTCAATCATCAGATGTGCTTTCTCTTCCAGGTGTTATATCTTACCCTTTAATTAATATAGAAATGTTTTCATCTATTTTGATAGAGAAAGTGGGAGGAAAAATAAAGCATTATCTGAGCTGCAAGTTACTAGATATTACTGTTTTCATACTCAGTGAAAGCAATTTTAAATGATGTTATCCAGATAGATCAATGAATCCAAAATGTAGGATGTGAGATGCCGGTGATGAAAAGTGGGAAACAGGCAAGTATTTGAAAATTGCATGCACGCACACACACGAATGTAACTACACACACATATAAGAGTACATGTCTTTTCTAAAGGACAAGGATAAATGAATCTTCATTCAAAAATATATAATCGAATACTTAACTAAATTCATGAAATTATTCTAAATTATTCATTTTTTACCCCGTATGTTAAAGAGTGATTCCCCTACTCAGGATGAGTTAAATAGCCCAACACCCCCAATAACACATTAGGCATGAGACACAATAGTATCATCTAATATAAAATCATAATTTAAAATCAGTAAGGGAAGAAAGACATGCTGTTAAAATTATCTATTAGAAACATTAATAGTCCACAAAATGTAACATAATACAAAACTTTTTTGAAAATAGTGAAGTTTTATGTTTTAATGAAGGTATTAAGTGCTGGGTACGGTGGCTCACACCTGTAACCCAGCACTTTGGGAGACTGAGGTGGGAAGATCACTTGAGCCCAGGAGTTCAAGACCAGCCTGGGCAACATAGTGAGACTCATCTGTGTTAAAAAAAAAAAAAAGAGAGAGAGACGGTATAAAAAATGATAAAATAATTGTAAACTTTCATTCATCTAACCATGGGTTATTGAAATATATACAACATAAATTTGTATATATTTGGTGATTCAAAGAAATATTTATCAAGAACTGAGAGGTTAAGAAAAAAAATGAATGAGTATACAACTTAATGTTCAATCTGAATTACATACATATGGTAAAACTCTCTAGTTACATATGTTATAGGGTTTGTATATAGAAAAACAAATTCTATGTATGTATACATATATATGTTAATTTGTGTATATATTTACCTATTATGTACATAAGCACTATATGTATACACACACGGTATATATGTGTGTAGATGTGTAAAGAAATGTTACACAGTTTGTATGGAAAAAGAATTCACATATATATTCTGATATATTGTATACATACACTTACTCTAGGTGTTATGTGTGTATATATTTACATATTGCATACAAATACATTATATGTGGATATATAGTATGTGTAGATGCCACTGTACAGTATATATGTGTGTGTGAGTATATATATGTGTGTATATTAATGAACACATACCTCAAAGGGGGGAATGCCCATATTTATGACATACATTGCACGTAAAATGTTAAGTATTTACTGGACAAGGAAGGAAAAATCTCCAAATTTTTCTAAATGACTATCTTATACATTTTATTCCCAGACATGATTGTTATTTAGTTTGAAGTTAACAATAAAAAGATATTATGAGAAAACCTCAATATTGCTCAAAATTAATAAAATCCTCAGTCATTTTGTACGATATATATTTGAATTCATGATGTACTAAGAAATATTTTGCTAGATGGGTGTTTGTATTTTATATTGTTTGGATAATTATTTTACTTTTTAAGGCATATGAAGAATTCCATTTCCATTTTATGAAATAGGAGTCCTGAGGAGATTGCCATGGATCCAGCAAGGAATTTCTGGCAGAGGAAAGTAGACAGCAGTACTGGGAAAAATCACTGTATGAAAAACCGAGGAAGAAGGAATTAGGGCTCCCGGATGGGGTGAAGACCCACCTGCAGAGTGTCTCCGAGCCCTGAGAGTGGAGCAGTGTGTTCAGGACCCTGAGCCTGTGGAAGGAATCTTCTCTGAGATGTGAGTCTATGGAATGTGTGTTGTAAGACCTGCCTTTTCTTAGTATAATCCAGCAAAAGCCCATGGGTGAGGACTCAGTTTTATTTTAGGGGATGTGGGGACAGTATATTTTCTATTCATATTTATGCAAATTTCATAGTGCTTGTCAGTCATGTAGAAAGCAGAGGTCAGTGTGTTCACAGGATTCATACCCAAGAGTCTGGAGACACACGTGGGGTCCATGGGAAAGGCTGGTGGCCAGGTATGGCGGGAAGGTAATCAGCGACAGACGCCAGAGTCTCCTGCTTGATCTTGCCGAAATCTGGCTCAAATGTTTGGCCTGGCACAACCAAACTAGAACTTGGAAGATGCTGTATAGGTAAAACATAATATTGTAATCATTCATATTCTGTTAAGGCTTTGAAAATGTCCTTAATAAGATTTCTTTATTCTAGAGGGTAGATGGCAAATGATAACATTTCTTTATTCTGGAGGGTAGATGATGAATGATAAGATTTCTCTATTCTAGAGGGTAGATGGCGAATGATAAGATTTGTTTACTCTAGAGGGTAGACGGTGAATGATAAGATTTCTTTATTCTAGAGGGTAGATGGCGAATGATAAGATTTCTTTATTCTAGAGGGTAGATGGTGAATGATAAGATTTGTTTACTCTAGAGGGTAGACGGTGAATGATAAGATTTCTTTATTCTACAGGGTAGATGGCGAATGATAAGATTTCTTTATTCTAGAGGGTAGATGGTGAATGATAAGATTTCTTTATTCTGGAGGGTAGATGGCAAATAGCTGCTCCCTTTGTCCTAGAAAGTTGAGGACTATTTGATCCCTCATGTTTTTCAGGATCCTCCCTCCAAATATTCCATCCTATGCAGCAGGGTTTTACATCCTTCAAACACAACAGTGGTCTTGGACCTAGACATGTTGAACTCTTTAATGCTAGGACTCAAGTCCTCTTGCTGTTTGCGACAATTCAGAAAAGAATCAGCCCCAGTCATTTTGCATACTTCTGCCTGACTGTCCTAGGTGAGTAGAAAAAAACAGCTCAACTGCTTGTCAAGATTCATCGACCTGAGGTCTTGTCTGCAGCTGGATTTCTATCCTGCTTCCGTGATTTTCCTTTCGTGGATCACCAACACACTGCAAATGCCTATCATTGCTTTTGACGTGGTGTACTTTGGTTCTGCCTGGAAAGGCAGGAAGTCTCGAAGTGAGGAGCTCACAGGTCAAAGGAGATTGAAATGTTTTCAGACAGAATAGGCAAATCCGTAGAGACAGAAAGCACATTTGTGGTTAGCAGGTGCTGGAGGGAAGAGGGAATGGGGAGTGGCTGCTGAATGGGTGTAGGGTGATGACCATGTGTGGAACAGGATGGCAGTGATGGTTACACAATGATCTAAGGAGAAGCTGCACAGGTAGCATGTGAGAAGGAGGGAAGGGCTCGTAGGGTTCAGAGAGGGTGTCAGGGCATCAGGGTGGATTTATCTTTTCCTGGTTGAAATCCGATACTCTCCCATTGATTTAGTTACTGAAGCACGTTTGGAACTCTGAATTGAAGAGATGGAGGCTCAGTAAAGCACACCAGGGAGTATGGCAATGAGTAATAAAGAAGACTGTGTTACACACCATGGACCAGAGCACACAGATGTGCAGAGGTGTGGACCCAACGCTGCCATGTGGGATGTAGCCTCATGTCTGTCTGGGGGTGGGGAAAGAAGAGGATCCAACCAAGGGAAGTCAACATTAATAGAGAGGAAAGGTATCACAGGTTAATGGTCCTTCATGGATCACTCCAGAAAATGTCTCTGCAATCCAACACTGATTCCTCCCTCTAAAAATGATTGGCAGACAGTCCAGATAGCATCAGCCCTAAATTGTCTCCCGGAACCTCCTGGCATCATCAGATCTGTTCCCAAGGCTCCACCACTCTGAAGGGTACATTCTTCTCTCTGCTGTTCACCTCCCGGCTGCATCTCAGAGGCTTCTCTGGCTGTGCTGAGCCTCAAATAGCAGAATCCCGAGGACCACCAGGACCAAGCCAGCTATGCCCATGCGGATGAGATTCTCCACTGTGTAATCCTGGGGGTGTGAGGCTGGGGATGGTGGGCAAAGAGGTCACAGAGGTCAGGGCAGATCAACTTCACCCAGGACCTCTGGATGTCCACCCAGAGCACCTCCTTACCCTTGACAGGACCCAACCCTTGTGCCCAGCACCGTAAACGAGAGCATCTCCTCACTCACCAGTCTTGTTTTGTGATGGGCTGAGGGTGTTAGCTGCTCCTGAGAATAAAAACAGAGGGGAAGAGCCCTGAGCCAGCCTCTCCCCTGGGCTCTGCATTCTTATCTTCCCCTATGTCTTCTGACATGAGTTCTAGGGAGTTCCTCAATAAACCCTTCCTGTGTAGCAGGGTTCCCTCCAGTGTCCTTATTGAATTATTTCAGATTTCTTGCATTCTAGAAATTCGAATGTTACTCCTGAGGCATTTGGGGAGGGCGTTTTCCTGCACTCTGGGAGCTCAGGATCTGCAAAGGAATACAGAAGTCACTGAGCCCTGTGCGCTGTCTGTGCAGCCAGGGACACAGGAGCACATGAGCCAATTCCCCCAGAGATGAGAGTTTCACTTATCCACCAGCGGAGGACCCAGGCTCCATGCATGGGAGGTTGGTCTGCAGGGGCTCCCCAGTGTCAGAAGCACAAAGGGGTGAAAGTCTGGGGGTGCTTCTTCTTCACACAGCCTCAGCCAGTTCACCTGGGGTTTCATCTTCCATTTAATCTCTAGTTAACTAATTCCTCATATAGGCAGTAACACCTAGAATGCAATACAGTTTCCCACATTCACACACACATACAAACATATATATATATATGCTAAATGGAGATGTCACTCAAGGTTCATAAATCAGTATTTGTTTTTATGAAGTGTGAATCTAGGTGAATCTAGACCAGGAACAAACATGTAAACACCTACCGCATCAAATATATTAAGCATATGCATGAATATACATCAAATGAATTTGGATATACTTACACACATATTCAAAAGTATCTTACTTAACCACACATAAATATGTATATATGTAAAACTTCAGATATTTATTTAAGATGTAGTAACATATATATTGACATTTAAAGTGAGAAATATTGGCACATAATTTAGAAATAAAGAAGTAAAATTTCCCATTGTCTTACGGTTTATACAAATTGTATTAGTAAATTAGAGGAGATCCATTGAAAAGCAGTTAGAACAGAGCAATTTAGTAGTGAGTTAGCATGAAATACAATGAATATACTCAAAGCAGTAGCTTTCTCATGGATAGTTATCTCTTATTTTAAAAATGTAAAGGAATGAAATACTTCACTTATAAATCATTAAAGGTGTTGAAGAATTCTTTAAATTAGAATGAATGTAATTTTTTAAAATGTCCACCCAGGACACCCAGCTCCCCTTGACAGGACCTGACCCTCTGTGCCCAGCGTCATCACGGCAAGCATCTCCTCACTCACCAGCCTTGGAATCGGACTTGTTTTGTGGTGGGCTGAGGGTCTCAGCTGCTCCTGAGAATCAAAACAGAGGAGAAGAGACATATTCAGAGGTAACTTATATAACAAATTCTATATAAGATTATGTATAACTTATATAACCTCCCTGTCAAGGAGAGGTGGGTGTCCTGGGTAGACATTTAAAAAATTATATTCAGGCCAGGCACAGTGGCTCATGCCTGTAATCCCAGCATTTTGGGAGGCTGACGTGGGCAGATCATGAGGTCAGGAGTTCAAGACCAGCCTAGCCAACATGGTGAAACCCTGTCTCTACTAAAAATACAAAAATTAGCGGGGCATGGTGGCGGGCGCCTGTAATCCCAGCTACTCGGGAGGCTGAGGCAGGAGAATTGCTTGAAACTGGAAGACGGAGGTTGCAGTGAGCCAAGATTTCACCACTGCACTCCAGACTGGGCAACAAGAGCAAAACTCCATCTCAAAAAAAATTTTTTTTAATTATATTCGTTCTAATTTAAAGAATTATTCAACACCTTTAACAATTTATAAGTGAAGTATTTGATTCCTTTACATTTTTTAAAACGAGAGATAAGTACTCATGAGAAAGCCACTGGTTTGGGTATATTCATTGTATTTCATATTAACCCACTACCAAATTGCCCTGTTCTAATTTAAATCTAAATTAACAATTTAAAGCACTTTTTTCATATAAAAGACGTTTATTTAGATGTTAGAATTATCCAGTGATTGGACAAGGTTGGGCATGAACCCCCCAGGCCCAGGGCTGAGCTGCACTGTAGCTCCCGCTGACCTCCCCCGGGTTTCTCATGCCACAGGGAGCCGCCCAGTCAGTTTCGCTCGGGCCATTGTGCTTGGAAACATCCAAACATTTCTGAAGTTCGTTAAGGAAACCTCGATTTTTAATATGTACAGGAGGAAGACTTGAGGTTAATGAAAAATGGATGTCTACATTGAATATATAAATTAAATCAAGCCCCAATGAAAGGCAAAGTAAAATTAAATGTTTTTAAATAATAGGTTCATATAATTGAAATAAAAAATATAAATTTATATATTGAAGTATTGCTTTAAAAGTTTTAGTAAAGGAGAGAGCATACATATAGAAAGCATACGTACAGAAAATACAGTGTAGAAATGAATGACATATGAGACGTGCTGTGAATCATTCCCTAACTCATCCAGGGAGCAGGTGCACGGTCCCTCCTTAGTCTCCGGGTGCCCTGAGCACAGAGCCTTGGTGGGATCTGACTGTGGTGAGGGTTGAGTCCACCCAAAACGTGCTCCTTTAGAGAGAAGCACTCCAGCTGTGGGTGCCGCTCACACGGCCCCTCCTGTGCTCACCTGGTGGGCTTGGGCTCAGGGCACCCCTGAGACTAAGGAGGGGCCGTGCACTTGCTCCCTGGCAAGTTAGGGAATTATTCACAGCACGTGTTGTGTATCACTCATTTCTGCTCGGGGTGGACTTCACCCTCATCACAGTCAGATCCCACCAAGGCCTCCTCTCTTGTCTTGAGATGGCCCAGGGACCCTACAGGTGTGGGTGAGGGGTTCATCCTCAGGGGCCCTTGGAAATGAGAAATGAGAGCTGCCAAGGGACCGTCTGTCTGTCCTCTTTCCAACTCGCCCGCCTCTGTTCCTCCTCCATCAGCCCCAGCATCTTCCACGTGTCCAAGTCAGGCTGGACCCCAAATCCTGCTGACCCGACCTGTTCTCCCTCTTCTACTCGTCACACATCCTGCAGGACAAGGTCGGGGTGTGGGGTCCTGCAGAGCTGTGCCACGTGTTGCTTTCAGTAGAAAATTGGAGAGATTTTGTTATGTACATGAGACAGTGGAGAGTCTCAACCAGAGGTGATGTCTCCTGGAATCCTGCTCGGGGAGGGGGAAAGACCCCGCTGCTCCACTCATCAATGCTGAACCTCAGACACCTCTCTCCCCTCTGAACACCACGGAGGGAACACCTGCCCCATCCCTGGAGCACCAGGAAGCCATGCAGACCACACCCTTACTGTCCACCCTCCCCTCTGCTGCCCTGGAAATCAGACCCTGAATATTAGAGGTAGCATTGAGATGAGTCTAGAAACTTCTTTAGAGCTGGGAGTGACTGGGTTTTTGTCACCCATGGGGTCAGGACTTAGAGGTTGGGATCCCCAGAGGCTCTGATTCTGAGGTGGAGACATCAGGAGGGGAGCAGGTGGGGCCTCTGTCTTTCACCCTCAGTCTACTCTCATCTCCTCTGAGGTTCACCCCCATCTCCTCCCAGCCTTCCCTGCTCTTTACCCTACTGAGACTACAAGGGTGGGAGCCAGGGGTGGGAGGCCCCGTCTATTTCCACCCTCCCATGGGCTCGACCCTCCCCCGCAGACCTTCCCCCTTCACTCCACTCTTTTCTTTTCCTTTTTTTTTGAGATGGAGTCTCGCTGTCTTGCCCAGGATTGAGTGCAGTGGCATGACATCAGCTCACGGCAAGCTCCGCCTCCCAGGTTCATGCCATTCTCCTGCCTCAGCCTCCCGAGTACCTGGGACTACAGACACCTGCCACCACGCTTGGCTAATTTTTTCTATTTTTTAGTGGAGACGGGGTTCACTGTGTTAGCCAGGATGGTCTCGATCTCCTGGCCTCCTGATCCACCCGCCTGGGCCTCCCAAAGTGCTGGGATTACAGGTGTAAGCCACCGTGCCCAGCCAACTCCCCTCTTTTCTTAGTGTCCAGAGCTCTCCTGGGGGGCAGGGCCTGAGCTGATCCTTTGAGCTCGGAGAGGACAGGGTCAGGGCCCTCACCTGAGACCATGAGCTCCAGGGAGTCACTGGGGTGAGACAGCAGGTAGGGGTTGGAGCTGAGTGAGCCGTAGCACCTGTAGGTCCCCGAGTGGGCTGAGGTCACAGGACTCATAGGGAATTCAGCCTGGTACTTAGGATATTCGTGTATTGATCTGAGACGGAGGGGGGCATCAGCTGCTCCCGCCTTGGTCAGAAGGAAAGTGTGGAACGGCCCCCATGACTGACACAGCAGGGTCACGTTCTCTCCTGAGGCCACCGTGGGGCCCGGATGCACCGAGATGAAGGGTCTGCCACGGAACTGTCCTGGAGAGAAGAAGGATGGGTGAGAGGCTGCCCCACCTTGTTCTGAGCTGACGCCTCCCCAGGCTTCTATCTGGGACCCTCAGTCTCTATCTCTGTTTTCTCTGAGTCTTCCCCGCCCCGCCCATCCCCTGTCTCTGTCTGTCTCTCCCTCCCTTGGGACCCCCACCCCTCATTCCGGCCATCACCACCTGGGCTCCCCTGGCAGGGCCTGTGCGGAGCCTGTGTCCCTGACTGAACCCGCTGGGCTCCTCACCTGCGATCAGGATGTCCAGGGGGTCGCTGGGGGCCGACCACTCGGAGGAGAGGTTGTATGCACCGGAGCATCTGTACTGGCCCCCGTAGGAGCGGCTCACAGGGCCCAGGGTGAAGTTGGCCTGGGAGAGCCCAGCCTGGGGCTGTGGGCCAGGGAGCTGGAGGAAGTCACGTTCTCCCTCCTTATACAGAACAAATCTGTCGTAGCTGACATCAGAAACACACTGGAGGGTCAGGCTCTCCCCAGGGGCCACTATAGGACCTGGCTGCACTGAGAGTGATGGCTTCTTAGAAACACCTGGGAAAAGGTGCTCATGGTTTCCAGGAGCCGACCCTCAGGCTTCCCCACATATCCTCCCTCTCCCCCGGGGCCTCACCACTGCTGATCTTCCTGTGTCTCCGGCCCCAGGAGCCCTGAGCCCTCTCGCCCCAACATCATCCCACCTGGAGCTGCCCTGAGACGTGGCTGCTCCCCACCTGCCTGGAGACTCAGGGAGACTCAGGGAACTCCAGGCAATGCTGTGAATTTCTCACCTAGGACCAGGAGCTCCAGGAGATCACTGGGTAGAGACCACACATGGGGAGAGTTCGAGTCATAAGCATAGCACCTGTACGACCACCTGCGACTCGGGCTCACGGGGCCCACAGAGAAGATGGCCCGGGACCACCCATGGGTACGGGGCTGTGAGTTCAGGCATTGTGGGTGTTCATCTTCTCCTTCCTTACACAGAATGAAGCTGCCAAATGCCACCTGTGAGACACAATGGAGGGTCACGTTCCCTCCTGAGGTCACCACAGGGCTGGGTAGAGCTGAGAGGGTGGGTTTGATGTAGGCTCCTAGGAGAGAAGGAGGCACCATGTTAAATGGGGCTCACACCTCCCACTTCATCCCCAGGGCTGGGCTGTGAGAGGGAGATGCCCCTGAGAACTGACTCCCTTCCTGAGGGCAGAGCCTGGGGCTGGGAGCCCTCAGTGTCAGCTCACCTGTCACCACCAGCTCCAGGGGGTCACTGGGCTCTGACCAGCCTGCAGTGTGGCTACCGTAGAAACAGCGATACCGCCCTGTGTGTTCCCAGGTGATGGATGGGATGGGGAACTGGCCCTTCTTCACAATCTCCTGTGGGATCCGTGTAATCCAGGGTGCTGTTTTCTTTTCTCTATACAGACGGTACTCCTGGGTCTCCAGGATCCCCTGACACCAGAGGGTCACGGGACTCCCCTGGGTGATCACAGAGCCTGGCTCAGCCCAGAGTGTGGGCTTGGGGAGGGTCCCTGGAAGGAAATCAGAGTTCAGATTCTAAGTCATTTCCCACCCAACATATCTCAGCTCTCAGCCCAGGACCCTCCAGATGCCCCCATCAGTCAGTCCAGAACTGCTATTCCCCATCCCCAGCTGCACGGGGGTGGCCCCTTGTCCCCAGTGAGGAGGAGGGACCTGGGAGAGCTGGGGACAGACTCACCTGCCTGCACGTGGGTCCGGGGGCCCAGACTCAGCCCTGGAAGAGAGTTCCCTGTGAGGAATTTGCCCCTGAAGCCTGGGCAGGTCCTCCCCTCCCTGGGATCTTTGTGAGCCCCTGGGGTCTCCTTAGGGACTAGAGGTCGGCTGTGGGGTGAGGTCCCTCCTAGGTTAGAAGCTCCCCTCCCTCTTCAAATCTCACTGAGACAGATCAGGACTGTGACGATGGGGGTCATAGCGTCTCCTCCCACTGCCCTGCTCTGCGGATGGATGAGCCCTCGGTGCTGGCAGGACAGAGACACACAGAGAGAAATAGCCTCCCCTCCTTCCCACCCAGTGTGGACACTCGGAGGCTGGGTCCTTCTCATGGGGTGTTGTCATCTGCAGCCACACAGGAAGCAGAACTACCCTACCAGGAGCCTGACTCTCATTCTTTTAGAGCTGAGGTGGGGGCAGGAACCAGGCCCTCTGCAGACATTTCAGACTGTAATGGGGTCTTTCCTGACCCCCAGCCACTGTCTGTCTGGTTTCTCCTCTTCTCACTGAGAGACGGGATGTAGCAGCAAATAGAACTGGTGCTTTCTGCGTCTGCCCTTCCAGATGAGGGTAACGGAGGCTTCCCTTTCCTTCTCACAGCCTCCCACATGGTCACCCTCCCTCCTTCAGCCATCCATCAGCTCAGCGTTGTGGGGTCCTTACCATGGCAGTCGTCCCTCCAGCCCTGGAGATGCTTCAGGGAAGACCAAGGTCCATGCTGCAGGCAGACTCAGATCAGCAGAGAAGCATCTCGCATCTGGCTGTGTAGCTCAGGTTGAGCTGCGTGTGGCAGTGAGCACAGAGGAGAAATGCAGGGAAATAGGGGAAGAAAAGTTGACTTCTTTCTTGACACTGGATTGTGGGTTTTCTTTCAACCAAATAGTCCCCTCTCAACTTCCCCTTTTTAAAATATTTTGCTACAGTGTCCACTCCCACCCGCTGGGAACAAACATCTGAGACTTTCCTGCCTCCTCGGTGCCCTTTGCTTACTTGGCCATCCCTCTGCACCTCAATCCCTGTTCAACGTTTTGAGAACAATGACTTATGTTTGAGCTTTGATTTGGGGAGTGGGGGAGGGAGTTGATATTTATTTGATGACTGGTTATCATCCGCTGCCTACATGACCTTGGTTTGTAATGTCCCATCACTGAGCCTCAGTTTCCTCCTTTGCAGATTGTTGTCATGAATCCCACTGGTCACAGTGGTTGTTGGGTCAGTGGTGCCTGGGACATTCGGAGGGGCTCATTTGTGCTTGATTTCCAGACCAGGGTAAGACCTGAACTGTTTGGGATGTGAAAGGATCTCGATGTTGGACCCCCCAGTCTGTGTAGATGATTGATGTGTCCACTCTGGATCTCACATCTGACCCTAATGGAGAAATGTACATGAGGCATTTCTGAAATACCCAGAGCATCAATGTCATGAGCAGAAAAAGAGGTGAGGAAGTTCCCAAGTGTAGGTGGATCCACAAGAAAGAACAGAGGCCAGAGGGTCCCAGGACCTTCAAGGGGTAATTAGAATGGAGTTTTCCACCACTGAATGGAGGTGGGAGAGGAACCTCGGGATCTGCAATGACAGTGAGGGCCTCAGGGCTCCAGACCAAGGTGGGAGGCTGCGTCCTCCAGCTACACCTGAGGCTGGAGTGGACCCCAAGCAGCCCAGAGGAATTCCATCAAAGGAGTGCACCAAACCGTCCAGTGATAGAGCTGCTGGGATTCCAAAGAAAGAAGCACTAAACACCAGGGTGTTCATAGAGCATTTGTTAGAGGGACTTCCATAGAGTGGGCCCTGCAGCATGTCCTGGAGGTAGACAAGGTGACACTGGGTGTTCTATCCAATGCTTTAACCTAAAATAACAAAACAAAACAAAAATCTAGAGAAAATTATCTCTAAGTACAGTTGTTCTTTGGTGTACAAGGGAACTGGCTCCAGTCCGTGGCCCACATGTCACAAAACCTGCCTGTACTCCAGCCCTGAAGCTGGCTCCACTGCACCATGTATAGGGAAAGTCTGCCATTCGTATACACAGGATTTGCATCCCACAAATGCCATAGTTATGATCCCCGTTTGGTTGAAGAGAGTGTGCATACAAGAGACCCCAGGAATTCAAGGCTGCATTGCTCCAGGGTTGCCTGGATTTTGCTTGTATTTGACAATGAGAAGCAAAGATTACAATCTGGAGTGCATGGCATGGCAAGACACAGTGCATCCGGAGAGGGAAGTGTGATGTTGTGATACACACTGGTTTTCACCCGCGGTTCCTGGCTTATAACTCCATACCACTGGTTACAGTCTTTTGTTAGAGTATTGGCTGTGTTAGGCCTTAGGGGAGGCCTCTGACCTCCTCCTGCCCTTCCTTCACCTGCCCAAGGCAAGACTCGAATGTTCCCTGCCTTTCTGATGGTGGCTCTTAAGACCCTCCCAGAAGATGGTCTCACCCTGTTCCTTGTGGGAGGAAATGCTGATGTCACGAAGCTCCTTAAAAGCCCAAGAGGACTGGGTTTCATGGGCTTCTGGATGGCTGAGCATGCGGAGGTTCCTGGAGCGTGGCGCCCAGGGAGGGCATAGATGCTCCGGTCCCTTCCCCCATGCCTCCTCCTATGAGTCTCTTCATCTGTGTCCTCTGCAGTGTGCTTTGTATTCAACCAGTAAACGTCAGTGTCTCCCTGAGTTCTGTGAGCTGCTACAGCAAATTAATCAAACCCAAAGAGGTGGTCATGGGATCCCCAACTTGAAGCCAGTCAGTCAGAAGTTCTGGAGGTCTGGACTTGGGAATGGTGTGTGGGGGCAATCTTGGAGAATGGGCCTTCAATCTGTGGGATCTGGGACTGTGTCTGGGTAGACAGCTCGGAGCCGACTTAGAGGACACCCAGCTGCTGTTCGCTATTGGGTCTGGGAAACAATCCCACACATCTGATCCTACAAGTCTCCTGTGTTGATGACTGTTGTGGTGTGAGAGTAGAGGAAAAACATCATAGAGAGAGCTCTCTGTACATAGAGAGGTAAAGGAAATTCTTATCAGCAACAAGGGAGAGGCTGACAGAGCTGCTTAGAAGCAGAGTTCCCTGGTTCCAGAGGTTCAAAGCCAGAGTTGCTGTCAGTCCATTGGAGGAGATGCCATTGCTGGGCAAGTATTCTCTCGAGAGCAGCCTATCTGCATTCCTGATGTCCTAAAGAATATCTAGTAATAAACCATGTCAAAGCAGGAGAGGGGTGAAAGACATGGAAGAGTTTCTTATGGGGTTTTTAAAAAAGTCCTTAGAAACAGTTCTTATCTGAGACCTGGCAACACGAGCCTCCTCTCCGTCAGGCCTTCCTGGCCCTGTGGGGTCTGAGTTTAACCAAAGTCATCTCATCCTTGCTCATGTGACTTTCCTACTGGGTATCTGCAGTGAAGGG
The DNA here is from genome assembly GCF_000001405.40 of Homo sapiens. NCBI lineage: Eukaryota > Metazoa > Chordata > Mammalia > Primates > Hominidae > Homo > Homo sapiens. Next base: position 54,591,045 of record NC_000019.10, on the reverse strand, counting down.
ATTGAGTTACAAAGTTTAACCTGAGCGTTTCAGGAGTTTGGTTCAGGGCAGGGTTTGTTTCTACATAATTAACAAAGGGTTAATTTTTCAGTGTTTTCTAGAAACAATCTAAGGTGCTTTATCAGTACCTGGGAATGCTCAAGACCTCAGCTTGAGTTCAAGCCTGCAGGTGAAAACAGGCATCTGTCCAGCCCACAGAGCAGTCATGGCACTTTGTCTTTCTCTCAGAACAAAGGAAAAAGTGGAGGAAACCGTGGGATCCTAGAGAGACTGTGGCTCCCTCTCTTCTGTATTTGTGGACAGAATCTGGGATTGCTTGGTTTGGTGACCCAGGCCACATTCAGCACTGAGCCACCTTCCCGGGTGTGCATGACACAGTCTCGCTTTATCACTGCTGGACCGGGCATCTTTGGCACTTGAATGTGAGGGTCTCATGGGCTCCACCATGCCAGGCATAACACAGAGCTGATTCTAAACTTGGGAGCATGGACACCGCAGGGCAGGAGCGGGTACAAAAATGCCCCTCATCAGTTTTCCTTCCTGAGTCATCCCTGGGAGAAACCCTGTATGGAAGATCAGGTGTGTGGGAGAAAAACCCACCCCAGAGGAATAAAAATCGAAGAGTCCATTAGAGAAAAAACAGGCAATTATAGAAATGAATTAGGAAGCTATTGTGATGTGAAAATAGTAAATTATATTAACACATTTAGAAATACTTTCATCAAGAACCAGACACTGCTGAAATGATAAACATTGTATTGGTGTAGAATATTTATTAAATTTTTCATTAGTCATCGGAGAAAAACTAGAAATGAAAAAAATAGAAAAGATAATTAATGCACACAAAGAATAGAGTGAGAAGAGGAAACAGATATATCTCTATGTGTCACACTTTCAGAATGAAGGAAATAAGGAGTATGTTAGTCAATAAATACTTGCAAAGGAAATAGTTGACATTTTTACAGAAATGAAAGATCATGAGTTTAATGTGCACAAATTCATAAATAACATTAATGTCTTAACTATGATAGAGCAAACGATATCTAGAATAGATACAAAGTAATTTTAAAACTACTGGAGAAAATGAAAATTATTCTCAAATGAATGACAAGCACATTGGGACTGAGTTTCCCAGGACTGAAAAGTGGTAGAAAAAATGATCGGGGGCTCAGGTTCAGGTTGGATGAATGGAAACAGCTGGCATGTGCCTGTCTCGTTAAGAGGAGTCAAAATGGTGAGTAAATACCGAAATTCTAAGTGGATCTTCTAGGACAGCATGATGGGGCTCACCAGAGAACCACAGGGACATGGAAAGCACAGAGGAGAAAAGCTGATAGGCAGGAGAGCCTCCGAACAAGGAGACGGGGTGAGTGTATTAGTCTAGGTTCCCTAGAGGGAGATAACTAATTTTAAGCCTTTTGATTTATGATACTGGGATGACTTTTTCCTCATTTAGGTCTTTTGTTATTTCTTTGAGCAGTATTTTAAAATTGTCAATGTATACGTATTGCATCTCTTTGGTTAAATGTATTTCTCTTTTTTTGAGACAGAGTCTCACTCTGTTGCCCAGGCTGGAGTGCAATGGCAAGATCTCAGCTCACTGCAACCTCTGTTTCCTGGGTTGACGCGATTCTCCTGTCTCAGCCTCCTGAGTAGCTGGGATTACAGGCGTGTACCACCACACCCACCTAATTTTTGTATTTGGTTAAATGTATTTCTATGCATACTTTTCTTGTAGACACTGTCATAAATTGACTTGTTCCCCCTAATATACACGTTGAAATCCTGAGCCCCATTAGCTATAAATGTGAACATAGTTGGAAATAGAGTCTTTGCAAATGCATTTAAGTTATGATCAAGGGATCATAACGAATTAGGATGAGTCCTAATCTGATCTGAGTGATATCATAATCTGAAGAAGAGAAAAGACACACACAGAAGAATGGGTGTGAAGACAGAGGCAACCAGGTAGGTGTAAGCATTGAGAAGATGGAGGCAGAAACTGGTGGGATGCTGCCCCAAGCCAAGGAGTGCCTGGACCAGCAGAAAGTAGAACGAGTCATTTAAGAATTCTTCCATCAGCCGGGCACAGTGGCTTACACCTGTAATCCCAGCACTCTGGGAGGCTGAGGCAGGTGGATAACCTGAGGTCAGGAGTTCAAGACCAGCCTCACTAACATGGCGAGACCCCCGTCTCTACTAAAAATACAAAAAATAGCCGGGAATGGTGGTGCACACCTGTAGTCCAGTAACTCGGGAGGCAGAGGCAGGAGAATTGCTTGAACCTGGGAAGTGGAGGTTGCAGTGAGCCGAGATTGCACCATTGCACTCCAGCCTGGGCAACAAAGCAAAACTCCATCTCAAAAAAAATTCTTTCATCGAAACTGCATAGTTCTGTTAACATTTTTCTTATGTTGTACTTGGATTTTTTTTTTTTTTTGAGACGGAGTCTTGCTCTGTCGCCCAGGCTGGAGGGCAGTGTCGCAATCTCGGCCCATTGCAAGCTCCGCCTCCCAGGTTCACGCCATTCTCCTGCCTCAGCCTCCTGAGTAGCTGGGACTACAGGCGCCCACCACCACGCCCGGCCAATATTTTTTTGTGTATTTAGTAGAGACGGGGTTTCACCATGTTAGCCAGGATGGTCTAGATCTCCTGACCTCGTGATCTGCCTGCCTTGGCCTCCCAAAGTGCTGGGATTACAGGCGTGAGCCACCGCGCCCGGCATGTACTTTGATTTTTAGGTGAGCCGTGTTATCTCCCACATCAGATATTAATAGGTTTGTCTTTTGTGGATATGCTAGGATAACAGTGTCAGAATTTCATTTGACCTGTGCCATAACACTGAAGTAGAAGTGATCATTGCCTCTGAAATAGAAAGGACTGTAGGTATATGGGTGAGCTCTCAGTGGGATGTGCCACAGGTCCCTGGTGCTCATTAGTGAAGACAGTTCTGTCCCTTGCTTCCCAACCCTGTATTCAGTGAGAACCCATTGGCACCTTGATTTGGGCCATGAGAAAAATATTTATGTCACAGAAATTGGTAGATACCACTAATTACAGTATTTTAGAGATGTCTTTTTCTGAATCAGCATAGCTGTGGTGTCACTTGAAATGCCAGTGTGATGATTCCAAGTGGTGATATTTCAGGAGAAATTACACAGATAGCATCTGAGAAAGAGGGAAGGGCTCATAAGGTACAGAGAGGGTGTCAGGGCAGCAGGGTGGATTTATGTTTTCCTGGTTGGAATCTGATCTCCTGTCGTTGATTTAGTTGGTGGTTCAGGTTTGGATCTCTGAACTGAAGAGACGGGGACTCAGTAAGTGACATCAAGGAGTGTGACAATGAGGAATAAGGAAGACTGTGTCACATGCCGTGGACCAGAGCACACAGGTGTGTGGAGGTGTGGACCCAACGGTGCCATGTGGGATGGAGCCTCATGTCTGGGGATGGGAAAAAAAGGGGATCCAGTCAAGGGAAGTCAACATTCATAGACAAAAAAATGTACCACAGTTTAATGATCTTCTAGGAATCACCCCAGACAGTTTCCTTACACTCAAATATTGATTGCTGTCTCTAGAAATGACCAGCATACAGTCCAGATAATGTAGGTCCTAGATTGTCCTCCAGAGCCTCCTGGGATCATCAGATCTGTCCCTGAGGCTCCACCACGCTGAAGGATGCATTGTCCTCTCTGCTGTTCACCTCCCGGCTGCATCTTGTAGGCTTCTCTGGCTGTGCTGAGCCTCAAATAGCAGAATCCCGAGGACCACCAGGACCAAGCCAGCCACACCCATGCGGATGAGATTCTCCACTGTGTAATCCTGGGGGTGTTGGCCTAGGGATGCTGGACAAAGAGGTCACAGAGGTCAGGGCAGATCGGAATCACCCCGGGACTCCTGTATGTCCACCCAGGGCACCCACCTCCCCTTTACAGGACCTGACCCTCTGTGCCAGTCCCATAACTGAGAGCATCTCCTCACTCACTAGTCGTGGAGTCTGTCTTGTTTTGTGATGGGCTGAGGGTCTCAGCTGCTTCTGAGAATCAAAACAGTGGAGAAGAGCCCTGAGCCCAGCCTCACTCCTGGGCTCTGCATTCTTCTTTTCCCCTGTGTCTCTTGACATGAGTTTTATGGAGTTCCTCAATAAACCCTTCCTCTGCTGTAGCAGGGTTCCCTCCAGTCTCCTCATTGAATTATTTCAGACTTCCTGTGTTCTACAAATCCAAACTCAGCTCCTGAGTCATTTGGGAGAGTTTTCCTGCATCCCGGGAGCTCAGCATGGATATGGTAAGTGGTCCCCAATACAGAAATAACCAGGACCTTATGTGCTCTCTGTGCAGCCTGGGACCTTGTGTGCTCTCTGTGTCCTCTCTGAGCCCTAACTGGCTGCAAGGAGCAGGTGCAGGACCACAGAAGCCAATGCTCCCCAGAGATGAGTTTCACGGATCCGCCAGCTGAGGACCCAGGCTCCATGGAGGAGGGGTTGGACCTCAGGGGCTCTTGAATGTCAGGAACACAAAGGGGTGAAAGTCTGGGTCTGCCTCCCCTTCATGCCCTCAACCACTTCACCTGGGGTTTCATCTTCCGTTTAATCCTTAGGTAACTAATTCCTCATACAGGCAGTAACCCCTAGAATGCAATACACGTGCATGCACACCCACCCACACACACAAATATGCATATGTTAAATGCTGGTGCTATCCGAGGTTCATAAATGAATACTTCTGCTCCAGCAAGTGTGAGTCTAGATAAGAAGACCAATAACAAACCTGTAAAGACCTGTCATGTCAAATATGTGAAGCATATGGATGAATACATATAAAAATGTGTTTAGATATACCTCCACTCACATCATGTGTAATGTATAGAACCTGTGTATATATGTAAAACTTCAGAAATGTATTTATTATGTAGTTATATACACGTTAATATTTGAGAAATATTGGCATGTAATTTAGAAATAAAGAAATAAAATTTCCATGTATTATGATTTCTAAAATTGTACCAGAAATTAAAGGAGATCATTGAAGAGTAATTAGAAAGGAGCCATTCTCTAGTGGGTGAATAACAAATAAAAAGAACATAATGAAACCAGTCACTTTCTCATGGATACCTATCCTTCTTTAAAAAAAATATAGGTGTCGCTTCCAAGATGGTCGAATAGGAATGGCTCCGGTCTGCAGCTGGATTTCTGCATTTCCAACTGAGGTACCTGGTTTATCTCATTGGGACTGGTTGGACTGTGGCTGCAGCCCACAAAGGGCGAGCTGAAGCAGGATGGGGTGTCGCCTCACCTGGGAAGCACAAGGGGTCGGAGGATTTCCCTTTCCTAGCCAAGGGAAGCCGTGACAGACTGTATCCGGAGAAACAGTACCCTCCTGACCAACTACTGCACTATTCCCACAGTCTTAGCAACTGGCAGACCAGGAGATACCCTCCCGTGCCTGGCTCGGCAGGTCTCACACCCACGGAGCCTTGCTCACTGCTAGCGCAGCAGTCTGAGATCGACCTGCGATGCTGCAGCTGGATGGAGGGAAGGGCATCCACCATTGCTGAGGTTGGAGTAGCTCACAGTGTAAACAAAGATGCCTGGAAGCACGAACTGGGTGGAGCCCACCACAGCTCAGCAAGGCCTACTGCCTCTACAGATTCCACTTCTGGGGGCAGGGCATAGTAGAACAAAGGGCAGCAGGTAGCTTCTGCAGACTTAAACGTCCCTGTCTGATAGCCCTGAAGACAGCAGTGGTTCTCTCAGCACCGCATTAGAGCTCCAACAACGGACAGACTGCATCCTCAAGTGGGTCCCTGACCCCCGTGTAGCCTGACTGGGAAACACCTCCCAGTAGGGGCCAACAGACACCTCAAACAGGTGGGTGCCCCTCTGGGATGAAGCTTCGAAAGGAAGGGTCAGGCAGCAATATTTGCTGTTCTGCAGCCTCTGCTGGTGATACCCAGGCAAATAAGGTCTGGCTGGACTGGACCTCCAGCAAACACCAACAGACCTGCTGCTGAGGGGTCTGACTCTTAGAAGGAAAACTAACAAACAGAAAGGAATAGCATCAATGTCAACAAAAAGGACATCCACACCAAAACCCCATCCCTAGGTCACCAACATCAAAGACCAAAGGTAGATAAAACCACAAAGATGGGGAGAAACCAGAGCAGAAAAGCTGAAAATTCCAAAAACAGAGTGCCTCTTCTCTTCCAAAGGATCGCAGCTCCTCACCGGCAACAGAACAAGACTGGATGAAGAATGAGTTTGACAAGTTGATGGAAGTAGGTTTCAGAAGGTCGGTAATAACAAACTTCTTCAAGCTAAAGAAGCATGTTCTAACCCATTGCAAGGAAGCTAAAAACCTTGAAAAATGGTTAGATGAATGGCTAACTACAATAAACCGTGTAGAGAAGACCTTAAATGACCTGATGCAGCTGAAAACCACGGCACAAGAACTTCGTGATGCATGCACAAGCTTCAATAGCTGATTCGATCAAGTGGAAGAAAGGATATCAGTGACTGAAGATCAAATTAATGAAATAAAGCAAGAAGACAAGATTAGAGAAAAGAGAATGAAAAGAAATGAACAAAGCCTCCAAGAAATATGGGACTATGTGAAAAGACCAAATTTATGTTTGACTAGTGTACCGGAAAGTGACGAGGAGAATGGAACCAAGTTAGAAAACACTCTTCAGAATATTATCCAGGAGAACTTCCCTAACCTACAAAGGCAAGCCAACATTCAAATTCAGGAAATACAGAGAACACCACAAAGACACTCCTTGAGAAGAGCAACCCAAAGACACATAATTATCAGATTCACCAAGGTTGAAATGAAGGAAAAAATATTAAGGGCAGCCAGAGAGAAAGGTCTGGTTACCCAAAAAGAAAAGCCCATCAGACTAACAGCGGATCTCTTGGCAGAAACTCTACAAGCCAGAAGAGAGTGGAGGCCAATATTCAACATTCTTAAAGAAAATAATTTTCAACCCAGACTGTCATATCAAGCCAAACTAAGCTTCATCAGTGAAGGAGAAATAAAATCCTTTACAGCCAAGCAAATGCTGAGAGATTTTGTCACCACCAGGCCTGCCTTAAAAGAGCTCCTGAAGGAAGCACTAAACATGGAAAGGAACAATCAGTGCCAGCCACTGCAAAAACATGCCAAATGGTAAAGACCACTGACACTATGAAGAAACTGCATCAATTAATGGACAAAATAACCAGCTAACATCATAATGACATGATCAAACTCAAACATAACAGTATTAACCTTAAATGTAAATGGGTTAAATGCTCCAATTAAAAGACACAGACCAGCAAATTGGATAAAGAATCAAGACCCATCAGTGTGCTGTATTCAGGAGACCCATCTCATGTGCAGAGACACACATAGGCTCAAAATAAAGGTATGGAGGAAGATCTACCAAGCAAATGGAAAGAAAAAAAAAAAGCAGGAGTTGCAATCCTAGTCTCTGATAATACAGACTTTAAACCAACAAAGATCAAAAGAGACAAGGCCACTACATTATGGTAAAGGGATCAATTCAACAAGAAGAGTTAACTATCCTAAATATATATGCACCCAATACAGGAGCACCCAGATTCAAAAACCAAGTCCTTAGAGACCTACAAAAAGACTTAGACTCCCACACAATAATAATAGGAGACTTTAACACCCCTCTGTCAATATTAGATCAATGACACATAAGGTTAACAAGGATATCCAGGACTTGAACTCAGGTCTGAACCAAGCAGACCTAATAGACATCTACTGAACTCTACACCCCAAATCAACAGAATACACATTCTTCTCAGCATCACTTTGCACTTATTCCAAAATTGACCACATAATTGGTAGTAAACCACTCCTCAGCAAATGTAAAAGAACAGAAATCACAACAAACTGTCTCTCACACCACAGTGCAATCAAATTACAACTCAGGATTAATAAACTCACTCAAAACCACACAACTACATGGAAACTGACCAACCTGTTCCTGAATGACTACTGGGTAAATAATGAAATGAAGGCAGAAATAAAGATGTTCTTTGGAACCAATGAGAACAAAGACAAAACATAACAGAATCTCTGGGACACATTTAAAGCAGTGTGTAGAGGGAAATTTATAGCACTAAATGCCCAAAAGAGAAAGCAGGAAAGATCTAAAATCGACACCCTAACATCACAATTAAAAGAACTAGAGAAGCAAGAGCAAACAAATTCAAAAGCTAGCAGAAGGCAAGACATAACTAAGATCAGAGCAGAACTGAAGGAGATAGAGACACAAAAAACCCTTCAAAAAAATCAATGAATCCTGGAGCTGGTTTTTTGAAAAGATCAACAAAATTGATAGACCGCTAGGAAGACTAATAAACAAGAAAAGAGAGAAGAATCAAATAGATGCAATGAAAAATGATAAAGGGGATATCACCACCGATTCCACAGAAATACAAACTACCATCAGAGAATACTGTAAACACCTCTACACAAATAAACTAGAAAATCTAGAAGAAATGGATAAATTCCTGGACACATACACCCTCCCAAGACTAAACCAGAAAGAAGTTGAATCTATGAATAAACCAATAACAGGTTCTGAAATGAAGGCAATAATTAATAGCCTACCAACCAAAAAAAATCCAGGACCAGAAGGATTCGCAGCCGAATTCTACCAGAGGTACAAAGAGGAGCTGGTACCACTCTCTCTGAAACTACTCCAGTCAATGGAAAAAGAGGGAATCCTCCCTAACTCATTTTATGAGGCTAGCATCATCCTGATACCAAAGCCTCGTAGACACACAACAAAAAAGGATAATTTTAGGTCAATATCCCTGATGAACATTGATGCAAAACTCCTCAATAAAATACTGGCAAACCAAATCCAGCAGCACATCAAAAAGCTTACCCACCATGACCAAGTCAGCTTCATCCCTGGGATGCAAGGCTGGTTCAACATAGGCAAATCACTAAATGTAATCCATCACATAAACAGAACCAATGACAAAAACCACATGATTATCTTAATAGATGCAGAAAGGGCCTTTGACAAAATTCAACAGCCCTTCATGCTAAAAACTCTCAATAAACTCGGTACTGATGGAACATATCTCAAAATAATAACAGCTATTTATAGCAAACCCACAGCCAATATCATACTGAATGGGCAAAGAAGTATTCCCTTTGAAAACCGGCACAATGCGGGCTCTTTTTTGGTTCCATATGAACTTTAAAGTAGTTTTTTCCAATTCTGTGAAGAAAGTCATTGGTAGCTTGATGGGGATGGCATTGAATCTGTAAATTACCTTGGGCAGTATGGCCATTTTCACGATATTGATTCTTCTTACCCATGAGCATGGAATGTTCTTCCATTTGTTTGTGTCCTCTTTTATTTCCTTGAGCAGTGGTTTGTAGCACTACCTGACTTCAAACTATACTACAAGGCTACAGTAACCAAAACAGCATGGTACTGGTACCAAAACAGAGATATAGATCAATGGAACAGAACAGAGCCCTCAGAAATAATGCCGCATATCTACAACTATCTGATCTTTGACAAACCTGAGAAAAACAAGCAATGGGGAAAGGATTCCCTATTTAATAAATGGTGCTGGGAAAACTGGCTAGCCATATGTAGAAAGCTGAAACTGGATCCCTTCCTTACACCTTATACAAAAATCAATTCAAGATGGAATAAAGATTTAAACGTTAAACCTAAAACCATAAAAACCCTAGAAGAAAACCTAGGCATTACCATTCAGGACATAGGCGTGGGCAAGGACTTCATGTCCAAAACACCAAAAGCAATGGCAACAAAAGACAAAATTGACAAATGGGATCTAATTAAACTAAAGAGCTTCTGCACAGCAAAAGAAACTACCATCAGAGTGAACAGGCAACCTACAACATGGGAGAAAATTTTCGCAACCTACTCATCTGACAAAGGGCTAATATCCAGAATCTACAATGAACTCAAACAAATTTACAAGAAAAAAACAAACAACCCCATCAAAAAGTGGGCGAAGGACATGAACAGACACTTCTCAAAAGAAGACATTTATGCAGCCAAAAAACACATGAAGAAATGCTCATCATCACTGGCCATCAGAGAAATGCAAATCAAAACCACTATGAGATATCATCTCACACCAGTTAGAATGGCAATCATTAAAAAGTCAGGAAACAACAGGTGCTGGAGAGGATGCGGAGAAATAGGAACACTTTTACACTGTTGGTGGGACTGTAAACTAGTTCAACCATTGTGGAAGTCAGTGTGGCGATTCCTCAGGGATCTAGAACTAGAAATACCATTTGACCCAGCCATCCCATTACTGGGTATATACCCAAATGAGTATAAATCATGCTGCTATAAAGACACATGCACACGTATGTTTATTGCGGCACTATTCACAATAGCAAAGACTTGGAACCAACCCAAATGTCCAACAATGATAGACTGGATTAAGAAAATGTGGCACATATACACCATGGAATACTATGCAGCCATAAAAAATGATGAGTTCATATCCTTTGTAGGGACATGGATGAAATTGGAAACCATCATTCTCAGTAAACTATCGCAAGAACAAAAAACCAAACACCGCATATTCTCACTCATAGGTGGGAATTGAACAATGAGATCACATGGACACAGGAAGGGGAATATCACACTCTGGGGACTGTGGTGGGGTCGGGGGAGGGGGGAGGGATAGCATTGGGAGATATACCTAATGCTAGATGACACATTAGTGGGTGCAGCACACCAGCATGGCACATGTATACATATGTAACTAACCTGCACAATGTGCACATGTACCCTAAAACTTAGAGTATAATAAAAAAAAAAAAAAAAGAAAAGAAAACCGGCACAAGACAAGAATTTCCTCTCTCACCACTCCTATTCAACATAGTGTTGGAAGTTCTGGCTAGGGCAATCACGCAAGAGAAAGAAATAAAGTGTATTCAATTAGGAAAAGAGAAAGTCAAATTATCTCTGCTTGCAGATGACATGATTATATATTTAAAACCCCATTGACTCAGCCCAAAATCTCCTTAAGCTGATAAGCAACTTCAGCAAAGTCTCAGGATACAAAATCAATGTGCAAAAATTACAAGCATTCCTATAAACCAATAATAGACAAACAGAGAGCCAAGTCATGAGTGAACTCCCATTTGCAATTACTACAAAGAGAATAAAATACCTAGGAATCCAACTAACAAAGGATGTGAAGGACCTCTTCAAAGAGAACTACAAACCACTGCTCAATGAATTAAAAGAGAACACAGACAAATGGAAGAACATTCCATGCTCATGGATAGGAAGAATCAATATTGTGAAAATGGCCACACTGCCCAAAGGGATTTATAGATTCAATGCTATCCCCATCAAGCTACCACTGACTTTCTTCACATAATTGGAAAAAACTACTTTAAAGTTCATATGGAACCAAAAAAAAGCCCGCATTGCCAAGACAATCCTAAGCAAAAAGAACAAAGTTGGAGGCATCACGCTACCTGACTTCAAACTACCCTTCAAGGCTACAGTAACCAAAGCAGCATGGTACTGGTACCAAAACAGATGCATAGACCAATGGAACAGAACAGAGCCCTCAAAAATAAAACCACACATCTACAACCATCTGATCTTTGACAAACTTGACAAAAACAAGAAATGGGGAAAGAATTCCCTATTTAATAAATGGTGCTAGAAAAACTGGCTAGCCACATGTAGAAAGCTGAAACTGGATCCCTTCCTTACACCCTATACGATAATTAAGTCAAGATGGATTAAAGACTTAAATGTAAGACCTAACACCATAAAAACCCTAGAAGAAAACCTAGGCAATACCATTCAGGACATAGGCATGGGCAAGGACTTCATGACTAAAACACCACAAGCAATGGCACCAAAAGCCAAAATAGACAAATGGGATCTAATTAAAGAGCTTCTGCACAGCAAAAGAAACTATCATGAGAGTGAACAGGCAGCCTACAGAATGGGAGAAAATTTTTGCAATCTACCCATTTGGCAAAGTGCTAATATCCAGAATCTATAAAGAACTTAAACACATTTACAAAAAAAAAAAATCAAAAAGTGGGCAAAGGATATGAACAGACACTTCTCAAGAGAAGACATTTATGCAGGCAACAGACATATGCAAAAATGCTTATCATCACTGGTCATCAGAGAAATGCACATCAAAACAGCAGTGAGATACCATCTCATGCCAGTTAGAATGGCAATCATTAAAAAGTCAGGAAACTACAGATGCTGGAGAGGATGTGGAAAAATAGGAACGCTTTTACACTGTTGGTGGGAGTGTAAATTAGTTCAACCATTGTGGAAGACAGTGTGACGATTCCTCAAGAATCTACAACTAGAACTACCATTTGACCCAGCAATCCCATTACTGGGCATATACCCAAAGGGTTATAAACCATTCTACGACAAAGACACATGCACACATATGTTTACTGTGGCACTAATCACAATAGCAAAGACTTGGAACCAACCCAAATGTCCATCAGTGGACTGCATTAAGAAAATGTGGCACATATACACCATGGAATACTATGCAGCCGTTAAAAAGGATGAGTTCATGTCCTTTGCAGGGACATTGATGAACCTGGAAACCATCACTCAGCAAACTGTCACAAGAACAGAAAACCAAACACCGCATGTTCTCACTCATAATGGGAGTTGAACAATGAGAACACATGGACACAGGGCGGGGAACATCACACACCGGGGCCAGTCTAGGGGTGGGGGGCTGGGAGAAGGATAGCATTAGGAGAAATACTAATGTGAATGACGAGTTGATGGGTGCAGCAAACCAACATGGCACCTGTATACCTACGTAACAAACCTGCACATTGTGCACATGTACCCTGGAACTTAAACTATAATAATAAAATATATATATATATATAAAGAAATCAAATACCTCACTTATCAATTGTTAAAGATGTTGAATAATTCTTTAAGTTAAAATGAGCATACAATATTCTTAGGAGTAAAATTTCAAAACATGTCTTAAATTCATTAAGAAAATCTTCATTTTTAATGTGTGAAGGAGGAAGAGTTGATATTAATGAGAAATTTGTTTCTACATTGAATGTATAAATTAAATCAAGACTCAATTAAAGGGGAGTATAAATAAGGATTTTTAAATAATATATGCATACAATTTTAAGTTCATATATTATAAATTCATATATTCAAATACTGTTTTAAAAGTTTTAGAAAAAAAGTAACAAAGGACAAGTGCATACAGAAAATGCAGAGTAGAAATGAGTTAAACAGAAAGACGTGCTGTGAATACTTGCCTGACTTGTCCAGGGAGCAGGTGCAGGGCCCCTCCTTATTCTCAGGGATGCCCTGAGCACAGAGGCCTCCAGGTGAGCACAGGAGGGGCAGTGTGAGCGGCACCCACAGCTGGGGTGCTTCTCTCTAAAGGAGCACATCTGGGGTGGACTCCAGCCTCATCACAGTCAGATCCCACCGAGGCCCAAGCAGCCTCCTCTCTTGTCTTGAGATGGCCCAGGGACCCCGCAGGTGTGGGTGAAGGGCTTATACTCAGGGGCTCTTGGAAATGAGAAATGAGAGCTGCCAATACACTGTCCATCTGTCCTCTCTCCAACTCACCTGCCTCTCTTCCTCCTCCATCAGCCCCAGCATCTTCCCAGTGTCCAAGTCAGGCCTGGACCCCAAATCCTCCCCACCCAGCCTGTTCTCCTTCCTCTACTCATCACACATCCTGCAGGACAAGGCCAGGGGCTGGGGGTCCTGCAGAGCTGTGCCAGCTATTGATTTTGGTAGAAAATTGGAGACATTTTCTCTTGTACACGAGAGAGGGGAGACTCTCAACCAGCGGGGTTTTGTAAACTTTTGTTTTTTCCAAAATATTGTGTCTTTGTCTTACTAAGCTGAGATTCCAGGAGGGATGGGTAAAACTGCATGCACCTGCCCCCATCTCCGTTGGTTTTTTAACTCTTAACAAGTCTCAGTTATTGGGAGAATTAGGAGAGGGCCAGAGAGGGCTGTAGACGGGAGCAGGTCTAGGATGAGCCACATCCCAGATGCCCCAGAAGGTCAGAAATGAAGGGGCTTTGGGGCAGTCACATCCAGGCAGCTCCCCCTTATTCAGATGAGGAGTCCAGGGTGCAAGGGGAATGGGCTCTTTCAGAAGTTCCACCTCCCAAGGAGAGGCTGAGCCATCACAGACCCAGCCCCACCTCCCCGGGCTCCTCCCACCTGACTCCTAGACCAAGTACCTGACTGTGATCTCCCCTGACCCTGGCTCCCCCATGAGAGGTGACGGCTCCTGGGAATCCTGCTCAGGGAGGGGGAAAGATCCCTCTGCTCCGCTCATCAATGCTGAACCTCAGACACCTCCCTCCCCTCTGAACACCACGGAGGGAACACCTGCCCCATCCCTGAAGCCCCAGGAAGCCACGCAGACCACACCCTTACTGTCCACCCTCCCCGCTGCTGCCCTGGAAATCAGACCCTGAATATTGGAGGTAGCATTGAGATGAGTCTAGAAACTTCTCTTGAGCTGGGAGTGGCTGGTTTTGTCACCCATGGGGTCAGGACATAGGGTTTGGGACCCCCAGAGGCTCTGATTCTGAGGTGGAGACATCAGGAGGGGAGCGGGTGGGGTCTCCGTCTTCCACCCTCAGTCTAATCACATCTCTGAGGTTCACCACCCGCCCCCCCGCCCCCGTCTCCTCCCAGCCCTTCATGCTCTTTACTGAGACTTCAGGGGTGGGAGCCAGGGGTGGGAGGTCCCTGCCTATTTCCACTCTCCCATGGGCTGGACCCTCCCCTGTGGACCCTCCCGCTTCACTCCCCTCATTCATTATTGTCCCAGAGCTCTGCTGGGGGCAGGGCCTGAGCTGAGCCTTTGAGCTCGGAGAGGACAAGATCAGGGCCCTCACCTGAGACCACGAGCTCCAGGGGGTCACTGGGGAGAGACAGCAGGTAGGGGTTGGAGCTGAGTGAGCTGTAGCATCTGTAGGTCCCCACGTGGGCTGAGGTCACAGGACCCATGCGGAATTCAGCCTGGTTCTGCTGAGCTTGGTGCTCTGATCTCAGATGCAGTGGGGGATGGCCTGCCCCCTCCTTGGTCAGAAGGAAAGTGTGGAACTGCCCCCGTGACTGACACAGCAGGGTCACGTTCTTTCCTGGGGCTACTGTGGGGACCGGCTGCACCGAGAGAGAGGGTCTGTCATAGAACTGTCCTAGAGAGAAGAAGGATGGGTGAGGGGCTGCCCCACCTTGTTCTGAGCTGAGACCTCCCCAGGCCTCTCCCTGGGACCCTTAGTCTCTCTGTCTCTGTTTTCTCTGAGTCTCCCCTCCCCGCCCATCCCCTGTCTCTCTCTGTCTCTCCCTCCCTTGGGACCCCCAACCCTCATTCCGGCCATCACCACCTGGGCTCCCCTGGCAGGGCCTGTGCAGAGCCTGGGTCCCTGACTGAACCCGCTGGGCTCCTCACCTGTGATCAGGATGTCCAGGGGGTCACTGGGGGCCGACCACTCGGAGGAGAGGTTGTGTGCACTGTAGCATCTGTACTGGCCCCCGTGGGAGGGGCTCACAGGGCCCAGGGTGAAGTTGGCCTGGGAGAGCCCAGCCTGGGGCTGCCAACCAGGGCGCTGGAGGAAGTCACGTTCTCCCTCCTTATACAGAACAAATCTGTCGTAGCCGACATCAGAGACACACTGGAGGGTCAGGCTCTCCCCAGGGGCCACCATAGGACCTGGCTGCACTGAGAGTGATGGCTTCTTAGAAACACCTGGGAAAAGGTGTTCATGGTTTCCAGGAGCCGACCCTCAGGCTTCCCCACAAACCCTCCCTCTCCCCCGCTGATCTTCCTGTGTCTCCGGCCCCAGGAGCCCTGAGCCCTCTCGCCCCAACATCATCCCACCTGGAGCTGCCCTGAGACGCGGCTGCTCCCCACCTGCCTGGAGACTCAGGGAGACTCAGGGAACTCCAAGCAATTCTGTGAATTTCTCACCTGGGACCAGGAGCTCCAGGAGATCACTGGGTAGAGACCACACATAGGGAGAGTTCGAGTCATAAGCATAGCACCTGTACGACCACCTGCGACTCGGGCTCACGGGGCCCACGGAGAAGATGGCCCAGGACCACCCACGGGCATGGGAATGGGAGTTCAGGCGTTGTGGGTGTTCATCTTCTCCTTCCTTACACAGAATGAAGCCGTCAAATGCCACCTGTGAGACACACTGGAGGGTCACGTTCCCTCCTGAGGTCACCACAGGGCTGGGCAGAGCTGAGAGGGTGGGTTTGCTGTAGGCTCCTAGGAGAGAAGGAGGCACTGTGTTAAATGGGGCTCCCACCTCCCACATCATCCCCAGGGTTGAGCTGTGAGAGCGGAGATGCCCCTGAGAGCCGACCCCCTTCCTGAGGGCAGAGCCTGGGGCTGGGACTCCTGAGTGTCCTCTCACCTGTCACCACCAGCTCCAGGGGGTCACTGTACTCTGATGAGTGATTGTGGCTGTAGTACTGACAGTGATACCGCCCTGCGTGTTCCCAGGTGATGGATGGGATGGGGAACTGGCCATTCTTCCCAGGCTCTTGTATCCGTCTAACCCAGGATGCTGATTTGTTTTCCCTATATAGATGGTACTCCTCAGCCTGAAGGCTCCCCTGACACCTGAGGGTCACAGGACTTCCCTGGATGATCACAGAGCCTGGCTCAGCCCAGAGGGTGGGCTTGGGGAGGTGCCCTGGAAGGAAATCAGAGGTCGGATTCTAAGTCATTTCCCACCCAACAGATCTCAGCTCTCAGCTGCAGGACCCTCCAGACACCCCCATCAGTCAGCCCAGAACTGCTATTCCCCATCCCCAGCTGCACGGGGGTGGCCCCTTGTCCCTAGTGAGGAGGAGGGACCTGGGACAGCTGGGAACAGACTCACCTGCCTGCACGTGGGTCCTGGGGCCCAGACTCAGCCCTGGAAGAGAGTTCCCTGTGAGGGATTTTTCCCCTGAAGCCTGGGCAGGTCCTCCCCTCCCTGGGATCTTTGTGAGCCCCTGGGGTCTCCTTAGGGACCAGAGTTTGGCTGTGGGGTGAGGTCCCTCCTAGGTTAGAAGCTCCCCTCCCTCTTCAAATCTCACCGAGACAGATCAGGACCGTGAGGATGGGGGTCATGGCGTCTCCTCCCACTGCCCTGCTCTGCGGATGGATGAGCCCTCAGTGCTGGCAGGACAGAGAGACGCACAGGGTGTGGACACTCGGAGGCTGGATCCTTCTTGTCATGGGGTTTTGTTATGTGCAACCACACAGGAAGTGCAACTGCCCTCTCAGGAGCCTGGCTGTCATACCTTTAGGGCTGAGGTGGGGGCAGGCACCAGGCCCTCTGCAGACATTTCAGACTGTAATGGGGTCTTTCCTGCCCCCCAGCCACTGTCTGTCTGGTTTATCCTCATCTCCTTGAGACCTGGGATGTAGCAGCAAATAGAACTGGTGCCCTCCTGCGTCTGCCCTTCCAGATGAGGGTGAGCAGAGGCTTCCTCTTCCTTCTCAGAGCTTCCCCATGGGGTCTCCCTCCCTCCTTCAGCCCGTCCATCAGCTCAGCGTTGCGGGGTCCTTACCATGGCGGTCGTCCCTCCAGCCCTGGAGATGCTTCAGGGAAAACCCAGGTCCATGCTGCAGTTAGACTCAGATCAGCAGAGACGCACCTGACACCTGGCTGTGTAGCTCAGGTTGAGCTGCGTGTGGCAGTGAGCACAGAGGAGTAATGCAGGGTCTACCATGGTGGCTCATGCCTGGAATCCCAGCACTTCAGGAGGCTGAGGTGGGTGAAGGCTAGAGGCCAGGAGCTTCAGATTACCCTGGGCCACATAGCAAGACCTTGTCTGTATAAAAAAAGCAAAAAATTAGCCAGGCATGGCAGCTCACATCTCTAGTCCCAGCTACTCAGGAGGCTGAGGTGGGAGGAATACTTCGGCCTGGGAGGCGGAGGCTGCAGGGAGCTATGATCACCCCTTAGCATTCCAGCCTCAGTGACAGAGTGAGACCCTGTCTCAAAAGGGGAAATGCAGGGATTAACTATAATAAAACATATTTGTTCTGTCTTGAGAGTGTGTGTTTCCTTCCTACCAAACCGTCCCTCTCCTGTACTTCCCCTTTTCTCTTTGTTGCAACATCACCCACCCCCACCCCGGGAATGAGGCTCTGAGTCGGTCCCGCCCCCTCAGTGTCCCTTGCGTCCTTGGCCTTCCCTCGGCACCTCCGTCCATGTTCAGAGTTTTCAGAAGAATTTGTTAGGTCTGTAATCTGATTCTGGGGAAGGTGAGCTGATTTGTATTTAATTCCTGATTATCATCCAGGGTTTATGTGACTTTGGACATGAATGTCACCTCTGAGCCTGCTGTCGTGAACCCCACTCATCACAGTGGCTGTGGGGGTCAGTGGTGCCCAGGACATGGGAGGCTCAGCCATGGTGAATTTCCAGACCAGTTCAGACAGGAGGGTGGGGACGGGAGAGGATCCTGGTGCTGGGCTCCACAGTCCAGGAGGATGATTGACGCCCCCACTCAAGAGCCCACATCGGCTCCAAATACCATGAAATTCTCCTTGTGATACATCTGAAATATGCAGATCATCACAGCCACGGGCACAGAAAGAGGAAGAACAGTTCCTCACATTGAGACGCATCCCCTTCCATGAGCAGAGTTCAATGCTGAGTGGCCACAGGTGTCTGGGACCACCCAGGGTCATTAGGGAGGAGGAGGCTCCCACCTCCGTGTGGGACAGAAGAGGAACCCCACGTCCTCCCAGGCAGGGAGGGGTCAGGGCTCTGGGTGACGCTGGAAGCTGTGGCTCCCCCTCCCCTGTGTGTGTGGACAGGCGCTGGGGGGTCTCTGCTCACTCACTGGAGGCCATGGTCAGTGCTCAGCCCCTCCCCTGTGTGTGAGAAACAGATTCAATCCACGGTGGTCTGACATGGGCGTCTGCTCTGCCCCACAGGTGAGTGTGAGACTGGCGTTGGTCCCATCCCTGCTGGGCACAATCTTGAGCTGACACTGAGTTTGGGGGAGTGGGGAGGAGCAGCGGCAACAATCCCCTTCATCAGGCTGATGCCTGGACAGCCGTGGGAGAAACCCTTTATGAAAGGTCAGGTGCGTGGGAGGAGCCGCCCCACAGGAATGACAACCAAGATACATGAGGAAAACACAGACAGTTGTTGAAATGCATTAGACAGACATTGTGAAGGTGAATTAATTTTTATATTAATTTATATATTATATAAAAGAGTCCCAAGCCCTTCTCAGCCTTTTCCCCTGCTATCATTGCTACCGAAACTTTGGGGCTTCTGTCTCCACCCTCAGGTGCCCCCCTCTTCCTGTCACAGAAGTTTTCTTCCTGGACATCAGCAGCTGGGCTGGACCCGGGGAAGGACATGGGAGTGTGAGGGCCAGTGAGGAGGTTGTGGGGGTAGGTGGGCGTCTGGGGTCTTCGGGCAGAATTACCTCCTCCACAGGCCTCTGTCGTTCTCTGACTCCACAGTCCCCACAGGACTTTGGAAATCAGCCTCCCTCTGGGCTGGGTGAAGAGGGACAGAGCTTCAGCCTTGGGATCATGAGAGCCACCTGCCCTGCACAGAGAACTCAAGAGAAAAGAAGGAAAGCTGAAAACACACTTGCATAGATGTTTTAAAAACGTCGTTAGATGAAACAACCAAAAGAATAAGGTATGTTCATGTATGTTCACATTTATTCTCTTCTTTCTAGGTTTTCTCACTGGGAAATGCTGGAGCCGTTTTTCTGAGCTGAACTTTCCCATCTGGAATCTGTCTGGTTGGTGGTGCCCTGACCCCACCTTCAGTCAGCCCATGGGTCTCCCCGCCAACTTCCTACTCACCCAATGTCCTGTGTTGGCCCTGAGGCCAGTGTCAGAGGAGAAAGAAGAGGAGGAAGAGCACCAGCTGAAGGCCACTGAGACCCCGATCACAACCCCCAGGTGCTTTCCCAGACCCTGAGGTAGGACTGTGAAGGTGTACTGATGCCCTTGCCAAATGAAAGGAAACTGTTCCTGATGGTTCTTATTAACAGTGATGGAGAAAAAAATATTTAACACATCAATGGCTGAATACTGGGTATCAGGGGATGTATTAATTTGCTCAAACTACAAAACCACATCTGTTACAACATCTTCAATTGGATCTGATTAAGCTTACAATAATCTAATATCATTATCCAAGATCCCTGCGTCTTCTGTGGAGGTAAAATAGGAGAGGTGAATGGCAAGGTTGTGGGAATCACTGTCTCTGCACGCTTCAAGTCCCAATATATGGAATTCCTCCAGGAATGCAAGACTGCTTTTGGTTTACAGTTTAGCTGGGAAGAGGCAGTTCTAGTGGCTCCCACTGGGCCCACTCTAATAACCCTCACTCAACAAGTGAGGGAACCACTGTGGGGGTTGTGATAGTTGTTGAATATGTCTATTCCAATGTTGCCCTCTGGAACTGGGGATACAGCCACAGGGTGGGTTTAGGGATACACTGGATTCACTATGGAACACGTGAGCTCAAACTCCACCAATCACCTTGCCTCTAGCAGCCACTACTCTGACTGGAGGGCCACAGTGACGTTTCGGGTCTCCTGGAATTAATGTCAGTTCATACCCCATTTCCAGTAATGCCCAAATTATCTGATTATTTTCCCCAAGGCTCCATTGCCATTGTAAAAGGCTGCAGGTCCCTTTAACCAAAGTCCAGGAGAAAGATTAAGAGTATATATTCTTGGTAGTGTACCAGGGACAGTGCCCTCACGGGAACCCTGCCTGGGATCCCTTTAATTCAGGGGATTCTGGCTCTATGAACTGACTCAGTGCTAGCCATTGATTGAGAGACTGTGGCTCTCTGCTTTTATGATTTGGGTTGACTTTTGTTCACTTGACATAGAAATTTTCTGCTTATACAGATCAAGTGAGAATTTAGTAGGTTTCCTATCTATCTCCCTTGTTAGAATGCCGTGATCAACTAGCCAACACCATAAGTCTGCGGGACTATTCCGATCGCTGGTTTGACTTTGCTGTCCATCATGGTAACCAAACCCACCTTGCCTTTGGTGGCTGAGTTCCTCTACTTGGCCCCTGTCTCTCTGGGGGCCAAGAGGTAGGGGCCAAATTACTCCCATTACATTTAGATTTTTTAAAATTCAGCAGTTCCACTGTAGGTTCCAGCTTCCAGAGAAGAGAAATCACAGAGCTCCTCAAGGATGCCAGAGCTCCCTTTGCAATATTGTTGAAAGATACATCTTCTGATGCTTCCAATGTGGGTTACTAGGTTTGATACATGCATGGTAACATTACAGTCTTCCTAAGCCTTTAAGTTAATTCCTCTGCAGCAAACCAAGGCATGTCTGGCATTTTGAGTTTATTTACTGCAGGCCAGCTTTTGCTCCATGTTTCAGCCAATCAACCAGACAAACTGGTAGAATCATTTCCGGTTCTCCAAGATGCAACATTAAATGTGCAATCTCTGTTTAGTGAGCTTATATATATAAATTCGGTCCGACTCAACTTTATGTTCTTTTCACCATTATCCTAAACCCTTAATATCCACTCTGACACGTGTTCCTCAGACTTCTGTATGGATAAATTAGAAAAATAAATAAATTACTTTGGAGTGTAGCACAACTTCTCATGAGCCACACTTTGTAACACACTTTTCAGGGCCTGCGAGACTTGAATCTAGTTATAGGTCTAGAAGCAAAGAGGGTTGGTCAGGATGTATCCTAAGGAGAATCAGCATAGCCTTGCATGGCAACTGCCTCAGGGGAGGCCAGTATTGTTTCCTCAGACAGTACAGGGTTAATCTCCTCCCTTGCAGATAGAGAGGATGCTTCTATTGGCAAAGAAGACTCATTCAAAGTTAGGGGCTTGATATCCTCAGCTGTATCAGGGTCTTAATATACATCCTCATTCCATCTTTCAAGATCTCACCCATTCCTGACCAATGGCATTACTTGAACAGTAGATACCCTGTGAGGCTGGGGACTCCGCTTGAATTGTAATACAGCCACTTCAAGGATGAGATTCTCGGTTTGATTTTCAGCAATCTCACCCCTACAGCTACAGATGATAAGAGTCTCTTTCAGGGCACACATAGAAACCTCAGATATTTATGTAGTGGTGCTTGAACTGGAAATTCTAATCTCTGGGCTCATCTTTTTCTTTACCTCTTTATCCAATGACAAAACAGCCACACATACTATACTTAATAGTTTGACAACAATCTTCAAAGGTGTATGCAAGGCCACCCAGATTCTCGTTCCTTATAAGTGTAGGATTAGGAGCATCTAGTGGTGTACCCCTAATGCCACATCATGCCACGGACTATCACAGACTTCCTTCCTTCCTTCTTCCTTCCTTCCTTTCTTCCTTTCTCTTTCTTTCTCTTTCTGTTTCTGTCATACTGTCTTAATGTCTTTAAATCTAATCAGACAGCCAGTTCCATAAACCTCAGAAACAGTAGACAAAACATATTAAGATTCAGTTCATCTAGAATCATTCCTATGATCAAATTATGTATTTGTAAGTGTTCTCCAGAGAAACAGAACCGATATATGTACATATGTGCATATCTATATCTACTTATCTTGCTATCTAGGAATGGGTTCATGTAATTGTTGGCACTTGGTGAGTCCAAAATCTGCAGGACAAACAGCCTGAAGACTTGGGGAAGAGTTTCAGCTCCAGTCAGCCAAACAACCTGCTTGCAAAATTTTTTACTATTCTGTGGAGCACATTACTTCTTTTCCTTCTCACAATGCACTTATTATCTTTTAACACAATGCATACTCTATCTATTATTTATTGTGTGTAATGTCCACTTTTCTTGACTACAATATTGACTTAATACAGGCAGGCTCTTTGGAAGTTTTCATGTCCTTTATTCTGAGACATCTCATACACCATGTTTGACACAGATCAGATACTTCACATGTGCCTATGGAAACAGGGAATAAAAGTTTCTCCACTCCTGCCAAGTTCATTTCTATCACAGAGACAATTTGTTCCAACTTGATTCTTTTCTTCTCCCTTCCAGGCAGCCTTTTGTACAAAGTTCTCAGAATAGAAAAAGAATAACATTCAGGAGGCAAGACCCCAAGGTTGGGAAGAAACACATCCAGACTCATTGCCTCCTCCTTCATCTCAGTTCTTAGACATCAGGGTCCTCATCTGATATCTTATTTCCATGTGGTTTCTCCAAGAATTTCAGAGATGTTTCTTTCTTTCTTTCTTTCTTTCTTTCTTTCTTTCTTTCTTTCTTTCTTTCTTTCTTTCTCTTTTTCTTTCTTTCTCTTTCTTTCTTTTTCTTCCTTCCTTCCTTCCTTTCTCTTTCTCTCTCTCTCTCTGTTTCTGTCATACTGTCTTTATCTTTTTTCTGTCTCTCTTTCTCTCTATCTCTTTCTATCTCTGTTTCTGTCTCTTGCTCTCTTTTTCTCAGTTGAATGGATCTAATCACTACTATTAGCTCTCAGTCATTTGAACATTTCAAAAATGTTTTTCTGAGAGCATCTCAAATCCCCATGCAAATACTGTCAGTGTACTCACAGATGATATAATAATTACCTGTCAGCAAGAAGATGACCTCATGGTGTCCCAAACCTTTATATCAGGGATAAGATGTCCCCTTTTGCACAGGTGCCCAGACTGTGACCATGAAGGCTACTTCTTCAGCAAGAAATGGCATTTGGTAAGAGGAATTTTCTTTGATACAGAGCCATATTCTCAGGGAATTAGAGTGTTTATCATAAAAAACTTGGTGTGTACACAAAATTATTGTTTAGTCCTAGCATCAGCATGGACCATTAAAAAAAAACCCTTAAAGTAATAATATTTTCTGAGGGTTCCTGAGACATAGAATTGCCCCAGCCTTCCCGCTCAAGAGTTGCCTGGCATCTCTTATTTTCCTCTTCTGTCATAGCCCCATCCGAAACACTGTCTCTGAATGAACACGCCAAGCCTCACAGTCTTCACTCTGCTGCTTGTATGAGGGTTAAGAGTGTGTCAGCTCTTGCCACCTGCTTACACACTTCCTGTCTAATGACACCTGCAACTTAGGAGATTTAAAATTACCTGTGGTGGTTGCGTGTTGTGCTTTGGTTGGCAATGGCATATGTCTCCGGAAACTTTCTGTCATAAGTGCAAAGCCATACACCTCCATCTCTTTCCCATGGGTTCTGGGGATTACCATGCACTTAACTGCAACAATAATTTCATGTCCGTAGAAAATCCTGGAACCAGTGTAAAGAAGGTAAACTCTATCTCTCACTTCACCAAATAGAATCTCACCTTTTAAAGTGAGTGACTGTTTTCAAGGCTTAGGGAGCAGGGATAATCAGGGACTATAAATGTGTTCAGGTATAAATGCATCTCTGACTCTTAGCCAGCTTTAAAAGTGCTGTGCTACACCCCAAACCTTTGCACCTGGTCCAGATCCGTTGGAATTTAAAGATCAAGCGTTCTAAAGCTGTCACTCCACTCAGTCTTAAAACAGTGAGCACTTAGTCTGTTCTGACAGCTAAGATCCCAGCCAGAAGAGCCGTGGGGTGGGGATTTTCCTGCCAGGATCTCAGGAAGTAAGATGTGCCTCATTTAGCCTACTATTGTGCCTCTCTGCAAATCACTTTGATAAGAGATGAAACAGAGGTTTTCATTTCCCCACGAATGACTGCCATTCTTAAAGAGCAGATGAGACCCATAGTCCCAGCTGGTCTAGGACTCACAGATATTTTCTTGTGTCCATGATTTTCCATCATTTTGTTGTTCTCACTGCTGCTCAACTAAGTTTAGTGGAATTTAAATTTAGTTGTATGTTTCCTTTATGATTCGTGCATAGCTCCTTTCTTTCTCTTGTTTGGATTTGCTGACCAATGTCTACTATAAATTTGCTAAATTTCTCATACTTGTCACAAGACATTTTCTTTCCAAGAAAATTTTGAATAAGTTTGTGTGTATATGCTACATAAAATGCATGGTTTTATTTCTCACTCTCCTACTTTTCTCCCTGTCCACTGGGACCAAACTGTTATCATTATTATATAGCCTTCCAGAAACGGTTTTGATTTTCTAAAGCATCTATTTCTCTAAACTAATCTACACTTTACCAAGATTCTAGTATTTTCCAAATTTTAATGACAGTTAAATCCCATTGTAGCTTAACAACGTTTTAATTATTAAACCAGTTAAAAAATTATTATAAAAATGCTGTTCTTGTTTTGGTAAGTCCTAATGTTTTTGCAATGCATCTACATTTTTAGGTATTATAAAATAGTATGTCAAGTTAAATATGGCTAAAATACTCTATCTTCTACTTCATAGTATCATATAAGGTTTCACTCGCATCTCACATTCATTCATTTCAAACTGAGAAACCATTACTCTTCATTTAATTTTCACCCAGATATAAAAATCCATAGCTGCAAGAAGAATAGTAATTATGGGCCAGGCACGGTAGCTCATGCTTGTAATCCCAGCACTTTGGGAGGCCAAGGCGGGTTAATCATCTGAGGTCAGGAATTCAAGACCAGCCTGGCCAACATGGTAAAACCCCTTCTCTACAAAAATGCAAAAATTAGCCAAGCATGATGGTGGGTACCTGTAATCCCAGCTACTCATGAGGCTGAGGCAGGAGATTCGCTTAAACCCAGGAGGCAGAGGTTGCAGTGAGCCAAGATTGTGCCACTGCACTCCAGCCTGGGTGACAGAGCAAGACGCCATCAAAAAAAAAAAAAAAAGAAGAATAGTAATTATGTACAGTGACGCTATGACCATAAATTAAACATGTAACAAAAAAATGGATTTCAAATTTAAAGAAATCTTTTTTAAATTTTATTTTGCATTTGGTTGATAATCTCCGAGAAAAACATATATTTGTGAGGCTTTTTTTCTTACCCACAGAAATCCTTGTTTACATAATTTCCCTACTTAGATAACAAATGATATTTTATTTTACTGTTTAGAATGAGCACTTAAAATATTAATGACAGCCTCCTTTTTTCAATTTTGATATATAAAATATTTCTAATATTCTGAGTTCCATATTATATGTCGTTAGTCTTAAATAAGTTTTACTATTTGAAATATTGTAATATTTTTAATTGTTCTATGGCTCATGTTTTAAAATTGCTTACTAAGTATTTGCCTCAACTCATGTTTTAAAATATATATACCTGTTTCTATATGCTTAATCTACTAGATATTAATTTATATGGTTATATGCCTTTACATAAATATTTTTATTTGCCTAAATGGCATCCAGTAGAAACTGGTTTTAGTTTTTAAACTAAATGTCAAAATATTTAAATCCATGTATTTAACAAATATTCTTCCAACTCATTTTGGAATTAACTTTTACTCAAATACTAAGTTCTTAATTTTTTTATACCTATAATTCTCCTGGTCTCTAATCTTTGGAATTCAAAGATCAAACAAAATTTCTATCTCTGATCTGCATCTATTTCTTTACATATCTACCTATCAAATACTTCACATTATTTTGTAGACTGTTTTTTTCTTTGGTTTACTATAACCAATTTTTATCTGTAATTTTAAAATATTAGATAAAACTATTTTTAATATTATAATTAATTTTCTTTCTGTGTCTTTTTTTTTTTTTGACCAGTACAGGACATTTGGGAATGTTAGTATTTGGTTGTAAAATACATTGTTGATGCACACATATTTTGTTGGTCAAATTATTTAAGATATTGACTCACTTCACGCAGTATAGTGGTTTATTGCATTTTGTCAGGTCTTAAGCACCCTTTCTTTTTTTTTTAATAGTATTTCTTCCAGGGGCCGGGCGCGGTGGCTCACGCCTGTAATCCCAGCACTTTAGGAGGCCGAGGCGGGCGGATCACGAGGTCAGGAGATCGAGACCATCCTAGCTAACAGGGTGAAACCCCGTCTCTACTAAAAATACAAAAAAATTAGCCGGGCTTGGTGGCGAGCGCCTGTAGTCCCAGCTACTCGGGAGGCTGAGGCAGGAGAATGGCGTGAACCCGGGAGGCGGAGCTCGCAGTGAGCCGAGATCGCGCCACCGCACTCCAGCCTGGGCGACAGAGCGAGACTCCGTCTCAAAAAAAGTATTTCTTCCACATTTACTCAATTGAGTGGTTGATTTGTACAATTACATACATTTTCTTAAGCCATTTTTTCATCAAAATTGCAAATACAATACTGCCTCTACAAAGAAGAATTTACAAATTATTTTTTACCCAGTGTTGTATGTATTTGCACAACTCATAAATATTAATAAATATCTGTTGTATTCTATGTAGCAGTTTATTAAGCAACTATGAAACAGAATTGTGTCCAAATGTTACAAAGGTAATATTTTGATTGCCAAAATATACATTCATGTTTAAACATTTTTTTTCAATTCTTAGTTGGATTTACTAGAGATATATTATATTTTAGAAATGGGTGAGGCACTGTGGCTCATGCCTGTAATCCCATCACTTTGGGAGGCCATGGTGGGCGGATCACCTGAGGTCAGGAGTTCAAGACCAGCCTGACCGACATGGTGAAACTCCGTCTCTACTAAAAATTCAAAATTAGCCGGGCATGGTGACACATGTCTGTAAGCCCAGCTACTCAGAAAGCTGAGGCAAGAGAATCACTTGAACCCAGAAGGTGGAAGTTGCAGTGAGCCGACATTGCACCATTGCACTCCAGCCAGGGCAACAAGAGAGAAACTCCATCTCAACAACAACAACAAATTAAAAATTAAAATATGGTGAATTTCAGGGTTGCGATCTTGTTTCTGAACAATTTCCATGTGCTGCTAATTATATAACTGTAATAGTAAAAAGGGGTGCTTTTTAATATTGAAAAATAGTAAAAATAGTAGAAGAGATAGTGACCCTTAATATATCACAGGTTTGTCCATCACTGAGCTCAGGAGGCAGTGCTCGTAGGTCTCACCTAAATAACAGACTCATTTTGTTTTTCCACTTTGAGTATTTTTAAGGCACATATTAAAGATGTATACCTTGACGACTTTATATATATAGTGAAATAATCACCACAATCCATCACCTCACTTGTGTGTGTGGTAAAACTACTTAGAATCTACTATTTTAGCAAATTTCAAGCGTATAGTACAGTACTCTTACCAATAGTTTTCATTCTATACATTAGATATCGATAATTTATTCATCTTGGAGAATTAAAACGTTGTACCCCTTGGCCAGGCACAGTGGCTCACGCCTGTGATCCCAGCAGTTTGGGAGGCTGAGGCGGAGGGATCACCTGAGGCAAGGAGTTCAAGACCAGCCTGGGCAACACAGCGAGACCCCCATCTCTACCAAGGATACAGAAGGTTAGCCAGGCGTGGTGGTGCACGCCTGTAGTCCCAGCTACCCAAGAGGCTGAGGTGGAAGGATTGACTGAGCTTGGGAGGTTGAGGCTGCAGTGAGCTGTGATCACACCACTGGGCTCCAGTCTAGGAGACAGAGCAAGACCTTGCCTCAAATAATTAAGTAAATTTGTTAATGCTTAAAAAAATGCTGAATAATATTTTATGATAGGTATATATCACATTTTCTCTATCCATTCATCCATCGATGAACATTTATGTTGTTTTCGTATCTTGGCTACTGTGAATAATGGTGCAATAAATATAGGCGTGCAACACCTCCTCAGTATTTTGATTTCAATTGCTCTGGCGAAGTATCCAGCAGAGAAATGCTGTGTCGTGTAGTTCCATTTTAATTTTTTGAGGAATCTCTATGCGTTTTTCAAAATGGCTGCACCAATCTGCATTTTTATTAATGGTATTCCAGGGTTCCTTTTTCTTCACGCCCTTCGAAGCACTTACCTTCGTTTGCCTTTGTTATCATCCTAACCAGAGAGGTGATGCCTCACTGTGATTTTAATGCGTTTTCCTCATGATTAGGTATGTGGAGCCTTTTTCTAAACCTGCCGTCCATTCCTGTGTCTTTGGAAAGATGTCTATTCGGCTCCCATGAGTCTGTGGGTCAGATCTGCAGCCATTTTGTTAGATCTGCGTGATGGCTGCTGTGAGCGCTCACAGCTTCCGGTGCTCCCGCCTCCTCCAAGACTATTCCGCCATTCCAGTCCCCTCGACGATCTGGTGCTGAGAGGCTGACGTGGGCAGTTTCCCCTGAGGCTGAGGAACCTGGGTGTTCCCTCTGCTTTCACTTTCCTCTGTGGGAGAGCTCGCAGCCCGCGGAGTCTCTCCTGGCACTGAACTGTGCCTCCCTGGGGAAGAAGAGATGCAGAAAGAAGAGAAAAGCTGTTCTTTCTCTTTTCTTCAAAAATCTTTTTTTTAATTTTCAAATATATTGCTTTATGCCATTTCAAAAACAAACCTGCACGTTGTGCACAAGTACCCTAAAACTTAAAGTATAATAATAATAAAATAAAAAAAGAAAAAATAAAAAAATAAAAATAAATGCAAGACACTGGGAATATATTGCAGATCAACATAACTCTCCCTGTCTCCAATGAGTCTAGACGTTTTGAGTAATAAAAAAGTGAAACAGGGCTAGTGAATAAAGCTTGATTATAGCATTCTGCTATACTATTACCTAATTTTGTAACTATTTCTTGTATCTTATTCTGCAATTTTTTGCTCGTTGTGGTGCTGGCAACTCTCACTGCACTTCTAGGTTGTCACAGAAATATTTCTGGTCCTGGATGGCGGTCACAGCTGATGTTTCTGTGGGGCTATGAGGAACAGAATCACGTAATCCACCGTCTTGGAATTCCACTCCTCCTGCCTTGGTTTTAGCGGTAATTTTTTAAACAAAAATTAAAGATTTTGAAAATATGAATCTGAGGGCAAGATAACACAAAAGTTTTTTTAAAAAATTAGATCTGACACAGTAAGTGACTCATTTGTTTGCGTCTTGCATTCTCCAGCTTGCATTCCTGCCCCCATGGCTTTGTCATCAACAGGATCCATCCAGTACTACATTCACCACGAACCTGAAGTCTAAGGGTTTGGGAGGCCATTGATGTTTATTGCTTGTACACTCAGTGTACAGATTTTGCAACTCTGTCCATCTTCCAGTTTGGAAACTATGTCCTGTTTCACTTTGGAAGTATACACATATTTTCATGAATATACGTGCAGTGCAAAAATATTTTCGGCCGGGCGCGGTGGCTCACGCCTGTAACCCCAGCACTTTGGGAGGCCGAGGCGGGCGGATCAAGAGGTCAGGAGATCGAGACCATCCTGGCTAACACGGTGAAACCCTGTCTCTACTAAAAATACAAAAAATTAGCCGGGCGTGGTGGCAGGCGCCTGTAGTTCCAGCTTCTCGGGAGGCTGAGGCAGGAGAATGGCGGGAACCCGGGAGGCAGAGGTTGCAGTGAGCCGAGATGGCGCCATTGCACTCCAGTCTGGGGGACAGAGTGAGACTCCGTCCCAAAAAAAAAAAAAAAAAAAAAAAAAAAAAAAAAATTCACATATAATTCATAAACCCAAAGACAAAACCTAGGTAAAAAATAAACTAATCTTATACCAAGTTAAGGTTTCACTAAACAAAGATGAATTATTCCCACAGAATAATCTGTAGATTATTCAGATTATGCAGATTATTCAGACTAAAAATGGTCTGAAATTTTCTGCAGAAATCTTCTACAGAGAAAAGAATGTTTCCTGTGGAATACTTCAGATAGAAAAGGGAGATACTGGTTCTTGCGTCCATTTCCACTTTTGGAATGTGGTAATTTGGTGCTGTAAATGAGGTATTTTGTTTGTTTGGCTTATTTTCTTTTGTTTTAGCACTAGTAAACATATATGGTTTATATATATTCATTTATTTCAATCCATTGAAATATTATTTGATGCTATAAATATTCCATTCTTTGTCAGTGGGATCCTTCATGATTGCCTTTCTGTTTAAGTCAAATGAATTTGAAGGTAATTGTGACTCCTTTGTTCTCTTGTATAATAAGGGGTTCTGAGTTCATTTCATGCATTCTGTCTTAATGTGGACTCACCTATTTCCTCAAACAGAAATAAAAAACATTTCACTATCTAAGTATATTTTAAGATTAAATATTTTCGATGATATATGTATTTACTATACATCGTCAAAATTATTTATTATAATAATCATATATATTATTTGATTATTTAAAAATTTTAAAAAATTATAATATAAAATGAGGTATATGCAATCGTCAAAATTCTTTATTACAGTAATAATTATAAATCAATATATTATATATCATATTTGATTATTTTAAAACATTAAAAATCTATAATATAAAATGATGTATAATATGTATTACTTATAAAACATAGTTAAATAATTTTGCTTAAAATTCAGTGGAAATAATTCACCTTTGTTTAGTAAAATCTTAATTTGGTGTTAAGATTAGTTTCATTACTCTTTTTACTTAGGTTTTGTCTTTAGGTTCATAAATCGTATGTGAAAATATTTTGGCACTACACCTATTCAAGAAAATATATGTCTATTTCCAAACTGAAACAACAAACAAAGCACAATGAGGTTAGTCTAGCTTCATCCCATCTCCTCTGCTGTTTTCTCCCTCCGTCACAAGTACCTAGGGTTTTGTTGTGGTTTTTGTTGTCGTTTTGATTTTGTTTTTATTTTTGTTGAAACGGAGTCTCGCTCTGTCACCCAGGCTGGAGTGCAATGGCACGATCTCAGCTCAATGCAACCTCCGCCTCCTGGGTTTAAGCCATTCTTCTGCCTCAGCCTCCCAAGTAGCTGAGTGTACCCAGTTTTAAAGGTTTTCATGTATTCTTTCATTTTTAAAATGTAAAATACAAACACACACACAGAAAAGCATAGCAATATACTAGTTCTCTCTGGCTCTTTCTCAAAGAAAGCTAATGACTAATAATGTCCTGAGTGTTGTCTTTTTCTTTTCTAACTCCCCACATAGCTATGTGTCCTGGAGGGTCATCCGTCAGGAGAACTTCCCCATGACATCCACAGCTGCCCAGTGCCCTATTGAGGGGACGCCTTGGGATTGATTCCGTTTCTCTTTGATCCAAGTCAGGTGGGTTACAGTCATGGTTTTACAAATAACAACTCCATAAGAAATAGCTTCGAACTTGTAAAAGACTTGTTTTTTGTTTTGTTTTGTTTTGTTTTGTTTTGTTTTGTTTTTGACAGATTCTTGCTCTGCCACCCAGGCTGTAATGAGTGCAATAGTGCGATCTTGGCTCACTGCAAGCTCCGCCTCCCGGGTTCATGCCTTTCTCCTGCCTCAGCCTCCCAAGTAGCTGGGACTACAGGCGCATGTCACCATGCCCAGCTAAATTTTGTATTTTTAGTAGAGATCAGGTTTGGCCATGTTGGCCAGGCTGGTCTCAAACTCCTGACCTCAAGTGATCCACCCGCCTCAGCTTCTCAAAGTGCTGAGATCACAGGCGTGAGCCACTGTGCCCAGCCATAAATACCGTATTTTATGTCACATTCACAGGCCAATTGGCTAAATTTAGATCTGGGCATCCCAGGGTGGAACTATCCAAGACCCAGTGCTGAATTCATTGTTACAGTCTGAGGATCCCCATACAAAGTGAGAGGCAGTAAGGGAGAAGTTGCTGGTCCATGGTCTCAGGGAAAACCCTCTAGATTCTCATGCATATCTCTGTTCAAGGCTAGATCAGGTCCAGTTCAGCTCATCTTTCCTGCAAGTAGGAGAGATGTCCTGACCTTGGTATTCTAGGGTGAAAATTTTGAAATCTCTTGGCACTACCGAGTTGGCAATGTTCATAAATCAGAAAAAGTGCTAAACTCCCACTGGGCAGTTTTATAGATGAGCTTTTGGTGAAGAATTTCTTAGTAAAGTGAAGTTCAATCGGCAATACTGTCTCAAAGGTGGAGCATATGTTTTTTTTTAAAAAAAAGAACATTAACGGCAAGCTTCCCGAAGAAATCTTGAGATAGAAATAGAAGAAAAATGAAAAATGTATAATAATATAGACCATCCTCCTGACATTATTATCTTGATGACTGGTTAAGAGTAATGATCAGGGCCGGGTGCGGTGGCTCACGCCTGTAATCCCAGCACCTTGGGAGTCCGAGGCGGGTAGATCACGAGGTCAGGAGTTCAAGACCAGCCTGGCCAAGACAGTGAAACCCCATCTCTGCTAAAAATACAAAAATTAGCCAGGCATGGTGGCAGGTCCCTGTAATCCCAGCTACTCAGGAGGCTGAGGCAGAGAACTGCTTGAACCTGGGAGGTGGAGGTTGCAGTGAGCTGAGATCACACCACTGCACTCTGACAAAGCGAGACTCCGCCTCAAAAAAAAAAAAAAAGAGTAATGATCAAGCAGTTCAGAGGGTCAATATTATCAGATGCTTCAGAGAATTCCAGGCTGAGAAATAACAATAAAAGCCAAGTTAATGTTTCCAATGACTTAACTAGCTTTATATCTGCACCACACACTTCAGTTCACCTTTCAAGTGTCTTCATAAAATCAATTAACTAAAATTAATCCATTAAATATAAGTTAGAACAAAATACACTTAAGCTTTTAATTAAGACAACCAAATGTATTCAACTTCATTGGAAACAAAAAGAATATGAAGCACCAGTTAAAAGCAGTGTGTTGTACTCAATGTAGGATTCTTGATTGTGATTCATTTGAAAGACTATTCCCAGATTCATTTGTACTAAATCATGCTGTTTGTTTAATGTGTTGTGTAGCATTTTCTGAGTGGTATTCTATTTACAATATACAAAGTTACTCTAACAAATTAATTTATAAGTGCATTAATATCACATATTATTTGTAGCATAATAAATTCAAAATATTTTTGCACCCACATCTTTTCACCAGCAGCAAGATAACTTGAGTTATAGCACAAAATAGTTGAATATTTCTATGTCAAAATAAGTTTCTTGGGAGGTATGTAAAACCTTGTCGCATAGGATGAAATGTGTGGATGGAAGAATCTGAGAATCAGAAATGCCCAAATAGTTCTGAACTTTCCAGGACAAAAGAAGCAATTTAGTCCACTTGTACTTGCTAAAGTCAAGCAAATTTCTTGCAAAGTCTTCTTCTGCAGCTGCACCAAAAAATTACCTACACCATTGGAATTCGACAGGATTAGTAAAGACCAATATATGAAAATTCTGGCTATAAAAATAGTTTACAAAATTATCTTATAGATCAAAAAAGAATCTCTCTATATACATCTGTTTTCAACACCAGTAGACTACTTCTTAGCTTAAATATAAATTACTAGAGTATAATTAAATTTAAAACACCAAGAAGAAATAGGCCAAGGAATAATTAGGAGGCGCTTTTTTGTAATACATACTTTAAGTTTTAGGGTACATGTGCACAACGTGCAGGTTTGTTACATATGTATACATGTGCCATGTTGGTGTGCTGCACCCACTAACTCGTCGTTTAACATTAGGTATATCTCCTAATGCAATGTTCTCTTGTCAAACTAATACATAAATATTGTTACCATCATGATCCTCTTTGCAGAATAAAAAGGAAATGTGTCCTCCACCTAATGTTAGTAGGCTGAATATTTGCAATTCCCTTACTTCTCCTGACAAATAAAACCAGTTAACTAGAAACTTCGGCATTTCTAGAAGAGAATAGGGCATGCAAATACCAGCTGGTGGTGTTTTATCTGAAACCACACTTTAGCTATGACTCAAAACTCAGTTCCTTCTGTCTCTCAAACAAACAAACAAAATTCATGGCACATGTGTGTATAGAAACACACATACACTACATAAGTATGAATTCAGAGAGAGAGGGGATGGGGGTTGGGGGAGATGAGCAATTAGTTTTCTAGGCTGTCATAACAAATTATTATTGGGTGGCTTAAGACAACATAAATTTATTCTCTCAGAGTTGCGAAGCTAAAAATCAAGGTGATGGCAGGGCCAGGGCCAGCGTTCTCTCTGGAGGCTCTTGGGGAGAACCCTCCCTTGCCCTTTCCAGCTCTGGGTGGCTGTTGGCATTCCCTGTGGCTCCTTCAGATAGAGAGATTAACTGATGAACAGATCCATAGGAATACAGGTAAATAGGTAGGCAGATAGATAAGTCAATGAGTCGATTCACAAAGTCTGCCATATTTGACATTGTCGGATTCCATGGTTTTTCCTGTTTTCCAGCTAAGTTCCATGAGACCTGTAGATGGATTTATTGGTACAATTTAGTTGAGCTAAATTATCTGCCAGGAGGGGATGGATGGATCTACAATATAATTATGTATTTGACTAAGCGACTCTTTAACTTGTGATTAAACCTTTTCAAAAATTAAAAAAAAAATGCATGTTAGACATTAAAGTGACCACTCTGATTCCCAAGCTGAGTTACAAGGTTATTGAAAGAGAAGTGGATACAGGAATCCCAGGACATCATAAGGAGAGGCTGCTGGAAAGACACCCCCTAGAGAAACACAGGACCAAGGACCTGCCGGAAATGAAGAAGGTTATAGTGCCTAAACACGTGAAGAGCGTGTAATTGCAGATTTTGCTTACGTGTCTGGAAAGATGTTTGTGGGTGTGTTTGCTTGTTTGTTTTTGCCAGAAAAATTGGGTCATGGTGTTTATATATTTAGAGAATTTTTTTTTAACTGTGTGAAGTAGAAACTTCCGGAACGACAGAGCTGGGGCATGGGGCAAACCATTCCCCAGGAACAAGGGAGAAGCTGGACGAAATGCTCCAAAACAACCACCTCAGGAAGCCCAGGGCTCACACAAGCTGAGAAGCGTCTGCCCACGAACACGGCTGGACTTCAGCAATGAGAGTGCGTCCATGGTGCTGCTGCTGGTGAACTCTGATGGAGCGACAGTGCCTCTGCCCCGATAGGGGTTCTGCCCTGGCTATAGGCGCTCTTCACCTGGAGCGCTGTCTATAAACATGGCCAGGGCAGGGGAACGTTGCAGCTGTGGCCGTGCAGGCTTTGGAGCCAGGTGCATGGCAGCGCTGGAATCGTAACCACAACCCTTCACAGAACGCTGAGTCTGGGAGTCCAACCTCGGTGGGTGGAGGCTCAATGATCTCAACTTTAAAAGCTGGGTTGCTCCCCACCTCTAAGGTGTGCCGTGAGGATCCGCTAAGAAGATTCGGGATAATGGGTGCGCATAACGTTTTGGGTTTTTTTGTTTTGTTTTGTTTTTTGTTTTGTTTTTTATCTGAGACAGACTCTTGTTCCGCTACCCAGGCTGGAGTGCATTGGCACAATCTCGGGTCACTGCAACCCCCACCTCTCAGGTTCAAGCGATTCTCCTGCCTCAGCCTCCCGAGTAGCTGGGATTACAAGTGCCTGCCAACAGGCCCAGCTAATTTTTGTATTTTTAGTAGAGATGGGGTTTCACCTTGTTGGCCAGGCTGGTCTTGAACTCCTGACCTCAGGTGATCCTCCCTCCTCAGCCTCCCAAAGTGCTGGGCATACAGGCGTGAGCCACCGTGCCTGACTGATTTTTGTATTTTTAGTAGGGACAGGGTTTCACTATGTTGGCCAGGCTGGTCTTGAACTCCTGACCCCAGGTGATCCGCCCGCCTCACCTCCCAAAGTGCTGGGATTACAGGCATGAGCCACCGCACCTAACTAATTTTTGTATTTTTAGTAGGGATGGGGTTTTGCCATGTTGGCCAGGCTGGTCTTGAACTCCTGATCTCACGTGATCCACCCGCCTTGACCTCCCAAAGTGCTGAGATTACAGGCGTGAGCCACTGCATCCGGCCAAACATTTTGTAAAGGAAAAATAGAACAAAACCTCAGGACTCCCAAATTCCTAATGTAAAAGGGGAGGTCAGCCTGGAGGCTGAGTCAGCGGCACCCTCTTCCAGTTGGACAGCGGTTGCTGGCATTTGGCATCAGCCAGATCCCCCACGGGAAGAGGCTCCGGGCATCCACCGAGGCCCTCACACATCATTCATAAGGAAATTCCTTGCTGGCCTCCAGGTCTGCAATCTAAGTCTAGCTAAAACTCAGGTCTGTTTTATTCCACACTGATAATGTCCGTTACAAGCTTATCTTCCCAGGCACAGAGCAAAGACAAGATGAGATCAGCCATTCTTCCACCTACCCAGAGACGTCTGCGTAATTGATTTTTCCTTTACTCCCCTTTTCTCTTCAAGCATGCACCTTATCTTAGGTAAAAGGTAGATTTACTGGGCAGTAACTGGAACCATTCACCTCACCACCTACCTGCCCCTCGGCCTCTGTGCCTGTCTTTCTTTAAGGAAATGAGTAAAGAATAAATCTTCGGAGAGCCTCTTTGGAAAAAGGAGACACAGATGTGTCTGTGGCTTGCGTTTTTCCCGGCTGTGCCTTAAAGCTGGCTTAATAATGCCTCCATTGAGGCCGGGCGCGGTGGCTCGCGTCTGTAATCCCAGCACTTTGGGAGGCCGAGGCAGGCGGATCACGTGAGGTTGGGAGTTCCAGACCAGCCTGACCAACATGGAGAAACCCCGTTTCTACTAAAATACAAAATTAGCCGGGCGTGGTGGCGCATGCCTGTAATCCCAGCTACCCGGGAGGCTGAGGCAGGAGAATCGCTTGAACCCGGGAGGCGGAGGTTGCAGTGAGCTGAGATCGTGCTGTTACACTCCAGCCTGGGCAACAACAGCAAAACTCCGTCTCTAATAATAATAATAATAATAACAATAACAATAATAATCCTCCATTGATTGAGACTTTTGCCTCGGTCACTCATTCTGGTCGTCAGTTTGATGATGCTCCTGACTCTGCTGTGTCCACGTCCGCAGCTCAGGCTCTACTGAGAGATGCCCGCCCACCCACGTCCTGACTCTGAGGGACAGGGTGCAGGTCTGCGGTGAGGGGACAGCAGAGGGTCCGTGGTCCTGCGTAGGGCCGTCCCGTCCTCCACAGGACCAGAATGTCCTTTAAAAGGCTAAAGCTGCAGGGCGCTACGTCACTAGCACCCAGGATGAGGCGGAGTCAGCCTTGTCTGTCTCTTCCCGCCAGTGGACATCATTTTTCCAGGCAGTCTGGGGGTGTATCCAAGAGTCTTGGCCCTGCCACAGCCCAGGCTGCCTGGCCCTGTGCAGAGAGCGGGTGGGCAGGGTTTTACAGAATCTCAGATGCTGCTCCTGGCTGTCGGAGAGCCCTCAACTCAGCGTTTCCCCAACAACACGGTGACATGGCGGAAGAACCAGGCGCACCTCGTGACCATCTGTGCTATGCCGTCTACACACATGCATGCACACACACACGCACACTCATACAATCTCACACACACTCACATACACACACACAACATGCACACACATACAATCTCACACACTCACATACACACATGCGCACTCACACACAATCTCACACACACACGCACACACACCATGCAAACACTCATACAATCTCACATGCACACACGCACACACAATCTCAGACACACACAACATGCACACACATACAATCTCACACACTCACATACACACACGCACACACAACACACACACACATACATATACTCACACACACTCATACACATACAAATAAACCCACACAGAAACACACTCAAACTCACACACACACACCTACACACACACACACACCTCCCCACATACACACAGATGCATGCAAATGCAACTACAGAGAGAGAAACAAAAACACACAAATTCAAACACGTACAGACAAAAACACACAAATATACACAGACACAAAAATACAAACATGCATACATATACACACCCAAACACATACAAACACACACACACAAGCACACACAGAAACACCCCTACAAACGCACACGCAGCTCTGCACAGAATTTTGGAACTTGTCTGAACCCACTGGGCTCCAACCTGCGATCAGGATGTCCAGGGGGTCCCTGGGGGCCGAGCACTCGGAGGAGAGGTTGTGTGCACCATACGTAGCATCTGTATTGGCCCCCTTGGGAGCGGCTCACAGGGCCCAGGGGGAAGTTGGCCTGGGAGAGCCCAGCCTCGGGCTGCTGGCCAGGGCGCTGGAGGAAGTCACGTGCCCCCTCCTAGTACACAGCGAATCTGTGGTAGCCGACATCAGAGCTGCACTGGAGGGTCAGTCCACGCAGGGTCCTTGGGGGTCAGGAGGGAGGGCTTCCTAGACACACATGGAGGGAACAATGACCTGAA
Source organism: Homo sapiens (assembly GCF_000001405.40). Classification (NCBI taxonomy): domain Eukaryota; kingdom Metazoa; phylum Chordata; class Mammalia; order Primates; family Hominidae; genus Homo; species Homo sapiens. The sequence goes on along the minus strand of NC_000019.10, from coordinate 54,551,947 downwards.
ACTGGAGGAGGCGGCTCCTCACAGACACCTCAGACCCTCCTCCGGACTTCCCATCTCATTATCTCTCATGGCTTATGGGAAAATGAGCTATTTTTGAGACCGTTTATGGTATAATGTAGGTTTGCTGAGGATCTCCCCAACAGCTCTGAAAGAATGTATTATATCTTTTTTAGGTCTTCAGAGTCTAAGGTGCTTTTGGGAACATTTGTTGAAAATATTTTTGCTGACGATGTTAAGAACCTGTTGAAAGGTTATTCTTAGGAGAGATACTGGAGAAGTGGGTCTCCATATTCAAATGACCTGGAGAAACCCCAAGAGGATGATTATTCATTAGAGCGGCAAGTATTTAGCATAATGCCGTTGAACCTGACTGTATCTAGAAGACACACACACACACACACATGCACACAAACAACCCTATGCACAACTAGTAAATAGCAAGCTCGGCTTTCATGTGGTTTTACACTTTCATGCAGATACGGAGGTGTTTGTGGAGGGGTCTCTGTGGGTTTCCCGTGAGTACAGAGAAGGAACAGCTGTGTGTGTGTAATGGGCACTGTAATTTCTAAAAATATAACTCACTGTAAGCAAGGTATTTGAGGACACACTGCCATTACAAAATGTTCCCAAATCTGGTGGCTCACGCCTGTGATCCCAGCACTTTGGGAGGCCGAGGCGGGCGGATCATGAGGTCAGGAGATTGAGACCATCTTGGCTAACACGGTGAAACCCCATCTCTACTAAAAAAATACAAAAAATTAGCCGGGCGTGGTGGCGGGCGCCTGTAGTCCCAGCTACTCGGGAGGCTGAGGCGGGAGAATGGTGTGAACCCGGGAGGCGGAGCTTGCAGTAAGCCCAGATCACGCCACTGCACTCCAGCCTGGGCGACAGAGCGAGACTCCGTCTCAAAAAACAAACAAACAAATAAAAAGTTCCCAAATTTGCCTCTGATGATTAAACATTACTGAAGTCCTAGATCTGTGCACACTTCCCTGAAACTTAGCATCACTCAGAGTTGCCAAGAGGCACATCATGTAACCTGGGATGAGTTCACAGCGCATGGTGGGCCTGAGACTAAGCTCAGGTATCTAAGCAGACTCAAATTAGGAACTTCGTCATTCTTGCACCGGAAATTATGGTTTTGTTGCTCAAATATTCTAAGTCAGAGAATGGGAAAGGAAAAAAATGGAGAAATCATGATTTTATATATATATATATATTTTTTTTTTTTTTTTTTTTTTTTTTTTTTTTTGAGACGGAGTCTCGCTCTGTCACCCAGGCTGGAGTGCAGTGGCGTGATCTCGGCTCACTGCAAGCTCTGCCTTCCAGGTTCACGCCATTCTTCTGCCTCGGCCTCCCGGGTTGCTGGGGCTACAGGTGCCCACCACCATGCCCGGCTAATTTTTTTGTATTTTTAGTAGAGACGGGGTTTCACTGTGTTAGCCAGGATGGTCTCAATCTCCTAATCTCATGATCTGCCCACCTTGGCCTCCCAAAGTGCTGGGATTACAGGCGTGAGCCACCACTCCCGGCCATCATCATGATATTTTTAAAAGTTAAAAATATCAACTCGTTTTCTTTTTTAAAAAAAATAATGCAAGCTAGTAAACTACAAAAAGTTCAACATAAAATAAAAGCAACCTTCGTGACTTATATTTACTGAGTTGGTGGATAAGCAAGAATTAGGACCTGGCTCTGGGTAGCTGGGAATGGAGGTGCTGTTCTCAGCGTGCAAATCTACATTGACTGTTTTCAGGAGCTTTCATTGTAGAGACCTAGGGAACAGCTCCTCATAACGGCCGCAGGGATGGTCATTCTGACTTCCCGTTCCACTGCACATCTGTCCTGTGCAGCTGAGAGGCGAGGCTGTGGCTCACTGCAGCATTATTGCACACGAGTGCTGTTCTGCCCCATAGAAGGCTCCAGACTACGCTCCACATTTAGGTCTTTTTCTTTCTATCTACCCTTTTCCAGTCAAAATGTTCATTTTGTGTTTAAGCTGTGGTGGACAGTGAACCCCCTACACACATTCCAGGGACTGGAAGCCTGCACACGGCTCATGTATCCCCTCACTTCGGGGCCTAGGTGCTGGCCGGGGATGTTAATGTTTCTGCCTGTCCAGGTAGCAGTGAGGGAGCCAAGGAGCGGTGCTGCGGGAATTCGCCAAAGCTCAGAATGTAATCATTTCCCAGGAAGCAGAGAGTCTAGGGGGAATGAATCTTCCTGGGGCCCTGAGCGAAGACAGAGGCATCAAAGGGACCCACATCCATGATGAGAGAACGCAGAACAGAAAGATTCCGTCAACAGCCACCCCGTGGGCAAGGCCGTCTTCCCTGGTGTGTTACCGGCTTCTGCTCAGTGAGACAAGTCCTGGTGGTGATAGGAGCTCGGCTGCATCACAGTCCTCCACCTGCGACCTGATGGTCTTGAGTGGCCGCTCCTCAGGGTGGGAAATGCTCTGCATGTCCCTGTGGCAGGGAAGTGCTCGGGTGCACGTTGCCCATGGTCACCTCTGTCGTGCTCTGAATCCCTGACACTCCAGACTGGATCCAGCAGAAGAGACGCTGACAGAGACTCCCTGGATCACAGAGCAGCGTGGTGACCCGAAGCAGAACAGGAGACTCATCTGTCCTCAGAAGTGATTCACCTGCAGCATGCGCCCTAGCCCGCGTCCACAGTCCAGAAACAGAACCAGAGACTCCTCTGCCAGGTGAATGTCCAAGGGGCTGCTCGGGGAAAGGCGCTGAGGCTGTTCCGGGAAACACGTGAGATGCGTGTGCACCCAGATCTCCACGTGTGGCTCTTACGTGATGGGATGGAAGCTGATTGGTGCTGCTGCCCCAAGGTTGTCAGTGCCCTCGACTGGAGGACAAACACCAACCCCGCCATCCCTGGATGGACAGACAGGTATAAAGACGCCGGCTATGCAAGGGTTCTGCAGGGAGCACCTGCAGTTCACGTGGTTCAACAACCCCAGTTGCCCCACAGTTGAGACCAGCCTGGTTGGTATCATGCAGGTGACTAAGCCTTAAAAAATGTTAAGACTGGGCCGGGCTCGGTGGCTCACGCCTGGAATCCCAGCATTTCGGGAGGCCGAGGCGGGTGGATCATAAGGTCAGGTGTTCAAGACCAGCCTGGCCAACATGGTGAAACCCCGTCTCTACTAAAAAAAAAATACAAAAATTAGCCGGGTGTGGTGGCAGGTGCCTGTAATCCCAGATACTCAGGAGGCTGACGCAGGAGAATTGCCTGAACCCAGGGGGTGGAGGTTGCAGTGAGCTGAGATTGGGCCACTGCACTCCAGCCTGGCAACAGAGTAAGACTCTGTCTCAAAAAAAAAAAAAAAAAAAAAAAAAAAAAAAAAGTTAAAATTGAAGCTGGAAGCCATCATTCTCAGCAAACTAACACAGGGACAGAAAACCAAACACCACATGTTCTCACTCATCAGTGGGAGTTGAACAATGAGAACACATGGACACAGGGAAGGGAACAACACACACCAGGGCCTGTCTGGGGGTAGGGGAAGGGGAGGGAGAACATTAGGACAAATACCTAATGCGGGGCTTAAACCTAGATAACAGGTTGATAGGTGCAGCAAACCACCATGGCACATGTATACCTATGTAACAAACCTGCACGTTCTGCACATATATCCCAGAACTTAAAGTAAAATAAGTAAATAAGAGTACAACGTGAGAGTTTTGAGAGAACTATTAACTTTTTGGTTATCTCAAATTTAAACCTGTCAAATGATTGTCAAGAATTTGAAGTATTCAAAAACTAAAAGTAAATACAGTAAAAATAAAATCAAAAGAAAGTATGAAGGAACATGGAAAAATGGACAAACCAGGAGAGTAAGTGCAAACAGGCCGGGCACGGTGGCTCACGCCTGTAATCCCAGCACTTTGGGAGGCCGAGGCGGGCAAATCACGAGGTCAGGAGTTCGAGACCAGCCTGGCCAACAGTGTGAAACCCCATATCTACTAAAAATACAAAAATTAGCTGGGCATACTGATACGCACCCATATCACTCATATATGGGATTACATATGAGTAATCCCATAGACTCAGGAGACTGAGGCAGGAGAATCACTTGAACCCAGGAGGTGGAGTTTGCAGTGAGCTGAGATCGCACCATTGCACTCCAGCCTGGGTGACAAGAGCGAAACTCCATCCCCCCGCCCCACAAAAAAAGTGCAAACAATTTTCGTCCCAAATAATTATGAAATTTATAATTTCTCAGGGCACATAATGTTTCTTGATAGAAAGGAAAATGAAGAGTAAAACACTCATGTGTGGAAAGTTGGTTGATTCATTTTTCCACCAGATAAATGTTGAAGCTACACTTAACTATGAAGTGTAGGAACATGGAATACTTGAATTATCTTATCAGGTCACATTTATCATTGGTTGTAAATCACTTTTTAAAATGCTCACTTTTGGCCAGGTGCAGTGGCTCATGCCTGTAATCCCAGCACTTTGGGAGGCCGAGGCAGGCAGATCACAAGGTCAGGAGTTTGAGACCAGCCTGACCAACATGGTGAAACCCTGTCTCTACTAAAAATACAAAAAGTAGCCAGGTGTGGTGGTGGGTGCCTGTAATCTCAGTTACTCCAGAGGCTGAGGCAGGAGAATCGCTTGAACCCGGGAGGTGGAGGCTGCAGTGAGCTGAGCTCATGTCACTGTACTCCAGCCTGGGTGACAGAGAGAGACTCCAGAAAAAAAAAAAATGCTCACTTTCTGTTATTTTTGAGAGGATGGTGTGGAAGCAAAATTAAAATCATTTCTGGCTTGCATAGTTTCCCTTTAGCATCAGTTGACTCTGCGGCATAACCACCCTGTGTGCAGAGGCTCAGAGAGAAGACACGTTTTGGTCTTTCACTTTTACCCTGCTTATCAAAACGAGATTGCTGCAGGACCAACCTAGCTGTAGAATATACAATAGTAAGGGTAGGGCCGTCATGCAAATAGCCAGGCTGGGAGTGTGCCTGCCATTCACCCTCACATCCACTAACCAGCATTTGTCTCTTAGCTCACATATCCCAGACTGTAGAGGAAGCATGATCCTCCCTTTGGCCCAGGGAGACAGAGAAACTACTTCTGGGTAACATCAGAGGATCTCTGATGTTTGCTCCACGCTCTGCTCCCTGGAAGGGTTGGGTGTCCTCATCACTTACCAGACCTGAGTTGCTGATACCTCCTCCTATGGGCAGGATCCTTGGAGGGTTGCATTGAGTCCCAGAGGTTAATCAGACTCAGTCCTGCCTCAAAAATCTCATAGTCCCATCCTGGCCAACATGGTGGAACCCCGTCTCTCCTAAAAATGCAAAAATTAGCGGTGCGTGGTGGCACGCACCTGTAGTCCCAGCTACTCGGGAGGCTGAGGCAAGAGAATCTCTTGAACCTGGGAGGCAGAGATTGCAGTGAGCTGAGGTCACACCACTGCACTCCAGCCTGGCAACGACAACAACAAAAAAAACTCACAGTCCACACATGAAAGACCAGTGGGGATCAGGCCATAAAAACTCAGCCTATTGGGCACAGACACTGTGAGTCAATCAACCTCCTCACTTAGCCTATGAGATAAAGACATGTGTATGAAGGTGGATGTCTGCACTGAGATGCTCAAAAAAGGGAGATAATTACCAGGTGAAGAAACAGCATGTGACAATTCCATGAGCCAGTGACAGCTCGTTGCAGGCAGCAGTTTGTGAATTGCTCTGGGTAGGTGCCAATTCAAGTAGAAAGAAACAGAATAAAGGCTCAGAGGAAGACGTCATCAGAAAGCAGCTTCCAGAGCATGTTCTGTGCGGAGAATGGATGTGTGCTTTCTCTCCATGTGAAACCAGGGGACGAGAAAAGGTACAAATAGGAGGTTGTCATGAGCGTCTGTGTGAAGAGACCACCAAACAGGCTTTGTGTGAGCAACAAGGCTGTTTATTTCACCTGGGTGCAGGTGGGCTGAGTCTGAAAAGAGAGTCAGCAAAGGGTGGTGGGATTATCATAAGTTCTTATAGGTTTGAGATGGGCGTACAAAGTACATTCTCAAGGGCGCGGAGAATATTACAAAGTACCTTCTTAAGGTCGTGGAGGGGGCTGGCGTTGGGGGGAGGATATTACAAAGTACCTTCTTGGCGGGGGGTGGGTGGCAGTGGGGAGAAATATTACAAAGTACCTTCTTTTTTTTTTTTTTTTTTTTTTTTTTTTTGAGACAGAGTCTTGCTCTATCGCCCAGGCTGGAGTGCAGTGGCGCGATCTCAGCTCACTGCAAGCTCTGCCTCCTGGGTTCACGCCATTCTCCTGCCTCAGACTCCCAAGTGGCTGGGACTACAGGCACCCGCCACCATGCCCAGCTAATTGTTTTGTATTTTTTTAGTAGAGACGGGGTTTCACCACATTAGCCAGGATGGTCTCGATCTCCTGACCTCGTGATCCACCCACCTCGGCCCCCCAGAGTGCTGGGATTACAGACATGAGCCACCGCACCCAGCCTCGAAGTACCTTCTTAAGGGGAGGGGAGAATATTACAAAGTACCTTCTAAAGTTGTGGGGGAGAATATTACAAAGTACCTTCTTAAGGGGAGGGGAGAATATTACAAAGTACCTTCTAAAGTTGTGGGGGAGAATATTACAAAGTACCTTCTAAAGTTGGGGAGAATATTACAAAGTACCTTCTAAAGTTGTGGGGGAGAATATTACAAAGTACCTTCTTAAGGCGGGCGAGCGGGGGCAGGGCGGTGGGGGGTAAGGGGGCGAGGAATATTACAAAGTACCTTCTTGGGCGGGGCAGAATATATGGTATCAGTTAGTGGGGCGGGAACAAGTCACAGTGGTGGAATGTCATCAGTTAAGGCTATTTTCACTTCTTTTGTGAATCTTCAGTTGCTTCAGGCCATCTGGATGTGTACGTGCAGGTCACAGGGGATAGGATGGCTTAGCTTGGGCTCAGAGGCCTGACAGAGGTGACCTTCTCAAAGTTTGGGAGAAAATCTCTATGGCAGAAATTTGCATGAGGATAAGAGGTGATAAGACACTCCACAAGAGAACTCTGCTTGTTCCCCGCATTTCGTAAGATAAAGACATGTCACCATTGATGTGAAATATTATCGTTTTGTTACATTAGGTCTCTTCCAGGAGCCTGCACTGCATGAGAAAATAGGCTCTGCATCTTCAAATTTGCACCTTTAATCTAGAACAGCTAGAACTTCCTCTGACAAGGAAAACATTTTGTGTTCATGCTATTCTCTCCCACAGCCAGCAGCCACACGTGGCTCTGAGAACTCAAATTGTGGCCATGTGGCTGAGGAACTGAATTTTAAACTTCATGGAATTTGATCTATTCTAATTCTAAGTTAAAAAGCCATATTTGGCTAGTGGCTACCATATTAGATGACTCAGATATAGAATACACTTCATCTCTGCAAAATTTTGTTGAGTAACAGCAAAGACGTGGAATCAACCCAAATGCCCATCAATGATAGACTGGATAAAAATAAAGTTGTACATATACACCACGGAATACTACGCAGTCATAAAAAGGAATGAGATCATATCATTTGCAGAGACATGAATGAAGCTAGAAGACATTATCCTCAGCAAACTAATGCAGGAACAGAAAACCAGACACCGCATGTTTTCACTTATAAGTGGGAGCTGAACAATGAGAACACATGGACACAGGGAGGGGAACACATTCACTGGGGCCTGTCAGAGGAGGGCAGGGGGTATGGAGAGCATTAGGGAAGAGAGCTAATGCCTGCTGGGCTTAATACCTAGGTGACGGTTTGATAGGTGCAGCAAACCACCATGGCACACGTTTACCTACGTAACAAACCTGCACATCCTGAGCATGTACCCCAGAACTTTAAAAAAATTTTTTTAAAAAAACCTTATTGAGTAATTTAGAGATTAAACTGGCTGAGCATATACATCGGCTTTCCAGAAGCATGTCTGTAGAGTTTCAGGATAACTCAGATGATATTAATGAGATATCCAGGATGAGTGTGTGGGTAGAGTCAAATCACCTTAAATGGTTGGATGCTCAAAATAGAATTGTAGAATGGCTAGTTGTCTGTTCAGCAGTGCTGGAATTTTAAGATAATCCCACAAGCATTCAGACACTGCTGTTGCCAGCTTCGAGGTGTCAAGATGGTACCAGAAGGAGGAAGAATGTCCGTGGAAAAAAAATCCTCCTAGGAATAGATCCAGGTCCTTGCGTATTAATGCCCTTTGTGCCAAAGACTGGGGGCAGCTCTGGCCTCAGCCTGGGCTTGGTGGACAGTGATGTAGATACTAGGATCCTCCGAGAGGTAGTGGGGACACTGGGAGGCAGGAGGGAATCCTGTCTGTGAGAGGGCCTGGTGGTTTAACTGGGCATATATGATCTCCTGTGTCTCTTCTGCTGCAGGCTCCTGAGAGGATGAAGGTGAAAAGAGGAGCATATTTAGTGGCTGAAGGCAGGGGCACTGGGAATGGGAGGGGATGAAGCTGTGGTGATGGTTTCGGCTGGGAGAACTCACCTCTTCATCCGTCCGTTGGCCTTCCGTGGGCTCTGTGTTTGCCATGGTGGTGTCTGTGGGGTGAAAAAGAAAGTCTTCCAGATCTTCACTTCAGAGGTGGCAATACCAAGACCAAAACAAGGCAAGGGCGTGCCTGAGGCTGCAGCGTGATCCAGCCTCCCCCACTAAATTCAGAGAACCACCCATCAGCAACCTTGGGGCAATCTTGACTGCCCCAGGACCGCTCCGATAGATGGCCCCCATCCTTCTGCCTCTCTCATGGACCATCTCCTGCAGGTCAGTGGCCTCCCCAGAGGTGAGGTGGAGGTAGGGGAGGGGTTGGGGTGATTGGTCAGTGAAGGGAAGGAGCAGGGTTTCTCCATCAAGAACCTCAACGGAGGCCGGGCACACTGGCTCACGCCTGTAATCCCAGCACTTTGGGAGGCCGAGGCGGGCGGATCATGAGGTCAGGAGATAAAGACCATCCTGGCTAACATGGTGAAATTCCATCTCTACTAAAAATACAAAAAATTAGCCGGGCATGGTGGTGGGCACCTGTAGTCCCAGCTAATCGGGAGGCTGAGGTGGAAGAATGGCGTGAGCCCGGGAGGCAGAGCTTGCAGTGAGCCGAGATAGCGCCACTGCACTCCAGCCTGGGTGACAGAGCGAGACTCCATCTCAAAAAAAAAAAAGAACCTCAGCGGAAACACAGATCAACCCACAGGACGTGAATAGCACCCCCGTGCGCCAGTCACATCCCCACGGGGCTCACATGATACTGTCCTCCCCTCCCTGAGACTTACGATATTTTATGTAACACCAGAAACCAATAAAAGCAGAGAGGCAAACGCCAATGGAGATGATGGCTACTGAGAGTCCAGTGAGCATATGCAGGTTGCTGGACTGTCCTTGAGGGCGAGGTGTGTCTGTCAAGAAGCAAATGATAAACCCTCTCATTGACTGGTTGCCTGTTTTGTGCCAATACATACTGAACACACAACATGCTTTATCTGAAGCTCTTCCAAGATCCCTACACCCGAACAGTTACTTTCTCCATTTTCCATCACTTACACAAAAAATTCCAAGAGAAGTGAAGACACGTGTCCAAATCAAATGGCCAGTAAGAGAGATGCAGAGGCCTGGTGTGGTGGTTCACACCTGTAATCCCAGCACTTTGGGAGGCAGAGGTGGGCAGATCACCTGAGGTCAGGAGTTAGAGACCAGCCTGGCCTACATGGCAAAACTCCGTCTCCACTAAAAACACAAAAATTAGCCAGGCGTAGTGGTACACGCCTGTGATCCCAGCTACTCAGAAGGCTGAGGCAGGACAATCGCTTGAACCCAGGAGGCAGAGGTTGTAGTAAGCCGAGATTGTACACAGGGTGGGTGACAGAGCAAGACTCCATCTCAAAAAAAAAAAAAAAAGAAAAAAAAAAGGAGAGACATGGAGGTCTGAACCCAGGCCTACCAGGCTCCAGTGTGCCTCCCCTCCCACTTCCTCATGAGACAAGACAGTTTGTTTTTGCATGACAAAGGAAACCCTCTGCATGTACCATAGCTGAATACCATTTCCCTCGTCCCTTCTCAGCCCAGGACAAATACACTTTCTGAGAATGGAGATAGAGGTGGCCAGAGGATGACTCTCATGCCAGTTTCTGAGAATTGAACTTGCTCCAAACAATGTTGGTGTTTTTCTGAGTAATGAGTAAGAGCAGGTGGGTGGAGGATTCAGGAGAGAAAAAGGGGAGGGGGCACAGGCTATGTCACATAGGAGCATACCCTCCGTACCAGGACCCATGCTGAGAGGTGGTGGGAGGACTTCCACATGTGTGGACACATCTCATCACTCTCTCATCCATGATATAGTCCTTGAAAGAGAAAAGACTGTAGCCAGCCGTACTCTTGGGCTCAATTCTAGACATGTCTGCTACTTCTAGACATTCAACTTGGGAAGCTTTTCTTTCTTCTCTTTCCTACTTTTTTTTTTTCCATAAGGAGGGAGGCATCATTAGCCCAATATTCTATCCAACAACTTGGATGCTTTGGCCAGGTGCCATGGCTCATGCCTGTAATCCCAGCACTTTGGGAGGCACAGACAGGCTGATCACTGGAGTTCAGGAGTTCAAAACCAGCCTGACCAACATAGTGAAACCTGTCTCTACTAAAAATACAAAAATTAGCCGGGCGTGGTGGCAGACACCTGTAATCCCAGCTACTTGGGAGGCTGAGGCAGGAGAATCACTTGAAACTGGGACATTGCAGTAAGCCAGTTTCATACCACTGCACTCCAGCCTGGGCAACACAGAGAGACTCTGGCTCAAACAAAAAGAAGAAAACAAAAGAAAAAAGAAAAGAAAAGAAAACGGATGCTTTCCAAGATGAGTGACCATAACTAGCAGAGCCATCCATTGAGCCCAAGTGTCTGATTATAATCTTTTCTCTTTCAAGGACTATGTCTCGTTCCCCCATAAGGCTCCCTGCTGAGTTGCTACTTCTCTGATAGCCCAAGTATGAGTTGCCATCAATGGAATCAGAGGCTCAGAGAGAAATGAGCGTGCCCCAGGTCATGCACTGAGAAATACTGGAACAAGTTTCCAAACTCTCCCTCTTAGTGACTCCAGCTCTGAGCCTCTCCTGAATCCACCTGCTCAACTCCTTCTCCAGCCCCAGCACATCTAAGCTGCCATGAGTGTCCTCTACAAGGATGTCACAGCCCCACCAGGCTCCTGGCTTCCACTCCTGCCTCCCTGTAATAAACACTATTCACATCGGCCGATTGCTATCTCTAAAATAGAATGTGGATCATGACACGTTTCTGACTAAAACCTTTGTCTTCGGCCAGGCACAGTGGCTCATGCGTGTAATCCCAGCACTTTGGGAGGTCAAGGTGGGTGGATCACCTGAAGTCAGGAGTTCAAGACCAGCCTGGCCAACATGGTGAAACCCTGTCTCTACTAAAAATACAAAAATTAGCCAGGCTTGGTGGCGGGCCCCCTGTAATCCCAGCTACTCAGGAGGCTGAGGCAGGAGAATCGCTTGAACCCAGGAGGCGGAGGTTGCAGTGAGCCAAGATCACGCCATTGCACTTCAGCCTGGGCAACAGAGCAAGACTCTGTCTCAAAAAAAAAGAAAAAAAAAAACGGCTGGGCACAGTGGCTCACACCTGTAATCCCAGCACTTTGGGAGGCCAAGGCAGGCGGATCACAAGGTCAAGAGATCGAGACCATCCTGGCCAACATGGTGAAACCTGGTCTCTACTAAAAATACAAAAATTAGTCGGGTATGGTGGTGGGTGCCTATAATCCCAGCTACTCAGGAGGCTAAGGCAGGAGAATCACTTGAACCCGGGAGGCAGAGGTTGCAGTGAGCCGAGATCACGCCACTGCACTCCAGCCTGGAGACAGAGTAAGACTCTGAAAAAAAAACAAAACAAAACTTGTCTTCACCTCTTTATTGGAATAAAATCCAAACTCTTTACTGTTGCTTAGAAACCCTCACTTGGTAGCACCAACAGGCTGGCTCTAGTCAATAAGAACTTTACTGTACATTTTAAAATAAAAAGCATAATTGGGGCCAGGCATGGTGGCTCACACCTGTACTCCTAAGACTTTGGGAGACTGAGGCGGGCAGATCACCTGAGCTCAGGTGTTTGAGACCAGCCTGGACAACATGTTGAAACCCTGTCTCTACTAAAATACAAAAAGTTAGCCAGGCATGGTGGCGTACACCTGTAATCCCAGCTACTTGGGAGGCTGAGGCAGGAGAACTGCTTGAACCCAGGAGACAGAGGTTGCAGTGAGCGGAAAGCGCGCCAATGCACTCCAGTCTGGGTGACAGAGCAAGACTCCATCTCAAAAAAAAAAAAAAAATCTTAATTAAATTGTTTGTAACTCAAAGAATAAATGCTTGAGGGGATGGATGCCTTAACCTCCATGATGTGCTTATTTCACATTTCATGCCTGTATCAAAACATCTCATGCGCCTGATAAATATACACACCTACTAGGTACCCACAAAAATTAAACATTTTAAAAACGAGAAACGTTCACACAAGTTGGTCCCTGTCCTCCTCTCTCAGCTCCACCCCTCTCCCCCGGCATGTCAGCCTCACTGGTGCTGTGAACACACACAAGGCATTGCCATGTTGAATTTTTTTTTTTTTTTGAGACGGAGTCTCGTCCTGTCGCCCAAGCTGGAGTGCAGTGGCATAATCTCGGCTCACTGCAACTTCCGCCTCCCGGGTTCAAACAATTCTCCTGCCTCAGCCTCTGGAGTAGCTGGGACCACAGACATGCACCACTACGCCCAGCTAATTTTTGTATTTTTAGTAGAGACAGGGTTTTACCATGTTGACCAGGAACAGCTCGATCTCTTGACCTTGTGATCTGCCCGCCTCAGCCTCCCAAAGTGCTGGGATTACAGTTGTGAGCCCTGCGCCCAGCCCTGCCATGTTGAGTTTATGGCACCACTGTTTACCTGCTGGGAACGTCCTTCCATCAATCCTTCCAACACTGGCTGTCCTTGTCATCAGGATCACACCTTAAATGTCAGTTCCTTGAGTGACATAGAGTCTTCCCTTCCACCTGCTCTAAAGGATCCACTTAAGCTTTCTCTGTCACATGACTCTATCTTAATGAATACAAAATTAATGGATCTGAATAAATCAGTTCACACGTTTATTCATTATAACTTTTCTCCTCCCTGCACACACCACTGGAACACAGGAACTGTTGAATATGTCATAGGACATTAGAAGATGGACAATAAGGCTGGGTGCGGTGGCTCACACCTGTAATCCCAGCACTTTGGGAGGCCAAGGCGGACAGATCACTTGAGGTCAGGAGTTTGACACCAGCCTGGGCAACATGGCGAAACCCTGACTCTACTAAAAATACAAAAATTAGCCGGGTGTGGTGGTGGGCACCTGTAATCCCAGCTACTCGGGAGGCTGAGGCAGGAAAATCGCTTGAACCCAGGAGGCAGAGGTTGCAGTGAGCTGAGATTGTGCCACCGCACTCCAGCCTGGGTGACAGAGTGAGACTCTGTCTCAAAAAAAAAAAACAACAAAAAAAGACAGACAGTGAATATCGAATATGGTCTTTTAAATCCTTCCCATCTTCCAGCATTTTCATGTTCACAGACCTCCCTGGAGGAATGAGAAGCATTGCTTTTCAGCAAGGGTCAGGTGACTCTGACCTCTTCCTCCCCTGTGGATGAGGCCTCAGTCCCAAAGCGTCTGAGGCTGAAAGGCCTTACAGATTCCCGCACTGACCACAGTCTCAGATGTGGATGGGGAATGTGGGGACCTGGGAGGGGCTGCCTAGCCCAGGGTCATGGAGCTGGGAGGTGGCACAGCTTTCACTCACACTGGGGCCTTCTGTCTCCCCAGGGACTCAGACACTAGGATAAGAGTTATTTGCTTACCAGATTCAGGGGTGGATTCTGTGAATGACAGAGGAGTACTCTTAGTGTTTCCTAGGAAAAAAAAAGGCAGAGAAGGGGTGAGCAAGCGTCATTGATTGCCCCATTAAAGTAGGACCATTTTCTTTTCTTTCTTTCTTTCTTTCTTTCTTTCTTTTTCTTTCTTTCTTTCTTTCTTTCTTTTTTTTTTTTTTTTTTGAGTTGGAGTCTTGCTCTGTCGCCCAGGCTGGAGTGCAGTGGTGCCATCTTGTCTCGCTGCAACCTCCACCTCCTGGGTTCAAGCGATTCTCCTGCCTCAGCCTCCCGAGCATTAGCACCATTTTCTTTGGAGGCTTGGTCCCTGCACACCCCCTACTCTGTCATCCACCTAAAGACTAATGGGGGCCCTGGGGTCTCTTCCTTGGAATCTCTGGGGGACAATTCCTTCCCTGGGATGGGAAGGTGATAAGGAGAAGCATGGTGGGTGATGTCAACAGACATTGTCTCCCATCGGGATGATAAATCTCCACGTTCCCCAGCAGGGAGATCTCTCTGTGTTGAGGGGTCAGGAGGGGCTTTGGAGAAATGGAAAAGGGTGAGGGGCAACCTCTGACCTCGACAAACTACATCTGGCCTCACCTCCCCCTGTGTTTGTCCTGACCTCTTTCTTCATACAGAAGGTGGCAGAGGGTGTGGAGCTGCCCCGTCTTACCACCCTACACCCTGACAGCCCCATCATGCTCAGCTTCTTTTTTCCTGTGTGTGTTTGTCACTGTTTCATTTTATCCAGAGTACCTAATACCCCTGTGTGCCCAGCGGGACGCCCCTCACGTGTGGCTCTGTGATCCAGTGGGCACCAGAGCATGCAGCAGGCATGGGCTCCTCACCTGTGGTGTAAAGTTGCAGCGGGTCACTGGGGGCTTATAGGGAGAGTCATTGAAGGAACCATAGCATCTATAGGTCCCGCCAGGGACTGGCGTTGCACGGCCCACAGAAAAGTTGGCCTGGAATGCTTCCCTGTGTCTCTGCCCTCCACTGAGCCACTGTCCATGAGCAACCCCGTGTCTGAACAGATGGTACTGGTCAAATGAGATTTCAGAGCTGCAGAAGAGGGTCAACTTCTCTCCCAGCCTCATCATGGGGTCCACCTGGGTGGAGAGAGAAGGCTTTTTGTATTTTCCTAGGAGAAAAAGAGGCTGATTTTAGAACACACGCCTGAGTGTATGAACAAAGTAATCTCTCTCCCTCTTTTTTTTTTTTTTTTTTTTTCCTTTGAGACAGATTTTCACTCTTGTCTCCTAGGCTGGAGTGCAGTAGCACGATCTCGGCTCACTGCAACCTCAGCATCCCGGGTTCAAGTGATTCTCCTGCCTTAGCCTCCTGAGTAGCTGGGATTAGAGGCACGGACCACCATGCCCAGCTAATTTTTGTATTTTTAGTAGAGACAGGGTTTCACCATGTTGGTCAGGCTGGTCTCGAACTCCTGACCTTGTGATCCGCCCACGTCAGCCTCCCAAAGTGCTGGGATTACAGGCGTAAGCCACAGCGCCCAGCCTCGCTGTTCTTATCTTGGCAGCAGATTCCGAATGTCGGCTGGTGCCCCTGTCAATCTCATGTTCATCTCTAGGGTCCTGAGTCAGCCTATGTCTGTGTCTTTTTACTTCCTCTGCATTTCTTTGATTCTGCTTTTGACTGAGTCCCTGTGGTTTACCGCCCCTAGAAGCCATATGAGATGTGGGGTTCTCCTGGAAAATGGGAATTACTCTGTGCTTTGAGACCCTTCAGAAAACATAGTGCTGGCCTTGAGTTCTCTGACATGGGGCTACGGGGTTATGAGTCTTACTATTTTTCAATTGTGTTTGTTGAAAAATATAAGAATCTCGGGAGGATCAGAAGGAACCTCACAGGATCCCACTGCAGGGAACAACTGGCTGTACCCCCAAGCCCAAGGAGTTAGACGTGACTACTTGTTGGGGAGGGTAGAAGTGACCCCTCCTGCCTCTTTAAGCAGTAAGACATGTTAAACCCCTTTGCTGAGCACTTTTTCACAGTCCCTCTCTTCCTTTATTTCTCTTCCTCTACTGAGGTTTGATTAACAACCGCATTACATGAAGCTCCCATGGCACCAACAGACCACGGATGGTCCAGCCACACTCACCTGTGATCACAATGTCCAGGGGGTCACTGGGAGCCGACCACTCATAGCGGGAGTGACTGAAACAACCACAGCATCTGTAGGCTCCTGCATGGGCAGGCGTTACAGGACCCATGGAAAAGACAGCCTCGACGTAATGGATCCCAGCCTCCATCCCCTGGTCAAGCTGCTGGGAATGCTGTATGTGCCCCTCTTTGTATAAGATAAATTCATCAAAGGCCAGTTCTGAGTGACAGCGCAGGCTCACCCTGGCTCCTGCATGCACCAGGGAGCTTGGGTGCGCTGAGATGGAGGGTTTTGTGAACAAGCCTGAGAGCAGAGACAGAGGAGTTCACATGAGTCTCCTTCCTCACCCCTCGCCTGAGACCTCAGGGTGAAGCTGTCCCTCATCACCCCCAAAGCCCGTCTGCGTCCTTCCTGTTTGTGTGCGTGCATGTTCTCTCTGCGCGGATCCCCATTGTCTGGCTTGAAACCATATGAGATGTGGGGTTCTCCCGGAAAATGGGAATTACTCTGTGCTTTGAGAACCTTCAGAAAACACACTGCTGGACTTAGGTTCCCTGGCATGGGACTGTGAGGTTATGAGCCTCACTGTTTTTCAACTCTGCGTGTTGAAAAATACAAGACTCTCTGGAGGATCAGAAGAAATCTCACAGGCTCACACTGAAGGAACAACTGGTTTTGCCCCAAAACCCAAGAGGTTAGACGTGACTACTTGTTGGGGAGGGTGGAAATGACTCCTTTTCCCTGTTTAGGCAGAAGGACACGGTAAACTCCTTTCCTGGGCAGCCCCTCACAGTCCCAATCTCCATTCAGATCCTCCAGGAGCTTTCGTAGCCTGGATCTCCCTGCCTCACCCCAACCTGCTTTCCCCGCTCTCTTGGTGGAAAGACCCAATCTCTTCTCTGTTTCTTCTGAGCTCCTTGAATGTGAGACTGCCAAATTAAAATACATGCATTGTCAATGTTGTAAAATGGTTGTACAGCAAAACTGAAATGTTTATTCTGTCATTTTCAAAGTTACAAATTAATGACTTGCAAATTGAGAACTATTTTCTAGTTCTTAAATTTTTCTCCCATGCTTCAAGAAGTTAACAACAAAAACTGATTTTGCATTATTAACACAGAACCAACCGTGAAAATCCTGGTTCTTGATGTTTTCTCTGAAATCCTTCCTTGACTCACGGTTCAAGGCACAGATCTCTATCTTTCTCTTCCAGAAAACTCTACTCTCTCTCTCTCTTTATGTGTATATTTACATACATATATAAAATATGAATAACTCCACACTCTCCCTTCCCTGCTTTATAGGATGGGCAGGGGCGACTCCACAGGATGAGTTTCTAACTCTCCGTGAGACACTCTGCACATCCATGAGAGAGAAGGGATGAGTGTCACGAGACTGGGAAGGAGGAGGAGAGGAATGGGTGCATTTCCCAATCCATGTCCCACTGAGCCACTGGACTCATCTCCCGAGGGAACTGTCACTTCCCCAAGCCTCTGGCTCCTTCGAGGCAGAGTAACGACTTCCCCGAGGGAAACACTGGTGCTGGGGTCAGGCAACATGGCTCCTCCCTGGATCCAGCTGGGGTCAGGCAACATGGCTCCTCCCTGGATCCACCCTGCTGCAATTGGTACCAGCACCCTGCGTCTGCTACTCCCCAGGCAGATTCTCCTGCTGCTCGGCTTCCTCCCTCCTCCTCCACCTGGGTACCTGATTCCTCACAGGAAATGCCCTCTCTTTAAATTCCCAGGATGGCTTCTGTGTCCACGGTTAGTGCATGACTAGGAATCCCACAACAACTCTCTGGCTTCATTGGGTGTGGACTCTGGGCAGGTCCATCTGGACACCGGTTGGACGTGGGGTGGGCTGGACTTCTCCTACCTGTGACGATGATCTTCAGGGAGTTGCTCTCAGCTGACCACTTTGAGGCGTGCTTGTAAATTCCAACACATCTGTAGGTCCCTGCGTGTTCTGGGGTCACAGGGCTGATGGTGATGTTGTTGGAAAGGCCAGTGTGCAACTCATGGCTTCGGGTCCCAGTTGTTTGGAATATTGTCCATATGACAAATCGAAGATGGGAATGACAGGAGAGAGTCACACGTCCTCCTAGGGGAACCACAGGGCTCGGCCAGGCTGACAGGGAGAACTTGTCCTGAGCACCTGGAAGAGAAGGAGGCACAGCCTAGAGAGGGAAATGTGGAGCCCCCCGTCTCCCGCTGTCCTTGGGGGCATTTCCTTCTTTACATTGTTCTGGTTTGCCCTGTAACGTGGGGTCCCCTGATGCCCTGGGATACCTGGTCGCAAGCCAGGGACACAGCCACCCCAGAGTGGACATGGAAGGTCTCCCCAGAACAGAATTCTACTAAGCATGATGATACAATATTGAGCCAAGTTGCTCCTAGTTCTTGTCTACAACAGAAATCTGTACATGGAGGAGAAGGAGGAATCTACCAGATTCAAGCAATACAAAAAACATATCAACTCATTTAACAATTCCCAACACAAGTGCCCAGCACGGGTCCCTGCCTCCTGACAGAGAGTACTCCTACCCTACCCACCCCCAGACACGCTGGATTCTGAGCATCACAGGCTCCTTCAGGAGATTGGATGAGCCTGAGGGGCTGCCTATGGAGGGTTTCTAGAACAAAATGGAGCCTGGGGTCTCCAGAGGACTCCCTTCCTGTGTTCCCAGTGCTCACTGCAAAGCCCACCCCATGTCATCTGCATCAGCCTGACTTCGTGTCCACCCTCCCTGCCTGGAGAATCATTTGTGTTTGGCCAACACAGCATCCTAGGACTGGGATAGGACTCACCCGCATGTGGGCAGATCTTCTGGTTCAGGCAGAATCCTAGGCAAAAAAAAAAAAAAGAGAGGAGAGAAAAATAGCTTGTCTTCATGTGAATCCTTCCCTCCTTGTAACTGGGTTTGTCAGCTCAGCCTGGATTCAGAGGGTGGATGAACCTGGCTTCCCACCACCAGACCTGGGTTGTGGAGAGGCCAGGTCTTCAAGAGAGCATTTTCCATCCCAACCGTGTCCTCCTTTCCCTTCCAGGACTTACCCAGACACAGGACGGTGATGAGTTTGGGGGCCATGGTGCCACTTCTATTGGGCAGGACACAGGGGTTGAGCTAAATTGGAAAATGAACAGGATGTGGTAACCATGGTTCCAGTTTCAGTTTGCAGAGTTTAGAGGGTGCCCCACACAGGAAGATGACCAGCTCTCACCCTAAACATAGTGGGTGACACAGGAAACTTGCAGACGGTATTCTTGGTTCAACAGAGCCCCTAACAAAGGCTTGACTTGAACCCTAGCACCGACCAATCCATAATGTCTATATTTCAAATTTAATTTTTCTATGTGCAAAAGTGTAGAATTGTATCTTAATATCTTATTGCCTTTTTTGAGAACTATGCATGATTTGATTTCTGTGATGCAAGGTTCTCCGCCAAATTAAAATAGATGCACTGTCAGTGTTGTAAAACGGTTGTACAGTAAAACTGAAATGTTTATCCTGTCATTTTCAAAGTTGCAAATTAATTACTTGCAAATTAAGAACAATTTTCAAGTTCTTCAATTTTTCTCCTATGCTTCAAGAAGTTAACACCAAGAAAAACTGATTTTGCATTATTAACACAGAAGCGAGCGTGAAAATCCTGGTTCTTGATGTTTTCTCTGAAATCCTTTCTTGACTCACAGTTCAAGACACAGATCTCTATCTTTCTCTTCCAGAAAACTCTACTCTCTCTATGTGTATATTTACATACATATATAAACTCTGAATAACACAAACATATGTGCATATAACGCTGAAGGTTCTCCCCAAAAGCCAATTCATTTTATTAAAAAATTAGTAAGATTATAGCAAGAAAAAAAGCCCTGTGAAATCCACACTGAAAAAAAACAGCATATTCATAAAAATAGTATCAACTCATGCTTTGTCTCTCATCTGTCCCAGAACTTCTCAATGTATGAAAACCACACACATACAATTTTGGATCTTTTCTGTGTTATTTTTGTAAATATGTGTCTCTGATATCATAGCTATCATCTGGTAATATTTGTGTGTGTGTATGTACGTATATTTTTACGTTTTAAATATAACACAAAAGGATAGTTTGTTTTGTGTTTTTGATTGTAAAATGATACCGCTATGCTCCTAATGCTCTGCATAGCTCTTGTTTATTTAACAACAGACAGACTGCAGTAAATCGCTTGCATATTCCTCAATGTATTTGTCCTTTTGGGCAGATATGATGTATGTTTTCACCGGACATTTTGTTTTTTGGAGCAATGTTTGCCGGAGCATTCTTGCCTGAGTGTCCTGGGTTTTATGAGTGAGTTTCCCTGAGTACACACCCCAGGGTGGGACTGCAGGACATGGGGAATGTCAAGATAAAAATAAACTGACAAAAACACATGTTTTACAGAATGATGACCCCAAAACTGCCAGCAACCGTTGTCAGATTCTGTTGTTTTTTCCACTTCTCAGAAAATACCTGATTACAGATGACAGAGGATGAACTTGATGTTAACATTTACTTAAATATATTCTACAATAGAAAAATATGTTGAATAAATGCTGTGATACAAATATCTGTACCTGTAAGCAAATGTATCACCTATGAGAAATAATTTTTACAAATCAATGGTGCCATTTATTAAACATTGTGCTATGTTTCATAAAATGTGTTATAATTGATTGACTTGGAAGTGAGATTTGCAAAGTTCAAGACCTCAGTAGTGGACAGTCACCCTGCAAGCAAACACACGGGACAAATACCCACTTAAAAATATGACGCATGCATTGGTTAAAAATGAGGAGAACTTGTTAATTGACGTTGCTAAATGTACTTCATGGTGTTTACGGGTTTCTTGCCAGGAAGACAGCTTAGCAGTGTTTACACATTGGGATGAGGCCAACAGCTTTATGAAGTAAACTGTTTTAATCCAGTGCAATTTTTATTTAGTACAAATTAAAGTTCTAAGAAGTAAGCGTACACTGGACTGTGAGAACAAGACACAGCATAAGTAATAGCAGAGGGGCCGTGGCCTTTGAAGAAGGAAAATTTGAACACTGATAACTTCAAAAGTTTGGCTTTTGAAGGTGAGGGTTAAGTCCATAAAAATTTCAAAGCGTTCCATGAAATTCGAAATTTTTAATTTTATATTGAAGAATGTGATTCTGTGCTTTTTAAAGCAGTGTTGAGAAGTATAAATAATTACAGGAGTTAATTTGGGATATTGATGTGGGGCATATTTTGATTACTGAATTCAATACCTAAATTCGCAACTCTTCACTAAAACAAGCTCTACTAAATATTGAATGCCCGTGATGCATTACATGGTAATTAGTATGTCTTTAAACTATTTTCCTTCATGAATTATTTCCAGAAGGACCCACATCATCTGTAGATCTTAGGTATATCGTGCAAATTTTCCAGAAGTGCTGCCCAAACAATAAATACAAATAGTTGATGAATTAGGTAAAGAAACAAGGCTCTTGCAGGCAAGAGCCAGTGGTGAGTTTCGTGTCCATTCATGATGATTTAAAAGGTTCTATTCACTTGAGGTACATTTAAAGAAATTTCGTAGCCTAATCTCCTAACAGGCTTATGGATTCCTCTGGAAAAACATATAAAAGAGTAAATTCAGAAGGTCAGAAATAAGCCATACCTGAATTTTTCAAATATGGATCCTGGACAAATAAACTAGATCCTATCTATTCCTTGCTTGCGTTCTCTTCTTCAAAAATTCCAATTTTAAAAACATTGGGTGTTCTTGATCTGTCTTCATATGACTGTACCCTGGCTGATTATTTTTTAAATATGTATATGTTTCCATCCCTTTTTATATACTTTCTGCAAGCATGCCTCTCTCTGTTTCCAGCTACAGTTACTTTATCTTTTCTGTATTTTAATATGTTTCACTTATTTAATACATTTCTTATAAATTCACGAATTTCTTTTTATTTTTACCTCACTTTTAGCATCATTAAAATGAGGGAAATAACTCTTCTAACTTATATAACATTTCTATGTTTTGGTGTTTTAATGCATTTTATTTATTTATTTATTCATTTATTTATTTTAAGACGAAGTTTCACTCTTGTCGCCCAGGCTGGGGTGCAGTGGCATGATCTCGGCTCACTGCAACCTCTGCCTCCCAGGTTTAAGAGATTCTCCTGCCTCAGCCTACCGAATAGCTGGGATTACAGACCCCCACCACCACGCCAGCTAATATTTTGTAATTTTAGTACAGACGGGGTTTCGCCATGTTGGGCAGGCTGGTCTCGAACTCCTGACCTCAGGTGATCCGCCTGCCTTGGCTTCCCAATTGCATTTTATTTTTGAAAGAAACTCGAGGTGCCTCAAATTTCTCTGGGGCTATCTCATATTTGTATCACTTTCACTTTCTGAATAGTTTCCCTTCTTATACACAAAAATTTTATTAGGGTATATTTACGCTTTGCTTTTTCTTTACAGCAACCATGACAGTTTAAAATCTGATTACTCTTCATTGTTAAGAGGAATGAGCTCCTTCCTCAATACTAACGTGAAGTAGGCAGCACCTTGAATTCTGGTCATCTCTTATCTTCAATTGGTGGAGGGAAGTCAACACATCCCAATAAACCTCCAGTTTCTTCTGCCCATTGGACAATTTCTTCTGCAGTTTTGCCATCTTGGAGCAAGGCAAAATCTGCACACAAAATAGCCTCTTCCATCGGAAGCTCTGTGAGCTATCGTCACCATGCTTACATTAGATCTCTAGAACATTTTCATCCTGCATAACCAAACTTTGTAGCCTTTGACCAACGTGTCCTCATTTCCCACACTCAAAACCCGCCTGACTATAGTGTAAAAAGACTGTATTACACACCTGAAATTTGCTAACAGGATACGTCTTACATATTCTCACCACATAAAAAAAAATGAAGACAAAAATGATAACCCTGTGAGGGGAGAGACACTTTCTTGTTAGCTCGATTGTGGTAATTATTTCACATACATCAAAACATCATATTCCACCCACCAAATATGTACAATTTGTATATGTCCATAAAGCTTGAAAGTATTTGTTACGATCATTGTCATTCTCTCCTTTTGTTTTAATAATAAAGACATTTAATGTTTCACTTCACAATAAGTTTTGAGGCAGGTAGTGCCAGTGTTGTCCCAGCAACCTAGTGACACTGGGGTTGTGGGTTGTGGGGTTCGGCGGAGGTATTCCTGGGATTCTCTAGGCCTCATATCTTTTTATAATCAATGTTATTTTGTTTATTTTAAGTTCCAGGGTACATGTCCAGGACGTGCAGGTTTGCCACATAAGTAAACTTGTGCCCTGGTGGTTTGCTGCACCTACAAACCCATCACCACACGGCCTGTGGCCCCTTGGCTTTGGATAATTTCTCCCATTTGGAATGGAAACATTCACCCAGTGCCTATATCCCCATTGTATCTTGGAAGTAGCTAACTTGTTTTTAATTTTACAGGCTTATACGGGGAAGAGACTTGCCTTGTCTTAGATGAGACTTTGGACTTGGACTTGTGAATTCATGCTGGAATGAGCTAAGACTTTGGGAACTGTTGGGAAGGCATGATTGGTTTTGAAATGTGAGAAGGTCACGAGATTTGGGAGGGGCCAGGGGCAAAATGATATGATTTGGCTATGTCCCCTCCCAAATCTCATCTAGAATTGCAGTTTCCATGTATTGGAGGGGGGCCCAGTGAGAGATGATTGGATCATGGGGGCAGATTTCTCACTTGCTGTTCTCATGATCATGAGTTCTCACAAGAGCTGGTGGTTTGAAAGTGTGACACGTCTCCCCTGGTTCTCTCTTTATCCTGCAGCCATGAGAAGAAGGTCCCCGCTTCCCCTTCAACATCCGCCATGATTGTAAGTTTCCTGAGGCCTCCCAGTCATGCTTCCTGTTAAGTCTGTGGAACTGTGAGTCAATTAAACCTCTCTTCTTCATAAATTACCCAGTCTCAGGTAGTTCTTTATGGCAGTGTAAAAATTATCTTATACACCAAGTTCTTTTTTTTTTTTGAAAGGTGTCTCGTGGCTGGATCTGGCAGCCTCCCGAGTAGCTGGGATTACAGGTTTGCACCACCATGCCCAGCTAATTTTTTGTATCATTAGTAGACACGGGGTTTCGCCATGTTGTGCAGGCTGGTGTCGAACTCCTGACCTCAGGCAATCCACCTGCCTCGGCCTCCCGAAGTGCTGTGTTTACAGGCCAATGTTCTACTACCTAGATACAAGTACCACAGGTCTTTGTGGTTTTCACTGTTAATCTGTGTCATTAAAAGTGATCACACATATCAGCTCTACTTTCTACTGTTTTGTCCATTTCAATCACTGTCAAAAGGATGGAGTTTAAAGATATATCATTACTCAGCTCTTCGTTTTGGAAGATAAGCAATTACTGCCGTTCACTTAACAATAATATAAACATGCAGAAATATCATAGTATTTTCTTTGGTATGAAGAATAGAGAAGAAATTTGTTTGTGTTCTCTAGGAACAAATTTCTGGGATGATGGCAGTGGAGTCATCAGACACCTGGCTGAGGAGGAGTTTGGATATGAGCAGAGGCAGGAGCCATCGCATGGAAGATCTCGCGAGAGGACGGGTCTTCCGCGTGCCTTGAAGATCTCGGGAGAGGACGGGTCTCTTGAGTTGGGTGAAGATCTCGCGATAGGAGGGAATCTCATGCTAGGGGTGCAGATTTCGCGAGAGGACGGGTCTCCTGCATGGGGTGATGATCTCGCGAGAGGACCTGTCTCCTACGTGGGGTGAAGATCTCGGGAGAGGCCGGATCTCCCGCGCGGGGCGAAGATCTCGGGAGAGGACGGGTCTCCTGCGCAGGGTGAAGATCTCACGAGAGGATGGGTCTCCTGTGTGGGGGGAAGAGCCACACACAGAGAAGCCCAGGACCCTGTGCATAGAGCAACAGCTTTCAGATGATGAGCTTTGGTTAGAATAGTTTCCTAAAATTTGAGTCTATGGGATATTTTGCAAGTTGTGGTTGACATCGATATCATCAGACAAGTGTCCTTCGCTGACAGTACCAAAAGCCCTCTAAGTAATGTGTGAAAAGCAATTTCCTTACTCTTCACTTGCAGATTAACGGAGGCATTCATCAATGCACAGAGGCAAAACCAGTGTCCTCAGAGTATCCAGACCCTGAAAGCTGAAAGAAGGAATGAAAAACCTGCCTCTGGAAGTGGCATTGGCAAGGTATGACCACAAGGAAAGCAGCATGAGATGCTCCTTCCCTGCTTCGACCATGCTGAGACCTGACTCATTGCTGGACTAGAGAAAATCAAGGTGGGTGTTGGAAGATGGGAACACTCTAGCGATTGCGAGTGAGTAGCTGCTTCCTTGGTCCTAGAAAGCTTAGGACTGTTTTTTTGTTTTTGTTTTTGTTTTTTTTTGAGACGGAGTCTCACTCTGTCCCCCAGGCTGGAGTGCAGTGGCGCGATCTCGGCTCACTGCAAGCTCCGCCTCCCGGGTTCACACCATTCTCCTGCCTCAGCCTTCTGAGTAGCTGGGACTACAGGCGCCCACCACCACGCCCGGCAAATTTGTGTGTGTGAGTGTGTGTGTGTGTATTTTTAGTAGAGACGGGGTTTCACAGTGTAGGACTCTTTGACATTCATGTTTCTCAGTGTTTCACCCAAATAACCCACGCTAAGGAGCAAGATCCAATATTCTCCATAGCAGAATAATTATTTTATCATAGGAATATTTACATTTGTTTTATGCCCTTATTTACATTCTCTGGATGAATACGAGAGATGTTAACAAAGAATCACTCCAGATCAAAACATCCATAATTGTATTGACCAGTATTAAACAGTGAAGAGAGAAAACACAATTCCTTGCCAAGATCAATTGATTGAGAGTCTTGTCTTCAGCTTTGGTTTCTCCAAGAATTTTCAGCACCTACCCTCCCAGAGTATCTTGTTTTCTCAACTGGACTGCTCATTTCTATCATTACTTTTGAAACAAGGTCCAAAAGGTGAACAAGATAAGAGCTACTTTCACGTAGGTCAGAGGGGTGAACGGCATCAGAGGCTTCAGAAAATCTGAGGCCGAGGGATGATAAAAGTCCAACTAAATATTTGCAATGACCTAACTAACTTAGTATCTGCCTCATGCACTTCCGTTTCTCGATTAAACCAATTACTTAAACATGAAAAATTAATGCAAAATAATGTCAAGGTTTTATTTGAAATGATTAATTAAAAACACACATCTTTAATGGGAATCTGAATGTTAGCAAGCACGGGTGAAAAGGCCTTTGTGTTGAAGCCAGCGTGGAATTCCTGAGCTGATCCATAGGAGGGCATATGCTCAGGTTACCCATCTGGGTGAATCAAGCTTCCTGTTGCTTTACGTTATTCTAGACACCCCATTCTCCCAATCCTCCAATACTTGTGAGCTCTCCATGCTGAAAACAGTGTGAAGGTCCTATTAGTTTGGACACAGGCTTCACCCTGTGTGTCTAGAATTCTTGATCCACATCCACCCATAGAATAAAGGGACCGTTTATATCTCTGCCATGAATAGATTTCCCTGCCTGCTTCAAACCTGTCGACACAACCCAAGGGCAAGCTTTTCATTTGCAGTGATTCAATTCTCACCTGAGAAGATCTGTGAAATTGAGGCTTTGCCCAGGAGAGGTGGCTGCTTCCAGCCCTGGCCCATTGAACCCAACGCATTATGTTCATCCTTCATTTTTCCTTCTGACTGCCTGGAATAGGGACAATGACAGTGACCATGACAGGGGATGTGGGTGATGACCTCCAAAGTCTATCTCCTATCATCAAAATTCTGGCCTCACTTCTGGAGCCTCTGGAGAGGTTGACAGGCTGGCACTTCCACATGCAAACCTTTCTGTGTGTCTCCTATCTGAGCTGAAGATTCCTCATCTCTGATTCCACCTTTCCTTCACGGCAGGGCTGGAATATGTGGTATTCTCATCTGTACATAAATAGACACAATGGTTTATAACCCTTACTCGAAGCATACGTTCATTCAGATACTTCACTCCAAGTTTTAGATAAATATTATTACTTTATAAATACCCACGTACACTCAGGACAGTATGTTGTCTTATTTACAGCAAAAGAAATGGATCCTTCACATTTCCCTCACCCCAGGACTTTTGCACGTGCTCTTCTCTCTATCTCAACTTCCATCCCTCTCCCCACACCTCATATCACTGTTGAGTGCAAATATCACCAGCTCCAAGATTTCTTTCCTTACCACCGTAGGCAAGTAGGCTTCTGTATTAGTTTTCATGGTTTAGTTTTAACATTTTCTTTCATAAAATTTATCATTGATGTCATTTATTTCTATTTCTCCACTTTTTCATTGTTTCTCCTCCAGTTCCCACCATGAAGACACTCTTTGTGTCTACAATATACCGTAATTGTACGAAGTGAGGAGCCCCGTACTTGGCACACATTTAGTGATTAGTAACTATACGGGGAATTACCGAATGACTCAATGAAGAATGAATAAATGAATGAATGAATGATTTGGGGCCAGGAAGTGTCTCACACCTGTAATGCCAGCACTTTGGGAGGCCAAGGTGGGCAGATCACTTGACATCACGTGTTTGAAACCAGCCTGGCCAAAACCAGCTGGTGAAACCCCATCTCTACTAAAAATACAAAAATTAGCTGGGCATGATGGCGCATGCCTGTAGTCCCAGCTGCTTGGGAGGCTGAGGCAGGAGAATCACTTGAACCCAGGAGGCAGAGGTTGCAGTGAGCCAAGATCTCACCATTGCATTCCAGCCTGGATGCCAAGAGTGAAACTCTCTCTCAAAAAAAAATTAAATTAAAAAAATACAAAAATTAGCCAGGTGTGGTGGTGCACACCTGTAGTCCCAGCTACTCGGGAGGCTGAGGCATGAGAATCACTTGAACCCAGGATGTGCAGGTTGCAGTGAGAGAAGATCGCTCCACAGATCTGGGTGACAGAGCAAGACTCTGTCTCAAAAAAAAAAAAAAGGTGGGGGGGATGTGGAAGGATTCTTTCCTAGAACCTACAGAGTGGGCATGGCCTCCTTGACACCTTACTTGCAAACTTCTACTTCCCAGGATTATAAGTGAATTGATTTTGTGGTGTTAAGCCACGCAGATTGCAGGACTTTGTTAGGACAGCCCCAGGAAGCTAACACAGGTGGCAAAGCATTGTGGTCACAAGACTGGGTTCTGACCTCTGCCAGCCTGGGCTCATTCCAGGATCTGCGGCCTGTTTGCTCCGTGACTCTCAGCCTGCTGCACAAGCTGTGAAGCTCAACCTCCTCATCCTGTAAGCGTGGGTGATATTAGTCACTTCCTAAGGAGGCTTATGTGAAGACGTCACTATTTATTCCATTTAAAACTTCATAAAACTGCATGCCACTTTGTTAAGTAAAGATAATCCAACACAATCAACATGCTATTTTCATTCATACACATTCATACACTCAGTTACCAAGTCTGAGTCCCTGCAGTGCAGTGAACGGACTAGGTATACACAGGGTCTGTGCAGGGACACAGTCCATGTCCAGTATGACGACTGAAGCAGAGAGTGGCGAAGTGGGCTTTGGAGGCCCCCAGATCTGCAACCATCACCTCCAGGGGCACTTTCTGTCTGATGCATCTGGAATACCTGGCGTGTGTTGGGTGCATGCAGCTCTGGGATCTCGAGGTGCCTGGTATATGCTGTGTGCAATCCCCCAATTGCTTATGTCTCTGTGCAGGGCTGGCTTCACTGTCCAGGAGCCGTGCCATCAGAGTTCCAAGCTGAGTTTAATGCCCTCGTGTTGACATCTTGATGTTTGAACATGGGGCCCTCTATTTTCATTTTGCATGGGGTCCAGTGGATTATATAGTCAATGCTGCAGGTATGATTTTGCTTTAGGATTTGTCAGGCTGATCTGAGTTTGTGATCTCTGTGTGCGTCTCACCTGGGCAAAATGGACAAGGAGGAAATCCCTGAGCCAGGAAACTGAGAGCAGAGCTGAATATCCCAGAATTCAAGGGGGAAAGCAGCAGGAGAGGTTGCTGGCTTGATATACGACAGATTTTAAGTGTGCATTTGAATACTGAATACATCATCAACTCTTCCCTCTGTGTCTGTCCATTTATAGTCCATCCATGCTTCCATCCATTCTGCCAGCATATGTCTATAAATGTCAACCTTATTTCATACAATTAACCAAGAATGAAAAATAAAGCATACGCTTCACTGACATGGATCCTGTCCTGTGAGCCCTGCTAGTCTAGGGGATGTGATAGATGTCTAGAAATAACTACAAAACAGGTAACTACGCACTATGACATTCGTATGTGGAATCATTCCTTGGCTGTGGGTGATTAGAAAATAGACTGGCATAGCTCTTCTGTTGCGGAAAGGGAGTCATGAGGAAGTGATGTTTGAGGACACAGGTGAGTGGTCAGGAGGAGGCACTGAGGACACAGGTGAGAGGTCAGGAGGAGGCACTGAAGACACAGGTGAGAGGTCAGGAGGATGCACTGAGGACACAGGTGAGAGGTCAGGAGGAGGCATTGAGGACACAGGTGAGAGGTCAGGAGGAGGCATTGTCTATGTTTGCGAATCTCTCTCAATATCTGTTTCACATTCTCTGTCACTGTCTAACTTGTTTTCTCTTTAACTATCACAAGTTCTCTGTTTCTCCCCCTTTCCTTCATCCCCTCCTCTGGCCCTCTAATAAGTTACTTGGTGTTTCTATGTTCTGGTATTTTTCTTCCTCTACTGGCGGTTTGATCAACAACCACATCACCCTGGGGAGTTTCCTGGGCACCAAAAGACCATGAATGGTCCAGCCACACTCACCTGTGATCACAATGTCCAGGGGGTCACTGGGAGCCGACCACTCATAGCAGGAGTGACTGAAACAGCCACAGCACCTATAGGCTTCTGCACGGGCAGGCGTTATAGGACCCATGGAAAAGACAGCCTTGAAGGAGTGATCCCCAGCCTGGATCATCCTACCATACTGCTGGGAATGTTGTGTGTGCCCCTCTTTGTATAAGATAAATTCATCAAAGGCCAGCTCTGAGTGACAGCGCAGGCTCACGCTGGCTCTTGCGTGCACCAGGGGGCTTGGGTGCGCTGAGATGCAGGGTTTTGTGAACAAGCCTGAGAGCAGAGACAGAGGAGTTCACATGAGTCTCCTTCCTCACCCCTCGCCTGAGACCTCAGGGTGAAGCTGTCCCTCGTCACCCCCAAAGCCCGTCTGCGTCCTTCCTGTTTGTGTGCGTGCATGTTCTCTCTGCGTGGATTCCCATTGTCTGGCTTGAAGCCATATGAAATGTGTGGTTCTCCTGGAAAATGGGAATTAGTCTGTGCTTTGAGAACTTTCAGAAAACACACTGTAGTGAGGAGGTAGAAATGAATCAGAGGTTTTGAAAGAGAAGAATGAAGAGAAGGTGCTGCTAATTATAGAACAAAGGAAGTCAGATGAAGGAAGTGTTTGGGAGGAACAAAACCACACACTCGGGCTTGGAGGGAGGCTCTGCTTTCTCTGAGGCCAGTTATCCATCTTATCAACACCTCCCCTGCCTGCTGCTTCTCCTGGGGTCATCCATCCCGAGACAGCCCCATCGGCTCCTCCAGTGAACCAAGGCAGAGACTGGAGCAACTCTCAGTTCCTCACGCTCTTCTGCTCCCCACACCGTGAACAAATCCAAACAGCTCTTTCCCCGAGTCCCTCCTCACCCACGTCCCCTGACCCATCCCCACAGTCCAAGCTCAGCTGGAGACTGAAGACATCGTGTCTCTGTCACCACATCAGCCTCCTCCCAGCCCCCTACTCCAGACCCTCACTGCTGCTGATGTCTATTAATTCTCATAGCCCCAAACTTTCCTGTTTCTGGCCCTGATCAAAATCCTTCCACAGGTCTGCATCTTCATCCAAATAAGACACAAGCCTTCCTGTTTGACATTCGTATTGCTGATGATCAGGACTGAGCTAAACTCTACAGCCCCAGAAAACACAGCTCTTCCCTACAGAGCAAACTCAGCACAGAAAACCACCTGGCCCTCCCCAGACACACACACACACCCTGAGATATTAACACATTTGTAGGCCAGGCGCAGTGGCTCACGCCTGTAATCCCAGGACTTTGGGAGGCCAAGGTGGGTGGATCACAAGGTCAGGAGTTGGAGACCAGCCTGGCCAATATGGTGAAACCCTGTCTCTACTAAAAAAATAAATAAAGAAATACAAAAATTAGCAGGGTGTGGTGGTGGGTGACTGTAATCCCAGCTACTCGGGAGGCTGAGGCAGGAGAATCACTTGAACCCGGGAGTTGGAGGCTGCAGTGAGCCGAGATTGCGCCATTGCACTCCAACCTGGGCGACAGGGCAAGACTCTGTCTCAAATATATATATAATGACAAAAGTATTGGCAAGGAGTGGCAGGTGTATACCATAGATGTTTGGGTAGGAGAAATCCTGACTTGTTGAGAATCATCCTTTTCTACCCTATCCCCATCCCTTGTACTCTTTTCCTTTTTCTCTTCTCCGTTGATGCTTTTGGTAGTGTTTCCATTTCTGTCCAACAGCTTTGTGACTCTTCCCTTAGGCAAGAACCTATAGAGTTCCCTACAGGACTTTTCTACTCGCCGTGTCCACAATGAAAGTCAATATTGCTGCTACCCTCTCCCCAGGTCTGCAGTGCCTTTTGGGTATCCCATCCTGGAAATCAGTTTACCATTCCCACAGTCATCTTCTTATTTTATTTTATTTTTTTGAGATGGAGTCTCTCTCTATTGCAGGCTGGAGTGCAGTGGTGTGATCTCGGCTCACTGCAACCTCTGCCTCCCGGGTTCAAGCGATTCGTCTGCCTCAACCTCCTGAGTAGCTAGGGTTACAGGCACCTGCCACTATGCTTGGCTAATTTTTGTATTTTTAGTAGAGATGGAGTTTAGCCATGTTGGCCAGGCTGTTCTCGAACTCCTGACCTCAGGTGATCCACCCACCTCAGTCTCTCAAAGTGCTGGGATTACAGACGTGAGCCACTATGCCCAGCCAAATCTCCCTCTCTTTTAAAAATTTATCTGGCCAGGCACCATGGCTCACACCTGTAACCCCAGCACTTTGGGAGGCCAAGGCAGGCAGATCACGAGGTCAGGAGATCGAGACCATCCTGGCCAACATGGTGAAACCCCATCTCTACTAAAAATACAAAAATTAGCTGGGCCTTGTGGTGCATGACTGTAATCCCAGCTACTCCAGAAGCTGAGGCAGGAGAATCACTTGAACCCGGGAGGTGGAGGTTGCAGTGAGCCAAGATCACACCATGGCACTCCAGCCTGGGCGACAAAGCGAGACTTCATCTCAGAAAAAAAAACAAAAAACAAAAACAACAACAAAAAACATGATCCACGTTTAATTGCTTTCTTTCCCTGAACACTCCTGGAGGTTTCTCCTATTGCCCCAGTGCGCAGCCCTTCCATGGTCAACAATGAAAATTTTAATTTAACCTATTTGGCTCAACCCCTCACTCCAGCAATTGAGAATAATTCTCCTCCTAAATCTTTCCCCTTGTTTGAGCCTGTAGCTTCTCATAGCTACTGATGCTTCCGAATACACTGCTCTCTCATTTGAGGATGCTCTCTACTCTTTCCTTCCCCTCTTTTCCTCTCTGGATCAATTGTCTATATTTTTGGTACCATCTGAGGGGTTTTCATGGCCAAGGGGCTTTCCTTCACTCCTTAGGAAAAGATAAATTGGTATCTCTTTTGCGTTTCAGCAGCGCCTAAGCTTCTGGTAGCAGAGTCTTATCAGTGCATTGCAGATTTCTCTGTCAGAGTCTGTCAGGGGCAGGAGCTGAGTCTGACTCATTTCCACATCACCTGTTTCCTATACAGGATGTGGCACATCAGAGTCCCGAGTCCCAGGAGATGTTGCTGAGTAAATATTTGAAAAAAACAAATGCCGGCATCCGTCCAGGCTAAGTCTGTAAGCTTGAGATGGGGAGCCCAGAACTTTGGAAAGTAAATCAGGGAATATGTCAGATGTCCAAGGACCTTCAAGAAAATGTTAACAATGATTCATAAAAACAGGTATTATTACTGAGCAAAGTTTATCAGGCTCTGTGTAGCCACAAAACTATGATAATATTATCATCGTTTTTAGAGTAACATTATAGTAGTGATCACAATAGCCCACATTATTGAGTGAGTCTAACAACATGTTCAGAGTTTACTTTGCACGTCACATGCAGTAACTATGTGTTCTCCACCAAAACTCTATATAAGGTAGGTACTGGCATTGCCCTCATTTTATAAATGACAAAATTGAGTCAAGTGGGTAATTTTCCTAAATCTCATAGTTTTCAGAGACAAAGCAATGATCATATCCCAGCCTTCCTGGCTCCGGAGCCTTCCCTCCTAGCTAAACAGAGAGGCAGAATATAATAATCCCCGATCATCCGTCTTCCAAACATGCTTACAAAGCAGACAGCATTATTAGTGCCATTTTATGGAAAAGCAAAGTGAGTCTTAGACAGGTAATGTGACTCTCCCAAGCACATAAAGATAGCAAGGTCAGATTCAGGTTTTGAAAGCAGTTTGGTGTGATTTAAAGCCTGTTGTCGTTTGGCCATTACCCAATAGCTGGTATCTTGAAAGTCCGGGAAGAGATATTCTCAGCTAGATTGGAGAGAACCAACTCTTTCTGACACCCTGGATTATTCTAGTTGTCCTGATGAGTGTGGGAGCCCACATTCTGAGCTTTTTTTTAATGTATATACTTTAAGGTCTAGTGTACATGTGCACAATGTGCAGGTTTGTTACATATGTATACATGTGCCATGTTGGTGTGCTGCACCCATTAACTCGTCATTTACACTAGGTATATCTCCTAATGCTGTCCCTCCCCCTCCCCCACCCCCGACCCCACAACAGGCCATTCTACTTGCTTGCAGAATCCATGGAATGTAAGGGTTATTTTTTTTCCAAAAACATCGCCTTAACAACTGGCATCCTCTTTTTCCAATTTACCCTAATGCCTGAATATTGCCCTGAAAAAAAAGTTACTGATTAGATTTTTCCAGGAAGACTCTATTTCAGAGTCCCAAGATAGGGACTCAGCATATGCAAATGATCAACTAAGAGACGACAATGGAGAAAGCTGTGTGGCTTCCTGGACGCTGGCCATGGTGCTGAAACTACAGACAGGCGCCAGCATCCCAGTCAGTACTGTAAACAGTAACCGCAAGAACCACTCTCCTTGGACTGCATCCAGACAGGGGAAATAGGAATGGTGTCTAGATATAGGGCCAGATATATTGGGAACATTTGGAATAGGAGTCAGAATTTAGCAAGAGGTGGAGAAGCTCAAGGTGTAGATGATGTTCATATGAACTATGGAATCTTGACATCTGGATAAGGCCATTTTTTTTTCTACTGTACACCATCGTGGGCAGAGAGGAAGCAAAAAGGGAATCACTCTGGCCTTGCCTTGGTAATAGAAAATAGTGTTTTGTTTTGTTTTTTTTTTTTGAGATGGAGTCTCACTCTGTCACGCAGGCTGGAGTGCAATGGCATGATCTCGGCTCACTGCAACCTCCGCCTCCCTGGTTCAAGTGATTTTCCTGCCTCAGCCTCCTGAGTAGATGGGATTACAGGCTCACGCCACC
Source organism: Homo sapiens (assembly GCF_000001405.40). Taxonomy (NCBI): domain Eukaryota; kingdom Metazoa; phylum Chordata; class Mammalia; order Primates; family Hominidae; genus Homo; species Homo sapiens. The sequence goes on along the minus strand of NC_000019.10, from coordinate 54,517,216 downwards.
ATGCCCGGCTAATTTTTGTATTTTTAGTGAAGACAGAGTTTCACCATGTTAGTCAGGCTTGTCTCAAACTCCTAACCTTGTGATCCTCCCGCTTCAGCCTCCCAAAGTGCTGGGATTACAGGCATGAGCCACCGCGCCTGTCCGAAAATAGTGTCTTATTTCAATGCACTGTGTGTATAAATTATGAGCATGATAAGATTCTACTCATATTGGGACTTTGCTACTTGCTCTACAAATACTATATCATTACTTTTTATTGTAATAAAGTACGCAAACATAAAACTAACCATTAACTATGTAAAAGTGTACAAATCAGTGGAATTTGGTGCATTCATAATCTTCTTCAACCATCACCTCTATTTAGTTCCAAGTAATCTACAACACCTTAAAAAAAAAAAGGCCACACACTTCAGAGAAAACAGAGCCAATACTGTGTGTGTATGTGTGTGTGTGTGTGTGTGTGTGTGTCCCTCTCTCACTGGGAGAAGATATTCTCCGCTAGATTGGAAAAGACCAACTCTTTCTGAAACCCTGGATTACTCTAGTGGTTGTTTTGCTGAGAGTGGTTTGTGCAGACGTCGGTCGGCAGAACTTCTTGGACTTCAGAGTCTACACACACCCATTTAGGTCTTGGATGGTGGTGAATTCTCACCTAGGACCCTGATTCATCTCTCTTGTCAAGACACAGCACAAAACACGTAACTAAGGAAGGGTGGTCTCCTAGCCCCCATCCGTAATGAGTCTTCCCATCATCTCCTGTATAGTCAGGAAGTCTGCACCTCCCTCCCAAGCCACTGAGGAACTGGGGGCTTTCTGCATTTCCTTGTCTTTTTAGAGCTTCTCTTGTAGCTCTAAAGCCCTTTACATTTCAGTGGATTCTCATGCTTCTCATATCTTCTGTCTCTTAGGGCACAGTCCTTCCAGGTAGTTAAAAGCATCTGTCAGATTCCGAAATCTCCAGTCACTGCCAGCCTCATCTGAAATCCCAAGTCACCTGCTCACAGGATGGAGGAAGCGGAGGACTCTGCTCTGTCCTGGGGTTCCTGAGGCCTGCAGTGATGTTCCATGCAAAGGGCCATCCCCAAGAGGATAGGATGGACCAAGAATTAGGAACATGCAGAGAAGGGCTTGAGACTTTTTAGGGTCACAGGTGAGAGTGACTGGCAGAGGCCATGGGTACGAGAGGTCTCCCAGCAGAGCTGGGGTCCTAGGGGAAGACACTCCCTTCTGGTTCTTGGGGTCAGCAAGGTGTAGTCTGATAGAGATGGAGGACAGGTTCTCACTGTTGGCTGTGGTGTCCTCCTGGGAACAGGTGGGCTAAGCCTCTCCAAGGGCACAGACCTGTGGGTTTCCCCAGACCTCACTCTCAAGCCCAGGAGAGACCCAGCCCCAGTGGTCACATTTCTTCAAGAAGAAGAGAATGAAGCTCTTGGGTCTGTGATCCCTCCATGAAGCAAGGCCCATGAGCTTTGTGATTCTTGGTCTAAACCCTCCTCCCCAACACCTGCCCAGGCTCTACGTTCTCCCTTCAGATAGACGATCTCCTTGACCATGCTCGACTCAGGCTCCTCTGAGCTCTTTTCCAACGAGCCCTGACCTCTGGGCTTCCATGTTTATCTCTGCTTTGCCCAATTTTAGTAAGAATTGCAACTCTTTTCCAATTCTTACTTAAGAAAGAATCCTGCAGAGTCAGTTTAACTCTAGATATCTGATCACCCTTAATCAGATGGTTCACAGGTAAGAACCTTCATTCTCCATCAGCCTCAGGTGATGTCTGGCCGCCTTGGCCTGCCTTCAGCAAGAATCCTGCTGGGTCGGTTTAGCCAGGGTCTTCTTAACCCCTGAGGACTTCTCTTAGCAATTTTCCACTGACTGACCCCGCTCACCCTGCTCCAAGGCTACAAATTCCCACTTTTCCTGTTCTACTCAGAGTTGAGCCCAGTCTCTTTCCCACACTGTGCAATTCCATCACCATGGTCCCTGTACCTACAGCAATAGTCCTGAATAATGTCCTCCTTATTGTGCCTCAACAAGTGACACTGGATTTTTTTTTTCTTCAACACCCTGCCCAGCTGGTCCAACGGTCTGAGAAAGGGAAGTCCAGACACCTGGCCTCTGCTCTGGACAGAAGCCGAGAAGTGGTCTGCAGATCAGGATGCCATGACTGCCACTCTGGGCATCTCTCACACGCTCAGCGTGTCTCAGTTCCATGGTGGGAACCACTGTCCTCAGGAAAAGCTGTTTTCTTTCTGTGTGAAAGTAACCACCCGAATCCCCAAGGAAACAGGAAGAAAAGGTCGGCAACAAAATACCTATTAAAATTCTCCACATTTTGGCCAGGCACAGTGACTCTCGCCTGTAATCCTAGCACTTTGGGAGGCCAAGGTGGGGCAGATCACTTGAGGTCAGGAGTTCGAGACCAGCCTGGTCAACAGGATGAAACCCCATCTCTACTAAAAATACAAAAATTAGCCAGGTGTGGTGACACATGCCTGTAATCCCAGCTACTCTACTCAGGAGGCTGAGGCAGGAGAATCGCTTGAACCTGGGAGGTGGAGGTTGCAATGAGCCAAGATCATGTCACTGCACTCCAGCCTGGGTGACAGAGCAAGACTCCGTCTCAAAAAAAAAAAAAAAAAAAAAAAAAAAAAAAAAAAAAAACCACATGCAAAGAAACTGAAGCACAGTCCATACATAGCGCCACTGACTCCCTATCAAATGTGAAACATTTTAAGTGACGTTTCTCCACATGGAAAAGCCTGGTGGAGAGAGAAAGGGACAGGGCATGTTATCACACAAACCAAGCATTTTTCAGGAGGGTGTGCAGTGTGGGATGTGCTACAAACTGAGGGCTCATTGCGGACGTGCAACAGAAGGAGGGATGCTTCTGGTGAATTTTTAACAGAACAAGCAGTTTATAAAAGGGCCCGTAAAATATTGACCCTGTTGGGGGGGGAAGCCTGTTATATATGCATGATAAAACAGAGAAAAATAAAAATAGTCAACGTTTACCTGGCATTTTCGATGGAACAGACTCTGGTTTATTTCACTGAAGCATCATCAAAAATCCAATGAATTACATTTCTTTCCTTAGGTAGTTAATACCTGAGGAGTTAAATAGCATTGCACGCCAGTGAGGATTCCATCCGTGTATGTGTTGGTGTGGCTTCGCGTGTGTGTGTGCAACAGATCAGCGTGCACTCAGTTCAACAGAAGAAATACGTCTTCTATGGAGCTGGATGCAGTGGCTCACGCCTGTAATCCCAGCACTTTGGGAGGGGAGGATCACGAGGTCAGGAGATCGAGACCATCCTGGCTAACACAGTGAAACCCTGTCTCTACTAAAGATACAAAAAAATTAGCTGGGCGTGGTGGTGGGTGCCTGTAGTCCCAGCTACTCGGGAGGCTGAGGCAGGAGAATGGTGGGAACCTGGGAGCGGAGCTTGCAGTGAGCCGAGATTGTGCCACTGCACTCCAGCCTGGGCGACAGAGCAAGACTCCGTCTCAAAAAAAAAAAAAAAGAAAAGAAAGAAAAGAAAAAAAGAAATACGTCTTCTATCATTGATGTCACTCTTCCTCATAAGCTGCCCCTGGTGAACACGCACACACTCCCTGGAGTTTAAACTCAGCCCTTCACAATCATTTTTCACTTTCTTTAGTATGATTTCCCCTTCCCACTTTCCCTCTCTCCTGAGCTCCTTCCCAGGGTAGTGCCCAATATGGAGGAAGCAGGGTTCAAAGGTGATGCTTGGGACAGTGGTTCTGTGCCCTCCTGCTGGCCTTTGGGCTTTGGGCCTGAGCTGACTGGGGTCTGTGGGGTTTGCTTACTAGATTGCCGGGGGGATCCCACTGATGTCTGTACCTGATAGCCATTTGTCCTTCCTTCCTCTCTCTGCTCCCTCAAGGCCTGGGGACCCTTCTTGTTGACTCAATGTCCACTTAGTCCCAGGGATTCAGGGACATTTGTGAGTATCTGCTGCTGCCCCATCTGGCCCAAGTGAGGCCTCCCCTCCCCTCCATGTTGGGCCCCACTGCAGCCCCCTGATGTTCACCCCCAGGACACTCCTCAGGGGAATTAGGGTGCGGTCATGATCACAGGGTGGGCCTTCCCTCTCTGCCTGGCCACACTGCACCACCGGGTGTGTTAAACGTGGCTCCTCCTCCAGGTGGGCTTGGGGGCGGTGGAGCAGGAGGGACATCCTCTCCATACAGCAGTGTCCCCAGACCCATCGCGCTGAGTCCCAGCCCCTGCATTGGGCGGGTTGGAGGATCCAGAAGAAAAGATGAGTCGCTGCCTCTGCTTTTCTGTCCTCTGCCTGGACCCATCCTCTTTCCACCAATCCCCACAAAAGAACAGTTGGGTGCTTTTGTTTAATTTCCCTTAAACCATGACTGTCCTGCTTTTCACTGTGGCCTGGCTGCCTGCACATCCTGGACTTCCTTACACTGGAGCAGGTACGGGGGTCGGCTCAGCCCTCCTGTGCTCTGCAAGGGGTAGAAAAATTCACACAGCCTCCTCTGCTAAGGTCAAGCTGCCACCCTTTGCTGAAGGCCTCATTTACCCACCTGTCCACCTCAGGGTCCAAGCCAAACAAACAAGACGTGATGGGAGAAGACACTGCGCTAATAGTTGAAAAACAACCAGAGAGAAGAAAGACAGAGATACAGAGATGCAGAGACACGCACACCACACACACACACAGAGAGAGCAGGGAGAATGTGTCCCACATAAAGAACAGAGAAAATCAGTCATCATGTAACAGAAGAAGGCAAAAATAAAGAGCACAGGTCTAGGAAACAGATCCTGGAAGGAAATTAAACTTGAGCACAAATAGAAAATTAAAGCTCGGCCGGGCGCGGTGGCTCACGCTTGTAATCCCAGCAGTTTGGGAGGCCGAGGCGGGCGGATCACGAGGTCAGGAGATTGAGAACACGTTGAAACCCCGTCTCTACTAAAAATACAAAAATTAGCCGGGCGTGGGGGCGGGCGCCTGTGGTCCCAGCTACTCGGGAGGCTGAGGCAGGAGAATGGCGTGAACCCGGGAGGCGGAGCTTGCAGTGAGCCGAGATCGCGCCACTGCACTCCAGCCTGGGCGACAGAGCGAGACTCCGTCTCAAAAAAAAAAAAAAAGAAAAGAAAAGAAAATTAAAGCCCAGTACAAATTAAAATTTGAGAGTATGGCAGGGCAGAAACCTCCCAGCGCGGTGAGCTGCAGCCTGTCCTGGAGTTCAGGCAGCCCCTGCCCCTGAGACCTGGCTAACCTTGGAGAGGTTGCTCCATGTCTCAGTCGATAGTTTCTCTGAGGAAAGGGGGGAAAATAATAAGGCACGCTGAGGACAGTGTGTACAAGGACTTAATGTGTCGATATTTGCATAGAACTAAATTAGCAATTGCCCCATAGAAAGAACTGGCTGAGCTCTTGTTGAAGTTTTAAAAATTATATATATCGGCCAGGCGCGGTGGCTCACGCCTGTAATCCCAGCACTCTGGGAGGCTGACGCGGGCGGATCACCTGAGGTCAGGAGTTCCAGACCAGCCTGGCCAACATAGTGGAACCCCGTCTCTACTAAAAATACAAAAATTAGCCCGACGTGGTGGCGCGTGCCTGTAGTCCCAGCTGCTCGGCAGGCTGAGGCAAGAGAATCGCTTGAACCCGGGAGGTGGAGGTTGCAGCGAGCCGAGATCCCAGGCATCTGGCGCATTGCAGGCCGCCCGTCATCTCCTCCAACCTTCACCCTCCTCTGCACAGTGCACGCCACTACCCAATTCCCAGGTGGCTAAATGCGGTCCTGAGGGGCTCCCCCAAACCCAGGGTCCGAGCCAAGCGTCCCTCTTCCAGGAACAGCGTCCCTCCCCTCCCCCACTGCCGAGGCAGCATCTTCAATATCCTTCAAGAAAGGCAGACATTCTCTCTTGGAATGTCCTTCCCTCCTGCCTCCTCCACGGTCCAAGGTCCAGGACACCACCCGTTATTCTACACCATGACTTCCTGGGCTTGGTCTTCATAACATTTGCCACCATTTAAAATTACATATGTATTATATATGTGCAATATTACAGTTTTTATATTATTTATAGTTATATGTATCATGTATTATGCAAACGTATAATATATAACAAATATATATTAAATTATGTAATCTTGACATATACATCATAATTTAATGTATATAATGTTAATTGTATATGATTTATACTTATAATATATGTTGCATATATTCACTATAATATATAATGTATAATGTATATTACATATAAACATATAATTAAATATAAAATTTTTCTATTATAATTATAATCTATAAATAATAGATAATATATATTTATGTTTGTACCTGTTTATTAATTATAATAACACCTGAAATTTATTGTACTATATATTGTAAATAAATCTTTCATATAATATAATTATAGTGATATGTGGTGATATGTTAACATATTTTTATTATATAATTATGTTCCTTATATATGTAATACATTACGTGAACATATTTAATATAATTGAAATGATAGGTCTGAAATTCTCCATTGCGAATCGTATCTTTTTATTTGTATATGTATGTATAGGCATCTGTGCATTTCTATTGCTCATTCTAATTATTTCTCCCCATTGAAGTTCACAAGACGGGAGGCCATTTCTCCTCATTCATGGTGCATCAAATCCGGAGGCTTCAGTGCCTGGCACAGTCCCTGTGAGGACAAAATACTTCCTCAGTATTAATAGGAGCATCCCTCCTTTGGGGTTTTCTAATCAGCACTGATGTCAGCGCCGTGTGTACCTGAACTCAAGTCTGCCCTAAACGATTCTACCAGGACAGCTCTTCTATTGCCTCTGTTTCACATGAGGAATTTGGGACACAGGAGGTTTGGGTGAGTCACCGTCAGGCATAGAGCCAGGGGGTGGCAGAACCACCGGGATTTGAACCATGAACCCAGCAATCTGGCTGCAGGAGGGTCTGCCCTCGTGACCTTTATATGTCACTGCATGAAGGTGAGAGAAGAGAGAAGGAAGGAGAAGAAGAGAGGGAGAGAAACAGAGGCAAGATATTCCCGCAGACAGAAGGCTAATAAAAACCAGACACTGGACTTGAACCAGGTCTGCGGGACTCAGGAGCATGTCCCGCTGTGCCCCAGCAGCCCAGGAGCCTCTGAGGGGGTCCGGATGGAGCACGGCATCGCTCCTCCCACCTCCCCATGTGGCTTCAGCCCCTGGTCCCACCTGCCTGAGCTCACAGCCCGAGCCTCACAGGCAGTCACCGGGTCTAGGTCCAAGGACGTACTCTGGGGATAGAAACCCAGGTGGGGAAGGGGCCGCGAATGGCTTATGACCCCGTGTCCTCCCCTGGCAGTTTCTGGTCACAGATCACAGGCGGAGATGGACAACTTGAGACCCAGGGACTTGGGGCAGCTTCACTCCCATCACACAGAGTCCAGGGGCAGAGCCAGAGGCAGCTTCTCTCCCATCACAGAGTCCAGGGCAGAGCCAGATGGAAGGGAAGCCTCATGGCTTCATCCTGGTCACCGTTCACAGCTACGTCCCCTCCCTGTGGAGCCCTCCTCCTCTTAAGGGACCTTACTCCACCGTTCAGGCCTCCCCCGGAGATCACAGAGCCAACAGGAGCAGCCCCGTCCCTCTCCGGGTGTCCCAGGTTGGAAGGTGAGTTCTAAGTCCCTCCATCAGGTGCAGAGCGGGGTGAATGGTGAGGCCACGCCCACAAGGGGGCAGCGTGGAGCTCGGGAGAGCCCGGAAGTCTGGGGTGGGGCTGCCCGGGTGGGTGGCCCCTGCCCCTTCATGGCCTTGTGCCGTTAAGCACGAAACTTTAATTTATGTTTTGCATATTAGAGAGGAGGAGGAGTTAGAGGATCAGACTAGTACCTCCCCCATTAAGTGGTGCTTGCATTAAGTGCTTTCCACAGTTCCTGGCATGGAACAAGGTTGCAATCACTGTACCATTGCTGCTATGGTCTCTGTGAGCATTAGCGACCTCCCAGAGCTTGGTGGGTGTCGGTGCCTTCCCGTGGCCTCCCTAGACCTTGACTCCAAGCCCAGGGCAGAGGGCTGGACCCGGAACAGCATCCGCAGCACAGATTCCCCTGTAATCCCCTCCAGCTGAGGGCCCTGCTACTGACCAGCTGAGGAGCCGGGCTCTGTGTCCGGGGAGTCCGGGCCTCCAGAGCTTTCTGTAAACAGGGGCAGGAGAAGGATTTAGAACCCGTCCCAACCAACCTGCCCTCCTCCACCCTGAGCCCCCATCCAAAGGCCGCATGACCATCACGCAATCCCAGACAATGTCTCGAGACTCCTGAGAAAACGGGGCAGGGGACAGGAGGCTGGGGAGAGCCCCGCTGCTTGCCCCATTCTCCCTGGGGCTGGTCACTCCCTCTGCTCCTCCCACCACAAGCTCTTCTTGACCTCAGGGGACTGCTGAGGTCCTGGGGGGACATGAAGATGGGTTGGATCCTCTCCAGTGGACTTTGACTCCAGGACATCTCGGGCTGAGCACACACAGGAGTGCATGTGGTCACATACCAAAGGTTTTCCCAAAGCACTGTCCCGCCCTGGTCAGGGGCCATCCCTGGACCCTGTGTTCTGCCCAGTGGGAGATGAACCACACCAGGAGAAGCACATTGCCTGGGGCAGGTTCTGGCTCAGTGGAAAGGAATAACAAATGGGACCATCAATCCTGTGTGAAAAGACACTCATCCCCTTGTAGGGGGGTTGCCCCCTAATCTCTGGGAACCCACTCCCCACCCAGCCAAGCAGAGCCAGCTCTGAGCCAACCCAATGCTGGGACTGAGTGTCCACGCCATCTGTGGCGTCCAGAGGAGATCAGGGCTCCAGGGACCTAAGCAGGTGTGAGGGCAGAGGGGAGGTGTGTGCAGAGGAAGAAGGGGAGGGGAGGGCTTGGGGTCAGGAAGAGGGCAACGGTGGCCACAGAGAGAGGACAGCAGCCGGGACAGGGACCAGGGACCTCGGGACAAGCTCGAGGGTCGAGCTGAGACTGGGGCAGGGCCCAGGTGACGTCCTCACCTTTCACCAGCAGCTCCAGGAAGTCACTGTGCTCAGACCATCCAGGGGGCTTATAATAGAGGCAGCGATAAAGCCCGGCATTTCCTTCACTTACTGAGTCAATGTGGAATCTGGCCTCTGACTCAGATGGACCAAGTCGAAACACATTATAACTATCTTTGTACTTGGCTCTATCCTCCCTCTCCAGGCGGAATGTTTGAACCCCAACCGGGCCCCGGCACATGAAAGTCACATGGCTCCCCGGGGAGATCACAGTGCCTGGCTCAGCCGAGATGGAGGGTCTGGGAAGGGCCCCTAAGAGGGAAGCAAAGAAGGATCTCAGCGTCCACTGTAGGAAGTCACCATGCCACACACGTCATTTTAGGATCACAATTCAGGGATTTTAGCAATTTTATAGAGTTATGCAGCCACGACCACAGCCCAACCTTAGAACATTCCCACGCCTCCTGCACCTTCTACGTGCATGTGATTCTCATCACTGCAGAGTTTTTTCCCAGTTGACAGTGAGGACCCTGAGACTTGCTCACAACTTGGGCCTTGCTCAGGGTCACGTGGGAAGTGTCGGAGCAGCCTGGAGCCCTTCATGCCTGCTGCAGAGCCCAGGGCCACTTTCTAGAGGGACAGAGGGTGGGAGGGAGGCACACGATGGGGATGACAGGGTCATTCGTGAAGGACAAGGGACAGGGAAGCGAGGGCTCTGGAGATGGCTCGTGCTGGGGCCTGAAGGGCACTGGCCGGTCCCCGGGTGGGACTGAGTGTGGGACGGGGGTTGCCAGGCTCCTTTGAGGGTCTGGTGGGGTGAGGGTGAAGCCCCCAGCCCTGATCTGCTCACAGCAGATGCCCAGCCCGTGACAGGTCCCCATTGCTAATGCAGATCTCTGTGGAGACACCACCTCTGGGTTTTCCTCTATAGTTTCTACTTTCTTCTCAGCTTAATTTGCATTTCCTTGTTATTAAGGCTCTTGAAAAACCCCATTTATCTCAACTGGGCTTGGGGTGGAGGAGGAAGGGCGGGTTTGACGCCCTGAAACAGGAAGGTTGTGTCAAAATTAGCAAAATCCCTGAGCGGGGCAGAGAGCTGGCAGGGCTTCAATTCACTCGTCCCGTCTTCATTCATTCCTTATTATTGACAAATTAAAACTGCATGTATTTAAGGTGTACAACATGATGTTTTGATACAGGTATACACTGTGGAATCGCTGAATCAAGCTAATTAATATAACCTCACTTTGCGTAGTTAATTGTTGTGGTGAGAACATTTAAAATCTGCCCTCTTAGCGATTTTCAAGCGTATGATATATTGTGATTAACTCTAGTCATTATGTTACACAATCCTGAACTTACTCTCCCTGTCTAGACGAAATTTTCTATCCTTTGACCAGCATCTCCCCAAACCCACCCATTTGTTCATTTTTCTTTCTTTTAACCATATCTCAGTTACTTATCAATCTGTTTAAAGACGCTTTTCATGAGCTGCTAATTCCGCAAATGTGAGAAACACATACAGGATGCCTGCCCTTTGGAGGTGGACGTCTAGAAGGGAGGACAGATATTGATCGAAGAATTGTCCAAATCTGCAGCTGCGAACTGCAATAAGTTTCCTGTGGGTAAGTGTGCAGGGATCTAGGGGACAGGTGGGCGGTGGAGCTGACCTCCTCTGCAAAGTCAGGGGAAGCTCTCTCTGAGCTGAGAGCTGAGGGAGGAGTAGAAACTCCCTGAGCTGAGCAGACAGGGGACACCAGGGCACTCAAAGTGGGAAAATTCCTCAAAGGAAACAAGGTTTTAGTTAGAGAGGAGAAATCAATTCAAGAATCATCATGTACAACACGGTGACTACAGTTAATAACAATGTATTACATTATTGGACATTGCTAATCCAGGTGATTCTAAGCGTTCTCACCACAAAAAAATGATTCGCACAGGAGGAATGCCTACGTTGCCTAGCTCGATGTAGCCATTCCTCGCTGTGTGCAGAGTCCACAACGTCATATTGGACATGACAAATACATGCAATTTTCATCGGTCAATTTTAAACTGAATTAATTAACTTTTAAAAATCAGACCAGGCGCGGTGTCTCACACCTGTAATCCCAGTACTTTGGGAGGCCGAGGTGGGCGGCTCACCTGAGGTCAGGAGTTCGAGACCAGCCTGATCAACATGGTGAATCCCCGTCTCTACTAAAAATACAAAAACATCAGCCAGGCATGGTGGCAGGCACCTGTAATCCTAGCTACCTGGGAGGTTGAGGCAGGGAGAATTGCTTCAACCAGGGAGGCAGAGGTTGCAGTAAGCCAAGACCGAGCCATTGCACTCCAGCCTGGGCAACAAGAATGAAACACCATCTCAAAAAAAAAAAAAAAAATCAGCATGTGAGAAGAACCACCATGTTGAGCGGCATATGGAGTGTTTGAGAAAGCGAAAGAACCTGGAGGAATGTAGAGATGAGTGAGCCCCAGGTCACAGGGACAGGATGTGGCTGGGAAAATGGGCATGTCCAGAACAAAGAGAGGTGCCTGGGTTGATTCTATCTGAAGATAAACAGGGGAAGGGCTCTAAGAAAAAAACTTCATCTTACGATGAGATATTAAATGAAAATTTTTGAATGCAATTTAAAAACTGTGGAAAGTACAATGGTCATGGTTGTGCTTTTGCAAATCGCCAGTCCCTGGGGTCAGGAAGGGAGCAGGCAGCAGTGGCATGGACAGGCTGAGGCCGGCCTCGGGGAGCCACGGAGGGGAGAAGGGCTGTCACCTGGGGGTGATGCAGGAAAAGTCGATGAAGAGAGAGGGAAAGATGAGAAAAATTTAGAGTGAAATCACCAGGACTGGGTGACATGGTGCATCCAGGAGGATGGAGAAGAGGATGAGTGTTCAGAGTCTGCCCTTTGTGACTGTCACGTTCCCCGCCAAGAAGCTGCCGAGTGAAGTGTGGGCTCGTCTGGGGAAAAGTGCCGGGTTCAGCCTTGGTTGTGTTGGGTTTGAATTCTCATTGTGGAAATCGGTGTGTGGAGGTGATGCCTGCACTCCCAGGGTGACCGCAGCGCTACTCACAGCTGCCAAGACCTGGAAATAACCTGAGTTATATAACCACCACCAAATGAATGGATGAGGAGAATGTGGTGTATATATGCAATGGAATATTATTCAGCCCTAAAAAAGGAAGGACATTCTGTCATTCACAACAGCATGGATGAACCAGAGGACATTATGCTAAGTGAAATAAGCTGGGTACAGAAAGACAAATACCGCATGTGGAATCTAAAAAAGTTCATCTCGGCCGGGTGCAGTGGCTCATACCTGTAATCCCAGCACTTTGTGTGGCCGAGGTGGGTGGATCACCTGAGGTCAGGAGTTCAAGACCAGCCTGGCCAACATGGTGAAACCCCATCTCTACTAAAAACACAAAAATTAGCTGGGCGTGGTGGCATGCACCTGTAATCCCAGCTACTCGAGAGGCTGAGGCAGGAGAATCGCTTGAACTTGAGAAGTTGAGTTTGCGGTGAACCGAGATTGTGCCATTGCACTCCAGCCTGGGTGACAGAGTGAGACTCCATCCCAAAACAAACAAACAAACAAAAAAGGTCATCTCACAGAGTTAGAGATTAGAATGATGCTATTAAAGTCGGGAAATGGGGGGCTTGGGAGAGACACTGATCAAATGGTACAAAGTTTCGGTTAAACAGGAGGAGTAAGTTTTTGAGATCTATTGCATAGCAGGCTGACTATAGTTAATAATAACTTATTATATATTTCAAAATTGCTAAAAGTAGGTTTTAAATGTTCTCATCACAATAAGTATGTGATGTGATTGATATGTTATTTAGCCTTATTTAATCTTTCCACAATGTTTACATACGTTGTAACATCACATCGTGCCCCACAAACATATACAATTATTTGTCGATTAAAAATAAGATTTTTGGCTGGGCACAGTGGCTCATGCCTGTAATCCCAGCACTGTGGGAGGCTGAGGCGGGCGGATCATAAGGTAAGGAGTTCGAGACCAGCCTGGCCAATATGGTGAAACCCCATCTCTTCTAAAAATACAAAAAAAAAAAAAATTAGCCAGGGGTGGTGGTGGGTGCCTGTAATCCCAGCTACTCAGGAGGCCGAGGCAGGAGAATCGCTTGAAACTGGGAGCAGAGGTTGCAGTGAGCCGAGATTATGCCACTGCATTCTAGCCTGGGTGATGGAGTGAGACTCCATCTCAAAAATAAAAATAAAATAAAATATAGGATTTTTGAAAATAAGAAAAGCAAAACATGACAGGTGGAGAATGAAGGAGAGAAAGGGGTGAGGGTTATGCATTTTACATTTGGAATAGTTTGCAATCTAGGGTATATTTAAAGGGATCTCTCCAGGCCCTCTAAGAATCAACATCACTCCCACCCAGCACTGCCTTTGGGGTGACAGAGGGGACTGGGAAGACGGGACGAAGGCATGACTTACCCTCCTGCGTGTGGATGGTCTGGGCCAGGCAGAGCACTGGAAGAGAAGCCCCAGTGAGAAAAATGCCCACTGCCCAGTCTCCTTACAGGGCTGCTGTCAAAAGGGGGCTTGACGGAGCTGGGGGGCATTCAGCATTTCATAACGACCAAGCCAACCCTCCTCGACATCACTGTCTCCATGTAATCCTTCTTGCTGCAAAATGGTTTCAAGATAAATCCCAAAGTCTCCTCTTCCAAAAAGGCTCCTGCTCCCCCAGCCCTTCTTTTTGGTGTTGTTGGAGACGGAGTTTTGTTCTTGTCGCCCACGCTAGAGTGCAGTGGCGCGATCTTAGCTCACTGCAACCTCCACCTCCCGGGTTCAAGCAATTCTCCTGCCTCAGCCTCCCGAGTAGCTGGGATTACAGGTGCCCGCCACCATGCCCGGCTAATTTTTGTATTAGTAGAGATGGAGTTTCACCACGTTGGCCAGGCTGGTCTCAAACTCCTGACCTCAGGTGATCCACCTGCCTCAGCCTCCCAAAGTGCTAGGATTACAGGTGTGAGCACCGCGCCTGGCCCCCCAGCCCTTCTTAAAGCTGACCTCATCCCCACACCCGGGCCCCTGTTTTTAGGACAAGGTTGTCTCTGATCAGACTTAGGCCCCAGGGAGAGCAGTAGGGCAGTCTTGGGGGGAGGAGGACACTTTCCTCCCCAGAATCTTCTGGACTAGAGTCAGGCTTGAGCAGGGAACTTTCCAGACCTCCCGACCCCCTTTCCAGTCCTTCCCGCTCCCTCCAGGACTCACCTAGGCCCAGGAGAGCAGTGAGGTGTGGAGACATGGCCCCGGTCCCAGAACTCTGCAGCAGACACAAGCAGACAGGATGTGCTGGCCGGGGGCCTCCTGCCCGTGGGGCTTCCACAGCAACTGCCTCACACAAGAGGGAGAGCTTTCTGTTCTGTTCTTTCCACCCTTCCCACTAGTGAGATGAGAGGGAGGGCCTTGGTTTCTGAAAAATGTCGCTTACCCGCATGATCAGATGACCTTAAACTAGTTACCCGATGTGTCAGCCTCTTTCTAAATCTATGGGACAAGACAGAATAAAGGTCGTGCAACCAACTGACTTGGATGTCATCCCAACTCCACACGTTAACGACCACCGCTCTTGGGCAAGATGTTACAAAACTAGAAGTCGACATGTCCTCGTATTTAAAATAAGAGTCATAGAAATCCTTCCCCAAGTTTTTAATATTGTGATCTCTGCTAAAATCTCAGCAAGGTATATAATGCATTAAAAAAGATCCTACAGTGCGCCGGGCGCGGTGGCTCACGCCTGTGATCCCAGCACTTTGGGAGGCTGAAAAATTGTGCACTCACTATAGAGAACAGTGGGGAGGTTCCTCAAAAAACTAAACATAGAGCTACCGTATGGTCCAACAATGCCACTTCTGGGTCTATATTTAAAAGAAACAAATTCAGTATGCAAAGAGCCGTCTGAACTCCCCTGATCACTGCAGCACTATTCGCAATAGCTAAGACGTGAAAATCATCTAAATGTCCATTGATAGAAGAATTGATATAGAAAATGTGGTGCACACACAGGGGAATACTATTCAGCCTTAAACAAGGAAGAAAATTCTGCCATGGGCGACAACACAGACGAAACCTGAGGACATCACGCCAAGCGACGCAGATGCAGAGACCAAGTACTGCATGATGTCACTTACAGGAGATCTGCAAAGTCACCAGAGTCACAACATCACAGCAGGGAATGGTGGTTACGGGGGCTGGGAGGAGGGGGAAATGGGGAGTTATTAACAAACAGGCCTAGAGATCTGCTGCACCACATACGACCCATCGTCAGCAATAACGTCTTGTTCACTTGAAATTTGTTAAGAGGACAGAGCTCATGTTAAGTGTTCTAACAATGATACATAATAATA
Source organism: Homo sapiens (assembly GCF_000001405.40). Classification (NCBI taxonomy): domain Eukaryota; kingdom Metazoa; phylum Chordata; class Mammalia; order Primates; family Hominidae; genus Homo; species Homo sapiens. Next base: position 54,501,816 of record NC_000019.10, on the reverse strand, counting down.
AATATTATATATAAATAATTATAATTATTACATCTAATAATAATATAATTAATATAATATTATTAGTTAAAATTGTTTATCTATTTTATACAGTCATTACATATATAATTGTTTATATATAATAATACAGCAAATACTATATATATGCAAGTTTATATATAATTGTTAATATATATAAACTATTATAATTATACATATACAATTAACAATTTGTGTGTGTGTGTGTGTGTGTGTATGTGTGTGTGGAGATGGAGTCGTACTCTGTTGCCCAGGCTGGAGTGCAGTGGTGCAATCTTGGCTCACTGCAACCTCCGCCTCCCAGGCTCAAGCAATTCTCTTGCCTCAGCCTGCTGAGTAGCCGGGACTACAGGCGCACGCCACCATGCCCGGCTAATTTTTGTATTTTAGTAGAGACGGGGTTTCACCATGTTGGCCAGGCTGGTCTTGAACTCCTGACCTCATGTGATCTGCCCGTCTCAGCCTCCCAAAGTGCTGTGATTACAGGTGTGAGCCACCGCGCCCGGCCCCATTAACAATGTTGTAATTATATATATTATGTATAATACACACACACATTCACACACACACACACACACACACACACACACACTCTACTAGCATAAGTTCTCTTCCCCTCCTCCTACAGTGTCATTTGGCTCCAGGTGGGAGTGAGGTGGTCCAACAGCACATGCAAAATCCCGAAGGGGTTGAAGGGTCAGGAGACAGTGCTTAGAACCTCGCGTTGAGGTCTGGGGTCAGATGGGCACTCAGCCGGGTGTGGAATGAGGAGCAGGACCAGGACCAGCAGTGCATTTCGGCATCACGGAGCTGAGGGGGACAGAGCCCACCCTATCATGGATTCTCATCTCCGCTGCTCCTGAGGACACTGGGGAGCTTGTCTCCAGGTGTAACCGTCGCAGGCATTGACGAGGGTCTACACCGCAGCCGTTGCTCACTTCTTCCTTACTGACCAAAAGCCAGTTCTGTTTGAGTGGTTGTGCTCCAAGCCCAGGGAGCAAGTGGGAGGGAAATGGAGTTTAGATTAAGGCGATTTTAGCAATCCCATTTTCAGGGTTTTCAGGGCGTATGACCAGATATGACCAATAATAATAAAGCAGAACAGAGCAATGTTCCTGGGAATCATATTTATCTCTTAATAACAGAGGGTTTCAAAAAAGAAAAAAAAAACCACCCTAGGCGACACAGTGAGACTCTGTCTCAAAAATAAAAAGAAAGTTTTTTGCATCAGAATAGTCCAAACATTTCAAAAACATTGAAACATTCCATCATAATCACTGCATTGCAGACTAGTCCTCCTCCCGAGACATGGTGGCTGTAATGATCTCAAGCTGGGATCTCATGGACGGACAGGGGAACTCAAGCTAAACCCTGGCCCTCAAAGAGTTCTGCGCAATGCAGTCCCAGGTATGTTCTTCCAATCTAATCCAACTTTCTGTGAATATGTTAGACTAAGTCCATAAGACAGCAATCCATCCAAAAAATAACAATAAACCAATTAAAACTGCTTAATATAATATATTAAAGACTTTTTTAGGCCAGGCGAGGTGGTTCACGCCTGTAATCCCAGCACTTTGGGAGGCTGAGGTGGGCGGATCACGAGGCAAGGAGATCGAGACCATCCTGGCTAACACGGTGAAACCCCGTCCCTACTAAAAATACAAAAAAATTTAGCCGGGCGTGGTGGCGGGCGCCTGTAGTCCCAGCTACTCGGGAGGCTGAGGCGAGAGAATGGTGGGAACCCGGGAGGCGGAGGTTGCAGTGAGCCGAGATCATGCCACTGCACTCCAGCCTGGGCGACAGAGCTAGACTCCGTCTCAAAATATATATATATATTTTTTTAATTTTTTTAATGCCTAAGAGATATAAAAACTAAGTGAAGGCTATTCAGTCAAAAGTTAAAGAAAGATGGAGTCCCCAGCCTCAAGCTGAATACTGAACCTGGTGCTCACCTTGATGATGATGAATTAACTGAGCTTTATTTTCATGGTTTTGTAAATCATGAGGACAAGGATAAAGTGCAGGGGTACAGAACAGATTCCAAAAGCTTCCGCCTCATCATAAGAATGATTTCAAATCACTCACCAACTTCTCGTGGTTGCAAGGAATACTACATTTGTTTTGAAACTTAGCATTGAACACGAGGCCAAAACACAGCGGCTCCTGAGAATGACCTTCCTGCTTCTGACTCTTCTTTCATGTGTAGAATGGTTTCTATGTATTAGATTCTCCTCCCTGCCTCTTTTCACTTTAGGTCTTCATTAGCGATTTTTAATCAGCTTTATCAAGGAATCCTTGGCAGACAAACTGCCTTCTTTGAATCTGTGCCATTCAGTGAATTCTGACAGCTGTGAAACCACCAACATATCCAAGATTTTCCTCACTACTCAGATGATTCCTCCTGCTGACAGAATCAACATCAAAGGTCACAGAACACATGGGCAGTTATTCTGGGTTTTTCCATAAAAGGGGTGATACAGAGCTGTCGTCGTTCCATATTCTCAAAGGGCCCCTCCACCTTTGCATTCCTCTAAGACTTCAATCCCAGCTGGAGAAGGTCTATGTCCAAGGCATGCTACAGATTCAGCACAGCACAGCTTACTCATTCAAAAACATTACTTGGACGGGGCTCAGTGGCTCACACCTGTAATCCCAGCACTTCGGGAGGCCAAGGTGGGCGGATCACGAGGTCAGGAGTTCAAGACCAGCCTGGCCAACATGATGAAACCCCCTATCTACTAAAAATACAAAAATTACCCGGGCTTGGTGGCGGGCACCTATAATCTCAGCTACTCAGGAGGCTGAGGCAGGAGAATGGCTTGAACCCAGGAGACGGAGCTTGCAGTGAGCCGAGATCATGCCACTGCACTCCAGCCTGGACAACAGAGCGAGACTCCATCTTAAAAAAAAAAAAAGAAAAAAAAGTTACTTGGTGTGGGATGCACAGGCATAGAGTAATGATTCTCACACTAGACTCAGATACATACACAATATTTGCAACTTAAATTAAACACCAATTAAATGTCAAGTGGAAAGACAACATCTACATAAATAAAATGACATAAGATGCAACGTGAAATGTCATTAAAAGAAGAGTTTGCATTAGAATAGTTCAAATATTTCAAAACTATTCCAGCACCATCACTGCATTGCTGACCTATCTTCCTCCTGAGATGTGGTCGCCGTAATGATCTCAAGCTTGGACCTCGTGGACAGACTGGGGAACTCAAGCTAAACCCCGGTCCTCACAGTTCTGCACGTTGCAATCCTGTGTCGTTCCGTCCAATCTAATCCAATCTCAAGGACCCCAGTTCCTGAGCAACCCTGGCTTGGCTCGGCCAAAGGGAAGCGTCTACAGAATCTGAGTCTAGAATGCCCGGAGGTCTGTACTTCTTGCTGTTTTCAGGAGATTCAACTGCAAAGCCCTCCCCAAGTCATCCACATTGGCTCACGTTTCTGTGCCCCACCCTTCCTGCCTGGGAGGACCCTTCTTGTTCAGCCAAAAAAGCAACCTGAGGGTGGGGTGGTAGCAGGGACTCACCCATTTCTCTTTCCATCTTCTGGCCCGGATGCAACCCTGGAAGGAAGACCTCAGGACGATGATCATCTTCATAGGATTCCCGACCTGTGCCTGGCTTTGTCCTGAATATTAGCCTTGGCAGCCTGGCCTGGGCTCCGATGGTGGATGAACTTGGCTTTCCACGGGCTGCCACCTCCAGCCTGCGCTGTGGAGAGACCAGGTCCTCGGAACAGTATTTTAACCTTGTCCTCCTTTCCCTTCCAGGGTTTACCAAGACATAGCGGGTGTCATAGATGTGAAAAAGCTTCTGCTATACCAGGGTCAGGAACAGAGCAAAACTGAAAACCGCACAGGATGTGGTCTGCCAGGTGCCAGCATCACAGCTCAAATCCTTAAGAAGCTCCAACCGCAGGCATGGAAATAAACAGCTTCTCCCTGCCCTGTATACGTCTCCGATTTTACCCAGGATGGGCTGAGGAAGCAACACAGATTCCCAAATGTTACTTTTTTATTTTGCTTGAGAGCCAAGGCAATATTAGACAAGCCTTACTCCCTAATTAGTGCCTGACAAGAACCATATCTCTGTCCCAATCCTTCTATTCAAAGTAGGCACAATTTGCTTTTACCAAATGTAAAACTCATGTCAAAGCCATGCTGTGAGTATTTACACCAGAGAAATCGGCAAATGCTACACGTCGGGGTTGTTTTTTGTTTTTCTTTTTGCTTTTTTTTTCAGAGAGCTGATTGTCAAGACTTTACCAGCACACTGCTGGTAAATTTCCAAAGGCCAATTTAAAGAAATTTTTTTAACAGAACATGTAAAAAAAAAAATCAACGTGAAGTCAACATGCTCCAGGGAAATCAGAGGCTTGATGAAGCATGACTATCTCTGTAGTGTATACTCCAGCCTGTTTCCCCCTCCTACCTCAGGTACCGTAACCAGCATCTGAAGTCTTATATTCAAATTTCCCTTGCACGGCCAGGCACGGTGGCTCACGCCTGTAATCCCAGCACTTTGGGAGGCCGAAGTGGGCGGATCACAAGGTCAGGAGATCAAGACCACCCTGGCTAACACAGTGAAACCCCATCTCTACTAAAAATACAGAAAATTAGCTGGGTGTGGTGGCGGGCGCCTGTAGTAACAACTACTCGGGAGGCTGAGGCAGGAGAATGGCATGAACCCAGGAGGTGGAGGTTGCAGTGAGCCGAGATTGCGCCATTGCACTCCAGTCTGGGCGACAGAGTGAGACTCTGTCTCAAAAAAAACAAATTTCCCTTGCACTTTTGTATATACAGTGTTATCTCATCGATGTATCAGTTTGGCATGTGTGTGTATATATATGTAGGCTGTCATCTTTAAGATTTATTTATTTATTCATTCATTCATTTATTTGAGACAGGGTCTCGCTCCGTCACCCAGGCTGGAGTGCATTAGCACAATCTCAGCTCACTGCAGCCTCCACTTCCTGGGGTCCAGAGATCCTCCCACCTCAGCCTCCTGAGTAGCTGGGACCACAAGCACACACCACCACGCTCCGCAAGTTGTTGTTTTGTTTTGTTTTGTTTTGTTTTGTTTGATAGAGATGGGGTTTTGTCTTGTTGCCCAGGCTGGTCTCAAACTCCTGAGCTCAAGCTCACCCACCTTGTCCTCCCAAAGTGCTAGGATTACAGGCGTGAGCCAACACACTTGAGCCATGCTGTCATTTTGTTGTTGTTGTTGCTGTTGTTGAGACAGACTCTCACTCTGTCACCCAGGCTAGAGGGCAGTGGCACCATCTCGGCTCACTGCAACCTCTGCCTCCACAGTTCAAGTGATTCTCCTGCTTCAGCCTCCTGAATAGCTGGGATAACAGGCACCCACCACCACACCCAGCCAATTTTTGTATTTCTAGCAGAGACGGGGTTTCGCCATGTTGACCAGGCTGGTCTCGAACTCCTGACCTCAGGTGATTCACCTGCCTTGGCCTCCCAAAGTGCTGGGATTACAGGCGCTCAATTTTAATTTTAGTGCAAAGTATAGTTTTCAAAACACTGTTTGCAATGTCATCAAATACAGAATGAGCATGCATCAATGTTTCCTTAATTCATTAATGATGAAATCATCATTCAAAATTCCTATCTTTACCCAAATATTTAGCTTCTTCTGTTGCTCTTCATTTGTTCCTGCGTTTCTCCATTTCCACTGGGATGATTTCCTCTTGCCCAAGCCTTTTATTCTGGCAACCAATGAACTTTACACTCTTTCTATAGTTTTGCATCTTCCAGAATGTCACATAGTTGGAATCAGACAGTGGATACGCCATTTGGGCAGGCTTATTTCGTGTAGTGATATACGTTGAACTCTCCTCCACGTCTTTTCATGACTTGAGAGCTTGTATCTTCTTAGCATGGGATAATATTCCATTGTCTCGACACATAGTTAATCCACTCACTTACTGAAGGGCATCTTGGTTGCTTCCAAGTTTGGGCGATTATGAATAAAGCTACTGTAAAGATTCATATGCAGACTTTATGTGAACATACATTTCAAACTTCCTTGGGTAAATACCAAGGAATGCAATTGCTGGATTACATGGCAAAGCTACATTTAGTTTTAGAAGAAATTGCCGCACTGTCTCCCAAAGTGACTGTACCATTTGGCAATCCCACCAGCAATGAGAGTTCCTGTTGCTCCACATCCTCACCAGTATGCCAGTATGTGGTATTGTCCATGTTTTAGAATTTGGCCACTCTAATAGGTGTGTCGTGGTAACTTGGTTCCTAAGATACTGATAGAGGTGCAGAACACCAGCTGGGAAGTCAGCCAGAATGAGCTTCTCCTGTGACTTCCTGTCCCACAGCCTCAGAGACCTCGGACAAGCCACTTCACCTATAAACTTCTCTCTTCTTTTTTTTTGAGACAGAGTCTCGCTCTTGTCACCCAGGCTAGAGTGCAATGGCACCATCTCAGCTCACTGCAACCTCTGCCTCCCAGGTTCAAGCGATTCTTCTGCCTCAGCCTCCTGAGTAGCTGGGATTACAGGCACATGCCACCACGACCAGCTAATTTTTCTATTTTTAGTAGAGACGGGGTTTCCCCACGTCAGCCACGCTAGTCTTGAATTCCTGACCTCAGGTGATCCACCCACCTCAACCTCCCAAAATGCTGGGATGACAGGCGTGTGCCACCCCACTCGGCTACTTCCCTTATAAATTTTTCTAAATATAAATGTGTGAATTTTCTTTCTTCAGAAGCCGATCAACCAATATTTATCAATTGCTTATTATCTGCTTGGTGTTTGAGATTCAGGAGTGAACAAAACAGATGCAGCCCCTGCCCTCAACAGAGCTTGAGTCTAATGATGATAGGGACAGGATCAAAGAGCAAATCACAAATTGTTTAGCTACTATTGTGAGGTAAGAGTTAGGGTGACACTAACCACCGTTATAAGTAAGTCTTAAAATACTGGCTGGGCGCGGTGGTTCACGCCTGTAATCCCAGCACTTTGGGAGGCCGAGGCAGGCGGATCACGAAGTCAGGAGATCGAGACCATCCTGGCTAACACAGTGAAACCCCATCTCTACTAAAAATGCAAAAAATTAGCCAGGCGTGATAGTGGGTGCCTGTAGTCCCAGCTACTCAGGAGGCTGAGGCAGGAGAATCGCTTGAACCTCGGAGGCAGAGCTTGCAGTGAGCCGAGATCTCGCCACTGCACTCCAGCCTGGGCGACAGTGCGAGACTCCATCTCAAAAAAGAAAAAATACCGATGGCTTAACACAGTGAGGTTTGGCATCTCACTCATGTAAATGACCAATGAGGGTTTCTCTGGGCAGAATTTGAATTTTCTCCCCAGGATGACTCAGGGACATCCGCTTCTTCCATTGTGCTCACATCATCCCCTTGGGCAATGGCGTCCCATACTTCAAACAGAAAGAGGAGACACAGAAAATATTTGTAAACTTGCAAAATTGATTGACGCACATCATTTCTGTCCAGATTTTTGGCTATAAGTAGTCATTATGGTCAGTCACACATGGATGCAAAGGAGACTAGGAAAAAAGTCCCTTGGTGAGGGTAGCCACCTCCCAGAGATTCAAATGCTTGCACTGTAAGAGGAAGTAGAGAATTCTTTTTTTCTGGTGAGCAGCCACACATCTCTGCCTCACGTGAAAAATAATCTCAAGAAGAAATGTACCTGAGACTGTATAGCCAAGGAGCACGACGTTGTGATACCCTGACTGATGGACCATGTGGGGTGATTGAATCTCCTGATCTTAGAAGGAACTTGCCAAACGAAAGTTTCAAGTAACATCAAAGAGAAACATCTCCATGTTCCTTCTGGAACCCATGCACACCTTAGCTAACCTGCATGGAGTTGTAGAAACCACTAGAACTGAGGGAGGCAGCTCCATGCAAGGGTGACGGCCTTCTCCCCTCCCAGTTCTCTTAGTTCTGGAGTTCGATGAAGGACGGGGTCCACACGGCCCACTCCGTTTCCTCTTTCTCTGAACCGGGGTTGCAGAACCTGAACCCAGACAACCTCTGGGTATGAGTCCAGCCCCAGATCACAGCTGTGGTTTTGGCTGCCGCGGTGGCCGTGACAAAGTCCTGAGTCGTTTGCTGTTGTGGGTATGATGGACAGCTGCGACGTTTTCCTGGACTCCCACTGAAATCTTTAACTTCAAGATCATCTTCTCCATCCCAACAGAACTCATCAGGCCCAGAAGGCTCCCAGCCCCAGAGGTTCCCAGAGCTCTTCAGGTGGAATGTTGAGTCTGCACAAGCCAGGATGGTGACTCTGGAGAAGTTCTCCAGAAAAGAATCAGCATCTAGAGTCTCATGAGTTCCAGGCCCTTAGAAATTCAGACTCCAGAACCACTGCCAAAGTGACCCCCTCAGCCCAGCCCTTCGGTACCCAGCATCCACTGTCCTGAGCCCAGCCCTTCCATACCCAGCATCCACTGTCCTGAGCCCAGCCCTTCAGTACCCAGCATCCACTGTCCTGAGCCCAGCCCTTTGGTACCCAGCATCCACTGTCCTCATCCCAGCCCTTCCGTACCCAGCATCCACTGTCCTGAGCCCAGCCCTTCGGTATCCAGCATCCACTGTCCTGGTGGGAGTCCGCTGTGCTGCTCCAAGAAGACAGACCCTCACCATTACCGGAGAGACTGACCCTCCTGTGTCCAGGTCCTGTGGCCCAGACTCAGCTCTGGAAGAGAAATCTGGATTTACAATGCTCAGTACTTCGCTCAAAATCTGCACTCGATGACGTCTGCAAGCTCTTGGTCCCAACCTGGACTGCGAAGCCTGAGGCTTGGGCAGATAATGCCTTCCTGCCATCATCTCTGCTCCCTCTTCAGTCGCTAAGCTCCCACAGCATTGATCTAACCAGACATGGGCCCAGGGAGAGAGCTGTCTTCCCCGCCTCCCAGCCCCAATCCCTCATTCCCTCGCCTGCCATGCCAAGACTGGTCAAGGGAAAGTCCAGGAAGAAAGCATGGTAAGGGGCACCGTGCTGCCTGCGCCCGCCTCGCTGTGCAGATGGCAGAGGCTCGGGATGCGGTGCGCAGAGACTCAGTCCCGACCGTCTTGTGGCTTCTTACCACGTATCTCCCAGGAAGGCACCATGAGGCTTAGCTCTTCCTTCCCGTGACTGGGGTAAAGGAGAGAACTGTCTCCTTGGACATCATCATCCATACGACTGGCCCGAACGTCATCTCTGACCGAAACACCAAATCCAGACGGGCAACCACGGCTGTGGGGTGTGGAGGGGGAATCTGAACACCAACCTGGAGGTCAGACTTGAAGGAGACGGCGACGCTGCCTTCGCCCCATTCACAATATACGACCTTCGATGGGCCACCTCCCCAGTGAGGCTTCATCAAGGGGGCTTGGTCAACTTCCTTTTTGTGTGAACCAAAACGTACATTTCCAGGCGGCTATTAAGGGCTTGAGTCTGTGTCAGAGACGAGCCACGCAAGTCAACGGACCTCACAGTCTAATGTGGAGGGCACACCTCTGACTATTCAAATGTCATATAGGCCGGGCACAGTGGCTCACACCTGTAATCCCAGCACTTTGGGAGGCTGAGGCAGGAGGATCACTTGAGGTCAGGAGTTCAAGACCAGCCTCACCAACATGGTGAAACCCCATCTCTACTAAAAATACAAAAAAAGTAGCCAGGCCTGGTGGTGCATGCCTACAATCCCAGCTACTCAAAAGGCTGAGGCAGGAGAATCGCTTGAACCGGGAGGCAGAGGTTGTGGTGAGCCGAGATTGCACCATTGCACTCCAGCCTGGGCGACAAAAGCAAAACTCCATCTTAAAAAAAAAAAAAAGTCATATAAAGCACATTAACGGTAGATTTTAACAAATTAGCCTCGAAATATCTGCAGTTTGTCACAATGGAATGGTCACTACTCACTCGTGTTACACGTCCATATAGGGGCCCCCGGTTGGCAGTTGGAGCTCCTCCATCAGGTGACTCAGGTGCCCAGATTCTTCCACCTTTGGGATCCAACCTCCCCTAGAACCCTGGAGTGCTCTGTCACCAGTGAGGGGAAAGAGGAAGAGAGAATGGAAAGGGCTCATCCGTGCCTTTTAAATAAAAAATCTGAATGTCGCTTATCACTGCTGCTCACATTCCAAGGGTGGGAATTAGTCAGGAGTCCACAGCTGGGTACAAGAAGGATGAAGATAGGGTCCCTCATGGGGCAGCTGCCTCCAGGGACAACTCTACACCACGTAAGAGAGCTGTGAGTTTTGTTGCACTGAGAGCCATATCTGCTGATGTAGTAAGTGCTCCAGAGGAAAAAAAAAAATCCTATGACCTTGTGTGAAAAGGGGACTTGGGCCGGTCATGGTGGCTCAATCCTGTAATCCCAGCACTTTGGGAGGCCGAGGCGGGTGGATCACCTGAGGTCAGAAGTTTCAGACCATCCTGGGCAACATGGGGAAACCCCGTCTCTACTAAAAATACAAAAATTAGCCAGGCGTGGTGGCAAGCGCCTGTAACCCCAGCTACTCAGGAGGCTGAGGCAGGAGAATCATTTGAACCCAGAAGACGGAGGTTGCAGTGAGCCGAGATGGCACCACTGCACTCCATCCTGGGTGACAGAGCGAGACTCTGTCAAGAAAGAAAGAAAGAAAAAGAAAGAAAGAGAGAAAGAGAGAGAAAGAGAGAAAGAGAGAGAAAGAAAGAAAGAAAGAAAGAGAAAGAGAGAGAAAGAGGAGAGAGAAAGAAAGAAAGAAAGAAAGAAAGAAAGAAAGAAAGAAAGAGAAGGAAGAGAGAGAGAAAGGGAGGAAGGGAGGAAGGAAGGAAAGGGAGAGAGAGAGAAAGAGAGAAGGAAAGAAAGGAAAGGAAGGGAGAAAGAGAAGAGAGAGAGAGAAAGAAAGAAAGAGAAGGGAGCGGGGGAAGGAAGGAAGGAAGAGAGAAAGGAAGGAAGGAAGAAAGAGAAAGAGAGAGAGAAAGAAGCAAAGGAAGGGAGGGAGAGAGAGAAAAAAGAAAGGAAAGAAAGGAAGGAAGGGAGGGAGAAAGGAAGGAAGGAAGCAAGGAAGGAAGGAAGAAAGAGAAAGAGAAAGAAGCAAAGGAAGGGAGGGAGAGAGAGAGAAAGAAAGGAAGGAAGGAAGGAAAGAGAAAGAGAGAAAGAAGCAAAGGAAGGGAGGGAGAGAGAGAGAAAGAAAGGAAGGAAGGAAGGAAGAGAAAGAGAGAAAGAAGGAAAGGAAGGGAGGGAGAGAGAGAGAAAGAAAGGAAGGAAGGAAGGAAAGAAGGAAGGAAGGAGGGAAACAAAAAGAAAAGAAAAGAAAGAGAACCTCAGAGCTGACCCCAGGGAAGCCACCTGCAGTGTGGAGTGGAATCCGGGCTGAGGACTGACGAGCTGGCGACAGGAAGAGCAGCTGGGGGGAGACGTGGACAGAGGAGACAGCTTCTGTGAAAGTCCCCATCAGGAGATAATTTGCCTGTTGTAAGTCGAGTGGACTCCAGATGGAAAAATAATGAAGAAGAATATGTGCATTGATTGAGCAGGAGTCTCTAAAAGGCCAAGTAGAGTTTTGGTATTTTACCCTCACGAGAGTGGGACAGGTTTTGAGCCTAAGCGTGGCATCATCATATTTTTGTCTAAAACATATCGGTAAGACCTTCCTGAAGTCAGAATTGCACAAGGCAATCAAAGGAAGAGATAACCTTTCTGAGCTCTCGCTCTATGCCAGACACTGCTCCGAGTATCCCTTATGGGTAGTTCCTTTAATTCTCACAACTTTGGGAAGATGTTTTCATCATTAGGCCAGTTTTACAGATGAGAACAGTGACGCTCAGGGAGTTAATTTGATTAGCATCTTGCATCAAGCTGTCCCGGAGGTAGGGCCGACGGCAGCTTACCTGGAATGCTGGCGTTATCGTCAGAAGCATACCACATGCCTTCATGAAAATCAGACTCTCCCTCCAAAATGCAGGTCTAATTTCATAAAATAAGGTACGCTGATAATAAAATGCAATTGGGTAGTAAAATAACAACACAATACAATAAAAACATTCGCCACTCTGTGCCACTCTTCTGATCAGAAACTTTCCAGGACTTCCCGCCTCAGTCATATTGACACGACTGCGTCTTCTGTCTCCCAACTTGGGTTAGTACTTTGATAGCATCTCCTCCGACTCTGCCTTTCACTGACTGTGATGCAGTCCCAGTGATCTCCTTGCTATTCCTAAAAAAACATCAAGCAAGCATCTGCCTCAGGGCTCATCCACATGCCATTCTCGACTGGAATGCTCTTCACCCAGACAGGCACAAGGCTCATCCCTCCCTCTCCTTCACTGTCAACCCCAGTATCTCCTTATCCTTCAGACCTTCTTGGACCATCCTGTCTGAAGTTGCAACACTCCCTCCAGATTTCGTATCACCTCTCGCTGCCTTTTTTCTTTCTTCAGCATATATCATTAATCTTCAGCATATGTGCACGTATTTTACTTATTAATATTGTAGACTATCTGCCTTCCCACTACAATGTATCCCCATGAAACCATAGATTTTTTTCCTGCAGTGTTTCCTGTAGTGTCCCTGCTCCTGGAACACTCCCTAGCACATAGTACATAATAAATATTTTTGAATGAATGATGAATGAATAGACATAGTATATAGGGAGTATGGGGAAAGTTATGAGTGCATAACTTGATTTATCTAGTACAATTCCAGAGGCCAGATCTCTAGATTTTAATTTTGGTCGTGCCAGTTATAAGCTCTCTCACTTTAAACTAAGTTTATTTACCTCTCTATTTCTTTGCCTCTTCCTCTGTAAAATAAAAAAGCAATGGTGCCTAACTCATGGAACTGTTGTGATTATTCAGTGAGTAATTATGTTAATGGTACTCAGACTGAAATTACTTAATAACTGGCTATCGAGTAATTTAGTAATAAGAGATTTGTAGGAAAATATTAATCAAGATGTTTGTAGCAATTAATATTAGGTCAAGGGAGTTTAAATGGCTCTTCATTTTTTGAGGTGTTTTTATTTGGATTTTTAAATTGAGTATGTGTTAGCCTTATAACTGAAAAAAATTAAATTATTTATACCTGAGGGAAAAAATAAAATGAAATAAAAGTGCCCCCTTTAAGGAGCTGAGGGTATTGGCTTAGAAAGAACAGGCAAGGTATCAAGATCTCTTTCCTATGACTGTTACCTCCTCATTTTTCCCTCTTGAGTTTCAGTCATGCAAGATGAGGAAGGCCTACAGTCTCCTGTGCGGCTTAGTGTGTGCAGGGAACAAGACTGCCTTGTACCCTTACAAATTTGCTAAGATAGATCTTATGTTATGTGCACTTGTCATCATAAATTGATAGGTGATAATATCAATATTATCAAATAATAACAAATAGGCTGGGCGCAGTGGCTCGTGCCTGTAATGCCAGCATTTTTGGAGGCCGAGGTGGGCGTATCACCTGAGGTCAGGAGTTCGAGACCAGCCTGGCCAACATGGTGAAACCCCGTCTCTACTAAAAATACAAAAATTAGCCAGGCATGACGGTGCGCACCTGTAATACCAGCTACTCAGGAGGCTGAAGCAGGAGAATCGCTTGAACCCAGGAGGCAGAAGTTGCAGTGAGCCAAGATTGCACCATTGCACTCCAGCCTAAATGACAGAGCAGTCTCCGTCTCAAAAAAAAAAAAAAAAAAAAAAAAAAAAAAAAAAAAGTTCCATCCCAATAACACTTCAAAAACACTTTTGAGTTCTGACTTTATTTCTTCTTATTTTCAATGGAATTCATTCTACTGTTTTCACATTTACCATTCAGGGATATTTGGACAGAATTACACGGCCACAGGTCAACCACAATGACCATGATTCCCTTTCTAAGAATGAGGAACGGGGGCCGGGTGTGGTGGCTTACGCTTGTAATCCCAGCATTTTGGGAGGCCGAGGCGGGCAGATCACCTGAGGTCAGGAGTTCGAGACCAGCCTGGCCAACGTGGAGAAACCCTGTCTCTACTAAAAATACAAAAAATTAGCCAGGTGTGGTGGTGTACACCTGCAATCCCAGCTACTCAGGAGGCTGAGGCAGGAGAATTGCTTGAACACGGGAGATGGAGGTTGCAGTGAGCCAAGATTGCACCATTGTACTCCACCCTGGACGACAGAGCAAGACTCTGTCTCAAAAAAAAAAAAAAAAAGAAAGAAAGAAAAGAAAAGAAAATGACTTAATGGGTACAATGCACATTATTTGGGGAATGGATAACCTGGAAGTCCCGATTTCATCACTGGGCAATCTTTACATGCAACAAAATTACACTTGTACCCCATAAATGTTTACAAAGTTTTTTAAAAATATAGAAAAATGAAAGGCAAAAGTAAGCATGCTTTCTTAAAAATAAAAAGTAGTCCTAATGCTAGATGACGAGTTAGTGGGTGCAGTGCACCAGCATGGCACATGTATACATATGTAACTAACCTGCACAATGTGCACATGTACCCTAAAACTTAAAGTATAATAATAAATAAAAAAAAAGTAGTCAGACTGAGCCTGACATTACTAAGGGTTCTAATATTGATTATTATTATTTACTTATTTATTTTTTGACATGGAGTTTCACTCTTGTCACCCAGGCTGGAGTGCAGTGGCACAATCTTGGCTCACTGCAACCTCTGCCTCCCAGGTTCAAGTGATTCTCCTGCCTCAGCCTCCTGAGTAGCTGGGCTTCTAGGCCTCTGCCACCACGCCCAGCTATTTTTGTATTTTTAGTAGAGACGTGGATTCACCATGCTGGCCAGGCTGGTCTCGAACTCCTGACCTCAGGTGATCCGCCCGCCTCGGCCTCCCAAAGTACTGGGATTACAGGTGTGAGCCACCGCGCCTGGCCTAATATTGATTATTAATGATTGTTATCATAATTGTTATTTTCATTATTGGTGTGTTGTTATATTTATATGTACAAAACAGCAACAATGGAGAACCCACATTCTTTTCAGGAACATATGAAAAATCTACAAAAATTGACCACTTCTTAATCCACCAAGAAGGTCTCAAAATATTCCAAAGATTTAATATAATGAAACCATATTTCGTGACTGCAAAAATTACATAAAAGACCAAAAATTAAACGTTTAAAAAACACACATTTTTAAAACAACAACAAAAATCTGCATAACTTTTGAGTGACTGTTAAAAAAAAAAACACAGAAGTTGTGACATATTTAGAAATGAACAATGTTATTCATATCGAAACTTAGATGCAATAAAAATCACACTTAAAGTGAAATGTGGATTGTTTTAAGCACACTTTTTTTTTTTTTTTTTTTTTTTTTTTTAGAAATTATGAAGTTTGGGGCTGGGCATGGTGGCTCACGCCTGTAATCCCAGCACTTTGAGAGGATGAGGTGGGTGGATCACGAGGTCAGGAGATCGAGCCCATCCTAGCTAACACGGTGAAACCCCAAACCCCGTCTCTACTAAAAAAATTAGCCGGGCGTGGTGGCGGGCGCCTGTAGTCCCAGCTACTTGGGAGACCGAGGCAGGAGAATCGCTTGAACCCGGGAGGTGGAGGTTGCAGTGAACCAAGATCGCGCCACCGTACTCCAGCCTGGGTGACAGAGACTCCATCTCAAAAAAAAAAAAAAGAAATTATGAAGTTTGGAGAATTAATCACTGAACATGCAACTTGAGGAGCTGGAATGAAAAAAAAGAAGTAAAGGGCAGAGAGGAGGAAGCCAGCCAGCAGTGACGCTAGGGAGAGAGAAAAAATGCCTCCCTAAGGGCTCACCGCACTCACCAAGCTGCATTATCTCAAAGGAAAAAGAAAATAAAGAAGACCTCAAAGGTGGGAGAAAAAACACAATGGTGTACTAAGTTTCTATTATCATAATTACATCAGACTTCTCATCAGTCAGTCTGGAATTTAGAAGACCAGGGAGAAATATATTTGAAAATGCCCCATGGGCCAGGCTCCTGACTGTAATCCCAGCACTTTGGAAGGCAGATGCGGGCAGATCACCTGAGGCCAGGAGTTCGAGACCAGCCTGGCCAACATGGTAAAACCCTGTTTCTACTAAAAATACAAAAAAATTAGCTGGACCTGGTGGCTGGCGCCCATCATTTCAGCTCGGGAGGCTGAGTAGGAGAATTGCTTCAACCTGGGAGGTGGAGATTGCAGTGAGCTGAGATCGCACCACTGCACTCCAGCATGGGCAACAGAGTGAGACTTGTCTCAAAAAAAGAAAATAAAAAGAAAATCGCCTATGTACTTTATGGAGAGATCCCAGAGTGTATTCTTAGGGATTAAATCTGTATTGTGCCAAGAATTGGGGGAATCAGAATATACATTCATATTGTCTCATATTCACCCAGAAACAAACACTGGAAGGATTAATATGAGAAAGTTAAAATTGTGGCTCTCCCACGTTTTCTTCCCCGTCCACCACCTGGACAAGCTGCAGTCCTAGAAATCGCCTCAACTGCTCCTCTTTCTCACCCTCTCCCCTTGTTCTACCTTCAGAATCTGTCCTCATGCAGACACTGCTTGCCAGCACCACGGCGCCAGGTTCACCCTCTCTCCCCTCGTCCAGGGAACATCCCCTAGCTGGTCTCTCCACGCTCATTTCGTGCTACTCAGCTGCCCCTCCCCATATTGTAGCCAGAATAATCTTTCTTTTTTTTTTTTTTTTTTTTTTGAGACGGAGTCTCACTCTGTCGCCCAGGCTGCAGTGCAGTGGCGTGATCTTGGCTCACTGCACCCTCCACCTCCCGGGTTCAAGCGATTCTCCTGCCTCAGCCTCCCGAGTAGCTGGGATTAGAGGCACCCACCACCACGCCTGGCTAATTTATTTGTATTTTTAGTAGAGACGGGGTTTCACCATGTTGCCCAGGATGGTCTCGATCTCTTGACCTCATGATCCGCCCGCCTCAGTCTCCCAAAGTGCTGGGATTACAGGCTTGAGCCCCTGCACCCGGCCCCAGAGTGATCCTTTAAAAGCATAAATCAGATTATGTTTTGTTACCATTGAAATCTCCAGTGACTTCATAGTACACATGGCCCAAAACCCAAACTCTGTGACCTACGGGACACTTACTCATCTTTCCAATTTCACGTTGGTCCCTGTGCCCCTCACTCCCTGCCCTCAGGCCACATGACATTCCTGCTGTTCCTTGAAGACACCAGGTCCCTCCCTGCCTCGGGGCTCCGCGTCTCTGCCTGGGTGCACCGACCTCCTGCTTTGCACCACAGCCTCCAGGTCTCTGCTCAGCATCATCTCAGCAAGAAGAGCCTTCCTAGACCACTGTGTTGAAAGAAGTCCACTAGCCCGACACCCATTCCTTCGCTAAGAAGATTCGTCTTCATTTCCTCTTGACGTTCATCCTCCTTTCTAATTATCCACTCATTGACTTGTACGCTGTCCCTCTCCCGCCGTTAGAATGGAGACTTCACTTGGCCAGGGAAGTCTTGGCTCTTCTGTCTTGATCATCACTTTATCACTGGTACTTAGGGCCTGGCACATAATAGATGCTCAGCAAACACTTGTAGAATGAAGAGCAGTGAATTAGAAACATATTGCCCATCACTTAATGGACACTTAAATATTAAATAAACAATGCCCTGCCCCCCACCTGCCCAGTGCAATGGAATACTGTGTGGTCATTAAAAATGATGGTGCTGTTTAACTTTCATTGACATGGAAGATACCGAGGATTTTGTTGAGTGAGCAAAACAGGAAAAAAAACACGTATATAGAGGCCACATGTAAGTTAAATTACATATGCATGTTTATACACATGTTTATGGAAGGAGAGATTTGTAGGAAAATATTAATCACGATGTTTGTAGCAGTTAATATTAGGTCAAGGGAGTTTAAATGGCTCTTCATTTTTTGAGGAGTTTTTATTTGGATTTTTAAATTGAGTATGTGTTAGCCTTATAACTGAAAAAAATTAAATTATTTATACCTGAGGGAAAAAAAATAAAATGAAATAAAAGTGCCCCCTTTAAGGAGCTGAGAGTATTGGCTTAGAAAGAACAGGCAAGGTATCAAGATCTCTTTCCTATGACTGATAACTCCTCATTTTTCCCTCTTGAGTTTCAGTCATGCAAGATGAGGAAGGCCTAGAGTCTCCTGTGCGGCTTAGTGTGTGCAGGGAATAAGACTGCCTTGTACCCTTACAAATTTGCTAAGATAGATCTTATGTTAAGTGCACTTGTCATCATAAATTGATAGGTGATAATATAAATATTATCAAATAATAACAAATAGGCTGGGCGCAGTGGCTCGTGCCTGTAAGGCCAGTATTTTGGGAAGCTGAGGTGGGCTTTATCACCTGAGGTCAGGAGTTCGAGACCAGCCTGGCCAACATGATGAAACCCCGTCTCTACTAAAAATACAAAAATTAGCCAGGCATGATGGTGCGCGCCTATAATATCAGCTACTCAGGAGGCTGAAGCAGGAGAATCGCTTGAACCCAGGAGGCAGAGGTTTCAGTGAGCCGAGATCGCACCATGCACTCCAGCCTCGGCGACACAGCGAGTCTCCGTCTAAAAAAAAAAAAAAAAAAAAAACAAAAAACCCCATCCCAATAACACTTCAAAAACACTTTTGAGTTCTGACTTTATTTCTTCTTGTTTTCTTATTTTCAATGGAATTCATTCTACTGTTTTCACATTTACCATTCATGGATATTTGGACAGAATTACACGGCCACAGGTCAACCACTATGACCGTGATTCCCTTTCTGAGAATGAGGAAGGATGTGGTCAGTGAGGTTTTTTCATCTTATTTTACTGCTTTGCAAGATGACACTTTTTATTCATTTTATTTCTTACATTTATTATGTCAGATGCTATTGTGAATGTATAAACTTTCTCCATTCATGTATGCATGCATGTATGTATTTATCTATTAATTTTGGGATGGAGTCTGGCTCTAAGCTGGAGCTAAGTTTTTTGTTTTGTTTTGTTTTGTTTTGTTTTGTATAGATCAGGTTTCCCCATGTTTGCCAGGCTAGTCTAGAACTCCTGACCTCAGGTAATCCACCTGCCTTAGCCTCCCAAAGTGCTGAGATTACAGGCATGAGCCACCGCACTCGGCCTCTCCATTTATTTACATCTTTAATTTCTCCTCAGCATCTTTTGTAATTTTTAGTATCCACGTCTTTCACTTCTTTTATTACATTTCTTCCCATTCATTTTATTATTTTGGAGGCTTTGTAAATGAAATTGCTCTCCTCATTTCATTTTTAAATTATTGTTCGTTCGTATACAGACACATGATTGATTTTGGTGAATATATCTCCTATCCTGCTAGGAATGTGTGGTACTTTTCAACTCCAGAGCCTCATTTAGTTTTATGGGTTTTGTTTTTGTTTTTTTTGAGACGGAGTCTCGCTCTGTCTCCCAGGCTGGAGTGCAGTGGTGCAATCTCGGCTCACTGCAAGCTCCGCCTCCCGGGTTCACGCCATTCTCCTGCCTCAGCCTCCCGAGTAGCTGGGACTACAGGCGCCCGCCACCACGCCCGGCTAATTTTTTTGTATTTTTAGTAGAGACGGGGTTTCACCTTGTTAGCCAGGATGGTCTCGATCTCCTGACCTCGTGATCTGCCCGCCTTGGCCTCCCAAAGTGCTGGGATTACAGGCGTGAGCCACCGCGCCCGGCCTTAGTTTTATGTTTTAATAATTTCACAGGATAGCACTGTGCTCACTGGTCGTTTCATGTAATTAATATTTCTGTTAGCCGGGAGCGATGGCACATGCCTGTAATCCCAGCTACTCAGAAAGCTGAGATGGGAGAAATGCTTGAACCCGGGACGCGGCAGTTGCGGTGAGCCGAGATTGCACCATTGTAAGCCAGCCTGGGCAACAAGAGCGAAATTCCGTCACCAAAAAAAAAAAAAAAAAAAAAAAATTCTAACTTCGTGGATTTATTGGGGTCTAGATTGCCATCCTTCAGATTTCTTGCTCTAGCGTAATGACTCTGTTGCTGTTGTTCATTGCAAGTTTCATTTTTTATTTTATTTACTTTTTAGCAGCTTTATTTAGCTACAATTGTTCCACTAAAAAACCCTCTCACTTAATATACACAATTAGATGAATTTGGACGTATGCAATAACCCCTTAGAAGACATTCACGTGCATGTGTTGTTAGCTTTTTGCTTCTCACAAGAACGTATTTCAGGCACTTCCATCTCCACGCTACACATGGGGAAATAGAGGCTCACAGAGGAGAAAGGACGTGGTCCCGGTCACACCTGTCCCTGGTCCTCCAGGCTGAGGAGCAGAGACCACCCACCTTGGGGCTGCGAGGGTTTGACGCGTATCTCGGGTGCCCTCTTGTGGTCTCAGTGGAGAAACTCCCTGTTTAGTTCTGTTCTTTTCCATCTGCCATTCATTCTTCTCATTCAGTATTTGTTGGTCCTCTCCTGTGCTCTCGCGGTCCATCAATATACAAAACAAACATCCTTGCCATCGAGGAGCTTTTTTTTTTTTTTGAGACGGAGTCTCGCTCTGTCGCCCAGGCTGGAGTGCAGTGGCCCGATCTTGGCTCACTGCAAGTCCCACCTCCCCAGTTCACGCCATTCTCCTGCCTCAGCCGCCCGAGTAAGCTCCATCTTGGCGCGCGCCACTACGCCCAGCTAATTATTGTATTTTTAGTAGAGATGAGGTTTCACCATGTTGGCCAAGGTGGTCTTGAACTCCTGACCTCGTGATCCGCCCGCCTCGGCCTCCCAAAGTGCTGGGATTACAGGCTTGAGACACCGCGCCTGGCAGTTAAAAAAAAAAAAAAATCATACTTGGCCTGCTTTTGAGACCACAAGAAAGGGACGATGCATCTCCCACTCCAGGCTTCTGGGACACACCTCTCTCTTCCTCCCTCTTGGCTTTCCCAGGCTGCTGCCAGGGTATCATCCAGAGTTCCTTTCCCTTTTATCTCTCCATCGTTGCTGTTCTTGGCCGCTTTCTCCCAGGCCTCTGCCCTTCCCGCTGTTCCATCCAGAACCAGCCACATAATTGGTGGGGTCTATTGCAAATGAGAACTCGACGTCCCTTCTTCAAAACGTAAGGAATTTCAAATTGGTGACAGCTGAGCGTTAACAGAAGCGTGGTGGCCAGGCACAGTGGCTCATTCCTGTGATCCCAGCACTTTGGGAGGCCAAGGCCGGCCGATCACCTGAGGTTAGGAGTTTGAGACCAGCCTGGCCAATATGGTGAAACCCCGTCTACTAAAAATACAAAAATTAGCCGGGCGTGGTGGCACATGCCTATAATCTCAGCTAATCAGGAGGCTGAGGCAGGAGAATGGCTTCAACCCGGAAGGTGGAGAATGCAGTGAGCTGAGATCGCACCATTGCACTCCAGCCTGGATGACAGAGTAAGTCTGCATCTCAAAAAAACAAACAAACAAAATTCCATCCCAATAACCCTTAAAAAAAACTTTTGCGTTCTGACTTTATTTCTTCTTGTTTTCTTATTTTCAATGGAATTCATTCTACTGTTTTCACATTTACCATTCAGGGATATTTGGACAGAATTACATGGCCACAGGTCAACCACTATGACCATAATTCCCTTTCTAAGAATGAGGAAGGATGTGGTCAGTGGGGTTTTTTCATATTATGTTACTGCTTTGCAAGATGACACTTTTTGTTAATTTTTATTTCTTATATTTATTATTTTGGATGCTATTGTGAATGTATGAACTGTTTCTCCATTTTCGTATGTATTTATTTATTTTGAGATGGAGTCTGGCTCTGCCATCCAGGCTGGAGTGCAGTGGCACGATCTCGGCTCACTGCAACCTG
This sequence comes from Homo sapiens, assembly GCF_000001405.40. Lineage (NCBI taxonomy): Eukaryota > Metazoa > Chordata > Mammalia > Primates > Hominidae > Homo > Homo sapiens. The sequence goes on along the minus strand of NC_000019.10, from coordinate 54,480,024 downwards.
TGCCTCCCAGGTTCAAGCGATTCTCCTGCCTCAGCCTCCTGAGTAGCTGGGATTACAGGTGTGCACCACCATGCCTGGCTAATTTTTGTTTGTTTGTTTTTTAGTGGAGACCAGTTTCCCCATGTAGGCCAGGCTGGTCTCCAACTCCTGATCTCAAGTAACCTGCCTGCCTTGGCCTCCCAAAATGCTGAGATTACAGGCGTGAGCCACCACGCTCAGCCTCTCCGTTTATTTAGATCTTTAACTTCTCAGCATCTTTTGTAATTTTTAGTATACACGTCCTTTATTTCTTTTATTAAATTTCTTCCCACTCATTTTATTACTTTGGAGGCTTTGTAAATAAAATTCCTCTCCTCACTTCGTTTTTAAATTATTGTTCATTAGTATACAGACACATGATTGATTTTGCTGAATGTCTCCCATCCTGCTAGGAATGTATTGCACTTTTCAACCAGAGCTTCCATTTAGTTTTAGGTTTTAATAATTTCACAGGATAGCATTGTGCTCACTGGTTGCTTCATGTAATTAATATTTCTATTAGCCAGGCGTGATGGCACATGCCTGTAATCCCAGCTACTCGGAAGCCTGAGGTAGGAGAATTGCTTGAATCCAGTAGGCAGAGGTTGAGGTTATCCGAGATCGCGCCATCGCACTCCAGCCTGGGCAACAAGAGTGAAACTCCGTCTCAAAAAAAAAAAAAAATACATACACACACACACACACACACACACACACACACACCCCTTTGTGGATTTATTGGGGTCTGGATTGCCATCCTTCAGATTTCTTGCTCTAGCCTAACGGCTCTGTTGTTGTTCAATGCAAGTTTTATTTTTTATTTTATTTACATTTTAGCAGCTTTGTTTAGCTATAATTGTTCTACTAAAAAACCCTCTCACTTAATGTACACAATTAGATGAATTTGGACACGTGCAACCCCTTGGAAGACATTCACGTGCATGCGTTGTTGGGTTTTTGCTTCTCACAAGAACGTATTTCAGGCATTTCCATCTCCACGCTACACATGGGGAAATAGAGGCTCACAGAGGAGAAAGGACGTGGTCCAGGTCACCTGTCCCTGGTCCTCCAGGCTGAGGAGCAGAGAGACCACCCACCTTGGGGCTTCAAGGGTTTGACACGTATCTTGAGTGCCCTCTTGTGGTCCCAGTGGAGAAACTCCCTGTTTAGTTCTGTTCTTTTCCATCTGTCATTCACTTTTCTCATTCAGTATTTGTTGGTCCTGTCCTGTGTGCCAGACACTGTTTGAGGCTCTAGCGGTCCATCAATATGCAAAACATCCTTGCCATCGAGGAGCTTATATTCTTTTTTTTTTTTTTTTGAGATGGAGTCTCGCTCGTCTCCCAGGCTGGAGTGCAGTGGCGCGATCTCGGCTCACTGCAACCTCCGCCTCCTGGGTTCAAGCGATTCTCCTGCCTCAGCCTCCCGAGTAGCTGGGATTACAGGCATGCATCACCACGCCCCGCTAATTTTTTGTATTTTTAGTAGAGATGGGGTTTCATCGCATTAGCCAGGATTGTCTCCATCTCCTGACCTCGTGATCTGCCCACCTCGGCTTCCCAAAGTGCTGGGGATGACAGGCCTGACCCAGAACGCCCAGCCGAGGAGCCTATATTCTTGCAGAAGGAGACAGACAGTAACCCTTGGGCATAATAAGCACATTCACAGCTTACTAGAAGGTGAAAATGATCTGGATAAATGAGAAAGTGCAGCAGTGGTCCAGTGGTCTGGAGTGTGCAAAGTTCAGCAGGGGGAACAGTGTGGTGGATGCAGACTGAGAGCCAGGGAAAGGGAAGAGGCCATGACTACCCTGAGTGAGCTGGAAGGAAACACGAATCACTCCAAGTAGAACACCCCTTCACTGAGGATTCTTCTTCCCAAACTTCCTCTAGAAAGCTGAGCTGCCACTCACCACAGGGAAGGCTCAGCCCATTAGACTTCAAACGTCCTCAGCAATTCCCTGCCCACCTCTTTCTAGGAGTCAAGATTCCTCCATCCTGATCTAGACCAGCATCTGGTGACCCCTAGAAACCTGTCCTGGAAGCCTCACAAGGCTCTTCACACTCAGTTTGTGATATGATGACCCCAGAGTTGTGCAGTGCACAACCTACGCAGCTGGACATGATGGGCCTGGCGCTCTTCCTCTGTGCTCCCACTGAGCTCTGTGCTGACTATGTCATTCCACTGGGTGGTGCCATGTCAACTTCCCTCCTCTCCTCTCAATATCCTGTAAGCTCTTTAAGGATAAGATAGGATCAAAGTTCCATCCATGTCCCTGCTACTCAGAAGAGGGGCTGAAACATTTAAAAGGGAAACGTTGGAACCCCCTCAATAGCACTAGACTTAAGAAAACAAATTGCCGGGTAGTGATGATTAGATTGCTATAAAAGTCTGAATAATTACAAAAAGATTCTAGGAACTGGTGTATAATTATGTAGGGGCACTGGCAGTATGTACTCACTGAAATCAGCTAAGGAATCATGGTGCAGTCTCAGGAACCAGCTGGGCACAGTGGCTCAGGTCTGTAATCCCAGGACTTTGAGAAGCTGAGACGCGTAGATTGCTTGAGTCTAGGAGTTCAAGACCAGCCTGGGCAACATGGCGAAACCCTATCTCTACACAGTTAGCTGGGCATGCTGGCACACACCTGTAGTCCCAGCTACTCAGAAGGATGAGGCAGGAGAATTGCTTGAACCCGGGAGGCAGAGGTTGCAGTGAGCTGAGATTGTGCCACTGCACTCCAGCCTGGGTGATACACTGAGACTCTGTCTCAGAAAAAAAAAAAAAAAAAAAAAAAGTTGGGAATGTATCCAGATGAACCAAAAAACCTAAAACCTTTCTTTGACCTTCCCTGTTCTTCCAGATACCTTATCTCTCTTTCCCTTCACAGAGGACACCCTGGGTTATCTGCTGACCCCTCCGCCTTTCCTGGCCTCCAATCTCTCTCTCTCTGGCCTTCTCCACTGCAATCTGACCTCTCCCTGCCCACCCCATTTGGGTCTGCTCTCACCCAGGCCCCCAGTGAACTCTGGATTCTTACTGAGTCCAGTGGACCTCACTCCCTCTTTTTTTTTTTTTTTTTAATCATACTTAGCCTGCTTTTGAGTCCACAAGGAAGGGACGGTGCATCTCCCACTCCAGGCTTCTGGGACACACCTCTCTCTTCCTCCCTCTTTGCTTTCCCAGGCTGCTGCCAGGGTATCATCCAGAGTTCCTTTCCCTTTTATCTCTCCATCGTTGCTCTTCTCGGCCACTTTCTCCCAGGCCTCTGCCCTTCCCGCTGTTCCATCCAGAACCAGCCACATAATTGGTGGGGTCTATTGCAAATGAGAACTCAGGATCCCTTCTTCAAAACGTAAGGAATTTCAAATTGGTGACAACTGAGCATTAAAAGAAGTGTGGTGGCCGGGCGCGGTGTCTCATTCCTGTGATCCCAGCACTTTGGGAGGCCAAGGCCGGCCGATCACCTGAGGTTAGGAGTTCGAGACCAGCCTGGCCAATATGGTGAAACCCCGTCTCTACTAAAAACACAAAAATTAGCCAGGTGTGGTGGCGCATGCCTGTAATTGCAGCAACTCAGGAGGCTGAGGCAGGAGAATCGCTTGAACCCGGGAGGTGGAGGTTTCAGTGAGCTGAGATCTCACCATTGGCACTCCAGCCTGAGCAACAGATAGAGACTCTGTCTAAAAAACAAACAAAAAGGCCAGGTGCAGTGGCTCACGCCGGTAATTCCAGCACTTTGGGAGACCGAGGCGGGCGGATCACCTGAGGTCAGGAGTTCAAGACCAGCCTGGCCAACATGGTGAAACCCCGTCTCTACTAAAAATACAAAAAGTAGCTGGGCGTGGTGGCGTGCGCCTGTAATCCCAGCTACTGGAGAGGCTGAGGCGGGAGAATTGCTGGAACCCGGGAGGCAGAGGTTGCAGTGAGCCAAGATCTTGCCTTTGACACTCCAGCCTGAGCAACAGAGTAAGGCTTTGTCTCAAAAACAAACAAAAAAAGAAAGGTGCAGGGCCCTCCGAGCATGGGTCACTGGGCAACCCATGAAGCTGGCCCTGCTTTGGCCCCGCCCCCTCCCAGGACCTGACCTCTGAGGGGCACTGTGGTAGCAGAATAGCCCCACCCACCCCCGCACATGCAAGATGTCCACGCACAAATCCCTGCGACCCGTGAATAGGTCTGCAGATGCACTTAAAATTGTGGATCTTACGTCAGGGAGATTATCCTGGCGTGATGGTTAGTTGTTGTTGTTGTTGTTTTGGTTTGTTTGTTTTTTGGGTCTCGCTCTATCGCCCAGGCTGGAGTGCAGTGGCGGGATCTCGGCTCACTGCAAGCTCCGCCTCCCGGGTTCACGCCATTCTCCTGCCTCAGCCTCCCGAGTAGCTGGGACTACAGGCGCCCGCCACCATGCCCGGCTAATTTTTTGTATTTTTAGTAGAGACGAGGTTTCACCGTGTTAGCCAGGATGGTCTCGATCTCCTGACCTCGTGATCTGCCCGCCTCAGCCTCCCTAAGTGCTGGTGCTGGGATTACACACGTGACAAATAGATCTCTTATATACATATCTCTTTTTCTTTTTTTCGTCTTTTTTTTTTTTTTTTTTTTTTTTAGAGCGAGTCTTGCTCTGTTGTCCAGGCTGGAGTGCAGTGGCTCGATCTGGGCTCACTGCAACCTCCGCCTCCTGCGTTCAAGCGAGTATCCTGCCTCAGCCTCCCGAGTACCTGAGACTACACACCACTGCGCCCAGCTGATTTTTGTATTTTTTTAGTAGAGTCAGCGTTTCACCAAGTTGGCCAGGCTGGTCTTGAGCTTCTGACCTCAAGTGATCCACCCGCCTTGGCTTCCCAAAGTGCTGGGATTACAGGCGTGAGCCACTGCACTTGGCCTTTATATATATCTTAACGTATGTACATAATACATGTAATGAACCACTGGCACATGCTGCACACGGATGAACCTGCTTATGTGAAGGAAGTCAGATAGGTAAGGCTGTATGATGTGTGATTCCATTTATGCGAATGTCCAGAAGAGGTAATCCATGAATCAGAAAACAGGGGAGTGGTTTCCAGGGGCTGCAGAGAGCGGGGCATGGGAGTGACCGCTTAATAGGGTTTTCTTTAGGGGTGATGAAAATGTTTGGGAACTTGATAGAAAGGATGGCTACACAATTACCAGTGTACCAATTAGGTATGTTCCATTGGGAATGTACTAAATGTCACTGAACTGTACACCTTAAGATGGTTAATTCTGGCCCGATGCAGTGGCTCACACCTATAATCCCAGCACTTTGGAAGCCGAGGCAGGCGGATAACCTGAGGTCGGGAGTTCGAGACCAGCCTGACCAACGTGGAGAAACCCCGTCTCTACTAAAAATACAAAATTAGCTGGGCGTGGTGGCAGGCACCGGTAATCCCGGCTACTCAACAGGCTGAGGCAGGAGAATCGCTTGAACCTGGAAGGTGGAGGTTGCAGTGAGTGGAGATCGCGCCATTGCACTCCAGCCTGGGCAACAAGAACAAAACTCCGTCTCAATTAAAAAAAAAGAAAAAAAAAAGATGGTTAATTTTATGTTATGTGAATTTTACATCAATAAAAAATACTTAATAAAAGTCTGTAACATATATATATATATATATATAGTTTTTCTGATTACTGAGTTTCTGGTGACCACTGCCCCCTCCCCCCTTAAATTTTGCTGTGGGTGCTGAGTCCTGACCTGCTTCACTCCATCCCCTGCGGGGACCCCAGTGGGAACTTTCTAACACCTGGATCTTTCCCTGCCATTCCTCCGCGGTCCCCCCACGCCTGCAGGGCAAACTGAAGCTCCCAGTGGCTTTCAAGCTGGCTTCTCCAGGCAAATCAAACTCCACCTGGTGTCTGAGAACCCTCTGCCCCACCCAGCTTCCCCATTCTGCTCCGATATCCATCCTCCTCTCCTGGGCTCCATCAACTCTCACTCATCCTTAAGACCCAGCTCAAGGCTGCTTCCTGTTATCGCAAATTGACTGTCTTCTCTCCAGCACTACAACCCCAGCCCCAGCTAGGGGTAAAACCACTGACCTAGCCTCCCACCTGGGCCTCCCCTTTCTCTCACTGAGCTGCCTCCTACCTGGGCTTCCCTCTCCCTCTCCCTCTGACCCTGACCCAGGCTCCAACCTGCATCTCCACCTCCCTCCCGCTGACCCAGCCTCCCACCTGGGCCTCCACCTCCCTCCCACAGACCTAGACTCCCACCTGGGCTTCCCACCTTCTTCCCACTGAGCTGCATCCTGCCTTGGGACTCTGCTCTCCCCCTCCGCTCTCTCTCCCTGCCCGCACCGCCCTGAAGGAATTGCCCTAACACTCAAACCTCACTCTCTTGTCATCAATAGACACTGGTGCTTAGAATGAGATATGAGCTTTCTATGACGGAGTGGCTCCAGGCAGGGAGGTTCATCTAGGGGACGCCGCAGCAAAGCCAGAGCTGCCCCTCTCAGACACCCTCCATGCTCTTCATCCTCCTGCTGCTTTCACTGTCTGACCTGCCTCTCTTCTCTCTTTCTCTCTCTCTCTCTCCCTCTCTCTCTCTCCATACAGCTGCAATCTGGAAGAAATTACTCTTCTAAACAGCCAGACTTCCCCAGTTTCAGGAAATTCCAAGCTGTGCAGGGGAGGGGCCAGGCTGGGGGCGCGCCCTGTCCAGCCCCACCCCCTCTGCCAGTTCCCCCTGCACACTTAGTCCTGGCCTCCTCCCGCCCCCACACTCCGCCCAGAGGGGCCTCAGCTTTTCCACCACTGCTTTCTAGTCCTTTAACTCCTAGAGGCAAACTTTTGGGGGATAAGAAAGCCTGGGAGGGGCCTGTGCCAAAACCCTCTCTGCCTGGGGACTGGGCGGTGATTCCGCTTCTGCCTGGGCTCCTGCCATGGCCCCCGAGAGGGGCTGACACTTTAGCTCCCGGTGCAGGTAAAGGGGCCTTATGCCAGGGCTTGCCAGGGGTGGGGCCTGGACTCCTGGGTCTGAGGGAGGAGGGGCTGGGGGTCTGGACTCCTGGGTCTGAGGGAGGAGGGGCTGGGGGTCTGGACTCATGAGTCTGAGGGAGGAGGGGCTGGGGGGTCTTGACTCCTGGGTCTGAGGGAGGAGGGGCTGGGGGCCTGGACTCCTGGTCTGAGGGAGGAGGGGCTGGGGGGTCTTGACTCCTGGGTCTGAGGAAGAAGGGGCTGGGGGTCTGGACCCCTGAGTCTGAGGGAAGAGGGGCTGGGGGTCTGGACTCCTGGGTCTGAGGGAGGAGGGGATGGGGCCTGGATTCCTGGGTCTGAGGGAGGAGGGGCTGGGGGCCTGGACTCCTGGGTCTGAGGGAGGAGGGGATGGGGGCCTGGACTCCTGGGTCTGAGGGAGGAGGGGCTGGGGGTCTGGACTCCTGGGTCTGAGGGAGGAGGGGCTGGGGGCCTGGACTCCTGGGTCTGAGGGAGGAGGGGCTGGGGGGATCTTGACTCCTGGGTCTGAGGGAGGAGGAAGGGCTGGAGGTCTGGACTCCTGGGTCTGAGGGAGGAGGGGCTGGGGGGTCTTGACTCCTGGGTCTGAGGGAGGAGGGGATGGGGCCTGGATTCCTGGGTCTGAGGGAGGAGGGGCTGGGGGTCTGGACTCCTGGGTCTGAGGGAGGAGGGGCTGGGGGTCTGGACTCATGAGTCTGAGGGAGGAGGGGCTGGGGGGTCTGGACTCCTGGGTCTGAGGGAGGAGGGGCTGGGGGCCTGGACTCCTGGGTCTGAGGGAGGAGGGGCTGGGGGTCTGGACTCCTGGGTCTGAGGGAGGAGGGGCTGGGGGTCTGGACTCATGAGTCTGAGGGAGGAGGGGCTGGGGGGTCTGGACTCCTGGGTCTGAGGGAGGAGGGGCTGGGGGCCTGGACTCCTGGGTCTGAGGGAGGAGGGGCTGGGGGTCTGGACTCCTGGGTCTGAGGGAGGAGGGGCTGGGGGCCTGGACTCCTGGGTCTGAGGGAGGAGGGGCTGGGGGCCTGGACTCCTGGGTCTGAGGGAGGAAGGGCTGGGGGGTCTGGACTCCTGGGTCTGAGGGAGGAGGGGCTGGGGTCTGGACTCCTGGGTCTGAGGGAGGAGGGGCTGGGGGTCTGGACTCCTGGGTCTGAGGGAGGAGGGGCTGGGGGGTCTTGACCCCTGGGTCTGAGGAAGAAGGGGCTGGGGGCCCCTGACTTTCGGGTCTGGGGTGGGATTAAGAAAGCGAAGATCTAGGACGCCTAGGACCTGAGGGCGAAGGAGGAGGTGGCTCTACGGACCCGGATGCCTGGCTCCTGAATCTCCCTCCGGGTTCCACATGACACTTTCCTTACCAGGTGAGAACCCGCCCGGAGGAAGAAGGAAGGCGCGGGCCGGGGATTAGGAGACGGAGGCGGACTCGGAGCCAGGGAACCAGGGGTCCGGGCTAGAGCTGGAGTCGTGAGCGCGCGCCCGCCCCGCTCTGGGAGGACCGCGAGGTAAGGCGCGGTGGGGACAGGGGTCCTGGGTCCCGGTCGGGAGGGAAAAGGGCCGCTGAATTCCCGGCCGCAGCCACGTGGCTGCAGGAAGCGCGCAGTGAAGCCCTCGCCGGGCCGGGGGTCTCCCCATCTGGGGTCCCCCGACCCGGCTGCACCGCAGCTCCCACGGGTCTGAGAACCAGTTGGGCCGGATCTAGAGTGGGTTGTTATTTCCGTCCTGGCGGGGCCGGGACTGAGAGAGGACAGAGGTGAACCAGCTGTGCCCGCCACCCTGCAGCTGGAGCCGTGGCCCTGCCCCAGCAGGAAAGAGAGGGGTGGGCGGAGGCGGGGGGAGAACGCGCGGCCCGGGCCTCCCCGGGCTCCACGGTCGCGCCCCGCTTTCTGCCTGTTCCACGTTGGTCACAAACAACAGCCCCTCTGTCCCGAGCCCTGGCAGCGTGAGGGACTTTTTCCGAGCATGACCTCATTGCTTTAAACACAATTCAACCAGAGGGAGGTCAGAGGCTTCTATTTAAGAGGACACCCAGGCTGGCAGAAGTGAAGCGACTTACCCAGGGTCTCAGAGCTAGGGCGCAGAGGTGGCATTCGAAAACGACTTCCAACTCGTTGTTCTGGTCTGGACTGGAGAGGAAAAAAGACAATCAAGGGTGTCAGAGGAAATCTCTCGCCTTCATATCAAATCAGAACATTATTATTTTTTTTCTCATGGGGTGGCATGCCCGTAGTCTCCTATGGGGAGCTAAGAGTTCGTCTGGATTCCAGATCTGGCGCGCAGCATTTGCTACTGTGTGACCCAGGGCAAGTGACTTAACTTCTCTGTGTCTCAGCCATCGCGCATCTGTAAAATGGAGTTGTCCTGAAGATTAAATAAATTAGTTCATTCATGGGGAGGCACTCAGGCTGGTGCCTGGCCCAGGATAAGCACTTGGAAAATAAAATTTCGGCACCCTCAGTGTAGTCTTTCTTTCTTCCCTTTCTTTCTTTCCTTCTTTTTTTCTTTCTTTTTCCTTCCTTCCTTCCTTCTTTCCTTTCTTTCTTTCTCCTTCCTTTCCTTTCTTTTTCTTTCTCTTTCTTTCTCTTTCCTTCCTTCCTTCCTTTTTTCCCTCCCTCTCCTCCCTCCTTTCCTTCTCTCTCTTTTTCTCTCTCTCTCTCCTTTTCTTTTCTTTTCTTCTTGAGACAGGGTCTCTTTCTGTTGCCCAGGCTGAAGTGCGGTGGGACGATCATACCTCACTGCAGCCTCAAACTCCTGGGCTCAAGGGATCTTCCCTTTTCAGCCTCCCAGGTAGCTGGAACTGCAGGTGCATGACACAGCACCTGGCTAATTTTTTATTTTTATTTTTGTAGAGAGATCATCTCACTTTGTTGCGCATTCTGGTCTCAAACTCCTGGGCTCAAGTGATCCTGCTGTCTCAGCCTCCCAAAGAGCTGGCATTGTAGGTGTGAGCCACGGCGCCCAGCCACAAACAAGAGTTCCAACCCCTGTTTTTTGAGGAGTAAACTGAGCTTTAGGTTGAGGAAGCCAGTTTGGGATCGCACAAGAAGGAAATGGCAAAATTTGAGCCCAGATGTGTGTGATGTCAGAAACCAAGACTTTATGTGTGTTGCCAGGTGCTGAAAAGTGGTGGCAACGGATAGGGCAATGGAAGGGGGATGCGAGGTGCATGCTGGGAGCTGGGTCTGACCAGAGGCAGGGGCTGAGAGCTGTCCACGAGTCAAGAGGCAGCAGAGAGTGGAGGCAGCCAGCTCTAGACACTGGAGTTCCCTAGAGCTGGCTTTGTGATCTTGGTCAGTCACGTCCTGTCTCGGATCACCCATTTCCTTCTCTGGAACACTGGGAGAATGATCCGAGGTGTGACTCCATTGAGCATATGTTAATTGAACATTCCCTGTGCGCTGGGCACTGTGCCAAGACTTGCAGGGACATATCCCTCCACCAATTCTTGCAAAAGGACTGGGAAGTATTAGATTAATATCATGCCATTTTCAAGATAAGGAAATGAGGTCAGAAAGGTCAAGTAAGTTGCTCAAAGCCACAGAGCGATCAGCACAGCCAGATTCAAACCTGTGCAATGGACTTTCTGAATTCCACTTTTTCACCTCTGACCCACAGCAGAGCAAGTGCTGAGATCATAGGCTCTGTTAGCAGCTAGAGAGGATTTTTTTTTTAAACTGTGGATCCAGAAGATACATTAATGAGCTGAGCTCAACATTTAAAAATAAAATAGATTACAATAGAAAATATCAGAGTAGGGGCCGGGTGTGGTGGCTCATGCCTGTAATCCCAGCACTTTGGGAGGCCGAGGTGGGCAGATCACGAGATCAGGAGTTCGAGACCAGCCTGGCCAACATGGTGAAACCCCATCTCTACTATAAAATACAAAAATTAGCCAAGCATGGTGGTGTGCACCTATAATCCCAGCTACTCGGGAGGCTGAGGCAGGAGAATCACTTGAACCTGGGAGGCGGAGGTTGCAGTGAGCCGAGATCGCGCCATTGCACTCTTGCCTGGGTGACAGAGCAAGACTCCATCAAAAAAGAAAAGAAAGAAAGAAGGAAGGAAGGAGAAAGAAAGAAAAGAAAGGAAGGAAGGAAGGAGGGAGGGAGGGAAGAAAAGAAAGAAAGAAGGAAGGAAGGAAGGAAGGAAGGAAGGAAGGAATCAGAGTATCTACCACGTTGTAAGACAAGTAAGTATTGGCCGGGCTTACTGGCACACACCTGTAATCTCAGCACTTTGGGAGGCCAAGGCGGGCAGATTGCTTGAGCTCAGGAGTTTGAGACCAGCCTGGGCAACATGGTGAAACCCCATCTCTACAAAAAAAAAAAAAAATACAAAAATAACACTACATGGTAGCATGAGCCTGTAGTCCCAGCTACTCAGGAGTCTGAGGTGGGAGGATCGCTTGAGTCCGGGAGGCGGAGGTTGCAGTGAGCCAAGATCTCACCACCGCACTCCAGCTGGGTGACAGAGTGAGACCCTGTCTCAAAACAAGACAAATCTTGTTTCTTAAAATTTTTATTTCCATTATGGGGAAGGAGAGAGTGGAGATTGTGTGCTAGGTAACGATAAAAATATATTTATTCATCTAGGTTGAGGTCAGAGAAATTTGATAAATGCTGCAGAGGTAGTAAATCAAAACTGGTTTCCCCATGGAAATCAATGTAAAGAGTGTGTGTGTGTGTGTGTGTGTGTGTGTGTGTAGGCCAGTCTTCAGAATCTAGCCATCTACAATTATTTTAAATCCCTTTGGCTTTCATTTTCCTCCATATTATCACCAATACTTCCCAGGGTGCCTGTTACGGTGAAAACAATGTCAGCGGCTTTGTCTTTCTCATAGTGTTCTATCCAACCTAATTTTTGTTCCACAATTATTGTTAGGGAAATATTTTCCCCCCAACGCTAGCATTACCCATTGGTTAGCACTATTACAAGTATAGTTTTCTTTGATCAGACTTTTCTATGTATCCTGAAAGGAAGGTAGTGTTATTTTATTTATCTTACAGATAGAAAAGTAAACAGGGAAATAAAGTAATTTATTGCAGTTCATACAGCTGGCAAAGGGTAGGGCTTCAACTGAAATAGGTTTTTATTATTGCGATAACAGTGACTGTTAAAACAAAAGTACAAGGTCATCAAAGTCCCTCCCAGAAGTTCCACACAAAACATGCAATGACCAGGATATGGGCAGACTCTGTGGCTGCGTTTCTATTTCATATTGAATTTAGGCCGGGCGTGGTGGCTCATGCCTGTATTCCCAACACTTTGGGAGGCCAAGGCAGGCGGATCACCTGAAGTCATGAGTTTGAGTCCAGCCTGGCCAACATAGTGAAACCTCATCTCTACTAAAAATACAAAAATTTGCAGGGCATGGCAGCGCACACCTGTAATTCCAGCCACTCAGGAGGCTGAGGCAGGAGAATCGCTTGAACCCCAGCCTGGGCAACAGAACAAGACTCCGTCTCAAAAAAAAAAAAAAAAGAATTTGGTGCAGCTATGGGCAATAAAGCACCTAGTTTACAATGCAGATGCTGCCAGCTTCAAATTTATGCAATTCTTCCCATTTTTTTTAACATAGGGCTTTTTATTTTTTTTTTGAGACAGAGTCATACTCTGTCACCCAGGCTGGAATGCAATGGCGCGATCTCAGCTCACCACAACCTCTGCCTCCCAAGTTCAAGCGATTCTCCTGCCTCAGCCTCTCAAGTAGCTGGGATTACAGGCATGCACCACCACAACCAGCTAATTTTGTATTTTTTTTTTAGTAGAGATGGAGTTTCACCATGTTGGTCAGGCTGGTCTCAAAGTCCTGACCTCAGGTGATCCACCCGCTTCAGCCTCCAAAAGTGCTGGGATTACAGGTGTGAGCCACCATGCCTGGCTAGGGAATTTATATTATTATTTTAGAAAACATAAGACATCATATTGTTAGGTTGTAGTCTCAAGATCAGGTACAGTTGGCCAGGCGTGGTGGCTCATGCCTGTAATCCCAGCACTTCGGGAGGCCGAGGCGGGCAGATCACGAGGTCAGGAGTTCAAGACCAGCCTGACCAACATGGTGAAACCCTGTCTCTACTAAAAATACAAAAATTAGCGTCTCAAAAAAAAAAAAAAAAGATCAGGTACAGTTGCCCCTTGGTAGCAGTGATGGGACTGGTTCTGGGACCCCTATGGATACCCAAATATGCAGATGTTTAAGTCTCTTATATAAATGCCCTAGTATTTGCATATAACCTATGTACATCCTCTCCTACACTTTAAATCATCTCTAGATTACTTATAATGCATAATACAATGTAAATGCTTTGCAAATAATTGTTATATTGTTTGAAACTTGTACTCATTTTTTATTACTGTATTTTTTCCCCAGTATTTTTTATCAGCAGTTGATTGAATCTGCTGATGCGGAACCCACAGATACCAAGGACTGTAATTCAAATCATAAAATGCACCCTAGGCAAAGCCCACCTGGGCCTCTTCCTCGTGTGCGTGGTGGGCTCTAGGCAGGATCTGCTTTGCTTAATGGACAGAGTCAGCCCTGTCTTCAGAACAGGAGCCTGGGAATTTCCATTTTTGACAAGCTGGAGTTTTCTTTTTCTTTTTATTGAGACAGGGTTTCACTCCTGTTGCCCAGGCTGGAGTGCAGTGGCCAATACAGTGACACGATCTCGGCTCCCTGCAACCTCCGCCTCCGGGGTTCAAGCGATTCTCCTACTTTAGCTGGGATTACAGGCATGCGCCACCATGCCCCGCTAATTTTTGCATTTTTTATAGAGATGGGGTTTCACCATGTTGCTCAGGCTGGTCTCGAACTCCTGGCCTCAAGCGATCCGCCCGCCTCGGCCTCCCAAGGTGCTGGGATTACAGGAGTGAGCCACCGCACCCGGGCCAACAAGCTGGAGTTTTCTATCAGTCAAGTCTGGGAAGCACTCTGAAGGGTTTGTGAAATATTTGTTACTTGACCTCTAGGAAGGCTCAAGTATTCGCTCTCAGGAGGATCGGCATAGCATGGTGTTCATAGGCATTCTGGAGTCAGGTTAGATCCAAATGTGAGCTCAGCAGCTGTGCCCATGGGACCTCCTGGAGTCTCATCTTACCCCATCTGTGAAACGGGAGGCCGGGCGCGGTGGCTCACGCCTGTTATCCCAGCATTTTGGGAGACTGAGGCGGGTTGATCACCTGAGGTCAGGAGTTCAAGACCAGCCTGGCCAACATTGTGAAACCCCGTCTCTACAAAAATACAAAAATTGGCTGGGTATGGTGGCGGGTGCCTGTAATCCCAGCTACTCGGGAGACTGAGGAGGAAGAATCGCCTGAACCCGGGAGGCGGAGGTTGCGGTGAGCCGGGATGGCGCCATTGAACTCCAGCATGGGCGAGACTCCGTCTCAAAAACAAAAATCAAAAAACAAAAAACGGGAACCGTCCCCCATCGTCCTTTGAGCAGTCGCGTGGCTGCGAGCCCCGGGCTGGGGCCGCGCTGACCCTCCCGTGCCCCTCGCAGATGCCCGTGCTGAAGCAGCTGGGCCCCGCGCAGCCCAAGAAGCGGCCTGATCGCGGCGCCCTGTCCATCTCCGCGCCGCTCGGCGACTTCCGGCACACGCTGCACGTGGGGCGCGGCGGCGACGCCTTCGGGGACACCTCGTTCCTGAGCCGCCACGGCGGCGGGCCGCCCCCCGAGCCCCGGGCGCCCCCCGCGGGGGCCCCGCGCTCCCCGCCGCCGCCCGCCGTCCCGCAGTCCGCAGCGCCCTCGCCTGCCGACCCGCTGCTGTCCTTCCACCTGGATCTGGGGCCCTCCATGCTGGACGCGGTGCTGGGCGTCATGGACGCGGCGCGCCCGGAGGCGGCTGCCGCCAAGCCCGACGCGGAACCCCGCCCCGGGACGCAGCCCCCCCAGGCCCGCTGCCGCCCCAACGCGGACCTCGAGCTGAACGACGTCATCGGCCTCTAGGTTCCCTCATTCCCCGCGCCCTTCCCGCCCGGCACCCCACTTCTGTATACATAAACGGCCAAGGTGTGTGCCCGGGCTCTGACTTTTCACTTTGCACGTGGAAAGGGATGAATGATAGGGTCCTGGCGCCTCTGAGAGCCGGATGTGTCACCCGGAGGCCTGGTCCGGGTCCGATGATTGCCCTGGGGTGGGGGTGCGGCTCCTTTAAGAGAGCCCGAGGGCGTGGCCAGGCGGTGCCCCTTGCAGAGGCGGCGGCTCCCGCAGTCCCATTCGTCAAATACTGTGCGCCACCGCCGGCCGGACGTGGTCCTGGGGCCGGGCCAGACTCAGCCACCGCGGGGCCAGCCGAGGCGGGGCTGCAGAGTGCTGCAGCCCCAGGAGTCTTTCTGGCCCTGAACGCCTCAGGTGGACTCCGACCCGGCGGAGCCGCCGTTTACTCTGGGAGCGGCTGCAGAGGGAAGTGTCTGAGAACACTTTTAGAGCAGTAGGGGCCTGGTCTCCGTGGGGGAAGGGTCCGCAGGCATCTTGGTTCTTTAAGGCCCCCGAGGGATGGGGCCGAACATGCAAATGATTTGGACTGAGGGGCCAGGTTCTCGTAAGTTTCCCAGAGGGGCGGGGCCGCAAATGTAAATCACTTGGACTGAGGGCGGGTCCAGGTTCTTTAAAGACGTCCCCTCATGGGCGGGGCACACAGGTATCACCGGGAAAGGGGCGGGGCACCACATGTAAATCACCGGGAAAGGGATGGGACACAGGTAAATCACCCGGAAAGGGGCGGGGCACCACATGTAAATCACCTTAAAACGGACAGGGCACACATGTAAATCACTTGGGGAGAGGCACACACGTAAATCACCCGGAAAGAGGCAGCACAAAAGTATCACTGGGAAAGGGCCAGGGCACGCATGTAAATCACCCGGAACGGGGCGGGACACATGTAAATCACTTGAGAAGGGGAGAGGCACTCGTAAATCACCCGGAAAGGGGCGGGGCATTACATGTAAATTACCCTGAAAGGAGCGGGGAACATATGTAAATCACTTGGGAAGGGGAGAGGCACACATAAAAAAAAAAAAAAATCACCTAAAAGGGGTGGGGCACTCGTAAATCACCAGGAAAGGGGCGGGGCACCACATGTAAATCACCGGGAACGGGGCGGGGCACTACATGTAAATCACCTAAAGGTCGAGGCACACGTAATCATCCCGAAAGGGGCGGGGCATTACATGTAAATCACCCAGAAAGAGGCAGCACACATCAATCACCGGGAAAGGGGCGGGGCCAGGCTCCCAAGAGCTCCGGGAGACCGAGACTGCCGCAGCCTTTACGCAGCTTGCTTTCCTGGCGCTGGGGGAGGGCGCAGCCGGGAAGTCCCAGAGCAGCGGTGTCAGGCTCTCCACCAAGGAGGGACTGGGCCAGAGTCCTCGCGAGGGCACGCGGCGTGGTCCCCAGAGCTAGGCCGGAGCGCGGGCCGCTGACGCCACTGTCGGGTGAGGCTCGGTGCATCCAAGGGGAGCCGCCCTCCGTGCGGGGCGACCTCGTCTGCGCGGCGGGCGTGCCAGTTCCCCGCACCCATGGCAGCGGCCAGAGAGCCGGAGTTGCCGCAGGAAGCCCCCGCCACGGAACCCGCGCCCCCGCCGGCCTGCCGCTTCTTCCTGGAAGGCCGCTGCCGCTTCGGCGCCCGCTGCCGCCAGCCCCACCCTGGGGCGCCGGCGCCGCCTGGCCGCGAGGCGCAGCCGGAGGCCGGGGCCAAGAAGCCGCCGCTGCGCACAGCCGCGGACGTCATCCAGCGCATCCGCTGGGACCCGCGCCTCGACCCCGCCGACTTCTCGGTGGGCTACGTCGACCGCTTTCTGGGTGTGCGCGAGGAGCCCTTCAGCGCCTTTTGCTGGGACCAGCCGCTGGCGGCGCTCGGGCCGGGCGTGCTGGCAGTGCCCCAGCACCGCGTGCGCTTCTTCCGCTTCCGTGGCCGCCTTGTGTGGGACCGCGCCTCGCGCACCGACCTCGTCTTTGGCTCTGGCTCGGCGGCGGGACGCGGGCCCACCATCCTGGACGCACCGAACACCGAGGGCGCCCACGGGGCAGAGGGTGCCGAGTGGACACTGGCGGGGACAGGTCAGGAGGCCCAGGCTGCCCCCAAGCGAGGGAGCACAAGGCCGCTCTGCACAGGGCACCAGGAACCAGGCGTGGAGGAACCCGGAGAGCTGGAGGCGGCCCAGGAGAGGGCGCTGGGCACAGCTGCTGATTTGGGAACACTGGCCCCAAGAGGACGCCTCGCCGGAGTGACTGAGGCACTGAAGCCAACAGCAGCCACCAGGACCACATTGCTGGGGGGCAAGGAAGCACAGGCCCTGGGAGTCCCGGGGGGCTCCGCTGAGACGACAGAAGCCGAGTGGGGTCCTGCGGCCTGGCCCGAGGACAAAAGGGCCCGCCTTAGTGTTGCAGCCCCTTGCCAACCGCGCCCCACACATTTTGTGGCCCTCATGGTGACCGAGCCTGGGCTACAAGCAGAAGTGACCAAGGCCCAGGAATACCTGGTCCACGTGGCCCCACACTGCGCCAACTTCCTAGTGCCCTCTCAGAACCTACACCTGACCCTGGCCCTGCTGCGACTGGCAGGCGCTGGGGAGGAGGCCGCTGCCATTGGAGCTCTGAGACGGGCCCTCTTGGCCCCGGGGCTAAATGCACCCCCTCGGCTGAGCTTTAGAAAGCTGGTCCTCCTGGGCCCGCATGTGCTGTGTGCCCCACCCTCTCCCACACTGGAAAGCATGGCACAAGTGCTGAGCCAGAGGCTGGAAGCCGAGGGGCTGAGTACACTACAGTCTCCAGGGCAGCTGCACCCCCACCTCACCGTGGCCAAGGTGCCCCATGGTTCCCAGGTCCACCTCCCCAAGCTGGAGTTCACCCTCAGCCAGGAAGTGGGGTGCCAGCCCCTGCAGACACTCTGGCTGTGCCGTATAGGGAGGACAGGGGGGCCTTTCCAGCCCCTGGCTGAGATCCCCCTGGAGTGACACCCCCAGACCTCTGGAGGAGACAATGGATGCAAACAGCCCACACAGGAAAGACAAAGCAGGAGCGTGCACGCTCTCTCTTTCTCTCTTTAATTTTGGTTTCTCTCAAGCTTCCAAATGGTGCTCAGTGCTCCAAGGAAAGGAAGGAAGGAAGGAAAAGGAGGGGAGAGGAGGGGAAGGGGAGGCAGAGGAGGAACATCTGGAAAAAAAGCAGCCTGACAGTCCAGCTGTTTGCAAACTCATAGCACATCCTCCAGTTACATGGCAGAAGAGGGAGGGAGGGAGGGCCAAAAAGAAAAGGGAGAGGAGGAAGAAAAATAACTTAAATAAACACACACACAAAGAAAAGAGAAGGCAACATGACGTGAGCTGGTGATCCATGAAGGCAGGGAGGGAGGGGAACCGTTTTACCTGTGCTGAACCAAGGGAAGAATGCGGAGAGGGAGGGAGGGAAAGGGGAAAAAAAAATCAGAAGAAACACTGGGGGCAGAGGGAGGAGGGGACACGGAGACAACTTTATACAACTTGAGACGAGGCGGCCCGGCCGGCGTGTCCTCAGTGCGGTGTGGCGGCGGAGGATCTGGTGCTGGTGGTGCTGGCACTTCAGGGTGGGGGGCCGAGGACGGGCACAGTCTCTAAGCAGCTCCCCCACCCCAAACACGGAGGCCCCAAGGGGCTGGGAACAAGAGTCTGTGGCGAAGCAGGTGAGGCAGCGGGCGGTGGGCGGGCTTGCTGGGTGCCCCCGCCGCAGGCGGGCACGGGCTGGACGGCCTGTCTTCTTTCCACTGGCCCCCCGGCATGGGATGGGCCAGGGCGCCGGGTCGGGTACCGGAGTGCAAGCTCGAAAGAGAGAGAGAGAAAACACTGAGACAGCATTAGTGGAGTGAAAGGCGGACACAGATGAGCCTGCAGACCATGCCCCCAACCCTCCGCTGCCCATCCCCTCCTCCCCAATCCCATCCCTCTGAGGCAAAAAATAAAAACGTAGAAAAATCTCTGTACAGACTCCCCGGTGGGAAAACGGGGGCAGGGATGGTGGCTCTTCCTGGAGCGCACTCCCCACAAATAAATTTACAACCCAAGTCCACGGCTCAAAAACAGAATCCGCAAAGGCAGCGCTGGGGGCTGCAGCCCCTGCCCCCGCCCCTCCTCGCTGGGTGCTCAGAAGGCTGACAGCTGCGCCAGGCTGAGGCGGCAGTCGATGCTGGAGTTGTCCGGGCCCGTGTAGGCCAGGCCCAGGGGCTCTAGGAAGGCCCGGCAGGCGGCCTCGCCCTCGAAGGCCAGCTCGGCCTGCAGGTAGGAGACTGGCAGCGCAGGGCGGAAGCTATGGAGACAAGAGGAGAAGGTGATGAGGCGGGCGGGCGGGAGGGCAGGGGAGGGCCCCACGAGCGGGGAGGCCCCCCCATTCGGGTGCCCACAGGATTTCCTCAGCACAGTGCCTGCTGGCTCCCCACCCGCCTCCCAGCCTCCCCACCTCAGGGGCTCGGGGGGGGCCCGGGGGGGGTTAGTGACCCCAGTCCCCTGTGCCCCCCTCACCCTCACTTACCTGTGCGGGGGCCAGGGAGGAGCGGGGACGGGCAGGGAAGGGCCCAGCGGGCTCCTCCGCTGGCTGAGGGGCAGGGACCAGATGGAGGGAGCAGCACGTGGCAGGGGATGGGGATGGCGGGGCTGCCAGGGCCACCGTGGGGACCCAGCCCTCGCTGCCTCCCCTGCCCTGCGTTACAGTGTCTGGGAAGCCAGGCGCAGGGGTGCCAGCTAGCACTCACCACTACACACTGAAAGCAGTCACTTCCGGCTGCTGCTAAAACACACTACTGACTGAGCATCTAGCACGAGCCAGGTCCTCAGAGCTCCCTGAACCCTCTTCCACAGGGTGCAGCCCTACCCTTTCCACACACACAGGAACCCAGGCACCGAGTGAGGGGCACTAAGTCCTAGAACCCGCTTCTGCTCCAAAGCCAGAGCTTTCCTGGAAGCCCTGGGATCAGAGCCCACTCCGTCTCCCAGTCTCAGCTGGCAGGGCAGGGTCAGCCTCCTTGGGGGGAAGGTGCTGACACAATGAGGTCAATGACAGACTGGCGCCCCACCCACGAGGGGCACTCATGGCTATGTTCCCAACCAAGGCCAATTAGGTATCAATTAACAAGGACACTCGCCCAACCACACACCCCTGTGTAGCACAGAAGCTTGAGAGCCACCATTCATGGGGCCCATCATGGCAGCAGACTAAGCAGCCTCCTGCCTCCCCTTCCTTCTAACTTCCCAAGCTGGTCATGGAGCTCTGTGCACGGCACCCCACATCCTCGTCTGCTCCTGTGACTCCTACCCTGGCTCAGCCTCTCCCTGAAGTTGGCTTGACCCACACTAGATTCCAGAATGAGTCTCCAAACCTCCAGGCTGACAGTCCCTCCCTAGCTCCAAACTATGCTGTGACCATGACCTCACACGGAGGGCCACCTGGCCAGGCTCTCAAGGCCTCCATGCTGTGACCATGACCTCACGTGGAGGGCCACCTGGCCAGGCTCTCAAGGCCCCCATGCTGTGACCACAACCTCACGTGGAGGGCCACCTGGCCAGGCTCTCAAGGCCTCCATGCTGTGACCATGACCTCACGTGGAGGGCCACCTGGCCAGGCACTCAAGGCCCCCATGCTGTGACCATGACCTCACGTGGAGGGCCACCTGGCCAGGCTCTCAAGGCCTCCATGCTGTGACTATGACCTCACGTGGACAGCCACCTGGCCAGGCTCTCAAGGCCTCTTCAGTCTACCGGTCAACCTCTTCGACCAGAATTTCTCCACCTTGGCAAGACTGAGCTCTGAGGCCCAATGGCAGTGGCAGGGCAGCATCCCTGGCCTCCACTCACTAGATGCCAAGAGCATCCCCTTGCTGTGACAAGCGAAAACCTCTCTTGACATTGCCCAGCGTCGCCTGGGCACCTCAATCACCAGACAGAACCATGCGTCTAAACATGAGTCAAGCAACTCATCCCCACCCACAGCAAGCCAGGCGCAATGTCTAGTGAACGAAGGACACTGCAGGGGCATGGCCTGACCAGGGGCCTCTGGCACCGCGCCCAGTGTGGCCTCAACACAGGTGTCTCCCTAAGCGTTTCTGGTGCTCTCAAAGGAGCTGAGTGGGACTGGGCCTTGTCCTGGTAGACCAGAGGCTGTCTAGATGGTCTCTATGGTGGGAGCACAGCGACAAGCTGAGAAAGCAGAGACCTCAGGGTTCTGAGGAAGCCCAGGGCAAGGAGTGAACTAGGGGGTCCAGGCAGGAGAGAACAGGAGGAAGAGACACACAGATGGGGTGGAGAAGAGGCCCCAGAGGCAGTGAGCTGGGAACAGTGGGGAGAGGGAGAGGAGTGACCCGGAACACAGAGGTGACCAACAAGGAGAGCAAGAGGAACTGGAGAGGGGAGGGCTGAATGGAGAAAGATGATGGGGAAGCAAGGACCAGGACAAGGGTTGGGGGCTGGGGGAGGCCTGCGGCCAGGAGCTGGTCTGAGGGGCGGTGCGAGGCGGAAGGATGGGAAGAGCAAAGGCAGAAGGGAGCTTGGCACCACATACGTTTTGATCATGGCCTTGAGGGCGACCTTGCGCTCCCGATCTGCAAACTTGTCCACGAGGTAGCCAGACATGCAGGGTGCATGGCAGTAGAGCCGGAAAAAGCGGTGGTAGTTGCCCAGGGCCCAGGCTGTCCTTAATGCCAAGGCGTGGGCCACGCAAGGATCTGCCTTCAGTTCTCGTGTGAGGTATGCCAGCTCCGTGGTGATGTCTAGCACCAAGACAAAGAGGGTGAAGTCAGCAGGGCTCAACCCTGGGTACCATGGCCTCTGTCCTGGGGACTGGGCCTCACCTCCCGAGTTCTTGGTGAAGATGTAGTAGAGGATTCGGTAGGCAGTAAACTCGCCCACATTGCCAGGCAAGTTCTCGGCGTACAGCGACTTGAGCTGCGTCTGGCACTGGTTAAACTCTTCATGGTCACCCTGGAAGGCAGAGGCACCGAGGGAGGAGAGCAGAGTGAGGGTGCTGAGGGCAGAACGGCAGCAGGAAAGGGGCTGGGGAGGCCCGCAGAGGCCAGCTCACCTTCTCCAAGGCGATCCGGGCATGGGTCTCGTACACCTCCACCGTGAACTCGGTGCGGATGCCCTGCACCTGGGGCAGCGGGGCGAGAACAAGAGTCACAAGGAGCGGGAGGCAGGACTGGCTGAGGCCAGGCCCCTCCCAGCGCGAGTCTCACCGTCAGATCCTGCCGGATCGACTTCATCTGCTCGCAGGCAAACGCGTAGTCCTGCTTCTCTTTCCAGTGGCACTTGACCATGCACAGCGACTTTTTCAAAACCTGAAAAAGGGAACTGAATTCACACTCGGAGTACAACTCAGGTAGCGTGGCCAACGGCTTCCACTTATTTGGTGGGAGAGTTGCAACATTAAAAAAAGAAAAAAAAGGCCAGGCGCAGTGGCTCACGCCTGTAATCCCAGCACTTTGGGAGGCCGAGGTGTGTGGATCATCTGAGGTCAGGAGTTTGAGACCAACCTGGCCAACATGGTGAAACCCCGTCTCTACTAAAAATACAAAAATCAGCCAGGCGTAGTGGCAGACGCCTGTAATCCCAGCCACTAGGGAGGCTGAGGCAGGAGAATCGCTTGAAGCCGGGGAGCGGAGGCTGCGGTGAGCCAAGATCACGCCATTGCACTCCAGCTTGGGCGACAGAGCCAGACTCTCTCCCAAAAAAAGAGAAAACAAACCCACAAGACATGGGTTAAGAGTGGCCACCTCCACACCCATTTCCCTATAAGCACATGGCTGTTCACAGGTTCTGCAGCAGAACAGTGACTACGCCAAACACTGGAAACACAGCCCCCCACGCCCCACAGCCCACGGGCCTGGGAGAAGGCTTTATGCTCCGTGTCACCTAAGCCAGGAACCACGGCCCAGAGGTCAAGCGATTCGCCGGCCAAGCTGCACACCCGCCACGCGGGGCTCCAGGGCAGCAGAGCGCCTTTGCGCTCCTCTCAGAATGCCGACCAGCCGAGGCGTCTCTGGCCGAGCTTCCCCTGCCATACCAGAGCCCCCGTGTGGCCTCTGCCACCCTCCCTGGGTTGGCTCCCCAAGTCCTGAGCCAGCACGGCCTCACAGAGCAGAACTGCCCTGCTGGGCACTTACTGCCACAGGGCGCACGGTGGACGGGTCGGGGGCACAGGTGAGGCGCAGGTAGTGCTTGGTGATGTCAGGGCAGGTGCCCACGATCTGCAGCTCCTGCCAGTCAGGGTCAGCCCCACTGCTCTCCAGGCTGCTCATCTGCAGCACCAGGGGCTCGAGGCGCAGGCGGCGGGAGTGTCCGTGCTGGAAGCGGGCTGCCCGCTTCTGCTTCTTCAGCTCTCGCTCCGGGTCCTCACACTCCAGCGCCGCCATCTTCTTTCGACTGCGCTTGGTGGGCGCCAGATCGTGCCTAGGAAGGGATGAGGGGCAGTGAGCGCGACAGGCGTCTCCAGCCCCCCTTCAGCCTCGCCCCTTTGGCAGCTGGCTGTCCACCTGTCCGGCCCTCCTCCTCCTTCTCCCATGGGTCCCCAGTACCCTCCTCCACCCTGGCCCGTGTGTCGAGCCCTCACACAGTCTCACCTCTTCCCACGCTGCGCCCTGCCTCGGCCCCGATCCATATGGGCCCCTCGACCGCCCCGGCCCTTAGGGGGCGGGTTCCTGCGGCCCACAGGGTGACACTCATTCCCTGAGTAGGAGCTGTCGGAGTCTGAGTGGGAGTCACTGCAGGAAGAAGCAGGAGGGTCAGGCCTGAAACGCCTCCCCCTCCCTCACACACAGCCCCAGCCGGGAGCCTCAGTACCTTCTGCGGAAGTGGCGCGTCGGGGACCTGGAGGAGGAGCGGGAGCGGGAGTCTGTGCTGGAAGAAGAGCTGTTGTCCTTCATGAAGACGTTGCGGTTGCCAAACTTGGTGAAGCTGTTGCCCCGGGCTCGACCGGCACCCCCAGCCCCGGGCGTCCCTCGCTGGGACGGGGCACCCCCGCCCCTTGTCGCCGAGCCTGCCCCTCTAGGAGGGTGAAGGCTGCTAGCGGCCTCCCACCGCTTCTTCTTAGGGCTCTCAGCCACAGGCTCCCGGGTCAGCCTGAGAATACAGCAGGGCAGGGCGTCACCAACCCCGCCAGACACTGGCAGGACAGCCGCCACCACCTCCCTCAAGGTACCGACCCGCCTCCGAAAGGAAAGGCACTTACCCCAGGCGGCTCAGCTACTACAGTGCAGAAATGAGACGCGAACCCAGGTTTTCCGTCTCCAGAGGGTGCGCTTAACCACTGAGCAATGCACGCCTCTCCAGCACCCATGGTCCCCACCCCACCCCACCGGCCTCCCTCCAACCAGGACTTCATCCCCCCAGGATCCAACTTTCCAGTTCATTTCTCTTTGGAGCTCCTGGTACCTGGGACCCGCAACTCTCCTACCTCCATACCCAGCCCATGCCTCTCACAGCACCACCCTCCCACCTATGTCCCCCACCCAGACTAACCCCGGCAAGGGCTCCCGGCTCCAGTCAATGGTATAGGCCGAGCCGTCCTGCAGCCGCGCCTGCAGCACCTCCTTGAGCAGCTTTTCCGTGCGGTCCTTGTCCTCCTCCGACTCACAGGCGGTGAAGCAGCGCTCCACATACTCTTTCATGTCCTGGGGCCAGTCATCCGGCTTCCCAGACAGGTTCCCCCGGGCAGAGGACCCGCTGCGGGAGGACAGATGAGGGGCTCAGCTGGAGACGATCCCAAACTCAAAAGACCATCCCCACCGCCACTCTGAGCTGACACAGCGGGACGCAGTCCCCAAGTTTTCCTTCTGTCTCCTTCAGTGCTCACAGCAACCCCCAAGAGAGGGTCCTTCTGCCCTTTTCAGAGGCGCACACTGAGGCTCAGGGTGGGCAGCTGGCCAGTGGGACTGGACCATAGACGCTGAGTGCAGAGTGTGGGGCTGCGACGGGGCAAGGGGGCAGACGTCACCTGTGGTTCTGAACTTTCTCAGGGTTGGGCTGGGGGCCAAAACCACTGTGCTGGCCCTCTGCGTTGGAGCCAAAGCTCTGGGTGGTAACAGCAAAGGGTCGCTTCTGGATGTTGAACTTGAGACCTCCAGTCCCAGGGGCGGCTGTGAGGGCAGCGAAAGCTATGGTTAGGCCCTTCCCCGGCACATCCAGGGGTCCCCAGGGGACGGGAGGAAGTGGAAATGCAGGGAGGAGCGCTCAGGTTCTAGAGGAGGGCTCCAGCACACATGTGCCTGGTCCAGAGCAGCCCCACCCCCAGCCTGGCGATCACAACACCCAGAAACAAGGAGCAGCACACACCACGGGCCTCACACCCAGGAGCTCTTATGAGGGCCCAACCGCTCGGACCTCCACGTAGCTCTGCCAACTTACGTTTCATGCGGTTCCACAGCTGTTGGCCCTTCTTGGGCTTGGCAGGTTCGGTGTAGGTGTGTGGCCCATAGGCCTGGCCCGTGGCGGGCCCCGCCTGGCTGTGCTGTGTGGCTGGAGCTGTCCCAGGCTGAGGGCCACTGTTCAGCGTGTGAGCCCCATGTGGGGGATTTGAGGGCTGAGGGGGCTGAGCCGACGGCAGCTGCTGAGGGGGAGCCTGGTAGGACATGCTCTCATCCATGCCGGGGACTGGGGGCTGCAGAAGGAAGCAGGCGCTGAGCACGGGAGGCAGATTCTGGGGCTGGCGAGTGGCACTCAGCCCTCGCTGTGAGGACGCAGTGGTCACAGCACTCAGCACTCAACCCTCCCGTGACCTTCCCAAATGTGAGTTCATTCGAGTCCTCAGTAACTCTGTGAGGTTAACATTTGTTAACAGCCCTTTTCACAGCTGACAAGGCTCCAGCTCAGAGACTAAGCGACTTCCCAGGGCCCTAAGCTATGAAGCGGCAGCTGGCAGCGTTTCAATGCTGGAGTAACAGCCACCGACAACACACCCACTCCAGCGCTACCATCTGAGCACAAGACACCCATGAGCACACACACTCATGGAGCCCAAGGATGAGGCTACCATCCTTCCCGCTTTCGAGAGCTGACCGAGATGCGTAATTACACCAGGGGTGGGACAGCTGGGATTCAAACCCAGGTCTACCTGCCTCCTGTGCACTAGCCCGGCCATTCCTCCAAGCTGCACATTCAATGCAAAACCCAGCCGGTGTGTGCACGCCTGTGGGTGACCATGCTAGGGAAAAAGATGAGATGTCTTTCAACATCTCAGCCCTGGCCTTGGCTCAGCCTTAAACCCACCCCAGGTTCAAACACTATGCTCTGTCCTCCTCATTTTCAGATCAGGAGTTGCTTGGAAGGAAAAAAGCAGCTTAAGGAGTACAAGCCATTCCTCATTGACAGCTCATTCAAAAATCTACACTTCCTCTGCTTGAGCAGGGTATGGGAGCTGGGCTAGGATGTTACCTGGTTCAGAGTCCCTTGGTGTTGGGGTGCGGATGGCTGCTGGGGTGTGGCTGAGCCATAGGAGCCGGCCATCCCATACTGGGAAGGGGAGCCATAGCTCTGGTACATGCTCTGCAAAGGCGCAGGGAGGGAGGGTTTAGTGGGAGGCCTACCCTTTCCGCTTCCCCAGCCTGCTCAGGAACTACACCAGCCATGACCCTCTACCAATCCCTCACCCCTTTCTCTCTTCACTATATTAATGCACCACATCCTCTCATATATTAGGAAAAGAAAAACCTCTATCAATCCCACATCTCACTTAGCTAGTTCTCGGAAGAATATAATCAACGATACTGAGTGCCAACTCTTCTAAGCACTACGACAGAACAAAAGGAAAACCCATGCTGTAATGAAGCTTGTGCTGGAATTACATGTCCGGCTGGAGACATCAACATGTAATACATCCAGCAATAAGGATCATGAAACAATAAGATGGCAAAGAAAGGGAGAGGGACAGGCTGCGAGGCAGGAATGCTACTTTCAATCAGTGTGTCAGGTAGAGGCTCTCTGAAGGCGGCATCTGAGCAGAGACCTCCAAGAGGCGGCAACACAGGGAGCACTGCAGCCAGGGCAAAGCGAGAGCGGGCCTGGCGGGTGCGGGCATCAAGGAGGTCTCTGCTTCGATGGCCATGGCAGAATGAGCATGAGGAGAGAAGGGACCAGAACCGGGTATGTAGGACCTTGTGGCTCATGGCGGGGACCTAGGAATTTACCTCCTGGGCAAGTTAGAGGGTTTCTGAGCAGTTATCACTGCGATCTCCAGTCCATCCACCACCCAGCCCCATCCCGGCAGACTCCACTTCACCTCGCCCCGACCCAGCAGACTCCACCTCGCCCTGCCCCGCCCCACTGGCTGGGCACTCACCATGGGATAGTAGTAGCTGTAGGGGTAGGCATAGTTGTACTGCTGGTACCACTGGTAGTACTGCTGCTGCTGCAAAGCTGAGGCTTCTGCCTGGGACACGTACTGTGGAAGCAGAGGCACATGTGCCGTCAGCAGCCCAAATCCACAGGCACACGGCCCCCAAAGGGCAAGCCTGTTTACTGGTGGCCAATTGCCAAGGGATGAAACTGGGTCCATGTATCTGCAAAGTGAGCCACTGTCTCTACCATGAGACTCACGCACGTTAGAGACCAGGGGCATGGGCATGGCCTCCCTCTTCAGAACCACATCACGCCCTAATTTCCTCAAGGAAACAGAACTTTTTCCCGTTCAGATTTAGATACCCTGGAACGTCTTTTCATGTTTCCCCTCAGAGCACCCCGTCTGAATGATACAACAGGACGCCAGACTGTGTCCCTCCCACAACCTCTGGCTCAGGGTACCCCAGCCCCATGAGGCCTTCTCACCTGTGCACTGGCCACAGGCCCATTGCTGCTGGACTTGGCAGAGCCGCCGGCAGCTCCTGACTTGCTGATGCTGGCCAGGGCCTGACGGGCCTTCTCCCACTCCGGGTTCTCGTGCATCGGCGTCTCCATGCCATTCTCTCGGCCTGCCCCAGCCACCATGCTGTACTGAGAAGACCTGCAGAGAGAGAGGACATCAAGTCACACCTGTTCTCCCCACTGTACACAGGTGGGCAAGTTGGGAGGCAAATTCCAGCCCCTGGATCCCATATCTAACTGTTACTACCAGTCTAAGCCTAAGTTTTCTAATCTGTACTATGCTGATAAAGGGTTTCTGCTTCAGAGTCTGCTGGGAGGGATAAATGAGATCACCTACTTAAGGTACTTATCCCAGAGCCTGGCACACAGCAGTTGTTAAAACCAAACAAACAAAACAATTAACAGAACCCACAGAACTGAACACAGGCCTTGGCACCTCCTAGGGCTATGTCTTTCATGAATCAATGAATTCTGTCTGACATCACCCCAGTCGGCAGGTTATCACACTATTTTGAGAAAAAATAAGGAATCAGCAGAAAAACAAATAAATGACTGTGTATTGAGTGTTGGGAAGCTGCCTCCTAATTACACTTGCTTGAATGAATCATCACAATTCTGCAAAGCAAGCGCTGTACTGTGAAAAACGAAAGCTCAGAGAGGTGAAAGCTTGCCCCTCTCCACACCACAACCAAATGCTTCCCTCTGTGTTTGCCTCACCACCACCCCCACCCACAGGGATTGTGGCATCACCTCCCCTAAGGCCACGGGAGGTCCCACCCCAGAGGACAGCACTGGGTCTTGCTTCCTCTTTCCCTCCCGACTGGCCTCCATCCCTCTCGCCTCACTAACCAATCTGTGCTACGTTGATCACCCACGTTGGCCGCCATCTGGACCTTGGGGTATAAGGGGTGGACCTCGGGAGCCAGACTGCTTTTTCACTGTCTATGAGAAAAAGAATGAGTTAGGGAGACTTAAGGGGGAGCTAAAAACACGTCACAAAGTGGGGAAGAAAAGTAGATGGACTCAAGAGAAGCCGGGCAGAAAAGGGGAGGCTGACTGAAAAGCCACTGGGGTCAAGGATCTGAAGAGTTCTGGGTGTGGACTAGAAAGGCTGGAGTGAGGGGAAGCCCCTGGCCCCTTTGTAGAGCTCCAGGTGGAAAACGAAGGATTTGGAAACAGGGAAGCCAGAGCAGACTTCCCAAAGGGAAGGAGAAGGGTCTGAAACCCATGTGAGCAAAGAGAGGCTGTGATGAAAGGTCCAGAGGGTAGGGGTGCCTCCATCAAGGGGAAAAGGTCTACAAAAAATTCTAGGGGCCAGGCGCGGTGGCTCACGCCTGTAATCCCAGCACTTTGAGAGGCCAAGGCGGGCAGGTCACCTGAGGTCGGGAGTTCGAGACCAGCCTAACCAACATGGAGTAACCACGTCTCTACTAAAAATACCAAATTAGCTGGGCATGGTGGCATATGCCTGTAATCCCAGCTACTAGGGAGGCCGAGGCAGGAGAATCGCTTGAACACGGGAGGCGGAGGGCGGTAAGCTGAGACTGCGCCATTGCTCTCCAGCCTGGGCAACAAGAGCGAAACTCTGTCTCAAAAAAAAAAAAAAAAAAAAAGCTAGGGAGTACGGGTTGTGAAAGGAACCTGAACCAAGAGGATGGATGCTATAATGAGAAGAGTCTGAGGGAACCCTTAAGGCTGAGAGGGTGGAAAGGTTTCCGAGAACTCTGTGAAAAGGGAGGCCTTTCAGGGAGCATCGAGGGGGCTGGAAGAATATTGGAGAAGAGAAGAAAATTTTGAGAGGAAAAGGGGATTTTCCGGAAGTTAACCCTGGAAGCAAGTGGTCGTTGAGCGTTCCTGAGAATGCCAACGTGAACCCCAACGTGAAGAAATGGGTTCTTAGCACTGACAGACTGATTTCAAAAAGGTCTCCGAAGGGCAGTAAAGAGACCTACGTGGGAGTCCTCAGTGGGACTACCCCTGCCTGCTTCCACGGGAGGTTCCCGGAAGCAGGGGTAGGGCTGGGAGAGAAAAGGGATCACCGTGGTTGGGTGTCTGGACATAAAGCTTTGGGAATGCCAAAGAAGACCCAAAACATGTTCAACGAATTAAGAGTGGGGTACAGAGAGAATTGGAAGAAAAGTGGAGTGTCTCCGGAGCAAGGATTCAGGAGCCTAAACTCCCGAGAGGGAGTAACTGATAAGTAGGATAATTAATCCCGCAGGAGAACCGGAATTCCCACGAGTTGACGGGATAGGAACGGGAGTCTGGAGCTGGGGAAAAGCCCTAGAAACGCAAAGGCTTAACTTAAACAGGACACAGGGCGTGGGTGGAGACGAGGGATCGTGGCGGGGACACAGGAAGAGGAGCCCCAGGGCAGAAGGGAGATTAGAGGTAAGGTCAGGAGTTGGGGGCTGGACAGAGGACTCCCGGACGGGTCTCAAGAACAGAGACAGGCATCAGACGCGAGGCCTGAGGTCCCGGGAGCACCTGGCCGTCCCGCAGGCTGGGCGAAGGCAAAGGAGGACGCCGGGTGGAGGAGGCCGCTCGGATCCCCACGACTAGCCACGGAGCCACTGCCCAGGCCGCGCCTGCGCACCACGCCCCAGAAAGACGCGCAGGAGCCGCCCGTCGCCCGGGGCAACACCCGGTCAACGGCGAGTGAGGGGCGCCCCGGGGCCCCGAGAACTCCAAGGGAGAGGAACGGAAATTAGAAGACGACGGCGCACGCGCGCTAGTGCCCGAACGCGCGGCCCCAGGCCCGGTGCGCAGGCGCAGTGGCTGCCCCTGCGCCGCCACACCCTGTCGACGCTCGCGCGCGGCGTCTGCTGCTGCGACGGCCGAGAAGGCCTCGGGGCTCGCGGGGCGCAAGACCAAAAGGAGATGCTATCCCCGCCCGCCTGCTCGCCTGCCGCTCCCCTTACCAACCAGGATCCTTCGCTGCAGGGACACGCCAACAACCACCCAGGCGATCAGCAACACGGCCACGACACCGCTGTGCCACCCGGCTGGCTCTGGTCTTCTTTGGCTTCGACGTCCTGACCGCGGCGTCCTGACGTCACGCGGCGGCCTTGCACCGCCTCCCTCGGCCCTGCACAGCCAATGAACGCCACGAGCTGCGCTTGAGCCCGCCTTCCTGCCCACGCACTTACGCATGAACATTTTAAGGCAGACCGGAAGTCTGGGTGGGGACGGTGGCCCCGAGGAGACAAGCGTGGCCGCATTAGCTCTTTCTGCCTCCCACGCAGCCTTATTTTTTTTATTGTTGTTTTCTTGTTGCTGTTGTTGTTGTTCTCGGAGACGGAGTCTTGCTCTTGCTCTGTCGTCGCCCACGATAGAGTACAGTGGCGTGATCTCTGCTCACTGCAACCTCCGCCTCCTGGGTTCAAACAATTCTGCCTCAGCCTCCGGAGTAGCTGGGATTACAGGCGCGCGCCACTATGCCCGGCTAATTTTTGTGTTTTTAGTAAAGACGGGGTTTCACCATGTCGGCCAGGCTGTTCTCGAACTCCTGACCTCGTGATCCCTCCGTCTCGGCTTCCCAAAGTGCTGGGATTACGGGCGTGAGCCACCGTGCCCGGCCGCAGCCTTGTTTTGACTGAGTCAGTGGGAGCCATTACTGTTCCTAAATGTAAACTGGCGTGACAGGAGTTCCGGGATTGTCCACAGCACGGTGATGTGGAAGCCCTGGGGAGAGAATGATAAAGAAAGGGGATGAGGAACAGCTCCACCCGGAAGAGCGGGCTTCCCTAGCAAATGAATCTGGAAGGGCGCAGGGGAGGGGGCACGGCGAGTTCAGATGGACCGAGGCTGGAAGCTGACGCGGTTGGAGGGGGATGGGTGTAGCTGTTGGCAGTGGCGCTGGGGTGGAAGTGTGTGGGGTCACAGATGTGTAAGGGTGGGCGCGGAGCAGACCCCCGAAGGTCCCTGAGGTCAGGCTGAGGCATTGGACCAAATCCGTACATAGGCATTTCTCTGAACTGCGCGCCACCTTTTGAGTGCCATCTGTTTCCGTCCAGGACTCTGATACAACTATCCAGTCCGCTGCAGGGACCGGTCACTGTGTCACAGTAAGTGGTGGGATTTAAGAGGCAGTTTTCCTCCTCATGTTCTACCATTATGAACGTCTAGCTTGAAAAATACATACCATTTTCATAACTACGTATTATTTTGTTAGTGCTAGCATAGTAGATCTTTTTCCGTTATTTTACTCTGTGGGGGGGGGGGGGTTTGTTTTGTTTTTGTTTTTGTTTTCTTTTTGGTACTAAGCTTTTTGTTCTGGAATAATTTTGGATTTATTCAAAACGTTGCAAAGACCGGGCGCGCTGGCTCACGCCTGTAATCCCAACACTTTGGGAGGCCGAGATGGGTGGATCACCTGGGGTCAGGAGTTCAAGATCAGCCTGGCCAACATGGTGAAGTCCCGTCTCTACTAAAAATACAGAAATTAGCTGGGCGTGGTGGCGCGTGCACCTGTAATCCCGGCTACTCGGGAGGCTGAGGCAGGAGAATCGCTTGAACCCAGGAGGCCAAGGTTGCAGTGAGCCGAGGTTACACCATTGCACTCCAGCCTGGGCAACAAGAGTGAAATTCTTGTCTCAAAAAAAAAAAAAAGAAAAGTTGCAAAGATCATAAGCAGTCCACCATGTTTTATGCCCACTTTCTTCTGATGCTGTCATCACAAGCACCAACAAAAGTGGTTTGTTGTAGATACTGACATGATGCATTACTGTAACTAAAACCCAGACTTTACTGGGATTTCACCACCTTTTCCTCCAATGTTTTCTTTACATGCCAGGGTACAAGCCAGGACCCACGTTCCATTTAGCTTCCTTTTACCTGTTGTATTTAGGGTGGGTTTCTTGTAGATAGCATGTAGTTGGATCTTGCTTTTTTTTGCCCAAGCGAACAGTCTCTGCCTTTTAAAAGAGGTGTTTATAACTGTACTTTTATTTTTTATGTCTTATTCTTTAGCATTCTGTACACAGATACAGCGATAAAATGAAATGACTGGAACTTAAATGTGAAAACTCTTTACAAGTAAGCCCACAATTAGATACATTTATCTTACATGTCAGGGAAAAAAATTATGTAAACAGGACAAATTATATCACAAAAGAATCCCAAAGTAGAAAAAATACCTAAGAAATGTGTCTAACCATGAAAAGTACTGTTCTCTTGGTGTCTTCACATCGTGTCTTCTGTGTACTTAAGTACAAAACATTGTTGCCTCTGATTAATGCACCCTGTACTTATTTTTCTGTTGTCCAGTTACATATTTGGTTGGTTCCAGGGCTATGTTCATGTAGCCATCCAGGCAAACCAGCACCCCTCCCTTAATCCACTTCAGAATTTTACCCCAACTGTCTGATGATGTGCTCTAAGAAGTCACTAGGGGATTGCTTTTCTTAAAAAATCTATTATTATTATTATTTTTTGAGACGGCTCTGTCGCCCAGGCTGGAGTGCAGTAGCACGATCTCAGCTCACTGCAACCTTTGCCTCCCAGGTTCAAGCAATTCTCTTTACAGGCGTGCACCACCACACCCAGCTAATTTTTGTATTTTTAGTGAAGACAGGGTTTCACAGTATCTGGAATTCCGGACCTCAGGTGACCCGCCCGCCTCTGCCTCCCAAAGTGCCGGGATTACAGGCATGAGCCACTGCGCCTGGCCAGTAGGGGGTTGCTTCTGAAAACTTATTTTAATAATCTTGGGTAGGCCAGGCGCGGTGGCTCATGCGTGTGATCCTAGCACTTTGGGAGGCCGAGGCGTGTGGATCACCTGAGGTCAGGAGTTCAAGACCAGCCTGGCCAACATGGCGAAACCCCGTCTCTACTAAAAATACAGAAAAATTAGCCGGGCATGGTGGCGCATGCCTGTAATCCCAGTTACTCATGAGGCTGAGGCAGGAGAATCGCTAGAACCCTGGGGGTGGAGGTTGCAGTGAGCCCAGATCATGCCATTGCACTCCAGCCTGGGAGACAGAGCGAAACTCTGTTTCAAAAAATAATAATCTTGGGGGGCAGGAAACCTAAGTCATAATCCCGGCTCTTTTACTTAACCAGCCGTATGACTTGGAAAACTCGTTTCCCTTCTCTCGGCTCCAGATTCCTCATCTTGCAGCTGGGATCCAGAGCTCTCACTCCAGGAGCCCAGTCACAGCAAAAACCAAAACTGTACTTTTTTTTTTTTTTTGAGACAGGGTTTCTCATTCTGTCACCCAGGCTGGAGTGCAATGATGTGATCTCTGTCTCAGCCCACAGCAGCTTCAACCTCCCAGGCTCAAGTGATCCTCCTGCCTCAGCTACGCAGTGTATGGTATTTTGTTACAACAACCAGAATGTAGTAAGACATTTATTGAAGGATATCTTGGTTCCTTCCAAGTTTTTGGCAGTGATAAAGAAAGCTGCCATAAACGTGCACGTGCAGATTTCTTTGTGGGCAGAAGTTTTCAACCCATCTGTGTAAATACTGGGGAGCAGTGTTGCTGGTTCATATTCTAAGAGTATGTTTAGGATTATGAGAGACCACCACACTGTCCTCCAAAGTAGCTGTACCATTCTGCATTGCCAGCACCAATGAAGAAGGGTTTCTGTTGCTCCACATTTCTGCCAGCATTTGGTGGTGCCAGCATTTTGGATTTGGCATTCTAATAGGTATGTAGTGGTGTCTTGTTTTTTTTTTGTTTTTTTGAGACAGAGTCTCACTCTGTCTTCCAGGCTAGAGTGCAGTGGCATGGTCTCGGCTCACTGCAACCTCCGCCTCCTGGGTTCAAGCGATTCTCCTGCCTCAGCCTCCCGAGTAGCTGGGACTACAGGCGTGCGCCACCACGCCCAGCTAATTTTTGTATTTTTAGTAGAAACGGGGTTTCACCATGTTGGCCAGGATGATCTCGATCTCTTGACCTCGTGATCCACCTGCCTTGGCCTTCCAAAGTGCTGGGATTACAGGTGTGAGCCCCCGCGCCCGGCCAGTGGTGTCTTGTTTTAACGGACGGTTCCCTAATGACATACGGTGAACATCTTTTCCTGTGTTTATTTGCCATCTGTATTAGGGTTCTCCAGAGGGCCAGAACTAACAGGATATATGTATATATTGAAAGGGAGTATATTAGGGAGAACTGGCTGACAGGATCATCAGGCAAAGTCCCACTATAGTCCATCTGCAAGCTGAGGAAGGAAGAAGCCAGTCACGTCTCAAAGTCCAAAAGCCTCAAAAGTAGGGAAGCCAACGGCGCAGCCTTCAGTCTGTGGCGGAAGGCCTAAGAGTCCCCGACAAACCACTGGTGGAAGTTCAAGAGTCCAAAGGCCAAAGAACCTGGAGTCTAATCTCCAAAGACAGGAAGTATCCAGCACAGGAGAAAGATGAAAGCCAGAAGACTCAGCAAGCCAGCCCCTCCCACCTTCTGCGCTGACTGGATGGTGCCCACCCACACTGAGAGTGGGTCTCCCTCTCCCCGTCCACTCACTCAAGTGTCAGCCTCCCTGGCAACACCCTCACAGACACACCCAGAAACAATCCTTTTTTTTTTTTTTTTTTTTTTTTTTTTTTTTTTTTTTTTTGAGACCGAGTCTCACTCTGTCACCCAGGTTGGAGTGCAGTGGCACCATCTCGGCTCACTCCAACCTCCGCCTCCCGGGTTCAAGCAATTCTTCTGCCTCAGCCTCCCGAGTAGCTGGGACTACAGGCACGTGCCATCATGCTGGCTAATTTTTGTATTTTTAGTACAGACAGGGTTTCACCATATTGGCCAGGCTGGTCTCAAATTCCTGCCCGTCTTGGCCTCCCAAAGTGCTGGGATTACAGGTGTAAGCCACCATGCCTGGCCCCTTTTCCTATTTTTTAATCAGATTGTTTTCCTGTTAACTGAGTTTTAAGAGCCCTTTGTAAATCTTGGATAGCAGTCCTTCATGAGATAGGTCTCTTGCAAATAGTTTCTCCCAGGCTGCAGCTTTTCTCATTATATTAAAAATGTTTTTCAAAGAGCAGAGGGTTTTGTTTTGTTTTGTTTTTTGAGATGGAGTCTCGCTCTGTCGCCCAGTCTGGAGTGCAGTGGCGTGATCTTGGCTCACTGCAAGCTCCGCCTCCCGGGTTCACGCCATTCTCCTGCCTCAGCCTCCTGAGTAGCTGGGACTACAGGCACCTGCCACCACACCTGGCTAATTTTTTGTATTTTTAGTAGAGATGGGGCTTCACCGTGTTAGCCAGGATGGTCTCGATCTCCTGACCTCATGATCCGCCCGCTTCGGCCTCCCAAAGAGCTGGGATTACAGGCGTGAGCCACCACGCCTGGCCTAGCAGAGGGGTTTTTTTATTATTATTTTAATAAAGTCAAGCTTGTAAGTTTCTTTCATGGATCATGCCTTTGATGTATCAAAAAAATTATCACGGCTGGGCGTGGTGGCTCACAGCTGTCATCCCAGTATTTTGGGAAGCCGAGGTGAGTGGATCACTTGAGGCCAGGAGTTTGAGACCAGCCTGGCCAACGTGGCAAAACCCCATCTCTACTAAAAATACAAAAATTAGCCGGGCGTGGTGGCGCACACCTGTAATTCCAGCTACTCAGGAGGCTGAGGCATGAGAATCACTTGAACCCAGGAGGCAGAGGTTGCAGTGAGCCAAGATTCTGCCAGTGCACTCCAGCCTGGGCGACAGAGTGAGACTCTTGTCTCAAAAAAAAAAATTCACAAAACCCAGTCATGTAGGTTTTCTCCTATGTTATCTTCTAGGAGTTTTATAGATTTGCATTTAACATTCAGCTCTATGATCCATTTTGAGTTAATTTTTGTGAAGAGACTAAGGTCTGTGTATAGATTTGATTTATTTATTTTTGGCATGTTGATGTCCAGTTGTTCTAGCACCATTTGTGGAGAGAAGTTTGGAAGTTTGAGCATTTTTTATGATACCTTTTTTTTTTTTTTAGACGGAGTCTCACTGTCATGCAGGCTGGAGTGCAGTGGCACAGTCTCGACTCACTGCAGCCTACTCCTCCCAGGTTCAAGCAGTTCTACTGCCTCAGCCTCCCAAGTAGCTGGGATTACAGGCGTGCACCACCACACCCAGCTCCTTTTTGCATTTTTAGTAGAGACAGGGTTTCACTATATTGGCTAGGCTGGTCTCAAACTCCTGACCTCGGGATCTGCCTGCCTTGGCCTCCCAAAGTGCTGGGATTACAGGTGTGAGCCACCACGCCCAGCCTTATGATACTGTTCTATCTCTGCTCTGTGCCCACCACCACACCCAGCTAATTTTTGTATTTTTTGGTAGAGACGGGGTTTCACCATGTTGGCCAGGCTGGTCTCGAACTCCTGACCTCAGGTGATACGCCTGCCTCAGCCTCCCAAAATGCTGGGATTACAGGTGTGAGCCACTGCGCCTGGCCTTGTCTTCACTTTTGTTTTTTTGGTTTTTTTTTTGAGAGGGAGTCTTGCTCTGTCGCCCAGTCTGGAGTGCAGTGGCGCGATCTCGGCTCACTGCAAGCTCCGCCTCCCGGGTTCACGCCATTCTCCTGCCTCAGCCGCCCGAGTAGCTGGGAATACAGGCGTCCACCACCACGCCCGGCTAATTTTTTGTATTTTTAGTAGAGACGGGGTTTCACTGTGTTAGCCAGGATGGTCTCGATCTCCTGACCTTGTGATCCGCCCGCCTCTGCCTCCCAAAGTGCTGGGATTACAGGCGTGAGCCATCGTGCCCGGCCCACTTTTGAAAAACAGTTTCAGTGAGTATCGAATTCTAGGTTGACTACTTTTTTCTTTTGCTACTTTAAGAATTTTCTTACACTGCTTTCTCACATTGTTTCCAGTGAGAAATCTGGTGTCATCCTAATTTTTGTTCCTCTGTTTATAAAATCTTTTTGTTTTTCATCTGGCTGTTGTCAAGATTTTCTCTTTGTTACTGGTCTTAAGAAATTTGATTATGATGTATCTTGGTTTATCTTTGTGTTTCTTCTGCTTGGGGTGTGTTGAGTTTCTTGTATCTTTGGTTTTATAGTTTGTATCAAATTTGGGAAATTTGGGGTTATTATTTCTTTAAACACTCTCTCTGTTCCTTTCTTTCTCTCTCCTTATGGGCCTCCAGTTACACATATATTAAAATGTCCCACAGCTCACCAGTGTTCTTTTCATTAAAAAAAAATATATTCATTCCTTCTGGGGCAGGGCATGGTGGCTCATGCCTGTAATCCCAGCACTTTGGGAGGCCAAGGCAGTAGGATCACTTGAGCCCAGGAGTTTGAGACCACCCTGGGCAACATGGTGAGACCTCATCTCTACAGAAAATTTTTAAAGATTAGCCAAACATGGTGGTGTGCGCCTGTAGTCCCAGCTACTCGAGAGGCTAAAGTGGGAGGATCGCTTGAGCTGGAGAGGTTGAGGCTGCAGTGAGTCATGATCACGCCAGTGCACTCCAGCCTAGGTGACAGAGTGAGACCCTGTCTAAAAAGTAAAAAAAAAAAAATCATTTTTTTAAATGTTTCATTTGGACAGTTTCTAATGTTGTCTTCCAGATTTTTTTTTTTTTCCTGCAATGTCTAATCTGCTGTTCTAGGGCTGGGTGCAGTGGCTCGCACCTGTAATCCCAGCACTTTGGGAGGCCGAGGCTGGCAGATCATTTGAGGTCAGGAGTTTGAGACCAGCCTGGCCAACATGGTGAAAGCCCGTCTCTACTAAAAATACAAAAATTAGCTGGATGTGGTGGCAGGTGCCTGTAGTCTCAGCTACTTGGGAGGCTGAGGCATGAGAATTGCTTGAACCTGGGAGGTGGAAGTTGCAGTGAGCCTAGATCATGCCACTGCACTACAGCCTGGGCAACAGAGCAAGACTCTCCCCCAAAAAACAAAAATCTGCTGTTCCAGCCAGTACATTATTTATTTCAGACATTGTAATTTCTATCTGTTGATATCCAGTTTGAGTTTTTTTATATCTTCCGTATCTGTAAAGAACTTTTGGAACGTATGGAGTACAGTATAATAGTTGTTCTAATGTTCTTACCTACTAATTCTAACTCCTGGGTCCGTTTCAGTTGAATGATTTTTATCCTCATGATGTGCCCTATTTTCCTGCTTTTTGCATATTTGGTGACTTTGTTGTTGGATACTAGACAATATCAGTATTACCTTGTCGAGCACTCGTTACTTTTGTATGCCTATAAATATTCTTGAGCTTTGTTTGAGAATGCAGTCACCTTACTTGGAAGCAGCTTGATCCTTTCAGGTTTTGCTTTTAAGATTCCTCAGGCAGGACCAGAACAGTGTTTAACAGGTTAGGGCTGCTTATTCCCCACGGCTGATGTAAGACCCTCTCCGTGTTCTACCCAGTGTTCCTTCAGTTATGAGGTTCTTCTGGCAGGAACAGCGCCTTGTCAAGGCCTGTGTGAGTCCCCAGAACTCAGGCGCTATTTGCTTCAGTCCCTCCAGGTGGTTCTTTCCCTGGCATTCTAGTCTGCAGTAACAGAGGACCATGGACTGGTGGCTCAAAAACAACAAACACTTATTTCTCACAGTTCTGGAGGCTGGAAGTCCAAGATAATTTATTTTTATTTTTATTTATTTATTTTTTGAGATGGAGTCTCGCTCTGCTGCCCAGGCTGGAGTGCAATGGCGCGATCTTGGCTCACTGCAACCTTCGCCTCCCAGGTTCAAGAGATTCCCCTGCCTCAGGCTCCCGAGTAGCTGGGACTACAGGCACCCACCACTACACCCGGCGAATTTGTATATATTTAGTAGAGACAGGGTTTCACCATGTTGGCAAAGCTGGTCTCGAACACCTGAGTTCAGGTGATCTACCCACCTCGGTCTCCCAAAGTGCTGGGATTACAGGCGTGAGCCATCGCACCCGGCCCATAACTTCATTCTCAAAACAAAGCTCAAGAACAAAGCTCAGACTCCCTGCTTTGTCTCCTCTGCTCACGGAGTCCTCCCAGCTCCGCCTCAGTCTTCCCTCCCTGTCCCGTGGTCTAGAAACTTGCAACAGGACCCAGCGGCAATTTTAGGGCTTGCCTTGATGTTTCCCGTTCCTCAGGGATCACTTTCTTGGTAGAGTCTTGACCACTGTTGTTTTCTTGTATTTACTCTATTTTTGGGGGGTCAAGTCCAGTCTCTGTGACTCCATCCTGGTCGCAGTGGAAGCCCCCATAGGTAACATTCTAAAAATAACACTGGATTTTCCTTTTGTAAAGTTTGGGTAAAATGCCTTTTTTTTTTTTTTTTTTTTTTTTGAGACGGAGTCTTGCTCTGTCGCCCAGGCTGGAGTGCAGTGGCGCGATCTCGGCTCACTGCAAGCTCCGCATCCCGGGTTCAGGTGATTCTCCTGCCTCAGCCTCCTGAGTAGCTGGGATTGCAGGCGCCCGCCACCATGCCCGGCTAATTTTTGTGTTTAGTAGAGATGGGGTTTCACCGTGTTGGCCAGGCTGGTCTCAAACTCCTGACCTCAGGTGATCGCCTGCCCCAGCCTCCCACAGTGCTGGGATTACAGGCGTGAGCCAGGGTGCCCGGCCAACTTCTTGTTGAGAGATCACCCCCAGGCTCATTGGCATGGGAGATCAAGCAGCTGAGTCTCAAGGTACTTTGCAGCCGCCCAACAGCCAGCGGATGCCTGTGCTTGGGAAATGGGCTCAGGGGCACTAGAGGGCAGTGTTTGAGAGGAAAGAAGTCAGCATAGCAGCAGGGCCGGGCCTGGGGCAGACAGCCCACATGGTTAGGAAAAAGTGAGTGAACGCATGTGGCCCCCAGAACCCCTCCCTGAAATTGCAGTTGATTTTTATTCCCACCGTCAGGCCCACATATCTAAAGCTTCCTCTGAACGCTCCTTGCAGTACACAAAATAGAAATGATTGACAGGCACAGAGCAGCAGCAGGCCCCACGCTGTACACCAGCATCTGGCACTGTGGGTCACCAAGCACCAACTCGATCCCCTCGGAGCCAGGTGTGTGTTGAGATTCAGGATTTTTCAGTTGCAAAGGCAATATGATCTCTACTCCACAGGGCACACGGCACCCTCAGTGCTCAGCACAGCAGTGTGCAGCAGCCTGGTTAACTTTTCTGCAGGGAAGTATGTGAACGTTCACACCAAGCGTGTCAGTCATGTCTGTAAGTCATCTCCCACCAACACAGGTCAGGTTTTCCTGCCCAATGAGCTTGGGGATGGCTTGACTTTGGAGCTCTTTGGATCTGTGGATTTTGGAATTTTGGATTTCTGATACCCGTTTGATCAAAGAGGCAACCGAGGTCTAACGGGTCAAGTGACTTTCCCATATCCGTGAAGGTCATGAAAAGCAGGGC
Source organism: Homo sapiens (assembly GCF_000001405.40). Lineage (NCBI taxonomy): Eukaryota > Metazoa > Chordata > Mammalia > Primates > Hominidae > Homo > Homo sapiens. Next base: position 54,438,956 of record NC_000019.10, on the reverse strand, counting down.
CAGGATGGTGGCCTGGGGTGCCTTGAATGATAAGCTGGGCCCTTCACTGTGCAGGCCCCTCTCCTTCAGTCCACTCTGCCACTGCTGTCTGCCACACCCTGCTCTGATAGCTCCTCTCTGCCAGGCTTTTCCCTCACATCCTCAACTCAGCCAAGAGCTGGTTTCTTCCAGAGAGCCCTGCTGTGCAGTCAGTTATTGGACTTCTCTTTTTGTGCATGTTTGTTTTCAGGGTTTAGCTGATCAAAGTGGTATCGTTGTAACAGGCAGCTCTAAATAGAAGTCTTCAGAAGCCTGTGTGTCTTTTTCTGTAAATCAATTCCCAAAAGCAGGATTGTTGGGGCATGGGGTGTATGCAGTTTTGATCTGATCACATACAAGCGCATTTTTTTTTTTTTTCAAGGGATGGTGGCAGCTCACAGCCTCAGGAGAAGTGTTTTGAGTGCCTGTTCCTCTAGGTCCTCGCCCGCCCAGGACATCACCACTCTTGTTAATTTCATTGTGTCTAGGTAGTGAAAAAGTGTAGTTTCTCATTCTTTCAAATTGCATTTCCCAATTATTAGAGTTTGAATCTTTTTGTCTGTTTACTGATGTTGGAATTTTTATTGAGTATTCAACTCAATTGATTACTTTTAAATGGGTTGTCTTTTTCTTAGTTTATGAAAGCTTTTGTAGATTATATCTTTTAAGAATAACATTTCTGCATCATAACTGTTAACATACACACACACACACACACACACACACACACACACACACGCACGCACACACTCACTGTTCCCCAGTCTGTCAATTTGCCATTTGACTTTACGGTATGTTTTTCAATCTATAATTTGCCAACTAAGCTATCTTTTCCTTTCTGGTTTTATGATCTCCTGCTTAAACTCCTCCCTCCCCATTTTCCCTACCCAGATACATGACATGCAGACAATATACAAATATTCTCCTAATTTCTCTGGTTTGTTTTGTTTTGTTTTGTTTTTTTCTGAGATGGAGTCTCACTTGATCTCCCAGGCTGGAGTACAGTGGTGCAACCTCCACCTCCCGGGTTCAAGCAATTCTCCTGCCTCAGCCTCCCGAGTAGCTGGGCTTACAGACCTGTGCCACCATGCCCAGCTAATTTTTTTTTTCTTTAAGTAGAGACGGGGTTTCACCATGTTGGCCACTCTGCTCTCAAACTCCTGGCCTCAAGGGATCCACCCACCTTGGCCTCTCAAAATGCTGGGATTACAGTCATGAGCCACCGCAGCCAGCCTCTCTCTGTTTTTTGTCTTTTTTTTTTTTTTTTTTTAAGAGGCAGGGTCTTGGCCGGGCGCGGTGGCTCACGCCTGTATTCCCAGCACTTTGGGAGGCCGAGACGGGCGGATCACGAGGTCAGGAGATCGAGACCATCTTGGCTAACACGGTGAAACCCCGTTTCTACTAAAAATACAAAAAATTAGCCGGACGTGTTGGCGGGCGCCTGTAGTCCCAGCTACTTGGGAGGCTGAGGCAGGAGAATGGCATGAACCTGGGAGGCGGAGCTTGCAGTGAGCCGAGATCGCGCCACTGCACTCCAACCTGGGTGACAGAGCGAGACTCCGTCTCAAAAACAAAAAAAAAAAAAAAAAAAGAGGCAGGGTCTTGCTCTGTTGCCCAGGCTGGAGTGCAGTGGCACGATCACAGCTCACTGCTACCTCGAAACGGGCTCAAGCAAGGAGTCTCAGCCTCCCGAGTAGCTGGAACCACAGGCATGCACCACCATGCCCACCCTCCTAATTTCTCTAGAAATTCTTCTGTGCCTTTACTTGCATACATCTAGATCTTCCACCCATCTTATCTATAGAAGTTTTTGGCCAGATGGAGAGCCGATATGTCACTACTGCTGCTAAACCAACCGTCCTTTCCACACTGACTTGAAATCTGTCTTCTGTCATGTGTGTATATATATATATACACACACACACACACACACACACAGTTAGATCTATTTCTAGGCCATCTATTCTGTGCCAGAGATGCCTGTGTCTTCCTGTGTCAGGACACGCGCATTACTTTTAGAATCAGAAGAAAGCGTTTTGTTTTTTGATTTTTTTTTTTTTTTTTTTAAAGAACAATGTCTTTGGACCCCTTGCTGAGCCTGGACAGGCGCAGAAATTCCTGGCAGCTGGGAGGCCGGGGGAGAGAGGACAGCAGGGAGGATGTCCCAGCCCTGGCCAGGAGGCCGAATCAAGGGAGAGGAGAAATAAGGAGGACCCAGCTGCTTGTAAAATAGTCTTCCCTTTTATTTTAAATCAACCCTTTTCCAAGTTAGTGCCACGAGTTGAGATCAGGGGGTCAGAGCCCACTGGGATGTGGCAGGGGCAGCAGGGGGACTCATGTCCCCCACCCCCAGCTTAGTCCCTCCAAGGATGGGACCGGCAGCCAGGGATGAAGGGTGCGAGGCGAGGCTGTCTGCCCCCTCCCCTGCCAGCCCTACTCCCTAGTCTGCCCCCTCAGCTACTCCCAAGGCCAAGGACAGAAATGGGAGCACAGTGGCCAAGAGCAGGGAGGCGGTCCTGTGCAGGCTGTCCATGGCCAAGAGTGTTAGTGGTCAGAGCCCAGGCAGGCTGGGTTAGTGGGGTCTCCTCCGGCAGCCAGGGAAGGAACTGCGGAGAGAGGGAGAGACAGGGCAGTGATGCAGGCTGGAGGGCCTGCCCGGTGCGATCCACCCAGCAGGAGGCACGCAGCCCATGCCTGGAGCAGCTCGGAGGGCGGGAGGGGGGCAGAGGCCCGGCTGCAGGAGCTGGGGTGGCCCTTGGAAGCTCACCGAAGAGGGGAGCCAGGCTCCAGTCCAGCCGGGAGGAGGGGCTCAGATAGACGACTGCCACTGCACAAAGCGCTTGGATTCCTGCTAGGAGATTCGGGGTAGCGGGGGAGAGGAGGGAATGGAGTGGGAATTGGCTTTGTACTGTGGGACCCCAGCCCCTCCTCCCTCAGACCCAGGAGTCCGGGCCCCAGCCCCTCCTCCCTCAGACCCAGGCGGCCAGGCCCTCAGCTCCTCCTCCCTCAGACCCAGGAGTTCAGGACCCCCCGCCCCTCCTCCCTCAGACCCAGGCATCCAGTACCTGAGGGTTGAAAGGGTCGTCATCGTCTGTGTCATCGTAGTCGTCACTGGGGTTTGATGCGGGGCATGGCAGAGAGGCGGGATGGGGACCCATCAGGAGGCTGCACCCCCCACCCCCACTGCCACCGTGGTCCCCAGGTGCTGCCCCTCCTCTTCCCTCCCCAGGACCCTACCCTCCCCCGCTCCTGACCTGGGTGGGAAGAGGGCCCAGGCTCGGGGCAGGCTGCAGAGGGCAGTGGCCAGCGCTCCTGCAGACAGCAGGGAGAAGAGTAGCAGGAAGAGCAGGCCTTCCAGGGCGTCTTCGCACAGGCCCCGCAGGGCTGCACCATAGTCCTGAGGGGAGGGCGTCATCAGGCCATGCGTCCCCACCCCCTCCCCCATCGGCACACACTGTGCACATCAGTCTGACCGTCCTCCCGGCTGTGGTACTGCACACGTCAACTGACCACTCTGTGCCTCAGTTTCCCCTGTCAAAGGGCAGTTCTGAGAATACAGTGGGTACAGTGGGGTCTTTGGTGTGATAGGCCTGGCACTCAGGAATTAATTGCCCAGCCTCCAGACTTGGCTTCTCCTGAGCTGCACCCGCCCTTGTCATTGCAGGCCCCTATCTCCCTTTCACATGGGTCCTCCCCAGTCAGCACCCCACATCTAGAACCAGTCCAGCATCTCCCACCAGCCCTGGGCCCTCTCCTCCATCTTCATCTACCCAGGAACGTGAGAACTGCTACTTCCGTTTCCCTTCTCCCTCCCGGCAGCGGCACCTCCTGCAAGAGCATCCTCCCCTGCACCAAGCGCCCACAGGCCAGCCACCGCCAGCTCCGCCTTGGTCCAGGGGCGAGGGCTTCATAACCTGGGCCCTGCTGACATTTTGAGCCAGATCATTCTCTGTGGTGACGGCGCTGCCCTGTGTGTTGTGGGGTGCTGAGCAGCCCCACTCAGCTCCACCCACCAGATGCCAGGAGCACCCCCTCCTGCAGTGTGACAACCAACAGCAACTCGGCACCCGGCCAGGTGTCCCTGGGGGCAGAACTCCTCACCCAGCCAGGTGTCCCTGGGGGCAGAATCACTGGCCTAGAGCACGTGGAACAGCACGTCGAAAAACCAACCAGTGGCTCAAGATGACACCGCGCACACAATACACACTCAACATGCCAACAAATGCTGGCTCTGATGACTGTCGTCCCAAGAAATCAGCAGAAACGGCCTTCACCGAGTGCTAAGCACCTGCACAGCGTATGTATTCAGTGGGGGTTGACAGAGCCTGCTCTGCCCCAGGCGCTGCCCCCAGTACCAGGAAACTTCGGTAAACAGGACCGAGAAGGTCATCTCAGAGGCTGGTGTGCAACGAGGTAGGAGGGCGGGGGTCAGTGCAGGGCAGGGGTAGGTCGGGTAACCCCACTAGCAGGGATGGGTCCTCCAGGAAGGAGCCAGGCAGAGGGCTGTGCAGAGGAAGCTGGGAGGGGCTGAGGCCAGAGGCAGACAGATCCAGGACTGACCACCCAGGCCCTTGTAGGTCAGGGCGAGGAACAGGGATTTTAATCCATGTCTGAGGGGAATCACTGAGCGTTTTAAGCAGAGGAAGAACTTGATCGGATTGTGTTTTAAAAGGATCACCTGGCTGGCTGGCTGCTGCATGGAGGACAGACGGGGGTAGGCGAGGGGGGACAGGGAAGAGGCCCCTGTGGTCATGGTGGCTAGGATGCGGGGACCAGGGCACAGCAATGGTGGTAGGAACAGCGGTGGGAGTCCATATAGGTTTCAGAGGAAGGGCCAACAGAACTTGTTCTGAGAATGGTTGTGGGAGCTAAGAGCCTGAGTTTCTGGCAGGAGCACCTGGTTGAGGTGGGGTGTCTGTTACTAAGCCAGTGAGGGTTGGGGTACGGACCTGTCGGGGCAATGGAGGCTCTGTTTTGAGAGTATTGGTACATGCACACTGTCCTTCATCCTCACAACAGCCCTGCCAGGCAGACACTGACCCTCTCACGCTGCCGCCTCTTGCAATGGTGGAAAGAAGTTGCAGCCCAGAGAAGGCAAGCTACTTGCCCAGAGTCACACTGTCTGGAAGGGGCAGAAGCGATATTGGAGCTGATTCTCTTAGGCTCCAGTGCCCTCCCTCCTTCATCCTCATCCCTGATGTCCCTTATTGTTGATTTTTTTTTTTTTAATAGAGATGGGGTTTCACCATGTTGGCCAGGCTGGTCTTGAACTCCTGAGCTCAAGGAGTTCTGATCTGCCCCACTGGGCCTCCCAAAGTGCTGGGTTTATAGGCACGAGGCACCCATCCCTAGCCCCCTCCTATTTTTTTTTTTTTTTTTGAGACGGATTCTCGCTCTGTCACCCCGGCTGGAGTGCAGTGGCTCGATCTCAGCTCACTGCAACCTCCACTGCCCAGGTTCAAGCAATTCTCGTGCCTCAGCCTCCTGAGTAGCTAGGAATACAGGGGTGTGCCACCACGCCCGGCTAGTTTTTTTGTATTTTTAGTAGAGATGGGATTTCGCCATGCTGGCCAGGCTGGTCTCAAACTCCTGACCTCTGGTGATCCGCCCACCTTGGTTTCCCAAAGTGCTGGGATTACAGGCGTGAGCCACAGTGCCCGGCCCCGCCGCTTATTCTTGATTTTAATCTGTGAGGACCCTGGCACACTGACAGGGGAGATGGAGACCCAGGGTCTCATGGTGCAGTGGTAGGGAAGGGTAGAGTGATCTGTCCTCTTCCTTCCCTTCCCTCCCTCCACAAAGGAGTCTGGGGGCCTGTATTCCAGCCCAGTTTCTGCCTAGGCCACAGAAAAGCGCCTGAACCCCAGTTTATCCTTATGCAAAAGATCAGGGCAGCCCTGGGCTGGGTGGGGGCCCAGCCTTTCTCAGCTCAATAGTCAGCAATTCTGAGCATGGCTTCAGTGCTTACTCCCCACTCCCTTTTTGGAATGCCAGTTCCAGAAGGGTGGGAGGCAGTGGGAGCCACAGAAGGGGTCTGTCTGAGCCAGACCAGGGAAAGCTCAGATCCATGCGATGGCGTAGACAAATCCCTCTTGGGTAGGGTTGCCAGATCAAATTCAGGACTTCCAGTTACATTTGAGTATCGGATGCCCAATACATAATTTTCTAGTATAAGTATCTCCCCAGCATTGCACCGGGCGTACTTATAGCAGAGTGGTTTGCTGTTTGCTGAATCTGGCAGCCCTATTCTAGGGTCCATGGGGGGATGGATGGGGAGGGGGCCATGCTTCCTTCTGCAGGGGAGAGAACGAGGCCTCAGCTGCGGCAGGGGCATTGGGCATTGAGAGTAGATGGATGAAGACATTCCAGAAGCAGAAAGGACAAAACTGGGCAACTGCCTGGCTGTGGGGGGCAGAGGGCGGGGCCCTCCGGAAGGTCCCTCTCTCCTCAGTGTGCATGGGCTGGCTGGCCGTGTGACCTTGGGAAGGTCCCTCAACTCTGCTCCTCATCTTCTAACCTGTTAGGTGGGATAATCATAGTTCCTTCTTCATAGCATTGTTATGAGGCATCGATGAGTTACCACCTGTGAAATGCAACAGGGTCAGGTACTTGGTGAAGCTATGCACATGTGAGGTCTTTGATGGGAAGACTGGCCGGGGAAAGGCATCCTCGGGTGTGTGTTTTAGAACAGCTCTTACTGGTTTTGTTTGTTTGTTTGTGACAGAGTTTCGCTCTTGTTGCCCAGGCTGGAGTGCAGTGGCACAATCTTGGCTCACTGCAACCTCTGCCTCGTGGATTCAAGCGATTCTCCTGCCTCAGCCTCCCGAGTAGTTGGGATTATAGGCGCCCACCACCATGCCCGGCTAACTTTTTCTATTTTTAGTAGAGACGGGGTATCACCATGTTGGCCAGACTGGTCTTGAACTCCTGACCTCAGGTGATCCACCCGCCTGGGCCTCCCAAAGTGCTGGGATTACAGGTGTGAGCCTCCGCGCCCGGCCAGCTCCTACTGTTTTATAAGGGGATTTTTTTTTTCAATCCTCACAGCCATCCAGTGAAAAAAAAACAAACAAAAAAAACTCGTCCTTCCTCACGGTACGGGTGGGAAGCAGAGTCAGCCACGCTCACCTGCCTATGGCCGTGCAGCCTGCGGCAGAGCCCAAACTGGAGCCTGCAGGACACCAGATATCTTTCCTCCTGGGCACCCTGCCCACCCCTGCCTGTCCAGTGTATGAACAGCACAAGCCGCAGGGGAGCTGGACAGGTGCCCACTCTTGCAATCCCAGGTTTATAAGTGAGGGAACTAACTGAGGTACAGAGAAGTTAGGTGACTTGCCCTTGGTCAGGAGGTAGGACTGGAACCCAGGCAGTCTTGCTCCAGAACTCACTAAGCGGCAGCCTCTAGGAGGGAGGGAGAGGCAGGAGGACGGAGAGAGGAGAGAAGACAAGGAAGGAAAAGGTGGCAGGAAGGGACGGGGAGGGTGGGATGGGGACCCAGCGGGGAGTGCGGGAGTTGGGGGGAAAGGGAGGGAGGAGGGAAGGAATATGGATAATGCTTGATAGGTAGGTAGACGACAGGTTATAAATAGGTAGAGAATAGATATAGGACAGATAAATCATATAAACAGAGGATACAGAGATATCCTCAGGCGCAATGGCAGGGGTCCAAGGAGAAGGAGGAGGTAGTTCTGTGGGTCGAGACAGAGGCCCCCCGTGGGAGAAGAAATTGGGAGGGGAGGGGCTTCACCTTGTGCAGGCTGCGGCAGTGTAGCAGTGCCACCAACTGGTGGAAATTTCCTTCTGTCACATTCAGAGTCTCCTCCAAGGACAGCAGAGGCTTCTGCGGGGCGAGGAGGGGTCGTTTTCCCACGAACTCTTCAGGCCCGCCCATCGCCCTGGCCCCGCCCTGCGTCCCCGCCCACAACCCAAGGCCCCGCCTAGCTCTGCAGCCCCGCCTACGCCCCACAGCTCCATCCCGCCCCGTCCGCCTTCCCCGTGGGGTCCGCGTGTCTGGGGAGCGCCCACCCACCGACCTGCGCTGAAGGGAACTGAGGCACAGCTTCTCGCTCCAGGCCCAGCAGCTGGGAGTGGATGTTGGCCAGAGCTCGCTGGGACAGAGTCAGCCTCTGCAGAAAGAGAAAGGGAGGGAGGAGGACCCAGGAGTATACGCCCCCGGCCCTCTCTCCTCTCCTCCGGACACAGCACTCGGGCCCCTGGCCTGCATCCTCCCCGGAACCCAGGAGTCCAGGCCCCAGCCCCAGCCCCGCCCCCTCCCTTCAGAGTCCAGATTTCTGGCTCCCTCAACACCCGTTTCCCCTGCCCGCAGCCCTAACCTGTTGGAAGGGGTTGGAGACGGCCCGGTTGCAGAGGAGATAATAGCTCAGGATGTCTGAAGTGGGAGGAGGAGAGGGGAGGAGGCCATGAGCCTGGGCCCCCAGGGATCTCCCGGGGGAAGGCCGGGCACTGGGGGGTTAGCAGGGTTAGGGGCCTCAGCCCAGCCCTGGAGCCCGATGGCCTTACCTTCAGAGACCCGCCAGCCCCGCGTCCCTTCTGCTCCTGCCACAGCCAGAGCAGGCGCTGGTGGGCAACCCTATACTCCCTGGGAACCCCTGACTAAATGGTGCTCCCCAGTTTTCTCCAGGGGGCCAAACTCCCCATTCCTGACGCCCAGGAGCACCCTCTCCTGACCCTCCTCTCTCTTCCTGGCACCATTATCTTTATCCTGCCCTCTTTTCCAGCCCACCAGGAGAGGCGCTGCCAGCTGGAGCAGAAGGGATGAGGGTCTGGCGGGTGGCGGGGCTCCAGGAGGGCTCCGAGCTGGGGAGTGGCCAGGAGCCCTGCTTCCCTTCCAGAGGGCTGGGTCTCGCCTGGCAGGCTGCACCCCCACCCCACCCTGGGCAGGACCGGGCACAGAGGAGGCCTGAGGAAGCCAGGGCCTGCACTGCCCAACCCGGCGGACCCACCGGGCCCTTGGAAATCACCTGAGCTGAGCCCTGTCTCCTCCTGGGTCAGGTTCAGAACATAAGGGTCTGGATTGGAGCAGAAGTCACTGAGGCCCTGCGTGAGGCAGCAGAAAAGGGGCTCAAACCCAAAACTGCCCCGATTCCACACTCCCACAGCACCCAGTGCCTGGCTCCCCAGCTCCCCTCCCCACCCAGGGGTCCAGGTCCCAGCCCCTCTTCCCTCAGACTCAGGAGTCCAGGCCCCAGGCCCCTCGTCCCTCAGACTCAGGGGTTCAGACTCTCCAGCCCTTTCTCCCTCAGACTCAGGAGTCCAGGCCCCCAGCTTCTCCTCCCTCACACCCAGGAGTCCAGACCCCCAGCCCCTCCTCCCTCAGACCTAGGAATCCAGGTTTCCAGCCCCTCCTCCATTACAGCTCAAACGTCCAGGACACCAATCTGTACCCACTCAGGCCCCAGGAAACAAGCCCTAAACCTCAGAGCTGTGATCGTGCCCCCCAATTCCTTTCTCTACTAAGCCATGCCATCCCGAGATCCAGAAGTTGAAGTCTCCAGGCCCCCTGAGTCCCAGAGCCCAATGGCCCGGCCCTGGCACTCACCACGGCCGTGGCTGCCTCCAGGCCCATGGAGCCCCAGCTCAGGACGAGAACCAGGAGACTCATGACTGTCATCCTAGAGTGGGGGAGGGAGGATCAGCCCGGGGTTCTTAATCTCCTAGCCTAGCCTCTTTCCACACCCCAAATCCCATCACAGCCGCCCCCCACCTCCACCCACCTCTGGAGCCTGGAGGATCAGAATTAGGGAAACACAAGTTCAGTGGTTGGGGGTAGGCCAGTGGCTGCTGATGTCCAGCTGGACATCTGGCTCCTGCCCAGATGAGCAGGGTGTGGGGTATGAGCAGGGCCCTGGGCTGGGTGGTCGCAGCTTGGATCCCAGCTCCAGGACCCTGGGACGGTGACTGCTCACCTCTGGGCTCACTTCCCCCGAAGGCTCCCCCAAGTCCACCCACAGCCTGATCAGCCTCTGGCTCTGCCCTGTCTCCTCTGAGAATGGGAGACAGTGCCAGGGCTGAAATCTGAAAGTCTCTGGACTTTCCGGGTGGGGAGGGGTGCAGGGGGCGTGTCAGCATTGGTAGGGTGACCAGTAAGCAAGAAGGGCACCCAGGGGTCCCCAAACTGAAGGCCTGGCTTCCAGTCCCAGACCTGCCCTGTGTTGGCTAGGTTTATGGGTCTGCAAGCCTTACGCGGGGTCTCTCCCACTCTCTCAGGGGCAATGGAGGTACAGGTTCAACTCTGCCTCACCCCACCAGGGCCAGAGAGAATGCAGGGACTCCTCCAATGAGAATGGCCTGTCTGGTTCAAATCCCAGCTCTAGCACTTCTAGCTGTGTGGCCCTGAGCAAGTGGTCCAACCTCTCTGATCTTCAGTCTCTCCCTCTGTTAAACAGGGAGAAGGGCCAGGCATGGTAGCTCATGCCTGTAAACCCAGTACTTTGGAAGGCTGAGGCAGGCTGATCACTTGAGGCCAGGAGTTCGAGACCAGCCTGGGCAACATAGCAAGACTCCATCTCTACAAAAATATACAAAACTTAGGCCAGGCACGGTGGCTCATGCCTGTAATCCAGGCACTTTGGGAGGCTGAGGCGGGCGGATCACCTTAGGTCAGGAGTTTGAGACCATCCTGACCAACATGGAGAAACCCCATCTCTACTAAAAATACAAAATTAGACAGGTTTGGTGGCATACGCCTGTAATCCCAGCTACTTGGGAGGCTGAAGCAGGAGAATTGCCTGAACCCAGGAGGCAGAGGTTGCAGTGAGCCAAGATCGCGCCGCTGAACTCCAGCCTGGACAACAAGAGCCAAATTGCAGCTCAAAAAAAAAAAAAAAAAAAAAAAAAAACTTAGCCGGGAGTGGTGGCATAAGCCCATGGTCCCAGCTACTCTGGAGGCTGAGGTGGGGGGATCACTTGAGCCTCAGGGGACAGAGGCTGTAGTGAGCCGTGATCATGCCACTGCACTCCAGTCTGGGCAACAAAGCAAGACCTTCTCAAAATAAAAAACAGAAATAAAAAACAGGCAGAAGGAAGCACCTTCCTCACAGGGGGCATGAGGTGCTCCAGGGAGTGCAGAGAAGAGTGTCGGGCGCGTAGAGCGAGCTGTGAAATCAGTGTGGTCCTGCGGCTTTGCCACGACACTTAAGGACGGCTCAGTCTTGGACTTGGCCACCCTCTGCGCTCTTAGTCAGGTCCCTGACCGGCCACATGGAGCCTTATGGTAGCTCCTTCATGGGGTGGAGGCAACTGAAGGACTCAGCGTGCATGACCCTCAATAGATCATCATCCTCATCTGTTTTTTTTTTTTGTTGTTGTTGTTTTTGAAATGGAGTCTCACTGTGTCGCCCAGGCTGGAGTGCAGTGGTGCAATCTCAGCTCACTGCAAGCTCCGCCTCCCGGGTTCAAGCGATTCTCCTGCCTCAGCCTCCCGAGTAGCTGGGACTATAGGCGCCCGCCACCACGCCCGGCTAATTTTTGTATTTTTAGTAGAGATGGGGTTTCACCGTGTTAGCCAGGATGGTCTCGAACTCCTGACCTCGTGATCCGCCCTCCTCGGCCTCCCAAAGTGCTGGAATTACAGGCGTGAGCCACCACGCCCAGCCTTTTTTTTTTTTTTTTTTTTTTTTTGAGATGGAGTGTCACTCTGTCGCCCAGGCTGGAGTGCAATGGTGTGTGATCTTGGCTCACCACAACCTCCACCTCCTGAGTTCAAGCGATTCTCCTGCCTCAGCCTCCTGAGTAGCTGGGACTACAGGCGCATGCCACCACACCCAGCTAATTTTTGTATTTTTAATAGAGACAGGGTTTCTCCATGTTGGTCAGGCTGGTCTCAAACTCCTGACCTCATGATCCACCCACCTCGGCCTCCTAAAGTGCTGGGATTACAGGTGTGAGCCACCGCGCCTGGCCTCATCCTCATCTTTATTGCCAACACAATGATTATTTCTGCCATGATTCCAGCATACTTCATACTGTTAGGGCTGCCTGTTTTCAGGTCTGTCCCCGCCTCCCTCCTGGGCTGCTCTGACTCTCTTTTCTTCGTGTGTACCCGGCCGTGAAGGACCACGGTCCTCCGTGTAGGAGAGTTGTAAGACTGAGGTCCTGCCTGCCAGGAGAGTGCCAGGCAAGCACTGGGTCCCCCTACTGCCTGCACTTACACGATCACCAGCCACTTGCTCTGCTTCGCCAGGCCCAGGAGGGTGAAGAGGCAGACCAGCAGCTCCAGGAGCAGCAGGAGGACGTAGGCCAGCCACCTGGGAGGGGAGAGGGTAGGGCTGAAACCACAAACCTGCCTCCAGGCACCCCGGCGGAACAGCAACCCTCCACCAGCATTCACCCTGCCCCCCAGCTCAGCCTCACATTCACCACCCTCCAAGCTCAGCCTCCTGCTGTTTACTGTGTCTGGGCCACAGCCCAGGTCCTCTGTGAAATAGTGTTATCATGAGACAGGACACTGGAGCGGTTTAGAATACAGGTCCTGAGCACCTGGGACTATCCCCTGGCCGGGCCACACACATGTGCCCTGTGACCAGGGACACGTGATGTGTTCTCTCCGAGCTCCCCATCCCCAACCCCACCCTGCAGAGTGGAGATACTCGTTCTCAAGACTGCACCAAAGATCCCATCGCATCCCTGGAGGGCATGACGTCTGGAGGCAGAGGCTGCCTGGTCTCAACCCCAGCCCCTCCGCTTAACTGGCCGGGTAACTCTTGTCTCGGTAACCTTAGCCTCTCGTTCCTCAGTTTCCCTACATGTAACGTGGGGAGCACAACAACACTGGCTTGAGAATATTGCCTCGAGTGGGCTGCATGACTAGAAGTGCTTAGGAGAGTGCCAAGCACGTGGACACACTTAGAGGTTAGCCTGAGCGTGAACGAGGGAACTGAGATGTTAGTTAATAGTTAATACTTGGCCGGGCGAGGTGGCTCACGCCTGTAATCCGCGCATTTTGGGAGGCTGAGGCAGGCGGATCACTTGAGGTCAGGAGTTTGAGACCAGCCTGGCCAACATGGTGAAACCCCGTCTTTACTAAAAATACAACAATTAGCCGGGCGTGGTGGTGCACGCCTGTAATCCCAGCTACTTGGGAGGCTGAGGCAGGAGAATCATTTGAACCCATGAGGTGGAGGTTGCAGTGAGCCAAGATTGCACCACTGCACTCCAGCCTGGGCGACAAGAGTGAGACTTAGTCTCAAAAATGAAAAAAAAAAAAAGTTAATCCTTAAATATCAGTGAAGGGCCCACCACCATGATTCAGGAGGTGCAAGCATGCAAGCCACAGTGAGAGACAGGACTAGCTGGATGTCCGAGGCCGACTAATAATCCCTAAGCCTAGCTGGGAAGGTGACCGCATCCACCTTTAAACACGGGGCATGCAATTTAGCTCACACCCAACCAATCAGGTAGTAAAGAGAGCTCACTAAAGTGCTAGTTAGGCAAAAATAGGAAGTAAAGAAATAGCCAATCATCTATCACCTGAGAGCACAGGGGAAGGGACAATGATCTGGATAGAAACCCAGGCATTCCAGCCAGCAACGGCTACCCACTTTGGGTCCCCTCCCGTTGTATGGGAACTCTGTTTTCACTCTATTAAAACTTGAAACTGCACACTCTTCTGGTCCGTGTCTGTTACGGCTTGAGCTGAGCTTTCGCTCGCCGTCCACCACTGCTGTTTGCCGCCGTCGCAGACCCGCCGCTGACTTCCACCCTCCGGATCCGGCAGGGTGTCCACTGTGCTCGTGATCCAGGGAGACACCCATTGCCGCTCCCAATCGGGCTAGAGGCTCGCCATTGTTCCTGCACAGCTAACTGCCTGGGTTCATCCTGATCGAGCTGAACACTGGTCGCTGGGTTCCACGGTTCTCTTCCGTGACCCACGGCTTCTAATAGAGCTAAAACACTCACCGCAGGGCCCAGGATTCCATTCCTTGGAATCCGTGAGGCCAAGAACCCCAGGTCAGAGAACACGAGGCTTGCTGCCCTCTTGGAAGTGGCCACCACGATCTTGGGAGCTCCGGGAGCAAGGACCCGCCGTAACAACAGCACAGTGCCCGGCACGTAGTAAGTGCTCAGTTAATCCTCCTGCCATTCTCTGCAGGCCCCACAAGCTTGGGCTTCACTCCTTACCCTGGTCTCTGGCTGCTTCCGCCCAGCCTCGCAAGTGCTCCCCTCCAGCAAGACTCCCTTGGAGGCCCCTGATTTGTCTGTCGAGGGACTCCCAAGTGTGGGGTGCTTTCGCAGTGGTGCACCCGGAAGATATTTTCTAGTGATGGTGGGTCTGCCTCACCCTGGCATCACCCTTATGGCTCCCACCACTTCCCTGCCCTCGCCCAGGAGAAGGAGCTGAGGCCCGGCTTGTGCAGCCCCTGGGCCTGACCACAATGCAGAACCTGGACTTCTTCAAACCCAGGCCTGTCTGTCTCTTGCACCTGCTGCCCTGCGGGTGTGTCCTGACCTCCAGCTTTTTCAGCCCCAGTCGGCCTTCCCCGCTGGAGCGCAGCATCCCGGAAGGCCTCCCAAATCTCAGCGCATGCCCCGCGGGCAGGGCCTCCAGCTGACGTCGGATAAATGAATGAATGAATGAATGATTACTAATGGTCAAAGCAATGAGGACACCGTCATGGTGGCCGCTGGGAAGGGTGGCTGCCTGGACACTGCACAGCTCACTGCCTCCTCTCCTCCAAATGCCACCTTCTCAGTCCCCCTGATGAACTGCCAGACTCTGTCCCACCTCATCTCCCTCTATAATTTTCTTTTTTTTTTTTTAAGACGGATTCTCGCTCCGTCACCCAGGCTGGAGTGCAGTGGCACGATCTCTGCTCACTGCAAGCTCCACTTCCTGGGTTCAAGCGATTCTCCTGTCTCAGCCTCCCAAGTAGCTGGGACTACAGGCGCCCACCACCACGCCCGGCTAATTTTTGTATTTTTAGTAGCGACGGGATTTCACCGTGTTAGCCAGGATGGTCTCGATCTCTTGACCTCGTGATCCGCCTGCCTCGGCTTCCCAAAGTGCTGGGATTACAGGCGTGAACCACCGTGCCTGGTCCCCTCTGTAATTTTCTCCAAAGTTCTCATGGCCCAACACCTTACAATGTTTTTCTCTGCGTTTGTCCCTTGCTGGTTCCCCCCGGAGGACGCAGCCACGTGGCAGGGATTTCTGCCACTTGCTCACTGCCCGGCCCGCCACCGGGGTGACTACACTTCATATCTCTGCGGTGCTCTCCCTGTGCTAATCGTCCTTCTCAGCACTCAGATGCCAACTCAACAACTCGAACCAATTCAACAAGGGGGACGCTGCCCCGATTCCCATTTCACAGATGGGGAAACCAAGGCAGAGGTCTGCAAAGTAACTTGATTGCAGCCGCGTGGTTAGGGTGGGGCTGGCTGGCTTTCGAGCTCAGGTTCCTGATCTGTAGGTACGCTGCCTCTTTCACCAGAGGGTGCTAAATAAATAGTGCTGAACAACACTTTGAGAGGCCAAGGCGGGCAGATCACAAGGTCAGGAGTTTGAGACCAGCCTGGCTAACATGGTGAAACCCCGTTTCTACTAAAAATACAAAAATTAGCCGGGCGTGGTGGCGCCTGCCTGTAATGCCAGCTACTTGGGAGGCTGCGGCAGGAGAATCGCTTGAATCCAGGAGGCGGAGGTTGCAGTGAGTCGAGATCGCACCGCTGCACTCTAGCCTGGGCGACAGAGTGAGACTCCATCTCAAAAAAAAAAAAAAAAATAGTGCTGAACAAATACACATGTCACACGGATGAACGACTGAGTGAGTGGCCTGCTGGGTTAGTCCAGGAGTAACTGAGTCCAAGAGTGACTTGCTGAATGAGTGAGTCAAGGAATGAACGCATGTGTGAATAAGTGAGTGGAGTGACGTGGAGGGGGTGAGTGAGTGAATGGGTGAGGACATGGGTGTCAGGATGGCCATGGGGTCTGGTGATCTGTCCCTCCACAGTAGGTTTCTCAACCTCATCTTTTTTTTTTTTTTTTTTTTTTTGAGATGGAGTCTCACTCTATCGCCCAGGCTGGAGTGCAATGGTGAAATCTCGGCTCACTGCAACCTCCATTTCCCGGGTTCAAGGGATTCTCCTGCCTCAGCCTCCTGAGTAGCTGGCATTACAGACATCTGCCGCCACGCCCAGCTAATTTTTGTATTTTTGGTAGAGACGGGGTTTCTCCACGTTGGCCAGGCTGGTCTCAAACTCCTGACCTCAGGTGATCCACCCACCTTGGCCTCCTAAAAGTGCTGGGATTACAGGCCTGAGCCACCGCGCCTGGCCAGCCTCGTCATAATTGTCATGGTGGCTGGATCATTCCCTGCCAATGGGTGGGGAGGGGGTTCTTGTGCATTGCAGGGTGTTGAACAGTTCCTGGGCTCTACCCATTGGATGCCAGCAGTGCGCACACACTCCCCAGCTGTCACAACCAAAACTGCCTCCAGGCATTGCCAACTGTCCCCCCGGGGACTCCGCCTGAGAGCTGCCGGCACAGAGAGCAAGAAGAGCAGCGTCTCACCTGTACTCCTCCACAAAGGACACATTTTCAGCCACCTGCAGGGGGCTCAGGGGCACTCCCTGCCAGAAGGCCAGCCCCTGCAGCTGCTGGGCCGCAGCCTCCGCCTGCCGTCGAGCCCCTCGGGCGGCAGCCACCAGCTCCGTGCGCGGCTCGAGCACCTCCTCCAGGGTGGTCAGCTCTGTCCTCACCGCCTCGCCCAGCCTCTCCACCGTCTCCAACACCTGGGGATAGGACAGGGGCTGAGGTCTGGAAGGACATCCTGGGGGGAGCCCGCGGTCGAGGCATGGGGTTTTAGAAGTGAAGGAGGGGTGCATAGTAGCGGGTGTCTGAGATCTGGAGTCTGGGACATCTGAGGATTGAGTAAGGGAAGGGATTGGGGAGGGGCTTCAAGATCAAGTTCATGGAGTTCTGTGGCCTCTATCCAGAGCTCTGGATGGTTGGTAGCTTGAGCCCAGGGTAGTAAGTCCAGCCCCAGGACTGAGATTAAGTGTGGAGCTTTAGGTCTGAAGTTTTCATCTGCCTTCCAGAATCTGGGGTCTCAAGTCTGGGTCCCATGGTCTAGAGTCTGCAGCTGGACATGGAATCTAAGGCATGAAGTGGGGCCAGGCCTCAGCCCCAGGGCCCAGAATCCTGGAGCTGATGTCGGAGCTGAAGCCTCAAGTCGGGGACCTGGGCCTCAGGGCGGGGGTCCCTGAGCTTGCTTACGGGCCAAGAATCAGGTCTGGGGCCCTGGATCTGGCCCGTGGACAGGGGCTGGTGTCGCTGGTGCTTGGTTTCTGTGTGGCTTGGGGGTTCCAGGTAAGGTCCAGGGCTGGGCCTGTGTGTGAGGTCCTCAATTTGCAGCCAGGGTCGGGGGTTGGGTGGATAGTCTGAGGTCTGTGGGTCTCAGGATGAAGTTCTGAATCTGGGTTCCTAAGCTTCAAGCCTGGGGTCTTAGCTCTGAGTTTGGATCCCTTTGTCCTTGGGTGTGGGGAGCCCGTCCAGGTGTGGGTCTGGGGTCCCACTGGTTGCTGGCCCCTCACCAGGTGGTCAATGGTGCTGAGTGTGTGGTTGGCGTGCAGCAGCGCAGAGCTGAGCTGGGACACCCCATCACTGGTCTCACTGTTGCCATAGAAACCGATGCCAATGCCAGTGCTGAGCGGAGGAGGAGGGAGAGGAATCTCAGCGGGTCCCAGGACCCCGGGGGCCACCGTCCCCTCCCACCCCATCCCCTCCACCTCGCCTTCTTATCCACCCCTCCCATCTCAGCCCCACCTCATTGGGCCAGCCCGTGGGAAAAGGGCGACTTCAGCCTGGCCCCCGTCGGTTGCCAAGGGAACGGGAAGGCCTCACTCCCCCAGCGGAGGGACGTCATTGTGATGTTAATGGTGGGTGGAGTGGTGGGGGGGAGGGAGCCCCCGATTTAACTCGCACCTCCCTGGAGCAGAACCCCAGTCACACCCAGCTCCGGGATGGGCCGTCTTCCCCTCCCTAGGACTGCCTGCCCCACACCCTTCCCCCGCATCCTTTGCCAGGCAGGCAGCCCTCCTGGCACCTGTCCTAGGGTGCCCTAGGGTCCTTGGGGCCTGCAGTGCCAACCCTTCAGTGCTGAGACGTTCTCCGCCCCCACCTCCTGGGGGTTCCTAAGGGTACAAGGGGGGCAGCTGCCACCATCTCCTGGGGGGACGCTGAGCCTGGAGCTCTCGGCCTTCCCCCACCCGGGACCCAAGCGTCGGGCCAGCTGGGAGGGAAGTAAGGGAATGTGGGAGGGAGGCTGGAGGATGGGCGAGAAGCCGTGCCCCCGCCCCCACCCTACCGACACACAGAGCTCCATTGTGGGACCTGAATGTGGGGCCCCAGACCCCTCCCGTCCCCGCCCCCGGCCGGTGTCCCGCAGTGGAGGGGGCGGGAGCCTGACACCCTCCCGGTTCCCAGCCCCGGCTGGGCCTCCACCCCCATCCCTCGGGTCGGACGCCCAGTGTCCCCGCCCCATTGTTCAGAGTCCTACAAAGCTCCTCTTGTTCCCAGGCTGCGGGGGCTGGGGCCGTGTCTCTCCCCCACTGGGCCTTTGTCCACCTCCCCTGTCTCCCCCCACGCCAGAGAGCCGGAGGAGGAAGCGTCCTGAATACAGGCCACCCCTACAGGTCCCTCCCCTTGCCCGCTGTGGGTCCGGGGCAGGCGTCTGGCCCTCTGGGACCCCCCGTCTGTGGAAGAGGATTGCTGTCTGCAACCTGTGGGTGCTGCCCTGCCGGGGAGGGGGCTGTGCTCAGAGCTCGTTCTTGGTAGCTGGTGTGTTCACATTGGAAGCCCCCTAAGCTCGCTTTGAGGGGTGTGAGGGGGTCCTACTAACCTGGGTCTGAATCTCTGTGCTGCCTCTTAAGCCACGTGGCCTTGAAAGGTGACCTCCCCTCTGTCCCTGAGCCTTCCTCTTTGGAAACTGGGCCTGACACCCCTGAATCCAGCAGCATTATTGTGAGAAGGAATTAGACCAGCTCAGGTCTGGGCACAGATGAGGTGCTCTTGGAGGGTGATTATATCTATTTATCGTCCGTCTCCCTGATTAGAACATAAGCTGCACGAGGGGCTCCTTGCCTGGCTTGGTCAGTATCTGGCACATAGTAAATACTCAATAAACAGTTGTCGAATGAATGAGCTGGTGAATGACGGAATGACAGACATCACCAGTTAATGTTGGCTGAGAGTAGCTGCAAGTCAGACACTGTGCTTTCTCTCCATCTTACCCCCGCAGGAGGTGGGCGAGATGATAATGCCCAGTTTACAGATGTGGAAATTGAGGCCCAGGGAGACTATCACTCCCTTAGGTCACACAGCTATTCAATGGGAGAGCCACCAAAACCAGGCCATCTGACTGCCCCTGCGCCTTCTCACCAGATGGCTGCCCTTGATTCACTTCCTCTCCAGAGCCTCACTTTCTCCATCCATCAAATGGGACAGTCCTTCCTGCTGTGCGCTGAAGTGGGCTTGCAAATGGCAGGGACAGGGACGAGGGAGTTTCCTCCTTCCTGTCTGCTTCCTCCATGTCCCCGGAGGACACCCCCAGGAAGGCCAGCAAAGAGCTTGGGGAGCCCTGTCCCCACCGCCCACCCACCCTGGGGCCCCATTACCAGCCGGCGAGAAGGGCGACAATGCAGCTCCAGGTGACGCAGCCTCCCCCGGGCGAGGGGATCTTGGACCCGGGGGGCTCGGGGGGCCGGCAGCAGCAGAAGCGGATGAGGTAGACAGCGATGAAAATGAGGCTCAGGCCCAAGCCCAGGCCCGCCAAGGCCGCCACCAGCAACAAGGCCTGGGGAAGGGGGTGACATCAGACCTCCGAGGGCACCCGTGTGTTCCACACTCAGATCCCCCTTCCTGCGTGGCTGGGGGGTCGGGGTCTGGGATGTCAGAGTGAAGGTGGGAGACATCCCTGGCCTAATCTTGGGGGAGATTGGGTCCCAGCCCCTCCCAGGCTGGCAGCTGGGGCTCCAGGTGTCAGGGCCAGCTTGCTGGAGGGAGCTTCCAACTGGGGGCCCCAAGCCTTGGGTCCCAATTCTGCTCTGCCCTCCATTGGCTGTGCAATCTTTAGCAGGAACCGCCCCTTCTCCGAGCCTGGGTTTCCTTCTCTCTGCAGCCAGCAGTTGGAATGGAGGTTTTCCCAAGGACCTGCCAAGGCCCCTCCACAATCGTGTGGGATCAGGGGGCGGGTGGGGGTGTGGGGGCACCTGTTCCTGGTGCCTCGGGCCAGGCTGGGGGAGGCGTGCTTCCTCCCCCTCTCCTCCCTGCTCACTGTCTCCCCTGCTGCTGAGCGCTACACCCCACAGCGCCTGAGCTTGTCACCCAGGGACGGGACGAGGGGCTGTGTGGCAACGTGTGTGTGTGTGTGTATGCAAGACTCAGAAATGGAAACTGGAAGAGTGAAGACAGAACAGAAAGAGAGAGAGAGAGAGATGGAGGGAGGCACAGGCAGAAAGACACAACCAAAAAAAGAGACAAAGATAAGACAAGGTTCGGGCATGAGTCAGAAAAAGGCAGAGAGCAAAAGGGATCAAATCAGAGAGGAAGAGCAGAGTAAGGGAGAGAGAGCGTGAGAACACTATGGAGACGGGAGAGACACACAAGGACAGAGAGGCGGAGAGAGCCAAGGCCCGGAAGACAGGCAGGCCGCGGAAACGTTCTGCGGTGGGCAGAGCCTTGCAGAATAACAGGGCTCTCCACGTGGCGGGGATTTCACAGCTGACCTGTGCGGTCCCAGAGGCCCACAGTGGCCCAGGGGGTTTGCACTGAGCCCCGGAGCATGGAGGGACAACATTGGGATCAGAGTCACACCTCTGGACTTGCCAAGGCTGTTTCCCCTAAACCACGGTGTTTCTGCCTTTGTCCACACACATACACACACACAGTGGCACAGTGTGTGTGTGTGTGTGTGTCCCAAGTGTGTGCAGTGTTTGTGTTTCTGGTTGAGACTGGATGTTTTTATCTTTGGGCTGTCTCCATGAGATGAGGGGGCACCTGAGTGTGTCTCCTGGGTGCACTGCTGTCTGCAAATGAGAACATCTGTGGGCATTTGTGTGTTCTGGGCACAGTTCCTTGGGCCTGTGAGTGGGTCCGGTTGTGTGTGTGTAACAGTGTGGATGAGTGTGTGTGTGGATGCGTGACTGCATGTGAGTGTGTGTGTGCACATGAATGCTATAGTCAATATGTGTGTGCATGTGTGTGTAGATGTGAATGGAATGTACGTGTGTGTGTGTATGGGAGTATAAACGTGTATGTGACGGTGCATGCATGAGTGTGTAAGCATATATATATAAGTGCAGTGTGTGCTTGTATATGGGAGTAAATGCTTATACATGTGTATGTGTGTGTTGTGAGTCACTGTGCGCAATGTGCGTGTGCATATGTGTGATTGTGTATGTGTAAGTGGGTATATCCATGTGAGTGTATGCATGTGTCTATATGCGTGTGTTGTATGTGGGTGTGAGTGCATAGCGGGAGTAGTAAATGGGTATGTGTGTGTGCATATGTGAGTGTGTAATGAGAGTAGGTGGGCGTGTGTGTGTACCTGTGCATATGTGTGTGTGCATGTGTGTAATGAAAGTAAGTGGGCGTGTCTGAGTGTGTGCATGTGAGTGTGCATGTGAGTGTGTAATGGGAGTAAGTGGGTGTGTCTGAGTGTGCCTGTGCATATGTGTGTGCATGTGAGTGTGTTGGAATAAGTGGGCGTGTCTGGGTGTGCCTGTGCATATGTGTGTGCATGTGAGTGTGTAATGGGAGTAAGTGGACGTGTGTGTGTGCTGTGCATATGCCAGTGAGTGTGTGCGTGTGGCTGTGTGCCTCCCCCGGGCCAGTGTCCCTGAGGCCCTGGCTGTGTCTGCAGCTGTACCCACGGTGGTCGCGTCCCTGCAGGGGTCCCCCTTGCCCTCCTCGGCTGTGGGGCTCTGCCCGCGCATCCCTGCCACCCTGACCCTGACCCCCGACCGTGGGGGCGGAGTGAGGCTCCCCCAAACCCGTGCCTCTGGCGGTGACTGGGGCCGCGGATCCCCGCGTGCGGCTTCGGGAGGTCTCCGGGCCAGAGCGGGCGTGAGTCTGGGCCGAGGCCGGAGCCGGTGGAGCGGCGTTGTTGGAGGTGGCCGTTGTGTAACCGCGAGGCTGTGGGCGAGGGGACGGCGGTCCCCGTGTGTGGGGAGAGGGGGCGGCGAGGAGCAGGCGGGGAAGAGCTGCTCAGGGCTGTGCCAGCCGTGACCCAAATAGCTCAGAACACAGCACTCATCCCCTCCGCGCTTTTCTGGGACCCCCTCCACGCCCCCTGAGCTCTCCAATCCCAGCCCCCTTCTCCCAGGAGCAACCCAAGACGGAGCCCAGGGGCTCAGGCCCCATCAGCAGGGCCAGGACCCGTCCTGGGGCCACATCGGGACTCCCAGCACCCCCACCCGTCCCCAGCTCAGCCAAGCCTTTCTCCTCATTAATCTCGAAGTCAAGGACTTGAATTAAACTGGGTCAGGGGACAGCTCTTTCGCCCATTGGAGCTGCCCCGAGCCGGGCCCCTTCCCCAGGGACACCGGCTTCTGTGAGGTTCCCACACCGGCCCCACCCTCGGGACCCGGGTCTGTCATCCCGAGGCTCCCCAAACCCAGCCTCATCTCGGCCCTCACCCCTGCAGCGCCCTGACCACCCCTTCTTTCTTGGGACGGGCAAGAAGCTTCCTCTCCCAGAGCCCCTTCATTTTCCAGCCCTGGTCCTCAGCCCCTGAAGCCCCCTTCCCCATTTCAGACTCTCAATCCCATCCCAGCACCGCAGCAGCCAGCGTTTTCCCCGCCACCGTTATCAGGTCCGCTGTCTCCTGGGTCCCACCTTATCTGGGACATATTCACCTGCTCTGATCCTGTGGGGCAGGGTCATCTTTTAGGGCAGGAAGAGTAGACCTACCCTCCCGATGACCCTGGAGGCCGGCTTCCCAGGCAGGTATCAGACACCCGGGAATCCGGGCCCCCCTCCCCTCCTCTCCATGAACTCAGGGGTGCAGGTCCCCAGCCTTCCCTTATTTAGAGAGCTCGAGGTCTGGACCCCCAGCGCGCGTCCCAGGAGAACCTCCAGGCATGGGCGCCCCCAGGCTCCTCCTCCCTCCGAAACCCCAAAGTCCGGGCCGGCCCCCAGCCTCCGGCGGAGCTCAGGAAATCTGTGACCCAGCCCCCTTCTCCCTCGGGACCCAGGAGCTCCGGCCCCCAGCCCTGGCCCCCAGGCCCTGGCGCCCGGTCCCACCTGCTGGTATTCCTGCTCTTGGGGCGCGAAAACGCTGGGCACCGGGCGGAGCTGGAAGTCGGCGCGGGGCAGCTGGTGGAGGAGATGCACCCAAGCTGAGGGCCGGTAGCCCGGGGGCGCCCCCATGGCCCCCGGGGGAGGGGGCAGCGGGGCGGACGCCGGGGCTGCGGGAGCCTCCGGAGTCGAGCGGGGCGCGGGCGGCGCGGGGTCTGGCTGGGCTCAGGGGAGCGGGAGCGGGGGGGAGGCAGGGGGTGGGGGGCGGAGATTGGGGGGAGGGAGGCGCGGGCCGGGCGGGGACGGTGCTGCCCCTGGTGGTCGCGGCGGGGACTGCGGGAGTCGGGAGGCCCCCAGCGCTCCGCGCCCCACCCCGGTCGCGGCTCCCACCTGCTGCCCGCGCAGGTACCGCGCTGCTGGCGTCGGCGGCATCCGGACAGCTGGCTTGCATCGCGATTGAAATCAGCCCTCCTTGTCCATACGAGGCCACTCATACTGTTATTTCACCTAAAACATAATGATCCCTTTATCCTTATGGAGAAACTTCATGTCTGTGTAAAGGTTGCTAGTAAGTACAGAGCGTTTTACAAAGAACGGCCAATTCCATGGATAAGAAGTCCTCTGTGTACGAAAGTGCTCCCACCTGTAAAAGATGCCCGTATTTGTGTAAAATCTCCGTCCCACTTTTATTCCTAGCCTGCATAAGGACACAGCTTCTAAGCACAAACACTCCTATGTGTAGAGGCTACTCCAGAATGTATGGAAAAATCCACACGCCTGTGTAGCAAGCCTTCATGCTGCATAAGGACCCCTTCTACCTGCATAAGGACCCTGGTCATCTATATAGGGGCCCTTCCCATCCTGTAAACTGACTCGGGATTACTTCGGTGTATACAAGGACCCCTGCCCCTTGGCATTCGCCATACAGTTACAGAGTATTTTTCCAGCCACTCCCCATGTTACATCTCACTGGAATCCTCCGATGCCACACCGATAGATGGGGAAGTGCCAACCCTGGGAGGGGACCTGGCCACCCTGACATCATCACCCAGACTGTCACTATTGCAGCCAAAACTAGGTGCTCAGGAATCTGGCCCCAGGGGTCCCCTCTTGCTGTAGGGCAGGGTGAGACTTTGCCATCTGGAAACCACACACGTGGCCTCTCTTGTGGGAATTGGGATGAGTGGAAGAAAGGGAGATTAGTTCTCCACTTAACCCATTTCCATATTTTGCTCCAGATTGGCAAGAAAGGGCTAGGGAAAAGAGGAATGCTGGTGGTAGCGGAGGTGGTGGTGATGACGATGATGGTGGTGATTATGTTGGTGATATGATGTCATGATGATGGTGATGGTGGTGATGGTGATGATGATGGTGGTGGTGGTGTTGATGATGGTGATGGTGATGATGATGATGATGGTGAAGACATGATTATGTTGACATGTCATGATGATAATTATGATGATGATGGTGGTGGTGATGGTGGTGACGGTGGTGATGATGGTGATGGTGGTGATGATGTTGGTGATGGTGATGGTGGTGGCGATGGTGGTGGTGGTGATGGTGGTGATGGTGGTGGTGATGATGGTGGTGATGGTGATGATGTTGGTGATGGTGGTGGTGGTGGTGATGGTGGTGGTGATGTTGGTGATGGTGGTGATGATGTTGGTGATGGTGGTGGTGGTGATGGTGGTGATGATGTTGGTGATGGTGATGGTGGTGATGGTGGTGATGATGCTGGTGATGGTGGTGATGATGTTGGTGATGGTGATGGTGGTGATGGTGGTGATGATGTTGGTGATGGTGGTGATGGTGGTGATGATGTTGGTGATGGTGGTGGTGATGGTGGTGATGATGTTGGTGATGGTGGTGGTGATGGTGGTGATGGTGATGTGGTGATGGTGGTGGTGGTGATGGTGGTGATGGTGGTGATGATGCTGGTGATGGTGGTGATGGTGGTGATGATGTTGGTGATGGTGATGGTGGTGACGGTGGTGATGGTGGTGGTGGTGGTGATGGTGGTGGTGGTGGTGATGGTGATGGTGAAGATGAGGATATGATGATGATGATAGTGATGATGATGATGGTGGTGAAGACAAGATTATGTTGACATGTCATGATGATAATGATGATGATGATGGTGGTGATGATGGTGATGAGGACGATGATGATGACGGTGAGGAGGAGGATAGTGATATTGGTGAAGGTATTGATGATGAAATGGGAGAGTGAGAATAGGCGCCTTATCTCTGTCTCTCTCTCTCTCTCTCACACACACACACACACACACACACACACACACACACACACACCCTCTCTCATCACTACCCTAGGTCTTCTTCAGCTTTCTCTGGTTCTGGCTAGAGTCATGTTCTCCACCATTCCCAACCAGGTGGCCTACATGGGGCTTGGGGATGAAGAAGATCCCGAGATGAGCGGTTAGAGGTGTATTAAGTGACTCTAGGCAAGTAGTTTTTCATCTTAGAGTCCCTCTTTTTCTGTCTGTAAAATGAAGGCTTAACCCTTTAGGGCTAAGATTAGTATATTCTAAAACTCTTGTTCTGACAATCTCTTGCATCATGTCCACAGCCAGTGTTTGTTGTAGCAGCAGGATTTGCTAATGGGAAGAATTCCAAACGTCATGATGTGCACAGTTGGGCATGTGTACATCAGAGTGCAGGACAGTGAGGTGCTGGTGGTGACTGTGCAACCCAATAGAGCTCAGTGGCTCCACGTTGCCCATAGAATCAAGTCACACCCTCAGCCCTGAGTTTATACCCTCCATCATTTGGCCCTGCATCAGCCCTCTCCATATGGATAATATTCTAGATGAGTGGTTTCCAACTGATAGGGCCACAACCCACAGTGAGAAATACATTTTACATTATGATCTAGTATACACACACACACAAAAAAAAAAAAAAAAAAAAAAGTAAAAAGTTTCTGACCACTATGTGCAATGCTCTTGGATAATTTCTATCCTCTGTTACTTCTATTTTGTAATTCAAATCTGGTCACAACCTTCTAAATTGTTTTGTGGCTGGCTAATGGATCTTGGATTGCCACCTGAGAAACATGAATCCTGAATTGCAGAGAACAATCTGGGTTGGTGTTAGAAAAGGGGTAAGTGGGGGCCAGGCGCAGTGGCTCGAGCCTGTAATCCCAGCACTTGGGGAGGTGGAGGTGGGCAGATCACTTGAGGTCAGGAGTTCGAGACCAGCTTGGCCAACATGGTAAAACCCTGTCTCGGCCAGGCCCAGTGGCTCACGCCTGTAATTCCAGCACTTTGGGAGGCCGAGGCCAGTGGATCACCTGAGGTCAGGAATTCGAGACCAGTCTGGCCAACATGGCGAAACCTTGTCTCTACTAAAAATACAAAAAAATTAGCCTGGCATGGTGGTGTGTGCCTGTAATCCCAGCTACTTGGGAGGCTGAGGCAAGAGAATTGCTTGAATCCAGGAGGCGGAGGTTGCAGTGAACTGAGATTGTGCCACTGCTCTCCAGCCTGGACAACAGAGCACGACTCCAACTCAAAAAAATAAACAAACAGGCCAGGCATGGTGGCTCATGCCTGTAATCCCAGCACTTTGGGAGGCCAAGGCGGGCGGATCACGAGGTCAGGAGTTCGAGACCAGCCTGGCCAACATGGTGAAGCCCCATCTCTAGTAAAAATACAAAAATTAGCTGGATGTGATGGCACACTCCCATAGTCACAGCTACTCGGGAGGCTGAGACAGGAGAATTGCTTGAACCTGGGAGGCAGAGGTTGCAGTGAGCCGAGATTGTGTCATTGCACTCCGGCCTGGGTGACAGAGCAAGACTCTGTCTCAAAAAAAAAAAAAAATACCCTGTCTCTACTAAAAATACAAAAAAATTATCTGGACATGGCAATGTGTGCCTGTAATCCCAGGTACTCAGGAGGCCAAGGCATGAGAATAGCTTGAACCTGGGAGGCAGAGGTTGCGGTGAGCTGAGATTGTGCCACTGTACTCCAGCCTGGGCGACAGAGTGAGACTCTGTCTTAAAAAAGAAAAGGGGTAAATGTTACTAAGTAGAAGTAAGTTATATTGGCTTCCAGGGGGAGCTCATTGCTTTGTTCTTGCTGCTGTGTCCTCAGCATGCTGCTTTCTTACATGAAATACACACACACACACACACACACACACACACACACACACACACACACACACCCCATAGTCACCACATATGCCATTCCCCTTCATTCCCCTAGAAAAAGACTTTAAATTGATGGACTCTCTCTCTCTCTCTCTCACTCTCTCTGTCTCTCTCTCTCTCTGTCTCTCTCTGTCTCTCTCTGTCTCTCTCTCTCTCTTTGTTTCTCTGTCTCTGTCTTTGTCTCTCTCTCTCTGTCTCTCTCTGTCTCTCTCTCTTTCTCTCTCTATCTCTTTGTCTCTGTCTCTCTCTCTGTCTCTCTCTGTCTCTCTTTCTCTCTCTGTCTCTCTCTTTGTCTCTCTCTGTCTCTCTCTGTCTTTGTCTCTCTCTCTCTTTGTCTCTCTCTCTCTGTTTCTCTCTCTCTCTCTGTCTCTCTTTGTCTCTCTCTCTGTCTCTCTCTCTCTCTCTTTATCTCTTTCTCTCTCTCTCTCTGCTTTACTCTGGCTCTTTCTGTCCCCACCTCTCTGTCTCCCTCACATGTGTTTTGGGCCCCAGAAGGCAAGCCTCTTTAGAGAATGGCTTAGCCTGCATCGATTAAACCCAGGACATCCATCCTCCTGCATGGGACATCTGCAATGCTGCCTGACAGAAATGTATTATCTCTACCTTCTCCGGCCGTGGTTCCCTGGGTCTGTTTCTGCTGAGGAAAACAAACGGTCATTCCAGGTGGCCCTTGGGTATTTCTAGAGCCCTTGGCTGAATACCACCCCTAAACCATCTCAAGCTCTGCAGGTGTTCATTCATGGCTTGGGACGCATGCAAACCCCCTGGTAGAGGGTAGCTCAGAGAACATGGCTGTTGCTATTTCGTTTCAGCCAACGCTTGCCATATGGGAAGAGGGACCTGGCACCACCAGATGTTCCAAATTTCCAAGAGAAGGCAGAAATCTGGATATTTTTAAAAGCAAAATCCCTCAGCTTTTAAATGTTAAAACTAATTCAAATGAAAAAAAAATGCTGTGTGGGCCAAATAAAACCTGTCTGTGGGTTGGAGCTGGCTGGTTTATAAGCTCTGGTCTAGCCAGACATGGAGTAGTACAGGCATGAAAGGGACAAGTGGAGAAAGAGGGGCCCACAATGAGACTGAGAAGGAGCAGCCACAGGGATGGGAGGGAAGATTGGGGGAGGCAGTGATGCTGCCTCCTCCGGGAAGGCCTCCTGACCAGCTTCTGCTGACAGAAGGCAAGGACAGCTCCTGGCTGAAGGACTCAGCATGTGCTTCCCACGGCTTAAGCTTTGGGAGACTTGCCTGCTTAACTGAGTGGCTGTAAGAATGCCAGGAGAGATTTCCAACTGCTTGGTCCTGTGCCTAGCACATAGTAGGTTCTCAATAAATCAGGACCATGTGTGCTGTGCTAACAGCTGTGCTTCAATGATGTATCTGTTCCCCACACACGTATTGAGTGCCTACTATGTCCCAGGCACTGCTGCATGTTCTGGAGAAATGGGCATAAGCAAAAAAGACAAAGTCTCCAGTTGGCACAACTAAAACCGCTGGAGTACAGAAGGTAGAAAATTGAGGAATGAACAGGTGAGCTGAGTCTATACTATCAGGTAAGAGGAAGCAACACATAGATGTGAGTGGATGTGGTGGGGATGAGGTGGTCACTACTTTTTTTTTTTTGAGACAGAGTCTTGCTCTGTTGCCCAGGCTGGAGTGCAGTGACGTGATCTTGGTTCACTGCAACCTCCACCTCCCCGGTTCAAGCAATTATCTGCCTCAGCCTCCCAAGTAGCTGGGATTACAGGTGCCTGCCATCACACTCAGCTAATTTTTTGTATTTTTAGTAGAGACGGGGTTTCACCATCTTGGCCAGGCTTGTCTTGAACTCCTGACCTCATGATCCACCTGCCTCGGCCTCCCAAAGTGCTGGGATTACAGGCGTGAGCCACCACGTCTGGTGGTTGCTACTTATATAATAGAAGGTGCTCAGGGAATGTCTCTCTCTCCATTTGGATGATATCTGAACAGAGACACAAATGAAGGACGCTCTTTAGTTCATGATTGGCATGACTAAGAGTTCATGCTTTGCAGCCACATTATCTGGTTTCAACCCTGGCTCAGCTCCTTATTAGCTCGGTGACCTTAGACAATTTTCTCAACTCTGTGCTTTCGGTTCACATAAACAGGATGAAAATAATAACCTTGGCCAGGCTCAGTGGCTCATGCCTGTAATCCCAGCACTTTGAGAGACCAAGGCGGGGGGGATCAGCTGAGATCAGGAGTTCGAGACCAGCCTGGCCAACATGACGAAACCCAGTCTCTACTAAAAATAACGAAAATTAGCCGAGCATGGTGGCACGTGCCTGTGATCCCAGCGACTCAGGAGGCTGAGGCAGGAGAATCGCTTGAATTCGGGAGGCAGAGGTTGCAGTGAGCCAGGATCGCACCACTTCACTCCAGCCTGGGCAACAAGAGTGAAACTCTGTTTAAAAAAAAAAAAAAAAGCAAGAAAGAGCAACCTTAACCAATTCCACAGGGTTGTTGTGCAGATCGAGTGAACACACGGGAAGTGTTTGCTGACAAAGTGCTTGACAAGCGCTCGCGAATTATTACGAGGGTGACAGTTGTTGATTTTTAAAAATGACTACAGTGACATCTGCCAAATAGAAGGAAAGCAAAGTGAAGGAATTCACAAGTACATAAGAAAATGACCGGAAAAGGCATAAATACGTAAAGCTGTTCAGCCTTCAGATGTTCAGTCATCCTTATGATCTTTCCCTCCCTCCCCGCCTCCCTTCCTTCCTTCCCTCCTTCCTTCTTTCCTCTTTCCCTCCCTCCCTCCCTACCCCTTCCTGCCTTCTGGCCTTCCTTCCTTCCTCCCTCCCTCCCTCCCCCCTTCCTCCCTCCCTCCCTCCCCCCTTCCTTCCTCCCTCCCTCCCTCCCTGCCTCCCTCTCTTCCTTTCTCCTTCCTTCCTCCTTCCTCCCTCTCTTCCTTTTTACCTTCCTTCCTTCCTTTCCTCCCTCCCTCCCCTCCTTCCTCCCTCCCTTTCTTCCTTCTTTCCTTCCTCTCTCTCTCCCTTCCTTTCTTCCCTCCTTCCTTCTTCCTTCATTGCTACCTTCCTTCTTCCTTCCTTTTCCCCTCCTTTCTTTCGATTACATGTTTAATAGCTGCCAGGCTGTGTTAAGTAAGCCCTGGGATCTATTAATAATAAAGAAGAATCCATACATTCATTGGTTTGTTCATTCCCCAAGTATTTATTTATTGGACAGCTACTAGGTGCCAGGCATTGTTCTAGGCCCTGGGAATTCAGCAGTGAACTAAAGGGATGAAAATCTCTGCTTTCACAGAGCATGATAGAGATAACTCATTAGGCAAATGAGCAAATATGCAGATATAGCCAGTTTATTAAATAAGCTGATGTCATGGTTAACTTTATGCGTCAACTTGACTGGCCTAAGGGATGCCCAGATAGCTGGTAAGACATTATTTCTGGATGTGTCTGTGGGGGTGTTTCTGGAAGAGGTGAGCATTTGAATCAGTAGACTGAGTAAAGAAGTTCTCCCTCACCAATGTGGGCGGGCCTCATCCAATCTGCTGGAGGCTCGAATAGAACAAAAAGCAGAGGAAGGGCGAATTCACTGTGTTTTCTTAACTGGCGCATCCATTTTCTCTTGCCCTAGGACATCAAACTTCCTGGTCCTCATGCCTTTAGCCTCAGACTGAATGACACCACCAGCTTTCCTGCTTCTTCAGCTTATGGACAGCACGTCGTGGGACTCCTCAGCCTCCAGAATTGTGTAAGAAAAGTTCTCATAATAAACCTCTGCTGGTATCTCTTTATATATCTCTTTGGTTTTCTTTCTTTGGACAAATCTGACTAATAGAGCTGCATTCAACCACAGTGAAATACCAACAGCCCAAAGCAGGCCTGAGATCCAAAGATTCCAGGAATGAAGCACCCGAGTGTTATCCATTATTGATGAGAGAGTAAAGGGTACAAACCCTGTAGGAAAAGGCCTGGCAGCTTCTTACAAATCTAAGCCCACACCTATCCCATGACCCAACAATTCTACTCTTTTTTGTTTGTTTGTTTTTTAGACGGAGTCTCACTGTGTCACCAAGCTGGAGTGCAATGGCATGATCTCAGCTCACTGCAACCTCTGCCTCCCAGGTTTAAGTGATTATTCTGCCTCAGCCTCCCGAGTAGCTGGGACTACAGGTGTACACCACCATGCCTGGCTAATTTTTGTATTTTTAGTAGAGATGGGGTTTCACCATGTTGGCCAGGCTGGTCTCAAACTCCTGACCTCACGTGATCTGCCCACCTCGGCCTCCCAAACTGCTGGGATTACAGGCGTGAGCCACCACGCCCGGCCAACAATTCTACTTTTACCCAAAAGAAAAGAAAATATTTATCCACACCAAGAATTTTGCAAGACTGTTTACAGCAGCTTTATTCATAATAGCCTCAGGCTAGAAACATCCTGTATGCCTATCAACAGGGGAATGGACCAAGATAGGTAATATAGCCACAGAATGGAATACTACTTAGCAATGAAAAGGCACAAGCTAATAATGCATGCAGCAATATGGGTCGGTCTCAAAATTATTGTGCTGAGTGTCAGAAACAAAGGAGGATGCACTGTATGAGTTCAGTTAGATGATTTTCCAAACAGACAGAATTAACATATGGTAGCAAAAATAATAAAAACAGTGGTTGCCTCTGGGTGAGTAGGGTCAGGGTGACTGGGAAGGGGGCTGGGGGAACTTCCTGGGATAAAGGGCCTCGTTCTGTATCTTGATGAGGGTTCGTTTTGTACCAGTGTCTGCATTTGTCGCTCACTTAAGATTTGTGAATTTCTGGCCAGGTGCGGCGGCTCACACCTGTAATCCCAGCACTTTGGGAGGCCGAGGCAGGTGGATCGCCTGAGGTCAGGAGTTCCAGACCAGCCTGGCCAACATGACGAAACCCCGTCTCTACTAAACATACAAAAATTAGCCAGCTGTGGTGGTGCATGCCTGTAATCCCAGCTACTCGGGAGGCTGAGGCAGGAAAATCGCTTGAACCCAGGAGGTGGAAGTTGTAGTGAGCTATCACACCACTGCACTCTAGCCTGGGAGAAAGAGTGAAACTCCATCTCAAAAAAAAAAAAAAAAGATTTGTGCACTCCACTCTATAAAAATTTTACTGAAAAATGTTAATGAGGTGCATGCTTAGTATTGGGAGAAAGTGTAGTGGTGTCTGCAGTCTCTTTTTGAAGTTAATCACAAAAGAAAATAAGACGGATGGATGGAGGGATAGGTAATAAGGCAAAGGAAGATAAATATTAAGCAAGGTACAGTGGCATGAGTCTGTGCTCCCAGCAACTCAGGAGGCTGGTGCAGGAGGATCACTGGAGCCTAGAAGTTCAAGGCTGCTCTGTGGGTATGATTGCACCTGTGAATAACCACTACACTGTAGCCGGGACAACATAGCGAGACCCTGTCTTAAGAAAGAAGAAAGAAAGAAAGAAAGAAAGAAAGAAAGAAAGAAAGAAAGAAAGAGAGAGAGACAGAGAGGGAGGGAGGGAGGGAGGGAGGGAGAGAGAGAGAAAGAAAGAAAGAAAGAAAGGAAAGAGAGAGAGAGAGAGAGAGGGAGTGAGTGAGTGGAAGGGAAGGGAAGGGAAAGGAAAGGAAAGAAAGAAAGAGGGAGAGAAAGGAAAGAAAGAAAGAGGAAAAGAGAAGGGAGAGAAAGGAAAGAAACAGAGAGAAAGGAAGGAAAGAAAGAAAGGGAAGGAAAAAGAGAGAGAGAAGGAAGGAAGGAAGGAAGGAAGGAAGGAAGGAAGGAGAAAAGATTAACAGTAGACTAGAATCCAGGTGATAACTATCTAGGTTTTCACTGTAATATTCTTTTTTTTTTTTTTTTGAGGCAGAGTTTTCACTCTTGTCACCCTGGCTGGAGTGCAGTGGCACCATCTCAGCTCACTGCAACCTCCGCCTCCTGGGTTCAAGCAATTCTCCTGCCTCGGCCTCCCGAGTAGCTGGGACTACAGGTGCATGCCATCACACCCAGGTAATTTTTGTATTTTTAGTAGAGATGGGGTTTTGTCAAGTTGGCCACGCTGATCTTGAACTCCTGACCTGAGGTGATCCACCCTCCTCGGCCTCCCAAAGTGCTGGGATTACAGGCGTGAGGCACCATGCCCAGCCTGCATTGCACTTTTTTTTTTTTTTTAAATATGGGTGAGACGCTCTCTCCTGTTGTCCCGCCATGACCCCTGAGAACTAAGCTCTGATTTTTTTATCTTGCCCAAATTCCTACCTAAGGCGTTTGAGGAGTCATGCCTTACAAACCATAAATTCTCATCAGATGGGTTGTATTTAATCCTCTATGGTGTGACTTACTTTCCAATCTGACTCTGGCATAGCATTACAACACAAGGAAGAAAATAAAAATATTTTACCCCAAAACATGTTTCTCTGCCATATTTTGAAATTGCCCTGCAAAGTCTCTTGTGGGAAAAATCCACATTCTTTACAGAACCCCGTTTCTCCTTTGTTTTCCCTTCTTCCTTTCCAGGCCCAGGAGAGCCAGACACTCTTTTTTTTTTTTGAGACAGAGTTTCACTCTTTTTGCCCAGGCTGGAGTGCAACGGCACAATCTCGGCTTACCGCAACCTCCACCTCCCAGGTTCAAGCAATTCTCCTGCCTCAGCCTCCCAACTAGCTGAGATTACAGGCATGCACCACCACGCCCAGCTAATTTTGTATTTTTTAGTAGAGACAGGGTTTCTCCATGTTGGTCAGGCTGGCTTTGAACTCCCGACCTCAGGTGATCCGCCTGCCTCGACCTCCCAAAGTTGCTGGGATTACAGGTGTGAGCCACCGTGGCCGGCCCAGGCACTCTTTTAGGTCCTGTAAGAAGCATTTTACACCCTGCCCTCTCTCTCTGAAGTCAGCTTCCTCTGCACAATAAAACCTGGTCTCCACGATCCTTTAGCTTAACCTGAACATTTCCTTTCTATTGATTCCGGGTCTTCAGAGAAAACTCAACCAATTGTCAATCAGAAAATGTTTAAATTGCACGCCTCGCCCCACCCTTTGTGTTGTTCCACCTTTCTGAACCACGCCAATGTATTTCTTTCTTTTTTTTTTTTTTGAGACAGAGTATCACTCTGTAGCCCAGGCTGGAGTGCAATGGCATGATCTTGGCTTACTGCAACCTCCGCCTCCCGGGTTCAAGCGATTCTCCTGCCTCAGCCTCCTGAGTAGCTGGGACTGCAGGCATGCGCTACCACGCCTGGCTAATTTTTGTATTTTCAGTATAGACAGGGTTTCACCATGTTGATCAGGCTGGTTTTGAACTCCTGACCTTGTGATCCGCCCTCCTCGGCCTTCCAAACCCAATGTATTTCTTTTTTCTTTTCTTTTCTTTCTTTCTTTTTTTTTTCTTTTTTTGAGACAGAGTCTCGCTCTGTCGCCCAGGCTGGAGTGCAATGGTGCGATCTCGGCTCACTGCAACCTCCGCCTCCCGGGTTCAAGCAATTCTCCTGCCTCAGCCTCCTGAGTAGCTGGGACTATAGGTGCATGCCACCACACCTGGCTAATTCTTTGTATTTTTAGTAGAAATGGGGTTTCACCATCTTGGCCAGGCTGCTCTTGAACTCCTGTCAGGCCTCTAAGCCCAAGCTAAGCCATCCTATCCCCTGTGACCTGCATCTATACATCCAGATGGCCTGAAGCAACCGAAGATCCACAAAAGAAGGGAAAATAGCCTTAACTGATGATATTCCACCATTGTGATTTGTTCCTGCCCCACCCTGACTGATCAATGTACTTTGTAATCTTCCCCACCCTTAAGAAGGTTCTTTGTAATCTCTCCCACCCTTAAGAAGGTTCTTTGTAATTTTCCCCACCCTTGAGAATGTACTTTGTGAGATCCACCCCCTGCCCGCAAAACATTGCTCCTAACTCCACCGCCTGTCCCCAAACCTGTAAGAACTAATGATAATCCCACCACCCTTTACTGACTCTGTTTTCGGACTCAGCCCGCCTGCACCCAGGTGAAATAAACAGCCTTGTTGCTCACACAAAGCCTGTTTGGTGGACTCTTCACACGGACTCGCGTGACACTAACCTCATGATCCACCTGCCTCAGCCTCCCAAAGTGCTGGGATTACAGGCGTAAGCCACCGCGCCCGGCTTCAAGATGTTTTCATACATAGGTATGGGGGGCCCAGCAGATGAGATGGACCACTGAGAAGACAGTTTGTCACAGTTCTCAAGAGGAAGGGACATGCCAGGCCAGGCAGGACACCCAGAGAGCACCAGGGCCGAGGGAGCATGCAGGTCACACGGGAGAGCACGAGGGATCAGAGGCAGAGGGAGTGAGGGCGGAGAGAGGGCAAGAGCTTGATTTGGTTTTTGCAGGAATGAGTGGGTGGGGCAGGGTAAACAGGTTTGTGATTAGCTAATTTGAATAATTTCAGCAGGGCCTGGGGCATTGGGCCTACTCTAGTGGTCTGGTTCCTGGCCCTGGGTGATGAAGGCAGGTGCACAGCAGCCCTGAGTGTGAGAGCTCAGAAATGGAGGTGGCTGGGGGCTGGGCTCTGGACTGTTTGGTTTGCACATGAAAGGTGTGATTGAAAGACTTGTTGGCCGGGCGCGGTGGCTCACGCCTGTAATCCCAGCACTTTGGGAGGCTGAGATGGGTGGATCACCTGAGGTCAGGAGTTGGAGACCAGCCTGGCCAACATGGTGAAACCCCGTCTCTACTAAAATACAAAAAAAAAAAAAAAAAAAATTAGCCAGGTGCAGTGGCAAATGTCTGTAATCCCAGCTACTCGGGAGGCTGAGGCAGAGAATCGCTTGCACCATGAGGCGGAGGTTGCAGTGAGCCAAGATCGCGCCACTGCACTCCAGCCTGGGTGAGAGAGCAAGACTTTGTCTCAAAAATAAATAAATAAATAGAAATGTTAACAGTAGCTTTGTTCACAAGAGCCCCCAAGACTGGAAACAGCCAGGTGTTCATCAGTGGAAGAAAGGATAAATAAACCACGGAACCCCGTACAATGCAATCCTGCCCCGCAGTGAAAATGAACGGACTGTGGACACACACAGCAGCACGGGTGAATCTCAGAAACTTTGAGCTGAGTGGAAGAAGCCAGAGAGGAGAGTTCAGTTTTCTGAGAGTTTATGATTCTGCTTGCGTGAAGTCCCAGAACAGTTGAAATTAGTCTATAGTGAAAAAATAATAATATCAGAAGAGTGGTAGCCTCCAGGGGAGTAAAGGCAAGATGTGACTGGGCAGGTGCATTTGGGAGCTTGCTGTGACAATGGCCATATTCTATGTCTCCATAGGGGCTTCAGTATATAATTTTAAAACACGCTTAGGCCGGGAACGGTGGCTCACGCCTGTAATCCCAGTACTTTGGGAGGCCGAGGCAGGAGGATCATGAGGTCAAGAGATCGAGACAATTTTGGCCAACATGGTGGAACCCTGTCTCTACTAAAAATACAAAAATTAGCCAGGCGTGGTGACAGGCACCTGTAGTCCCAACTGCTTGGGAGACTGAGGCAGGAGAATTGCTTGAACCCGAGAATCGCTTGAGCCAAGATCGTGCCACTGCACTCCAGCCTGGTGACAGAGCGAGACTCTGGCTCAATAAATAAATAAATAATAAATAAATAAAACAAACAAAAAAACCCACACAGTTAATGGTGTACTTAAGATGTGTGCAACAGCCGGGTGTGGTGGCTCACACCTGAAAATCCCAGCACTTTGGGAGGCTGAGGCGGGCAGATCAATAGGTCAAGAGTTCAAGACCAGCCTGGTCAACATAATGAAACCCTGTTTCTACTAAAAATACAAAAATTAGCTGGGCATGTTGGCTCATGCCTGGAATCCCAGCACTTTGGGAGGCCGAGGCGGGCAGATCACTTGAGGTCAGGAGTTTGAAACTAGCCTGGCCAACATCATGAAACCCCGTTTCTACTAAAAATAAAAAAAAAAATTTAGCTGGGCATGGTGGCAGACACCTGCAATCCCAGCTATGTGGGAGGCTGAGGCAGGAGAATCGCTTGAACCTGGGAGGCAGAGGTTGCAGTGAGTCAAGATCATGCCACTGCACTCTAGCCTGGGCGACAGAGCAGGACTCTGTCTCGAAAAAGAAAAAAAGTTGTGAATGGTTGAGTCTGGGTGTCTGGGTGGTGTGGATGGGGTATTCATTCTAAGATTCTTTCAACTCTTCTCTATGCTTGAAAAATTTTTATAATAAGATGTTGAAGGAAAAACTCATCCTCTACCAACCTTCTCACCCCAGATTTGTCGATCTCCTTTAATTACAAAAAAAAAAAAAAAAAAAAAAAAAAAAGACGTGGGGCACCTGGCACAAAGTGTGTGGGAAGAGGTTTTATTTTGGGAACCACCTTGGCTGCTATGCACCGTGGCAAGTCATAATTTGTCATTTTCCGCTTTCCGTGTATGAACCTTTTTGCTACTTGGAAAGAGGTCCCTGTCAGTCTGAGTCTTAGTGGGAAGTCTGGTTCTGCCTTCCTCTGTGGAGGGAAAGGTGGAATCCATTCTATCCTTTGAGGTGGAGAGTGGGATCCCCCATCACACGGCCCAATGTGGGCCTTTTTTTTTTTTAAAGAGATGGAGTCTGGCTGTGTTGCCCAGGCTGGAGTGCAGTGGTGAGATCTCCCGTCACTGCAACCTCTGACTCCCTGGTTCAAGTGATTCTCCTGCCTCAGCCTCCCAAGTAGCTGGGATTACAGGCATGCGCCACCACACCCAGTTAATTTTTGTATTTTTAGTAGAGATGGGTTTGCATCATGTTGGCCAGGATGGTCTTGATCTCCTGACCTCATGATCCACCAACCTCGGCCTCCGAAAGTGCTAGGATTACAGACGTGAGTCACCGCGCCCAGCCTTTTTTTTTTTTTTTTTTTTTTGAGATGGAGTTTTGCTCTGTCGCCCAGGCTGGAATGCAGTGGCTCGACCTCAGCTCACTGCAGCCTCTGCCTCCCGGGTTCAAGCGATTCTCCTGCCTCAGCCTCCCGAGTAGCTGGGATTACAGGCATGCGCCACCACGCCTAGCTAATTTTGTATTTTTTAGTAGAGACGGGGTTTCTCCGTGTTGGTCAGGCTGGTCTCGAACTCCCGACCTCAGGTGATCCGCCCGCCTTGGCCTCCCAAAGTGCTAGGATTACAGGCGTGAGCCACCGCACCCGGCCTTTTTTTTTTTTTTTTTTTGAAATGGGGTCTCCCTCTGTTGTTCAGGCTGGAGTACAGTGGTGCGGTCTCGGCTCACTGCAATCTCCACCTCTCAGGTTTTAGCTATTCTCCTGCCTGAGCCTCCCAAGTAGCTGGGATTACAGGCGCCTGACCCCACGCCTGGCTAATTTTTTTTTGTATTTTTAGTAGAGACGGGGTTTCACCATGTTGGCCAGGCTGGTCTCGAACTCCTGACGTCATGATCCACCTGCCTCAGCCTCCTAAAGTGCTGGGATTATAGGCATGAGCCACCACGCCCGGCCTGACCATTTTCTTTTCTTTTTTTTTTTTGTTGTTTTTTTGAGATGGAGTCTCGCTCTGTGGCCCAGGCTGGAGCGCAGTGGTGTGATCTCCGCTCACTGCAAGCTCCACCTCCCGAGTTCACGCCATTCTCCTGCCTCAGCCTCCTGAGTAGCTGAGACTACAGGCAACCGCCAACACACCCGGCTAATTTTTTGTGTTTTTAGTAGAGATGGGGTTTCACCATGTTGGCCAGGATGGTCTCGATCTCCTGACCTCGTGATCCACCTGCCTCGGCCTCCCAAAGTGCTGGGATTACAGGCGTGAGCCACGGCGCCTGGCCCGGCCTGACTATTTTCTTACAGCAAATTCTGCAGGGCCTTTCTATGACTCTTCCCATAAGATAGATGCTACTCTCTGCAACAAGGAAAAATAATGTGGCATTCTGGCTAAATTCCTTTATGAAGCCTATCTCTGCTTAGAGGTTATATGAGGTTTAGAGGTTTATGTGAAGTGTCAGTGTAATACAGAGGAAAGAGAGGGACTGCTCAGTGGTGAGTCTTACATGGCAAAATAGAGATTATGTTTTCTGCCCTAAGCATGGTAAGAAAACCGGTTAGACTCCCTCTCCACCTTAAGCAGCTGCCCTGCTGTGCCTGTAAGGGCTTGGCTGTGGGATATAAGGAACCCTCTGTCTCTGCTCCCTTAAAACAAGCAAGCCACACCTGCTGGGGTGGGTCCTAGGCTGGTAGAGCTGTAAGGCAATCCTATTTTTGGTGGAAGCCTGAAAGCAACCTATATAATCCATACATATTCATAAGGTTTGCCTTGTGCGGTGTGGTAGGCAGCCTCCCAGATGGTCCCCAATAATCCTCACCTCCTGGTATTTATAGCATCATGTAATCCCGTCCTTTTAAGGATGATTGTGTGACTTGCATTCTGTTAGCAGACTCTTTTTGCCTGCTTAGTTTGCATACTTTGATGAAACAAAGCTATCCTGTTGCAGAAAACTTTCATGGCAAGGAACTGAGGGGTGGCTTCTGGCCAAGAGTCAGCAAAGAACTGAACTGCCAGCAACACCATGAAATCAACAGAACCTTGAGATGGCCACAAAGCTGCTGGCCCCTTGATTGCAGCCCGGGAGAGACCCTGAAGCTGA
Source organism: Homo sapiens (assembly GCF_000001405.40). Lineage (NCBI taxonomy): Eukaryota > Metazoa > Chordata > Mammalia > Primates > Hominidae > Homo > Homo sapiens. Next base: position 54,398,917 of record NC_000019.10, on the reverse strand, counting down.
AGACCCAGCCGGGCTGTGCTCAGATCCCTGATTCACGGAAATCGCAAGACAATAAACGTGTGTTGTCTGAAGCTGCTCCCTTTGAGGTGATTTGTTACACAGCAATAGCTAACTGATACATATAGAAATAAAGAGAGGCCGGGTGCAGTGGCTCACGCCTGTAATCTCAGCACTTTGGGAGGCCGAGGCGGGTGGATCAGGAGGTTAGGAGATTGACACCACAATGAAACCCCATCTCTACTAAAAATACAAAAAATTAGCCAGGCGTGGTGGCGGGTGCCTGTAGTCCCAGCTACTCAGGAGGCTGAGGCAGGAGAATGGCGTGAACCCGGGAGGTGGAGCTTACAGTGAGCTGAGATCGAGCCACTGCACTCCAGCCTGGGTGACAGGGTGAGACTCCGTCTCAAAAAAAGAAAAAGAAAGAAATAGAAAATAAAATCTTGGGTCTTTCTTTTGATATCTTGATCAAGAAAGTTTGATCACTTTACCAAACATGTATTATGTATTTTTCATAAATAAAAGAGAATTTATAAAACAGCTTGAATCATGAAACATTAACGAAACGGCCTCACTTAGCCCACCATCCAATTAAGAGCTACAATCTCATCCCGACCACCTCATCTACCTGGAATCTCCTTCCATTCTCATCCTCCACTTTCCTCCTCTGCAGAAGTAACTGTGCTTGTCGTTCCCTTATTTGTTTTATTTTATTATTTTATTTTATTCTACTTTAAGTTCTGAGACAGAGTCTCACACTGTTGCCCAGGCTGGAGTGCGGTGGAATGATCTCGGCTCACTGCAAACTCTGCCTCCCAGGTTCAAGTAATTCTCCTGCCTCAGCCTCCCGAAGAGCTGGGATTACAGGCGCGCACCACCATGCCTGGCTAATTCTTGTATTTTCAGTAGAGACGGGGTTTCACCATGTTGTCCAGGCTGGTCTCAAACTCCTGACCTCAGGTGATCTGCCCGCCTCAGCCTCCCAAAGTGCTGGGATTATAGGCGTGAGCCACTGCACCTGGCCCCTTATTTGTTTAAAATAGTGTCTCTAAACCACATATTGGAATGAACTTGGTAAAAATGACAACAGAAACCATGAATTTTTTTTTGAAATGATTCGTGAAATCATTTTCAATGCCATAGTTTGAAGCTTTCCAATATAGGTCTATATCACAGTTTTTGTATTTTTGTACCTGTTGATGAACACATGGGCTTCTTTTATTTTAGTTACTTTTCTATTTCTATTTATTTTACTTTCCCTATTACGTAACAGACATTTTTTACATGTTTCTTGGTGCATATGTGCAAGAATTTTTAAAGAGTATACATATAAGAATGGAATGATTGCGCTATAGGGATTGTTAGTTTCAATTTTTTGAAATAGTGTCAAAGTGTTTCCAAAAGTAGCCTTACCAATTTTTTCCTGGCTTAATTGAGATATGATTGACAAATAAAAGCGTATATATTTGGTCAGGCGCGGTGGCTCATGCCTGTAATCCCAGCATTTTGGGAGGCCGAGGCGGGTGGATCACAAGGTCAGGAGATCGAGACCATCCTGGCTAACACGGTGAAACCCCGTCTCTACTAAAAAAAAAAATACAAAAATTAGCCGGGCGCCTGTAGTCCCAGCTACTCGGGAGGCTGAGGCAGGAGAATGGTGTGAAGCCGGGAGGCGGAGATTGCAGTGAGCCGAGATTGCGCCACTGCACTCCAGCCTGGGCGACAGAGCGAGACTCCGTCTCAAAAAGAGAAGTGTATATATTTAAGGTGTACAACATGATGTTTTGACATATGTACACATTGTGAAATAATTACCATAATCAAGATGTTTAACATATCCATCACCTCACTTTTTTTTCTGAGACAGAGTCTCATTCTGTCACTCAGCCTAGAGTGCAGTGGTGCGATCTCAGCTCACGGCAAACTCCACCTCCCACGTCAAGTGATTCTTGTGCCTCAGCCTCCCGAGTAGCTGGGATTACAGGTGTGTGCCACCACGTCTGGCTAATTTTTGTATTTTTTGTAGAGATGGGGTTTGGCCATGTTGCCCAGGCTGGTCTCAAACTGCTGACCTCAAGTGATCCACTTGCCTCAGCCTCCCAAAGTGCTTGGATTATAGGTGTGAGCCACCGTTCGTGGCCACATAGTTGTCATTTTTGCGTGTGTGGCGAGAGCCCTTACGATCTATTCTGCTAACAATGTTTAAGTACATAATACATTTTCACTAATTTGTCACCATGTTGCACAACAGATCTCTTGAATTTATTTTTTTCTATCTAAAATTGTGTACCCTCTGACCACGATCTTCCCAATCCCTACTCCCCTTCCCAAGCCCCTGGTCACCACCATTCCGCTCTCTGCTTCTGTGAGTTCAACTTTTTTTTTTTTTTTTTTTTTGAGACAGAGTCTCACTCTGTCGCCCAGGCTGGAGTGCAGTGGCGCAATCTCGGCTCACTGCAACCTCCGCCTCCCAGGTTCAAGCCATTCTCCTGCCTCAGCCTCCCGAGTAGCTGGGATTACAGGCATGCACCACCACGCCTGGCTAATTTTGAATTTTTAGTAGAGACGGGGTTTCTCCATATTGGTCAGGCTGGTCTCGAACTCCCAACCTCAGGTGATCTGCCCGCCTTGGTCTCCCAAAGTGCTGACAGGCGTGAGCCACCGTGCCCAGCCTCCCGAGTAGGTTTTGCCATGTTGGCCATGGCTAGTCTCGAAGGCCTGAGTTCAACTTTTTAATATTCCATGTATAAGTGAGGTTGTGCGATATTTGTCTTTCTGTATCTGGCTTATTTCATGTGGCATGATGTCCTGAAGGTTGACAATTACATCCATACTGTAAATGACAGGGTTTCCTTCCTTTCTAAGGCTGGATAGTATTTCCACTGTGTATATATACATTTCCTTTACCCATTGTCCACTGATGGAGACTTAGGTGATTCCATATGTTGGCTATTGTGAATAACTCTGCAATACACATAGGGGTGCAGACATCTCTTCCACACACTGGTTTCAGTTTCTTTGAGCATATACCCAGTAGTGGGATTGCTGCATCATGGAGGGTAAGCTTTTTTTGTTTTGTTTTGAGACAGAGTCTCGCTCTGTCGCTCAGGCTGGAGTGCAGCAATCTCGGCTCACTGCAAGTTCCGCCTCCCGGGTTCAAACTATTCTCCTGCCTCAGCCTCCCGAGTGGCTGGGACTACAGGTGCCTGCCACCACGCCCGGCTAATTTTTTGTATTTTTAGTAGAGATGGGGTTTCGCCATGTTGGCTAGGCTGGTCTCGATCTCCTGACCTCAGGGGATCCGCCTGCCTCAGCCTCCCAAAGTGCTGGGATTACAGGCGTGAGCCACCGCGCCCGGCCACAAAAGCAAATTTATGACAGGGACCTGGTGATGCGTGCTGCATCACACCACATCCTTCCATTCCTTTTCACAAAGAGACTCTAGTGGCTCATGCCTGTAATCCCAGCACTTTGGGAGGCCGAAGCGGGCGGATCACAAGGTCAGGAGTTCGAGACCAGCCTAGCCAACATGGCGAAACCCCATCTCTACTAAAAACACAAAAATTAGCCAGTCACGGTGGCTCACATCTGTAATCCCAGCACTTTGGGAGGCCAAGGCCCACAGATCACAGGGTCAGGAGTTCAAGACCAGCCTGGCCAACATGGGGAAACCCATCTCTACTAAAAATACAAAAATTAACCAGGCGTGGTGGCAGGCGCCTGTAATCCCAGCTACTTGGGAGGCTGAGGCAGGAAAATCACTTGAAACCGGGAGGCGGAAGTTGCAGGGAGCTGAGATCGTGCCACTGCACTCCAGCCTGGGCGACAAGAGTGAAACTTTGCCTCAACAACAACAACAACAACAACAAAAAAAAAAAAAAAAAGAAAAGAAAAGAAAAGAAAAAGAAATGATGCCAGGCATGGTGGCTCACGCCTATAATCCCAGCACTTTGGGAGATCGAGGCGGGTGGATCATCTAAAGTCAGGAGTTCGAGACCAGCCTGACCAACATGGTGAAACCCCATCTACTAAAAATACAAAAATTAGCCGGGCGTGGGGGCAGGTGCCTATAATCCCAGCTGCTCGGGAGGCTGAGGCAGGAGAATCGCTTGAACCTGGGAGACGGAGCTTGCAGTGAGCCGAGATCACAGCCACCGCACTCCAGCCTGGGCAGCAGAGCGAGACTCTATCTCAAAAATAAATAAATAAGTAAATAAGTAAATAAATAAATAAATAAATAAATAGATAGATAGATAGAAATGAGCTCTCAAGCCATGAAAAGACACAGAGGAACCTTAAATGCATATTACCAAGTGGTAGAATCCCATCTGAAAAGGCTACGCATTGTCTGATTCCAACAATATGACATTCTGGAAAAGGCAAAGTATGGAGACAGGAAAAGATCAGAGCTGCCAGGGGTTGGGCGAAGGAAGGATGAATAGGTGGTGCACAGAGGAATTTTAGGGCAATGGCTCTCCTCTGTCTAACACTGTGACGGTGGGTGCCTGCCATTAGACATTTGCCTGAACTCATAGGATGTGCAACAGGAAGACTGAGCGAGCCCTAATATGACTTTGGGTGATTACAATGTGTCAATGCAGGCTCATCAGTTGTAATAAAAATACCGCTCTGGTAGGGAACGCTGGTAATGGGGGAAGCTATGTAGGTGTCGGCGTAGGGAGTACATGGAAAATCTCTACCTTCCCCTCATTTTACTATGAACCTGAACCTGCTCTAAAAATAGTCTTTTTAAAACATTTTTCTTCCTCTTCCTCCTCTTCCTCTTCTTCCTCTTCCTCTTCCTCTTCTTCTTCTTTCTTCTTTCTTCTTCTTATTCTTATTTTATTTTATTTTTTTTGAGACGGAGTCTCGCTCTGTCGCCCAGGCTGGGGTGCAGTGGCGCGATCTCAGCTCACTGCAAGCTCCACCTCCCGGGTTCACACCATTCTCCTGCCTCAGCCTCCCCAGTAGCTGGGACTGCAGGCGCCCGCCACCACGCCCGGCTAATTTTTCTGTGTGTTTTTAGTAGAGACGGGGTCTCCCCGTGTTAGCCAGGATGGTCTCGATCTCCTGACCTCGTGATCCATCCGCCTCGGCCTCCCAAAGTGCTGGGATTACAGGCGTGAGCCACTGCGCCCGGCTAAAAATAGTCTTTTAAAGAAAATTTCTCAACCCAAGCACTACTGTATGGAGACAGGGAGGGTCTCCAGGGATTATAGGAATTTAATCAACTTGAGCAATCAGCCTGTTTCACAGCCTTCTGCCCTGCAGCCTGTTTTTCTCCAAACCCTGTGTGGAATGCGGCCACTCGTTGGTTGGAACCAGCCTCTGACGGGCCCTGGCAACTTAGAGATGAACCCGAGTGAACTTTCTGCACTGCTGCGCTCAAGTCTCCATCCCGGGAGGAGCTGTAGTCTCGTTACCGTAACATGCGACCCGTGTGCTGGTATGACGACTCGCTGCATCTGCGTGACTGGGACCCTCCTCCACATACAACGACGCGCCCTCTCCCTGCTCCCTCACCCCATAGAGCCCTCCTGTCCCTTTTCCTCAGGGAGACACTGCTTTGAAGAATACACCCAGTGCCTTCCTTAGCTGTGTCAAGTCATAAAACTCTTCTTGATCAAAACCTCTGTATTAGTTTGTTCTCATGCTGCTAATAAAGACATACCCGAGACTGGTTCATTTACAAAGGAAAGAAGTTTAATGGGCTCATAGTTCCACTTGGCTGGGGAGGGCTAACAATCATGGCGGAAGATGAAGGAGGAGCAAAGTCACGTCTTACATGGCAGCAGGCAAGAAAGAGCGTGCAGGGGCGCTCCCATTTATAAAACCATCAGATCTCGTGAGACTTATTCACTATCACGAGAACAGAATGGGAAAAACCTGCTCCCGTGATTCAGTCGCCTCCCACAGGTCCCTCCCATGACACGTGGGGATTATTATTATTATTATTTTGAGACGGAGTCTCGCTCTGTCACCCAGGCTGGAGTGCAACGGCGTGATCTCAGCTCACTGCAACCTCCACCTCCCAGGTTCAAGTAATTCTCCTGCCTCAGCCTCCCGAGTAGCTGGGACTACAGCTGCCCGCCACCACGCTCGGCTAATTTTTTGTATTTTTAGTAGAGACGGGTTTCACTGTGTTATCCAGGATGGTCTCGATCTTCTGACCTCATGATCTGCCTGCCTCAACCTCCCAAAGTGCTTGGATTACAGGCGTGAGTCACTGCCCCCCATCGACACGTGGGGATCATTACAATACCAGGTGAGATTTGGGTGGGGACACAGAGCCAAACCACATCACCTGCATTCTCGGGAGAGTTGTTTGCTCCTCACCAGGCAAAGGAACCCTGTTTTTTTCTGGGTAACACTGTTGACTTTCGGGGCTAGGTTATTCCTTGGGGGAGGAGCTGTCCTGTGCATCCCCCGCCTCCACCCCCCACCACCCAGAAGCATCCCCCTCTCCTCTGGGTTGTGACAATCAAAAGTGTCTCCAGACTTTCCCTAGTGTCTGCATTTGGGACCCTTCTATTATTACTGCTGATTCCATGAGTACATGGTAATTACCCGCTGAGTTCCAGGGACTCCACTATAATTATCCAGCTGGTTTTGGGAGCTCCTGGTGCAATTATCCAGCTGGTTCCTGAGACTGCACCGCGATTCCTTAGCTGATTTCCATGACTCTACACACTGCCAGCGCCTGTACATAATTATACACTAGTTTCTAGAGCCTTTCTGTAATTATTCAGCCTTTTATAGAAATCTAATCATAACTACCTGGGCAATTTGTTTTGTTAAGTAGAGTGCTAATGAGTGGTCGCCAATGTTTCAGCTCCTCTTCTGAGTACCAGGGACGTGGGTAGAACTTTGATCCTATCTTATCCTTACAGGATATTGAGAGGAGAGGAGAGAAGTTGACATGGCACCACCCAGTGGAATGACATAGTCAGCACAGAGTGCAGTGGGAGCACAGAGGAAGAGTGCCAGGCCCATCGTGTCCAGCTGTGTAGGTTGTGCACTGCACAACTCTGGGGTCATATCACAAACTGTGAGTGTGAAGAGCCTTGTAAGGCTTCCAGGACAGGTTTCTAGGGGTCACCAGATGCAGTTCTAGAGCAAGGCTGAGGAATCCTGACTCCTAGAAAGAAGGGGGCAGGGAATTGCTGAGGACGTTTGAAGTCTAATGGGATGACACGTCCCCTGCTGTGACAGGCAGCTCAGGTTTCTAGTTGAAGTCTGGGAAGAAGAAGGCTCCATGAAGGCGCTTCTATTTGGAGTCATTTGTGTTACTTCCCAGCTCACTCAGGGTGATCATGGTGACCAACAGGGCTCTACACAGGACCTGTGGCCCCAACCCTCACCCCTCTGCATTCTCTTCCTGCCACTTCCCTCTTCCTACCCCTCTGTCTGCAACTGCCACACTATTCCCCCTGCTGAGCTTTGCACCCTCCAGACCCCCTGGACCACCGCTGCACTTTCTCATTTATCCAAATCACTCTCACCTTCTAGCTGACTGTGACTGTATAATGCCTGTGGGTTACTGCCCCTCTCCTTCTGCAAGAATATAAGCTCTTCCATGGAAAGGGTGTTTGTTTTCTATATTGGTGGACCTCTAGAGCCTCAAACAGTGTCTGGCACACAGGACAGGACCAACAAATACTTACTGAATGAAAAAAATGAATGCCAGATGGAAAAAATAAAAATGAACTAAGCAGGGAGTTTCTCCACTGTGGCCACAAGAGGGAGCCCAAGCTATGTGTTAAACCCTTCCAGCACTAAGGTGGGTGGTCTCTCTGCTCCTCAGCCTGGAGGACCAGGGACAGGTGTGACCTGAACCACGTCCTTTCTCCTCTGTGAGCCTCTATTTCCCCATGTGTAGCGTGGAGATGGAAATGCCTGAAAGGAGTTCCCGTAAGAAGCGGAAAAACCAACAACGCATGCACGTGAATGTCTTCCAAGGGGTTATTGCATGTGTCCAAATTCATCTGATTGTGTACATTAAGTGAGAAGGTTTTTTAGTAGAACAATTATAGCTAAACAAAGCTGCTAAAAATAAATGGAACAAAAATAAAGGAGAATTGCATTGAACAACAACATCCAAACCATTAGGCTAGCACAGGAAACTTGAAGGAGAGTAATCCAGCCCCTGATAAATCAACAGAGTAAGAAATATTAGTTACAGAAAGTGACCATAATGTTACCTTGGGATATTATTAAAGCATAAAACTAAATGGAAATTATGAAGCTGAAAAGTACAATAAATTTCTAGCAAGAGCCGGATGTGGTGGCTCATGCCTGTAATCCCAGCATTTTGGGAGACTGAGGGGAGTGGATCACCTGAGGTCAGGGGTTTGAGACCAGCCTGGCCAACATGGTGAAACCCCGTCTCTACTAAAAATACAAAAACTTAGCCAGGCATGGTGGTGCATGCCTGTAATCCCAGCTACTCAGGAGGCTGAGGCAGGAGAATTGCTTGAACTCGGGAGGTGGAGGTTGCAGTGAGCCGAGATTGCGCCATTGCACTCCAGCCTGGGCAACAAGAGCGAAACTCTGTCTCAACAATAACAACAACAGCAGCAACAACAACAAAAATCCTAGCACGATGAAGACATATTCACTAAAATCAATCATATGTCTATATACTGACAAAAATAATTCAATAATGAAATTAGGAGAGCAATTTTATTTACAAAGCCTCAAAAATAATAAAATGAATAGAAACCAATTTAATAAAGAAATGCAAGATGTGTACACTAAGAACTACAAAAGATTGCTGAGGGAAATTAAAGATCTAAATAAAGAGAGAAACACTTCATACATTCACAATGGCATGCAAAATAATAAGAAATAAAATTGGGCCAGGTGCAGTGGCTCACGCCTGTAATCCCAGCACTTTGGGAAGCCAAGGTGGGTGGATTGCTTGAGTTTGGGAGTTTGAGAACAGCCTGGGCAACATGGTGAAACCCTAGCTCTACAAAAAATACAAAAATTAACTGGGTATGGTGATGTGTGCCTATAGTCCCAGCTACTTGGGGGGCCAAGGTGAGAGGATGGCTTGAGCCCAGGAGGCAGAGGCTGCAGTGAATTGAGATTGCTCCACTGCACTCCAGGCTGGGTGACAGAGTGAGACTCTGTTTCAAAATAAAAAGATGAAATAAAACGAACAAAACATGTTATCTTACAAAGCAGTATCATAATTTTAGGAACACACTGACCACATCCTTCCTCATTCTTAGGAAAGGAATCATGCTTCTGGAGGTTGCCCTGTGGCCCTGTAATCACGTCCAAATATACGTGATTGGTAAACGTGAAATCATTAAGATGAGTTCCATGAAAAATAAGAAAACAGCAAGAAATAAAGTCAGAACTCAAAAGTGTTTTTTGTTTTGTTTTGTTTTGTTTTTGAGATGGAGTCTCGCTCCATCGCCCAGGCTGGAGTGCAGTGGCACGATCTCGGCTCACTGCAACCTCCACCTCGCGGGTTCAAGGAATTCTCCTGCCTTAGCCTCCCGAGTAGCTGGGACTACAGGCGCCAGCCACCACGCCCGGCTAATTTTTGTATTTTTAGTAGGGACAGGGTTTCACCTTGTTGGTAAGGCTGGTCTCGAACTCACCTCAGGTGATCCACCTGCCTCGGCCTTCCGAAGTGCTGGGATGACAGGCGTGAGCCACCGCGCCCGGCCCAAAAGTGTTTTATAAGGGTTGTTGGGATGACATTGTTAATTTCTACAATGTGCTCCAGTCTGAAGGACTGCAGACTGTGGATGGGGAGCTCAAGTTCAAAGGCCACCTTCTTCCCTTCCTAGCGGAGGATCTTTGGGCAAGCTGCTTAACTTTGCTGTGACGCTGTTTCTGCGTTGGTAAGAGGAGTAGCAATAGTATCCAACGTGAGTGTTTTAGGGGTCGTGAGATGAGTCAGTGCATGCCCAGTGCTTTGAACTGTATCTTGACAAAGCGAGAGCTTCATAGCCACTGTTATTGTGGTATCTCGTCTTTGAGCCACCACCTTTCCATCTGTAAAACAGACTTGGGGTGCTCCATCTCTCCAGTCTTGAAAGGTTCTTTGCAGTAGTTTGCAGTGTAGCAGGTCGTGCTGGGGCCCGAGAGGACTCCAAAGCAGTTCTTGTCCTGGAAAGTCTCAGCTTCCGGGGGCGCTGAGACGCCAGCTGCTGTTATGGCAGCTGAGTCCTGTACGGCACAGAGACACGGGACTGAACGTGAAGGCTGGAGAAGGGGGAGAAACTTGGAGGAGGGAAACTTGCTGCAGAGAAAATTTGGAAAGGTGGGGAGAGAGGAAGGCGTTGCCCGGGGGCACTGGGAGTCTGGGGAAGCCGTGGCATCCAGGTGGAGACGTTCAACAGGCAGCGAGAGTTTCGCCCGCAAGCAGGGAGGAGGGAGCTCACTTTTGTTTCTGAACCGGGGAGGCCGGGTTCTGTGCTGGGAGTTTACTCTGCACGGCTGCAGTTACTGCTGCACGGGAGTTACTGCTGCACGGGAGTTACTGCTGCACGGCTTTACTCCTCCCAGAGCCAGCGTCCTCGTCTATATATAAAACAGAGGTGAACATAGGAACCCTCTACAGGATCCTCGTGGGGATTAAATGAGGCTCGCAGATGGAAGCTGTTGCCTGCTGCGGAGCCTCTTCCTGCAGACGCAGATGTGGGTGTGGATAACACAGATCTGGGCGCAGATCTGCAGGGGCAGGTGCATCCGCCCCTCCCTGCGAGGATGGGAGCCCAGCCTTGCGCCGTGACTCCCAGGAGGGGAGGTTTTCTTCTAGGTACGGAGGCTCTTCTAGGGCTGGACACAGGCATCAGCCCGCAAGTTGCTGCTACTTAGGATGAGAGCAATGTGGGAACTGGCGCCCACAATCGACTTCTGTGAAGAAAAAAACAGGAACTTGAACTTGGGTGAAAAGTTGAGCGTCGTGGAATGCCTGGGAAAATAATTTTTAAAAAATTTAATACAGATAAAGGCAGAATAGCCACTACACACACCCTAGGTGCTGAGGCTCACGGGGCACACCTATGGGAGTCTCCCGGACCCCCAAACCTATAGAAGCTCTCTGCAGACACTTGCAATTACAAAAAAAAAAAAACCTTACTCTATCGAGGAATAATTGACATATAAAAAGCAGTATGTATTTAACATATACGACTTGATGAGTTTGGAGATGAGTATGCCCTGTGTGTCAACACCACAGTTTACGACATAAACCCATCCACCACCTCTCACAGGTTCCTCCCGTCTATTTGTATATTATTATTGTTTGATACTATTTTTATGGCCACATATCAATTTGTGATGATAAGAGCACTTAACAAAAGATCTATCTTCTCAGCAAATGTGTAAGCACACAATACTGTATTGTTACCTGCTGGCACTACACCGCACAGGAGGCTCTGAGACCTCCTCATCTTGCATGACTGAAACTCTAGGGAGAAAATCTGAAGGGGTCAGTCACAGAAGGAGGTCTTGACACCTTATCTGTTTCCACCTAAGCCTGTACTCCCAGCTCCTCATAGGTGGCCATTTTATTTTATCTTCTTAAACAAAAATAATTTTGTTTTTCCTAGTTACGACTGACACATGCTTAATGTAAAAAAATTCGGCCAGCACGGTGGCTCACCCCTATAATCCCAGCACTTTGGGAGGCTGAGGTGGGCAGATCGCCTGAGGTCGGGAGTTTGAGACCAGCCTGACCAACATGGGGAAACCCTGTCTCTACTAAAAATACAAAATTAGCTGGGCGTGGTGGCGTATGCCTCTAATCCCAGCTACTCAGGAGGCTGAGGCAGGAGAATCACTTGAACCCGGCAGGCGGAGGTGGTGGCGAGCCGAGATTGCACCATTGCACTCCAGCCTGGGCAACAAGAGTGAAACTCCATCTCAAAAAAAAAAAAAAATTCACCCAGGCATGGTGGCTCACACCTGTAATCCAAGCATTTTGGGAGACAGAGGCAGGCGGATCGCTTGAGCCCAGGAGTTAGATACAAAATACAAAAATTAGCCGGGTGTGCGTGGCACGCTTCTGAAGTCCCAGCTACTCGGGAGGCTGAGTTGGGAGGTTGACCTGAGCCCTGCGAGGTTGAGAGTGCAGTGAGCTACGATCGCGTCCTGCACTTCAGCCTGGGTGACAAGAGCAGGACCCTTTCTTTAAAAAAAAAAAGTCCAGGGACCAGGCGCGGTGGCTCATGCCTGTAATCCCAGCATTTTGGGAGGCCAAGGCTGGTGGATCACAAGGTCAGGAGATTGAGACCATCCCGGTCAACACGGTGAAACCCCATCTCTACTAAAAATACAAAAAATTAGCCTGGCGTGGTGGCGGGCGCCTGTGGTCCCAGCTACTTGGGAGGCCGAGGCAGGAGAATGGCATGAACCCAGAAGGCAGAGCTTGCAGTGAGCCGAGATGGCACCACTGCACTCCAGCCTGGGCGACAGAGCGAGACTCCGTCTCAAAAAAAAAAATCCAAATAAAACAACTCATAAAAAATGAAATGAGAGAATTTGAAACCCTCATTACCTCATGTTAATCACAGCAAACATTTCTGTTAACACTTTCTCAGAAATCTCTCCTTCCATAAACATGTGTGTAAATGTACATATATAACTTAATGTATGTAACTTCTACATACATGTGTTTTTCCTGTTTTGTTCACTCAACAATACCCTTGACATCTTTCATGTCAATAAAAGTAAAACAACATCATCCTTTTTTTTTTTTTTTCTTTGAGACAGAGTTTCGCTGTGTGGGGCAGCCCGGAGTGCAGTGGCACGATCTCAGCTCACTGCAACCTCCGCCTCCCAGGCTCAAGTGATTCTCCTGCCTCGGCCTCCTGAGTAGCTGGGATTACAGGTGTGCGCCACCATGCCAAGCTATTTTTTTTATTTTTAGTGGAGATGAGGTTTCATCCTGTTGGTCAGGCTGGTCTCAAACTCCTGACCTCAGGTGATCCGCCCGCCTTGGCCTCCCAAAGTGCTGGGATTACAGGCATGAGCCGCCGTGCCCGGCCAGCAGCATCATTTTTAATGCTAATCCAGTATTTCATTGCATAGGGGTGCCATTATTTAACCTTTAAATGTCCAGTAAACAATGGCCAATATTGTTTCTGATTCACTATTCGTTCTACAAGTATTTGCTGAGCATCTATTATGTGCCAGGCCCTAAGTACCGGTGATAGAGTGATGATCAAGACAGACAAGGTCCCTGGCCAAGTGAAGTCTCCATTCTAATGGGGAGAGAGGGACAGCGTACAAGTCAAAGAGTAGATAATTAGAAAGGAGGATGAACGTCAAGAGAGAATGAAGACAAATCTTCTTAGCAAAGGGATGGGTGTCAGGGGAGTGGACTTCTTTCAACAGAGTGATCTGAGAAGGCCCTTCTTGCTAAGATGATGCTGAGCAGAGACCTGGAGGCTGTGGTGCAAAGCAGGAGGTCGGTGCACCCAGGCAGAGACGCAGAGTCCCAAGGCAGGGAGGGACCTGGTGTCTTCAAGGAACAGCAGGAATGTCATGTGGCCTGAGGGCAGGGAGTGAGGGGCACAGGGACCAACATGAAACTGGAGAGGTGAGTGAGTGTCCCGTAGGTCACAGAGTTTGGGTTTTGGGCGAAGTACATCATGAATCACTGGAGATTTCAATGGTAGCGAGACATGATTTGACTGACCCTTTGAAAACATCACCCTGGCTACAATGAGGAGAACAGCTAAGAAGCAGCAAATGAACACAGAGACACCACTTAGGGAATGTTCCCTGGACGAGGGGAGAGAGGGTGAACCTGGCGCCGTGGTGCTGGCAAGCAGTGTCTGCATGAGGACAGATTCTGGAGGTAGAACAAGGGGAGAGGGTGAGAAAGAGGAGCAGTCGAGGTGATTTCTAGGACCGCAGCTTGTTCAGGTGGTGGACGGGGAAGAAAACGTGGGAGAGCCACAATTTTAACTTTCTCATATTAATCCTTCCAGTGTTTGTTTCTGGGTGAATATGAGTCAATATGAATGTATATTCTGATTCCCCCAATTCTTGGCACAATACAGATGACATCCTGATGTCGTTTAATCTCTAAGAATACACTCTGGGATCTCTCCATAGGAATACATAGGCTATTTTCTTCCTTCCTTCCTTCCTTCATTCCTTCCTTCCTTCCTCCCTCCCTCCCTCCCTCCCTCCCTCCCTCCCTTTCTTTCTTTTTTTTTTTTTTTTTTTTTTTTGAGACGGAGTCTCGCTCTGTCGCCCAGGCTGGAGTGCAGTGGCGGGATCTCGGCTCACTGCAAGCTCTGCCTCCGGGTTCACGCCATTCTCCTGCCTCAGCCTCCCAAGTAGCTGGGACTACAGGCGCCCGCCACTACGCCCGGCTAATTTTTTGTATTTTTAGTAGAGACGGGGTTTCACCGTTTTAGCCGGGATGGTCTCGATCTCCTGACCTTGTGATCCGCCCGCCTCGGCCTCCCAAAGTGCTGGGATTACAGGCGTGAGCCACCGTGCCCGGCCCTTTCTTTCATTTTTTGAGACAGAGTCTCACTCTGTTGCCCGGGCTGAAGTACAGTGGTGCAATCTCAGTTCACTCCAACCTCCACCTCCCGGGTTCAAGCAGTTCTCCTGCCTCAGCTTCTGGAGTGGCTGGGACTACAGACATGCCTGGCTAATTTTTTTGTATTTTTAATAGAGACAGGGTTTCACCATGCTGGCCAGGCTGGTCTGGAACTACTGACCTTGTGATCTGCCCGCCTCGGCCTCCCAACGTGCTGGGATTACAGCCGTGAGCCACTGCACCCGGCCACAGGCTATTTTCAAACGCATTTCTCCCTTGTCAACTTCCAGAGTGACTGATGAGAAGTCTGATGTGATTATAATAATAGAAACCGGCCGGGCGCGGTGGCTCACGCCTGTAATCCCAGCACTTTGGGAGGCCGAGGTGGGCGGATCACGAGGTCAGGAGATCGAGACCATCCTGGCCAACATGGTGAAACCCCATCTCTACTAAAAATACAAAAAATTAGCCGGGCGTGGTGGCGGGCGCCTGTGGTCCCAGCTACGCGGGAGGCTGAGGCAGGAGAATGGCGTGAACCCGGGAGGCAGAGCTTGCAGTGAGCTGAGATCGCGCCACCGCACTCCAGCCTGGGCGACAGAGTGAGACTCCGTCTCAAAAAAAAAAAAAAAAAAAAAAAAAAAATAGAAACTTAGTGCACAGTTGTCTGTTTTCTCTCACCTAGAATATGTTTATTTTCTTTTTCTTTTGTTTCTGAAAGCGTCGTGACAATGCACCTGGGTGAGTTCCTTGGGCACTTACTGGGGCATTTCTTCTGTTAACCTTGTGTTTGCTGCTTTTCTGGACCCTTCCTGCACCTCCCCTTGACTTCCTTTCTCCTTCCAGCTCCACAAGTTGCATGCTCAGTAAGTAATTTCCCAAACTTCGTGTTTTCTAAAAAAAAAAAAAAAGTGTACATTTTCCCCTAAGTAGGACTTTTATTGCATTCAGCAAGTTTCGATATGAATCACTGTCTCTGCTCATTTCTAAATATTTTATGTCTCCTGTGTTTTTTAAGTCTGAACTCATAAGTTGTACTGAATTTTTAGTTTTAAAAATGTATTTTTAAATCTTTTAATATTTAATCTTTTACATAAATTTGTAGTCACAGAATATGGTCTGTATTTCTTTTTTTTCTTTTCTTTTTCTTTTCTTTTCTTTTTTCTTTTTTTTTTTTTTTTTTTTTTTTTTTTTGAGACGAAGTTTTGCTCTTGTTGCCCAGGCTGGAGCGCAATGGCACAATCTCGGCTCACTGCAACCTCCACCTCCCGAGTTCAAGCAATTCTCCTGCCTCAGCCTCCCAAGTAGCTGGGATTACAGGCATGCACCACTACGCCCGGCTAATTTTGTGTTTTTAGTAGAGACGGGGTTTTGCCATGTTGGCCAGGCTGGTCTCGAACTCCTGACCTCAGGTGATCCGCCCTCCTCGGTCTCCCAAAGTGCTGGGATTACAGGCATGAGCCACTGTGCCCAGTCATGGTTTGTATTATATGAAGTTTTTGGAAGATTTTGAGACTTCCTGGGTGGATTAATAAGTCATCAATTTTTGTAAATGCTTCATTTGTTCTTGAAAAGGATGTGGATTCTCTGCTGATGCTGTTTTGTACATATAATGACAACACCAATAATGAAAATATAACAGCGACAATAACAATCATATTAACGATAAACGTTAGAGCTCTTACCAGATGACAGGCTCAGTCTGACTACTTTTTTTAAAGAAAGCATGCTTACTTTTGCCTTATATTTATGATTATGATTATGATTATTTTTTGAGATGGAGTTTTGCTCTCGTTGCCCAGGCTGGAGTGCAATGGTTTGATCTCTGCTCACTGCAACCTCTGCCTCCCGGGTTCAAGCGATTCTCCTGCCTCAGCCTCCTGAGTAGCTGGGATTACAGGCATGTGCTACCACGCCCAGCTAATTTTGTATTTTTAGTAGAGGCAGGGTTTCTCCCTGTTGGTCAGGCTGGTCTCAAACCCCCGACCTCAGGTGATCCGCCCTCCTCAGCCTCCCAAAGTGCTGGGATTACAGCTGTAAACCACCATGCGCAGCCGATTATTTTTTATTTGTATACGTTTATGGGGTACGAGTGTAACTTTGTTGCATGGATAGATTCCAGAATGATGAAGTTAGGGCTTTCAGGGATCCACTAACCCAGTGACATACATTGTATCCGTTACGTAATTTTTTTTTTTTTTTTTTTTTTTTGACGGAGTCTTGCTCTGTCACCCAGGCTGGAGTGCAGTGGCGTGATCTCAGCTCACTGCAACCTCTGCCTCCCGGGTTCAAGCGATTCTCCTGCCTCAGCCTATCTGATTACTTTTAACATAATAACTCACCGAATAGTCACAAAAATTTTATGAGTTCTGTACAATTACTTTGTATTTTTTTTTTTTTTTTTTTTTTGAGACGGAGTCTTGCTCTGTCGCCCAGGCTGGAGTGCAGTGGCGCGATCTCAGCTCACTACAAGCTCCACCTCCCGGGTTCACGCCATTGTCCTGCCTCAGCCTCCCGAGTAGCTGGAACTACAGGCTTGCGCAACCACGCCCGGCTAATTTTTTGTATTTTTAGTACAGACGGGGTTTCACCGTGTTAGCCAGGATGGCCTCGATCTCCTGACCTCGTGATCCGCCCGCCTCGGCCTCCCAAAGTGCTGGGATTACAGGCGTGAGCCACCTTGCCCGGCTGAAAAATTTTTTTTACAGAGGAAGAAGTAGAGGAACAGAGAGGTTAATAAACTTACTCTAAAGTCACAAAGCTTATAACTGGTACAACCATAATTAAAAGCTAGAGATCTGGCTTCTAGAATTGTACTCAGTAATCATGCCCTTGTAGCCTTCCTTATACTTCCTATATACTGTATATGTCTATTCATTCATAAGTTTAGAGATTTTAGATACTCAACAAATATTCATTCAAAAAAATTTATTGAGTATCTATTGTGTGCCAGGGACTGTCCTAGGTGCAGGGACACTATAGGAAACACTGCAGAAAAAACATCTATGACTTCATGGAGATATATTCTAATGGGGGGGCAGATCATAAACAATATTAATAAATAAAATATATGCAAGATTAGTGATATATGCTGAAGAAAGAAAAAAAGGCAGTGAGAGGTGATATGAAATCTGGAGGGAGTGTTGCAACTTTAGATAGGATGGTCCAAGAAGACCTGAAGGAGAAGGGAATATTGGAGTCAAGAGTGAAGGAGGCAGAGAGTGAGCCCCATGCATCTCTGGGGGAAGAGTGTTCCAGGCAGAAAGCATGGCACATGCAAAGGTCCTGAGGCAGATGCATGCTTGGTGTATTCTAGGAACAGCAAGGATGTCCATGTGGCTGGATCAGGGTCACGAAGGGGAAAGTGGGAGGAGATACAATCAGAGTGCTAAGCCAAGAGGTGGGTGGGGGAGAGAAGATGCAAAGTCTTGTCAATATGACCTTGGTGGGAAGTTCTGGAACGCTTTTGGGCATAAGAGTGTATTAGTCCATCCTGGGTGCCAATTTTCTGTATTAGTCCGTTCTTGTATTGCTGTAAAGAAATACCTGGCACTGGGAAACTTACAAAGAAAAGAAGTTTAATTGGCTCATGGTTCTGCAAGCTGTACAGGAAGCACAGTGGCTTCTGCTTGGCTTCTGGGGAGGCCTCAGGAGGCTTTCAGTCATGGTGGAAGGCAAAGGAGGAGCAAACACTTTACATGGCTGGAGCAGGAGGGAGAGAGAGAGAGAGAAGAGAGGTGCCATACACTTTTAAACAACCACATCTAATGAGGACTCACTCACTATCGTGAGAACAGCACCGAAGGGGATGGTGACAAACCATTCATGCTGGAGCCACCCCCATGAGCCAATCACCTCCCACCAGTCCCCACCATTCATACCGGAGCCACCCCCATGAGCCAGTCACCTCCCACCAGTCCCCACCATTCACGCAGGAGCCACCCCCATGAGCCAATCACCTCCCACCAGTCCCCACCATTCACGCAGGAGCCACCCCCATGAGCCAATCACCTCCCACCAGTCCCCACCATTCATGCAGGAGCCACCCCCATGAGCCAGTCACCTCCCACCAGTCCCCACCATTCATGCAGGAGCCACCCCCATGAGCCAATCACCTCCCACCAGTCCCCACCTCCAACACTGGAGATGACAATTCGACATGAGATTTGGTGGGGACACAGATCCAAACCATACTAAGGAGTGACACAAAGTGGCCAGTGCTTTTGCTATACTGCCATTTTATTGCCAAATCGTATTTTATGATCAGCATGCCTTATTTTATGGAATTGGACTTGCACTTTGGAGGGAGACTTTGATTTTCATGAAGGCATGTGGCATGCATGTGATAATGATGCCAGCAGTCCAGGTAAGCTGCTGTCAGCCCTTTCTCCAGGACATCACCCCCCGGTGTGAGTAGCTGGGCATTACCCTTGTACTTCCACTCTGGGGGCTGGTCACTAGGACCTGGCGGCAGGTACCCGGGACCTTCACTCTCTAAGAAGACACCTTGGGTTTCACCTGATGACCACTCCTTGCTCCTGAGGGGCATCCTTCCTGCTCTACCTGGACGTTGCTTTTGTTGTGTTCCTCTCAGCCACCTGTACAGGGACCATTGCTTCCAATGAAGAGGTCTTCTCCAAGAAGGGCTCCTTCCAAATTCATGGTCTTGATTAATGCAAAAATTTCACAGGAATAATAAAACATTTCATAGGAATCAGCTCTTGGCTAATTTTCCCCCATTGCCTGATCATCTTTTGAGTCATTTACTGCTTAATCTTTTGTAGAATCCACCTTCTTTTGACAAAGCTCTGTTCTCAAGGGAATGATTTCCCAGAATGACAGCCATAAAGTTAGCTATTGTCTTCTCTCATCCGGACCCACCCAAAACTCCAGAAACGAGCTTGGCTGGCACGGTGCATGAGCAGGCATCCCTGTGGCTTGGAGCAGCCATTGCTGTGTCTGATTGGCTGTGATCCTTGGGAGAATCGTTATCTTCTTACAAGACAACTCTGCTACTGTGTGGAGAACAGATTAATAGAGGAGGAATGTTAGATGCAAGAAGGATTAGTTAGGAAGCTCTTGCAATGATCCAGGTACAGCAGACAGTGGTTCAGGCTCGGGTGGTCTCCAAGAGGTGGAGAGAAATGATACTATTCTGGAGATATTTCAAAGGGAAATGTCTGATAATGTACTCACAGCTGTGGGATATGAGGAAAAACATGGAGTCAAGGGTAACACTTATTTTTTTTTTTTGCCCAAATAACTAGTGGCTGGAATTCTCATTTACTGAGATGGGAAAGACCTTAGGAGGAGGAGATTTGGGAGTGAATATAAGCAACTTATATTATAACATGTTATAAACACGTGAGGTTTAAGTTCCTACTGGACATCTACTGTGTGGCTTGATGTTTTTGATTCATTTTAGGAAATATTGTTCAGTAACCCTTCCAATATCGTGTCTGCCTTTCTCTTTCTCTGTCTTTCTTCCCCTTATGGGATTCCAGTTGTACATATGTTAAGTATTTTCACCATGTCCCGTATTTTCTTTTTTTTTCTTTTTCTTTTTTGAGATGGAATCTCACTCTGTCACCCAGGCTGGAGTGTAGTGGCACCATCTCGGTTCACTGCAACCTCCGCCTCCTGGGTTCAAGCGATTCTCCCGCCTCAGCCTCCTGAGTAGCTGGGATTACAGGCATGCGCCACTGAGTCCGGCTAATTTTGTATTTTTAGTAGAGATGGGGTTTCTCCCTGTTGGTCAGGCTGATCTCAAACCCCCAAGCTCAGGTGATCCACCCGCCTTGGCCTCCCAAAGTATTGGGATTACAGGTGTGAGCCACCGCGTCCGGCTGTGTTTGTTCTTATATTTGCTAGTTCTTTGTTGAAATTCTTCATCCTGCTCCTACTCAGCTTTTTGGTCTCTCATCTGCTGCCTTTAGTTTCAGAATCAGCAAACCGTTAACATAAAACTAACCTCAAAGGATAAAGTCCCCTTGCTTGGTTTCCTTCCTCTTTTATGTCTTGGAACCCTAAATTCTCTCTGCCTTGGAAGCATGCCAAGTTCTACAGACAGATGTTCTTTGGTTTTTGTTCATCTTTTACAGTTGTTGTTGTTTTTTTTGTTTTTTTTTTGTTTTTGAGACGGAGTCTCACTCTGTTGCCCAGGCTGGAGTGCAGTGGCGCGATCTCGGCTCACTACAATCTCCACCTCCCGGGTTCAAGCGATTCTCCTGCCTCAGCCTCCAGGGTAGCTGGGACTACAGGAACCCACCAACACGCCTGGCTAATTTTTGTATTTTTAGTAGAGAAGGGGTTTCACCATGTTGGCCAGGATGGTCTCGATCTCTTGACCTCATGATCTGCCTGCCTCGGCCTCCCAAGGTGATGGGATTACAGGCGTGAGCCACCGCGCCTGGCCTAAAGTTTTTTTTTTTTTTTTTTTTAATTAACGGTGAGAAGTTTAGTCTAAAACAACCTAGTCAGATATTTCTGGAAGCCAAACTTCCATCAGCATTTCTTCTGAGCCTACCTCCCAGTCATAAATCCACATATTTACTGAAATTCCTGCTGTGATAATTCCAGTGCAAACAAATCATCACTGTCCTGGAAGGCAAGAACTTTTTAACTGGTCTATCCACACTTGGTTTTTCTTGTTTTCTTTAAGAAATACAATGATATATCAATAATAGGTAAGGACGGCCGGGTGCGGTGGCTCACGCCTGTAATTCCAGCATTTTGGGAGGCCGAGGTGGGTGGATCATGAGGTCAGGAGATGCAGATCAGCCTGGTCAACATGGTGAAACCTCGTCTCTACTAAAAATACAAAAGTTAGCCAGGCGTGGTGGTGGGCGCCTGTAGTCCCAGCTACTCAGGAGGCTGAGACAAGGAGAATTGCTTGAACCTGGGAGGCGGAGGTTGCAGTGAGCCGAGATCATGCCACTGAACTCCAGCCTGGGTGACAGAGCAAGACTCTGTCTCAATAATAATAATAATAATAATAATAATAATAATAATAATAATAATAGGTAAGGACATACTTTCTTCCTGGGTTGAAATCCAGTTCCTTCCATGAAATTATGCATGTTAATACATGACACTAATCAAACTAATTAACCTCTGAGTTCAGTGTTCTCATCATTAAAATGAGTCTAGTGATGAAAACACCTTTCCAAAGTTGTTGGGAAAATTAAGTAAACTATCCATACTGGGGACTCAGGGCAGTGTCTGGCATAAAGTAAATGCTCAGAAAACGTTACCTCTTACTGTTTTTGCTTCGTGCAATTCTGACTTCAGGAAGTGGTCTTACAGATACATTTTAGACAAAAATATGATGATGCCATACTTATGCTCAAAACCTGTCCCACTCTCTTGAGGGTAAAATACCAAAACTTTATTTGGCCTTTTAGAGACTCCTGCTCAATCAGTACACATATTCTTCGTATTATTTTTCCATCTGGAGTCCACTCAACTTACAACAGGAAAAATTGTCTCCTGATTAGGGCTTTCACAGAAGCTGTCTCCTCCGTCCACGTCTCCCCCAGCTGCTCTTCCTGTCGCCAGCTCGTCAGTCCTCAGCCCCAATTCCACTCCACACTGCAGGTGGCTTCCCTGGAGTTAGCTCTGAGGGTTGAGTCCCCTTTTCACACAAGGTCGTAGGATTTTTTTTTTTTTCTGAGACGGAGTCTTGCTCTGTCCCCAGGCTGGGGTGCAGTGGCTCGATCTCGGCTCACTACAACCTCTGTCTCCCAGGTTCAAGTGATTCTCATGCCTCAGCCTTCCAAGTAGCTGGGACTACAGGTGTGCACCACCACACCCAGCTTAGTTTTGTATTTTTAGCAGAGACGGGGTTTCACCATGTTGGCCAGGATGGTCTCCACCTCTTTTTTTTTTTTTTTTTTTGAGATGGAGTCTCGCTCTGTCGTCCAGGCTGGAGTGCAGTGGCACGATCTTGGCTCACTGCAAGCTCCGCCTCCCAGGTTCACGCCATTCTCCTGCCTCAGCCTCCCAAGTAGCTGGGACTACAGGTGCCCGCCACCATGCCCGGCTAATTTTTTTGTATTTTTAGTAGAGATGGGGTTTCACCGTGTTAGCCAGGATAGTCTCGATCTCCTGACCTTGTGATCTACCTGTCTTGGCCTCCCAAAGTGCTGGGATTACAGGCGTGAGCCACCGCACCCGGCTGGTCTCCATCTCTTGACCTTGTGATCTGCCTGCCTTGGCCTCCCAAAGTGCTGGGATTACAGGCGTGAGCCACTGCGCCTGGTCACATTCAGATTTTTTATTTAAAAGGCACGGATGAGCCCTTTCCACTCTCTCTTCCTCTTTCCCCTCACTGGTAACAGAGCACTCCAAGGTTCTAGGGGAGGTTGGACCCCAAAGTTGGAAGAATCTGGGCACCTGAGTCACCTGATGGAGGAGCTCCAACTGCCAACCGGGGGCCCCCATATGGACGTGTCACCCAGTGAGAAGTGAGCCTTCCATTGTGACAAACTGCAGGTATTTCAAGGCTAATTTGTTAAAATCTACGGTTAATATGCTATATATGACTTTTGAATAGTCAGAGGTGTGCCCTCCACATTAGACTGTGAGGTCCGTTGACTTGTGTGGCTCGTCTCTGACACAGACTCAAGCCCTTAATAGGCGCCTGGAAACGTATGTTTTCGTTCACACAAAAAGGAAGTTGACCAAGCCCCCTTGATGAAGCCTCACTGGGGAGGTGGCCCATCGAAGGTTGTATATTGTGAATGGGGCGAAGGCAGCGTCGCCGTCTCCTTCAAGTCTGACCTCCAGGTTGGTGTTCAGATTCCCCCTCCACACCCCACAGCCGTGGTTGCCCGTCTGGATTTGGTGTTTGGGTCAGAGATGACGTTCGGGCCGGGCGTATGGATGATGATGTCCAAGGAGACAGTTCTCTCCTTTACCCCAGTCACAGGAAGGAAGAACTAAGCCTCATGGTGACTTCCTGGGAGATACGTGGTAAGAAGCCACAAGACGGTTGGGACTGAGTCTCTGCGCACCGCATCCTGAGCCTCTGCATTCTGCACAGCGGGGCGGGCGCAGGCAGCACGGTGCCCCTTACCATGCTTTCTTCCTGGACTTTCCCTTGACCAGTCTTGGCACGGCAGGCGAGGGATTGAGGGATTGGGGCTGGGAGGTGGGGAAGACAGCTCTCTCCCTGGGCCCATGTCTGGTTAGATCAATGCTGTGGGAGCTTAGCGATCGAAGAGGGAGCAGAGATGACGGCGGGACGGCATTGTCTGCCCAAGCCTCAGGCTTCGCAGCCCAGGCTGGGACCAAGAGCTTACAGACGTCATCGAGTGCAGATTTTGAGCGACGTACTGAGCATTGTAAATCCAGATTTCTCTTCCAGAGCTGAGTCTGGGCCACAGGACCTGGACACAGGAGGGTCAGTCTTTCCGGTAATGGTGAGGGTCTGTCTTCTTGGAGCAGCACAGCGGACTCCCACCAGGACAGTGGATGCTGGGTACGGAAGGGCTGGGCTGAGGACAGTGGATGCTGGGTACCGAAGGGCTGGGCTGAGGGGGTCACTTTGGCAGTGGTTCTGGAGTCTAAATTTCTAAGGGCCTGGAACTCAGGAGACTCTAGATGCTGATTCTTTTCTGGAGAACTTCTCCAGAGTCACCATCCTGGCTTGTGCAGACTCAACATTCCACCTGAAGAGCTCTGGGAACCTCTGGGGCTGGGAGCCTTCTGGGCCTGATGAGTTCTGTTGGGATGGAGAAGATGATCTTGAAGTTAAAGATTTCAGTGGGAGTCCAGGAAAACGTCGCAGCTGTCCATCATACCCACAACAGCAAACGACTCAGGACTTTGCCAAGGTCACTGCGGCAGCCAAAACCACAGCTGTGATCTGGGGCCGGACTCATACCCAGGGGTTGTCTGGGTTCAGGTTCTGCACCCCCGGTTCAGAGAAAGAGGAAACGGAGTGGGCCGTGTGGACCCCGTCCTTCATCGAACTCCAGAACTAAGGGAACTGGGAGGGGAGAAGGCCGTCACCCTTGCACAGAGCTGCCTCCTTCAGTTCTAGTGGTTTCTACTCCTCTCTGCAGGTTAGCTAAGACGTGCATGGGTTCCAGAGGGAATATGACAATGTTTCTCTTTAATATTACTTGAACCTTTGGTTTTGATTTCCTTCTAAGTACAGGGGAGTCAATCACCCCACATGGTCCATCAATCAGGTGTCACAACATCATGCTCCTGGGCTATACATTCTCAGGTACATTTCTTCTTGAGATTATTTTTCACGTGAGGCAGAAATATGTGGCTGCTCACCAGAAAAAAAAAAAATTCTGTACTTACCCTTACAGTGCAAGCATTGGAACCTCTGGGAAGTGGCTACCCCCACCAAGGGACTTTTTCCCTGGTCTTGTTGCATCATTGTGTGACTGTTCATAACACTATTTATAGCCAACAATTCTGGACAGAAATGACATGTGTCAGCAAATTTTGCAAGTGCACAGATATATTCTGTTTCTCCTTCTTTCTTGCTGTTTGAAGTACGGGACGCCATTGCCCAAGGGCATGATGGGAGCACAATGGAGGAAGCGGGTGTCCCTGAGTCATCCTGGGGAGAAAATTCAAATTCTGCCCCAGAGAAAACCGCACTGGTCATTTACATGAGTGAAAAGCCAAATCCCATTGTGTTAAGCCATTGGTGCGATCTCGGCTCACTGCAACCTCTGTCTCCCTGGTTCGAGCTGGGATTACAGGTGTGCACCACCACTCTTGGCTCTCACTCTTGTCTCACAATAGTCGTGAAATAATTTGTGATTTGCTATTTGACCCTGTTCCCATAATCATTACACTAAGAGCTAGGTTGAGGGCAGGGACTGGATCTGTTTTGTTCATTCCTGAATCTCAAACACCAAGCGTATAAGAGGTAATTGATAAATATTGGTCTATCGACTTATTTATTTTATTTATTTATTTATTTTTGAGACGGAGTCTCGCTCTGTCACCCTGGCTGGAGTGCAGTGGCGCGATCTCGGCTCACTGCAAGCTCCGCCTCCCGGGTTCATGCCATTTTCCTGCCTCAGCCTCCCAAGTAGCTGGGACTACAGGTGCCCGCCACCACGCCCAGCTAACTTTTTGTATTTTTTTAGTAGAGATGGGGTTTCACCGTGTTGGCCAGGATGGTCTCGATCACCTGACCTCGTGATCTGCCCGCCTTGGCCTCCCAAAGTGCTGGGATTACAGGCGTGAGCCACCACACCAGGACTGGCTTTTTAATTTAATTTTGTTTTTTTAGGACAGAGTTTCGCTCCTGTTGCCCAGGCTGGAGTGCAGTGGTGCGATTTCGGCTCACTGCAACCTCTACCTCCTGGGTTCAAGCAATTCTCCTGCCTCTCAGCCTCCCAAGCAGCTGGGATTACAGGCGCCCGCCACTATGCCCCTCTAATTTTGTATTTTTAGTAGAGATGGGGTTTCACCAGGTTGGCCAGGCTGGACTCGAACTCCTGACCTCAAGTGATCCATCCGCCTCGACCTTCCAAAATGCTGGTATTACAGGCATGAGCCACTGTGCCAGGCCAGTTGATCGACTTTTAAAGAAAGAATATTCACAAATTTAGATTTAGAGAAGTTTATAAGGAGGCCGGGCTCAGTGGCTTACACCTATAATCCCAGCACTTTAAAAGGCTGAGGTGGGCAGATCACGAGGTCAGGAGTCCGAGACCAGCCTGGTCAGCATGGTGAAACCCCGTCTGTACTAAAAATACAAAATTATCTGGGTGTGGTGGTGCATGCCTGTAATCCCAGTTACTCACGAGGCTGAGGCATGAGAATCACTTGAACCCGGGAGGCGGAGGTTGCAGTGAGCCAAGATCATGCCATTGCACTCCAGCCTGGGTGACAGAGTGAGACTTCATCTCAAAAAAAAAAAAAAAAAGAAAGAAAGAAAGACAAGTTTATAGGGGAAGTGGCTTGTCAAAGTTCTCTGAGGCTGTGGGACAGGAAGTCACAGGAGAAGCTCATTCTGGCTGACTTCCCAGCTGGTGTTCTGCACCTCTATCAGTATCTTAGGAACCAAGTTACCACGACACACCTATTAGAGTGGCCAAATTCTAAAACGCAGACAATACCACATACTGGCCTACTGGCGAGGATGTGGAGCAACGGGAACTCTCATTCATTGCTGGTGGGATTGCCAAATGGTACAGCCACTTTGGGAGACAGTGCGGCAATTTCTTCTAAAACTAAATATAGCTTTGCCATGTAATCCAGCAATTGCATTCCTTGATATTTACCGAAGGGAGCTGAAAACATACGGTCATATGGATCTTTACAGTAGCTTTATTCATAATCGCCCAAACTTGGAAGCAACCAAGATGCCCTTCAGTAAGTGAGTGGATTAACTATGTGTCCAGACAATGGAATATTATCCCATGCTAAGAAGACACAAGCTCTCAAGTCATGAAAAGATGTGGAGGAGAGTTCAATGTATATCACTACACGAAATAAGCCCGCCCAAATGGCGTATCCACTGTCTGATTCCAACTATGTGACATTCTGGAAAAGGCAAAACTATAGAAAGAGTGTAAAGTTCATTGGTTGCCAGAATAAAAGGCTTGGACAAGAGGAAATCATCCCAGTGGAAATGGAGAAACGCAGGAACAAATGAAGAGCAACAGAAGAAGCTAAATATTTGGGTAAAGACAGGAATTTTGAATGATGATTTCATCATTAATGAATTAAGAAGACATTGATGCGTGCTCATTCTATATTTGATGACATTGCAAACATTGTTTTGAAAACTATACTTTGCACTAAAATTAAAAACGAGGCTGGGCACAGTAGCTCATGCCTGTAAT
Organism: Homo sapiens; assembly: GCF_000001405.40. Classification (NCBI taxonomy): domain Eukaryota; kingdom Metazoa; phylum Chordata; class Mammalia; order Primates; family Hominidae; genus Homo; species Homo sapiens. The sequence continues at coordinate 54,371,569 of NC_000019.10, read as the reverse complement.
TCCAGCACTTTGGGAGGCTGAGGCGGGCAGATCACCTGAGGGCAGGAGTTCAAGACCAGCCTGGTCAACATGGCGAAACCCCATCTCTACTAAACATACAAAAATTAGCTGGGTATGGGGTCACACCCTTATAATCCCAGCTACTCAGAAGGCTGAGGCAGGAGGATCGCTGGAGCCTGGGAAGTGGAGGCTGCAGTGAGCTGAGATTGCACCATTGCACTCCAGCCTCGGTGACCCACCTTAAATAAATAAATACAATTTTTAAATGATAGCATATATATATATACACACACATATACATACACACCAAATAGGTACATCGATGAGAGAACACTATATTTACAAAAGTGCAAGGGAAATTTGAATATAAGACTTCAGATGCTGGTTACGGTACCTGAGGTAGGAGGGGGAAACAGGCTGGAGTATACACTACAGAAATAGACATGCTTTATCAATTGTCTGATTTCCCTGGAGCATGTTGACTTCACGTTGATTTTTTTTTACATGTTCTGTTAAAAAAATTTCTTTAAATTGGCCTTTGGAAATTTACCAGCAGTGTGCTGGTAAAGTCTTGACAATCAGCTCTCTGAAAAAAAAAGCAAAAAGAAAAACAAAAAACAACCCCGACGTGTAGCATTTGCCGATTTCTCTGGTGTAAATACTCACAGCATGGCTTTGACATGAGTTTTACATTTGGTAAAAGCAAATTGTGCCTACTTTGAATAGAAGGATTGGGACAGAGATATGGTTCTTGTCAGGCACTAATTAGGGAGTAAGGCTTGTCTAATATTGCCTTGGCTCTCAAGCAAAATAAAAAAAAAAAAGTAACGTTTGGGAATCTGTGTTGCTTCCTCAGCCCCATCCTGGGTAAAATCGGAGACGTATACAGGGCAGGGAGAAGCTGTTTATTTCCGTGCCTGCGGCTGGAGCTTCTTAAGGATTTGAGCTGTGATGCTGGCACCTGGCAGACCACATCCTGTGCGGTTTTCAGTTTTGCTCCGTTCCTGACCCTGGTATAGCAGAAGCTTTTTCACATCTATGACACCCGCTATGTCTTGGTAAACCCTGGAAGGGAAAGGAGGACAAGGTTAAAATACTGTTCCGAGGACCTGGTCTCTCCACAGCGCAGGCTGGAGGTGGCAGCCCGTGGAAAGCCAAGTTCATCCACCATCGGAGCCCAGGCCAGGCTGCCAAGGCTAATATTCAGGACAAAGCCAGGCACAGGTCGGGAATCCTATGAAGATGATCATCGTCCTGAGGTCTTCCTTCCAGGGTTGCATCCGCGACAGAAGATGGAAAGAGAAATGGGTGAGTCCCTGCTACCACACCACCCTCAGGTTGCTTTTTTGGCTGAACAAGAAGGGTCCTCCCAGGCAGGAAGGGTGGGGCACAGAAACGTGAGCCAATGTGGATGACTTGGGGAGGGCTTTGCAGTTGAATCTCCTGAAAACAGCAAGAAGTACAGACCTCCGGGCATTCTAGACTCAGATTCTGTAGACGCTTCCCTTTGGCCGAGCCAAGCCAGGGTTGCTCAGGAACTGGGGTCCTTGAGATTGGATTAGATTGGACGGAACGACACAGGATTGCAACGTGCTGAACTGTGAGGACCGGGGTTTAGCTTGAGTTCCCCAGTCTGTCCACGAGGTCCAAGCTTGAGATCATTACGGCGACCACATCTCAGGAGGAAGATAGGTCAGCAACGCAGTGACGTGCTGGAATAGTTTTGAAATATTTGAACTATTCTAATGCAAACTCTTCTTTTAATGACATTTCACATTGCATCTTGTGTCATTTTATTTCTGTAGATGTTGTCTTTCCACTTGACATTTAATTGGTGTTTAATTTAAGTTGCAAATATTGTGTATGTATCTGAGTCTAGTGTGAGAATCACTACTCTATGCCTGTGCATCCCACATCAAGTAACGTTTTTGAGTGAGGGAGCTGTGCCATGCTGAATCTGCAGCATGCCTTGGACATAAGCATGTAGCTTGTCTTCTCCAGCTTGGAGGAGAGTCTCAGAGGAAAGGTCTTAGAGGAATGCAAAGGTGGAGGGGTCCTCATAATATGGAACAACGACAGCTCTGTATCACCCTTCTTATGGAAAAACCCAGAATAACTGCCCATGTGTTCTGTGACCTTGGATTGTGGAGGAACAGACGGATGTCGATTCTGCCAGCCACTCCTTCCCCAGTGGGCAGCACATCCTTGCCCCCCAACCTTCCTGGGCACCTGGAGTTCAGATACTAGGGGAATATTAATCAGGGTCCAACCAGGAAAACAGAAACCCTTCTCTGCAGTTAACAGAGAGGGAAGTAAATGCAGGACGGTGCCCCTGCATTGGATCCCAGCACAGGCAAAGAACGTTAGTGGAAAGATGATGAAATCCAAAGAAAGCCTGTCAGTTAATTATTGTACCAGTGTTAATTTTTTTTTTTTTTTGGCGGATGTGCTGGGGTCGTGTAAAGCATGAACATTAGAGGGACCTGGATGAAGGGCATATGGGAACTCTCTGTACCTCTGCAACTCTTTTGCAAGTTTAAATTTATTCCCAGGTAAGAAGTGTGTTTAAAAAATGAATTAGTCGGCCGGGTGCAGTGGCTCACGCCTGTAATCTCAGCACTTTGGGATGCCAAGGTGGGCGGATCACCTGAGGTCGGGAGTTCGAGACCAGCTTGACCAACATGGAGAAACCCCGTCTCTACTAAAAATACAAAATTAGCTGGGCATGGTGGTGCGCACCTGTAATCCCAGCTACTCAGGAGGCCGAGACAGGAGAATCGCTTGAACCCGGGAGCCAAGATTGCACCATTACACTCCAGCCTGGGCAACAAGAGTGAAACTCAGTCTCAAAATAAATATATAAATAAATAAATAAATAAATAAATCAGTCAACAAATACATATCAAAAAGGAACCAGTGGCCACATGGAGGCAAAGGAGCATGAGGAATCTTCTGAGCAGTGAAGAAAATCTTGGATATGTTGGTGGTTTCACAGCTGTCAGAATTCACTGAATTGCACAGATTAAGTGGATGCAGTTTGTGTGCAAAGGATCCTTTGATAAAGCTGAATAAAAATCACTAATGAAGACCTAAAGTGAAAAGAGGCAGGGAGGATAATCTAATGCATAGAAACCATTATGCCAGTAAAAGAAGAGTCAGAAGCAGGAAAGTCATTCTCAGGAGCCACTGTGTTTTGGCCTCATGTTCAATGCTAAGTTTCAAAACAAATGTAGTATTCCTTGCAACCATGAGAAGTTGGTGAGTGATTTGAAATCATTCTTATGATGAGGTGGAAGCTTTTGGAATCTGTACCCCTGCACTTTATCCTTGTCCTCATGATTTACAAAACCATGAAAATAAAGCTCAGTTAATTCATCATCATCAAGGTGAGCTCCAGGTTCAGTATTCAGCTTGAGGCTGGGGACTCCATCTTTCTTTAACTTTTGACTGCATAGCCTTCACTTAGTTTTTATATCTCTTAGGCATTACAAAAAATTAGGCCAGGCGCGGTGGCTCACGCCTGTAATCCCAGCACTTTGGGAGGCCGAGGCGGGTGGATCATGAGGTCAGGAGATCGAGACCATCCTGGCTAACAAGGTGAAACCCCGTCTCTACTAAAAATACAAAAAATTAGCCGGGCGTGGTGGCGGGCGCCTGTAGTCCCAGCTACTGGGGAGGCTGAGGCAGGAGAATGGCGTGAACCCGGGAAGCGGAGCTTGCAGTGAGCCGAGATTGCGCCACTGCAGTCCGCAGTCCGGCCTGGGCGACAGAGCGAGACTCTGTCTCAAAAAAAAAAAAAAAATTAAAAAAAATATATATTTTTTTAGATGGAGTCTGGCTCTGTCACCCAGGCTGGAGTGCAATGGCACGATCTCGGCTCACTGCAGCCTCCGCCTCCCGGGTTCCCACCATTCTCCTGCCTCAGCCTCCTGAGTAGCTGGGACTACAGGCGCCCACCACCACGCCCGGCTAATTTTTTGTATTTTTAGTAGAGACGGGGTTTCACCGTGTTAGCCAGGATGGTCTCGATCTCCTGACCTCATGATCTGCCCACCTCGGCCTCCCAAAATGCTGAGAAGATTACAGGCGTGAGCCATTGCACCCGGCCTAAAAAATCTTTAACATATTATATTAAGCAGTTTTAGTTGGTTTATTGTTATTTTTTAGATGGATTGCTGTCTTATGGACTCACAGAAAATTGGATTAGATTGGAAGGATATACCAGGGACTGTAACATGCAGAACTCTTTGAGGACCAGGGTTTAGCTTGAATTCCCCTGTCTGTCCACGAGATCCAAGTTTGTGATCATTACTGTCACCACGTCTCAGGAGGAAGACTGGTCAGCAAGGCAGTGATCATGCTGGAATGTTTTTGAAACGTTTGGACTATTCTGATGCAAACTCATCTTTTAATGACATTTCACACTACATCTCATGTCACTATATATGTTTTTAAATTTTTAATTTTTGTGTATACATAGTAGGTGTATATATTTATGGGGTAGATGAGATGTTTTGGTACAGCACGTGACTCCCTCTTAGTTATGCAAATTTCTCCAGCAAGTCGTTGCCCAGCAGCCTACTTGAATTCCTCCCCTGAAAACGGACTTTTCTTTTCTACCATGTGGCTAGTCCGCAAATTTTTCGAACTTTTACACTTTGCTTCTCTTTTAAATATAAACTCTACCTTTAGGTAATTTCTTTGCTCCCACATCTGAGCCTAGGTTGGTACAAGAAGCCATGCCACTTGAACACTTTGTTGCTTAGAAATTTCTTCTGACTTGGCCAGGCTTGGTGGTTCACGCCTGTAATCCCAGCACTTTGGGAGGCCGAGGCGGGTGGATCACGAGGTCAGGAGATCGAGACCATCCTGGCTAACACGGTGAAACCCCGACTCTGCTAAAAATACAAAAAATTAGCCGGGCGTGGTGGTGGGTGCCTGTAGTCCCAGCTAATCGGGAGGCTGAGGCAGGAGAATGGCTTGAATCTGGGAGGCAGAGGTTGCAGGGAGCCGAGATCGCACTGCTTCACTCCAGCCTGGGCAACAGAGCGAGACTCCGTTTAAAAAAAAAGAAAAGAAATTTCTTCCGCCAGACACCCTGGCGTGGTATCTCTAGGGCATGGACAGAATGCAGCCACGTTGTTTGCTAAGGCGTAACAAAGGTGGCTTTCGCTCTAGTTCCAAGTAAGATCCTTATTTCCAGCTGAGACCTTGTCAGCCTGGACTTCGCTGTTCACATCACTATCAGCATTTTGGTCACAACCATTTAATCCATCTCTAAGAAGTTTCAAACATTCCCTTCTCTTCCTGTCTTCCTCCGGGCCCTCCAAATAACATGAGGTCTATTCCGTTAACAAATTTCAAGTGAACAAGACGTTATTGCTGACGATGGGTCGTATGTGGTGCAGCAGATCTCTAGGCCTGTTTGTTAATAACTCCCCATTTCCCCCTCCTCCCAGCCCCCGTAACCACCATTCCCTGCTGTGATGTTGTGACTCTGGTGACTTTGCAGATCTCCTGTAAGTGACATCATGCAGTACTTGGTCTCTGCCTCTGCGTCGCTTGGCGTGATGTCCTCAGGTTTCGTCCGTGTTGTCGCCCATGGCAGAATTTTCTTCCTTGTTTAAGGCTGAATAGTATTCCCCTGTGTGTGCACCACATTTTCTATATCAATTATTCTATCAATGGACATTTAGATGGTTTTCACGTCTTAGCTATTGCGAATAGTGCTGCAGTGATCAGGGGAGTTCAGACGGCTCTTTGACATACTGATTTTTTTTTTTTTTTTAGACAGAGTCTTGCTGTTGTTGCCCAGGCTGGAGGGCAATGGTGCAATCTCAGCTCACTGCAACCCCTGCCTTCTGGGTTCAAGCGATTCTCCTGCCTCAACCTTCCAAGTAGCTGTGCCCACCACCACACCCAGCTAATTTTTTGTATTTTTAGTAGAGACAGGGTTTCACTATGTTGGCCAGGCTGGTCTCGAATTTATGGCCTCAGGTGATCCACCCACCCCGGCCTCCCGAAGTGCTGGGATTACAGCTGTGAGCCACTGCGCCTGGCCTGTTTCTTTTAAATACAGACCCAGAAGTGGGATTGCTGGACCATATGGTAGCTCTATTTTTAATTTTTTGAGGAACCTCCCCACTGTTCTCTATAGTGATTGCCCAATTTTTAATTCCTACTGTGGTATGCGAGGGATCCAGTTTCTCCACATCCTCACCAATAGTCTCCTTAAAAAAATAATATGCTTTGTAGGATATTTTTAACGTGTTAAATACCTTGTCGGGATTTTAGCATAGATCACAATATTAAAAACTTGGGGAAGGATTTCTATGGCTCCCATTTGTAATACAAGGAAATGTCAGCTTCTAGTTTTGTAACGTCTTGCCCAAGAGCTGCGACCGTTAACTTGTGGAGTTGGGACGGCGTCCAAGTCAATTGGTTGCCCGACCTTTATTCTGCCTTGTCCCATAGATTTAGAAAGAGGCTGACACATCTGGTAACTAGTTTACGGTCATCTGCCTCTAAGCGACATTTAGGGTAAGCGACATTTTTCAGAAACCAAGGCCCTCCCTCTCGTCTCACTAGTGGGAAGGGTGGAAAGAACAGGACAGAAAGCTCTTCCTCTTGTGTGAGGCAGTTGCTGTGGAAGCCCCATAGGCAGGAGGCCCCCGGGCAGCACATCCTGTCTGCTTGTGTCTGCTGCAGAGTTCTGTCCTTGCATTGGTGCGCCTCAGGCCAGGCTGCACTGCTGGGACCTGGGCCATGTCTCCCCACCCCACCGCCCTCCTGGGCCTAGGTGAGTCCTGGAGGCAGCCGGGAGGCTGGAAAGGGGGTCGGGAGGTCTGGAAAATTCCCTGCTCAAGCCTGACTCTAGTCCAGAAGATTCTGGGGAGGAAAGTGTCCTCCTCCTCCCAAGACTGCCCTGCTGCTCTCCCTGGGGCCTAAGTCTGATCAGAGAAGATCTTGTCCTAAAAACAGGGGCCCGGGTGTGGGGATGAGGTCAGCTTTAAGAAGGGCTGGGGGAGCAGGAGCCTTTTTGGAGGAGGAGACTTTGGGATTTATCTTGAAACCATTTTGCAGCAAGAAGGATTACATGGAGACAGTGATGTCGAGGAGGGTTGGCTTGGTCGTTATGAAATGCTGAATGCCCCCCAGCTCCATCGAGCCCCCTTTTGACAGCAGCCCCGTAAGGAGACTGGGCACTGGGCATTTTTCTCACTGGGGCTTCTCTTCCAGTGCTCTGCCTGGCCCAGACCATCCACACGCAGGAGGGTAAGTCATGCCTTCGTCCCATCTTCCCAGTCCCCTCTGTCACCCCAAGGGCAGTGCTGGGTGGGAGTGATGTTGATTCTTAGAGGGCCTGGAGAGATCCCTTTAAATATACCCTAGATTGCAAACTCTTCCAAATGTAAAATGCATAACCAACCCTCACCCAGTTCTCTCTCGCATCCTCCACCTGTCTTATTTTGCTTTTCTTATTTTCAAAAATTTTATTTTTAATTGACAAATAATTGCAATTTGCGGGGTACAGTGTGATATTATGACGTATGTACACATTGTGGAAAGATTAAATAAAGCTGATTAACATATCAGCCCCATCACATACTTATTGTGATGAGAATATTTTAAATCTCCTTTTAGCAATTTTGAAATATACAATAAATTATTATGAACTACTGTCATTCTGCTGTGCCATAGATCTGAAAAATTCACTCGTCCTGGCTACTCGAAACTTTGTATCATTTGATCAGTGTCTCTCCCATGCCCCGCACCTGCAGCCTCCAATAACCACCATTCTACTCTGCTTCCGGGTGATCAACTTTTCTTAGATTCCACAGATAAGTGAGAACGCGCAGTAATTGTCTTTCTGTGCCCGGCTTATTTCACTTAGCCTAACGTCCTCTGGTTCATCCATGTTGTTGCGAATGACAGAATGTCCTTCCTTTTTTAGGGCTGAATAATATTCCATTGCATATACACAGCACATTCTCCTCATCCATTCATTTGGCGGTGGGCACTCAGGTTCTTGCCAGGTCTTGGCGGCTGTGAGTAGTGCTGCGGTCACCCTGGGAGTGCAGGCGTCAGCTCCGCACACCGATTTCCACAATGAGAATTCAAACCCAACACAACCAAGGCTGAGCCCGGCACTTTTCCCCAGACGAGCCCACACTTCACTCGGCAGCTTCTTGGCGGGGAACATGACAGTCACAAAGGGCAGACTCTGAACACTCATCCTCTTCTCCATCCTCCTGGATGCACCATGTCACCCAGTCCTGGTGATTTCACTCTAAATTTTTCTCATCTTTCCCTCTCTCTTCATCGACTTTTCCTGCATCACCCCCAGGTGACAGCCCCTCTCCCCTCCGTGGCTCCCCGAGGCCGGCCTCAGCCTGTCCATGCCACTGCTGCCTGCTCCCTTCCTGACCCCAGGGACTGGCGATTTGCAAAAGCACAACCATGACCATTGTACTTTCCACAGTTTTTAAATTGTATTCAAAAATTTTCATTTAATATCTCATCGTAAGATGAAATCTTTTTTTTTTTTTCTCAGAGCCCTTCCCCTGTTTATCTTCAGATAGAATCAGACCTGTGCACCTCTCTTTGGTCTGGACATGCCCATTTTCCCAGCCACATCCTGTCCCTGTGACCTGGGGCTCACTCATCTCTACATTCCTCCAGGTTCTTTCGCTTTCTCAAACACTCCATATGCCGCTCAATATGGTGGTTCTTCTCACATGCTGATTTTGAAAAAAAATAATTCATTTTAAAAATGACCAATGAGGCTGGGTGCGGTGGCTCACATCTGTAATCCCAGCACTTTGGGAGGCGGAGGTGGGTGGATCACTTGAGGTCAGAAGTTTGAGACCAGCCTGGACAACATGGGGGAAACCCCGTCTCTACTAAAAATACAAAAATTAGCTGGGCGTGGTGGAGTGCACCTGTAATCCCAGCTACTCAGGAGGCTGAGGCAGGAGAATTGCTTGAACCTTGGAGGCGGAGGTTGCAGTGAGCTGAGATCGCGCCACTGCACTCCATCCTGGGTGACAGAGCAAGACTCTGTCAGTTCACAGCTGCAGATTTGGACAATTCTTTGATCAATACCGGTCCTCCCTTCTGGAAGTCCACCTCCAAACGGCAGGCATCCTGTGTGTGTTTCTCACATTTGTGGAATTAGCAGCCCATGAAAAACGTCTTTAAACAGATTGATAAGTAACTGAGATATGGTTAAAAGAAAGAAAAATGAACAAATGGGTGGGTTTGGGGAGATGCTGGTCAAAGGATAGAAAATTTCGTCTAGACAGGAAGAGTAAGTTCAGGATTGTGCAACACAATGACTAGAGTTAATCACAATGTATCATATGCTTGAAAATCACTAAGAGGGCAGATTTTAAATGTTCTCACCACAACAATTAACTACGCAAAGTGAGGTTATATTAATTAGCTTGATTCAGCGATTCCACAGTGTATACCTGTATCAAAACATCATGTTGTACACCTTAAATACATGCAGTTTTAATTTGTCAATAATAAGGAATGAATGAAGACGGGACGAGTGAATTGAAGCCCTGCCAGCTCTCTGCCCCGCTCAGGGATTTTGCTAATTTTGACACAACCTTCCTGTTTCAGGGCGTCAAACCCGCCCTTCCTCCTCCACCCCAAGCCCAGTTGAGATAAATGGGGTTTTTCAAGAGCCTTAATAAGAAGGAAATGCAAATTAGGCTGAGAAGAAAGTAGAAACTATAGAGGAAAACCCAGAGGTGGTGTCTCCACAGAGATCTGCATTAGCAATGGGGACCTGTCACGGGCTGGGCATCTGCTGTGAGCAGATCAGGGCTGGGGGCTTCACCCTCACCCCACCAGACCCTCAAAGGAGCCTGGCAACCCCCGTCCCACACTCAGTCCCACCCGGGGACCGGCCAGTGCCCTTCAGGCCCCAGCACAAGCCATCTCCAGAGCCCTCGCTTCTCTGTCCCTTGTCCTTCACCAATGACCCTGTCATCCCCATCCTGTGCCTCCCTCCCACACTCTGTCCCTCTGGAAAGTGGCCCTGGGCTCTGCAGCAGGCATGAAGGGCTCCAGGCTGCTCCGACACTTCCCACATGACCCTGAGCAAGGCCCAAGTTGTGAGCAAGTCTCAGGGTCCTCACTGTCAACTGGGAAAAAACTCTGCAGTGATGAGAATCACATGCACGTAGAAGGTGCAGGAGGCGTGGGAATGTTCTAAGGTTGGGCTGTGGTCATGGCTGCATAACTCTATAAAATTGCTAAAATCCCTGAATTGTGATGCTAAAATGACGTGTGTGGCATGGTGACTTCCTACAGTGGACGCTGAGATCCTGCTCTGCTTCCCTCCTAGAAGATCTGCCCAGACCCTCCATCTCGGCTGAGCCAGGCACCGTGATCCCCCTGGGGAGCCATGTGACTTTCGTGTGCCGGGGCCCGGTTGGGGTTCAAACATTCCGCCTGGAGAGGGACAGTAGATCCACATACAATGATACTGAAGATGTGTCTCAAGCTAGTCCATCTGAGTCAGAGGCCAGATTCCGCATTGACTCAGTAAGAGAAGGAAATGCCGGGCTTTATCGCTGCATCTATTATAAGCCCCCTAAATGGTCTGAGCAGAGTGACTACCTGGAGCTGCTGGTGAAAGGTGAGGACGTCACCTGGGCCCTGCCCCAGTCTCAGCTCGACCCTCGAGCTTGTCCCCAGGTCCCTGGACCCTGTCCCAGCTGCTGTCCTCTGTGGCCAACCTTGTCCTCCTCCTGACCCCAAGCCCTCCCCTCCCCTTCTTCCTCTGCACACACCTCCCCTCTGCCCTCACACCTGCTTAGGTTCCTGGAGCCCTGGTCTCCTCTGGACGCCACGGATGGCGTGGACACTCAGCTCCAGCATCTGGTGGGCTCAGAGCTGGCTCTGCTTGGCTGGGTGGGGAGTGGGTTCCCAGAGATTAGGGGGCAACCCCCCTACAAGAGGATGAGTGTCTTTTCACACGGGATGGATGGTCCCGCTTATTCCTTTCCACTGAGCCAGAACCTGCCCCAGGCAATGTGCTTCTCCTGGTGTGGTTCATCTCCCACTGGGCAGAACGCAGGGTCCAGGGATGGCCCCTGACCAGGGCGGGACAGTGCTTTGGGAAAACCTTTGGTATGTGACCACATGCACCCCTGTGTGTGCTCAGCCCGAGATGTCCTGGAGTCAAAGTCCACTGGAGAGGATCCAACCCATCTTCATGTCCCTCCAGGACCTCAGCAGTCCCCTGAGGTCAAGAAGAGCTTGTGGTGGGAGGAGCAGAGGGAGTGACCAGCCCCAGGGAGAATGGGGCAAGCAGCGGGGCTCTCCCCAGCCTCCTGTCCCCTGCCCCGTTTTCTCAGGAGTCTCGAGACATTGTCTGGGATTGCGTGATGGTCATGCGGCCTTTGGATGGGGGCTCAGGGTGGAGGAGGGCAGGTTGGTTGGGACGGGTTCTAAATCCTTCTCCTGCCCCTGTTTACAGAAAGCTCTGGAGGCCCGGACTCCCCGGACACAGAGCCCGGCTCCTCAGCTGGTCAGTAGCAGGGCCCTCAGCTGGAGGGGATTACAGGGGAATCTGTGCTGCGGATGCTGTTCCGGGTCCAGCCCTCTGCCCTGGGCTTGGAGTCAAGGTCTAGGGAGGCCACGGGAAGGCACCGACACCCACCAAGCTCTGGGAGGTCGCTAATGCTCACAGAGACCATAGCAGCAATGGTACCGTGATTGCAACCTTGTTCCATGCCAGGAACTGTGGAAAGCACTTAATGCAAGCACCACTTAATGGGGGAGGTACTAGTCTGATCCTCTAACTCCTCCTCCTCTCTAATATGCAAAACATAAATTAAAGTTTCGTGCTTAACGGCACAAGGCCATGAAGGGGCAGGGGCCACCCACCCGGGCAGCCCCACCCCAGACTTCCGGGCTCGCCCGAGCTCCACGCTGCCCCCTTGTGGGCGTGGCCTCACCATTCACCCCGCTCTGCACCTGATGGAGGGACTTAGAACTCACCTTCCAACCTGGGACACCCGGAGAGGGACGGGGCTGCTCCTGTTGGCTCTGTGATCTCCGGGGGAGGCCTGAACGGTGGAGTAAGGTCCCTTAAGAGGAGGAGGGCTCCACAGGGAGGGGACGTAGCTGTGAACGGTGACCAGGATGAAGCCATGAGGCTTCCCTTCCATCTGGCTCTGCCCTGGACTCTGTGATGGGATTGAAGCTGCCCCAAGTCCCTGGGTCTCAAGTTGTCCATCTCCCCCTGTGATCTGTGACCAGAAACTCCCAGGGGAGGACACGGGGTCATAAGCCATTCGCGGCCCCTTCCCCACCTGGGTTTCTATCCCCAGAGTACGTCCTTGGACCTAGACCCGGTGACTGCCTGTGAGGCTCGGGCTGTGAGCTCAGGCAGGTGGGACCAGGGGCTGAAGCCACATGGGGAGGTGGGAGGAGCGATGCCGTGCTCCATCCGGACCCCCTCAGAGGCTCCTGGGCTGCTGGGGCACAGCGGGACATGCTCCTGAGTCCCGCAGACCTGGTTCAAGTCCAGTGTCTGGTTTTTATTAGCCTTCTGTCTGCGGGAATATCTTGCCTCTGTTTCTCTCCCTCTCTTCTTCTCCTTCCTTCTCTCTTCTCTCACCTTCATGCAGTGACATATAAAGGTCACGAGGACAGACCCTCCTGCAGCCAGATTGCTGGGTTCATGGTTCAAATCCCGGTGGTTCTGCCACCTCCTGGCTCTATGCCTGACGGTGACTCACCCAAACCTCCTGTGTCCCAAATTCCTCATGTGAAACAGAGGCAATAGAAGAGCTGTCCTGGTAGAATCGTTTAGGGCAGACTTGAGTTCAGGTACACACGGCGCTGACATCAGTGCTGATTAGAAAACCCCAAAGGAGGGATGCTCCTATTAATACTGAGGAAGTATTTTGTCCTCACAGGGACTGTGCCAGGCACTGAAGCCTCCGGATTTGATGCACCAAGAATGAGGAGAAATGGCCTCCCGTCTTGTGAACTTCAATGGGGAGAAATAGTTAGAATGAGCAATAGAAATGCACTGATTCCCATACATGCATATACAGATAAAAATATATGATTTGCAATGTAGAATTTCAGACCTATAATTTAAATTATATTATATATGTTTACATCATAATATATATATATATTATATATATATTATATATATAAGGAAGATAATTATATAATAAAACATGTTAGTGTATCACTACATATGACTATAGTGTATATTATATATTATATGAAAGATATATTTACAATATATAGTATAATAAATTTCAAGTGTTATAGTTAATAAATAAATATAGGTATTAATGTAAATATATTATCTATTATGTATACATTATGTATAACTATAATAGAAAAAATATTTTATATTTAATCATAGGTTTATATCAAATATAAATTATACATTATATATTATAGTGAATATATGTAACATATATTATAAGTTATAAATCATATACAATTAACATTATATACATTAAATTATATGTATATGTCAAGATTACATAATTAAAAATATATTTGTTATATATTATACATTTGCATAATACATGATACATATAACTATAAATAATATAAAAACTGTAATATTGCACATATATAATACATATGTAATTTTAAATGGTGGCAAATGTTATGAAGACCAAGCCCAGGAAGTCATGGTGTAGAATAACGGGTGGTGTCCTGGACCTTAGACCGTGGACGAGGCAGGAGGGAAGGACATTCCAAGAGAGAATGTCTGCCTTTCTTGAAGGATATTGAAGATGCTGCCTCAGCCCCGGGGGAGGGGAGGGACCGCTGTTCCTGGAAGAGGGACGCTTGGCTCGGACCCTGGGTTTGGGGGAGCCCCTCAGGACCCCATTTAGCCACCTGGGAATTGGGTAGTGGCGTGCACTGTGCAGAGGAGGGTGAAGGTTGGAGGAGATGACGGGCGGGCCTGCAATGCGCTGCGTAGGGAGCCTGGGCGGTGCCCCACACACTCGCCCGCTAGCTGCAGGGCTTCAGGAAAGAGGAGCACATCGGGACTTGGATTCTTCCCACAGGAGGGCGGGTTACATCCCCGTCAGAGGGTTGCCGGGAGGGCAGATAAAATCAGACATGAGGATTCTTGCCCTCTGGTGGGAACCCAGAAGGAGGTCAGGGAGGGAAGGTCTCCCTTCCTCTTGTTGCGGGTGGTTGGTCTCTGCCTAGATCCGCAGAGGGCAGAAATTAGCGATGTCTACTACAGCTTCACGCCCAGGAAACGCGCTGTATCTGCACCGTCCAGTAGGGATGGCATCAGGCCCGTGGGGTCACTGAGTCCTGGAGGTGCAGACGGTGCAGCCAGCTTCTCATGCCATTCAACTTTGGATAAATTTAAATATCAATAGCTATGTGTGACTCTCATGCTGGACAGTAGATGTAGAAAGTTTCCATCATCACAGAAGACTCTGCTGGTCGGTGCTGGTCTAGAGGGAGCAGTCAGGGTCCTGGGGAGTGAAGGGAGATCCCCACAGTGGATGTGGGAGGACTCAGAGCCTTCTCTGTCCAGCTCAGGACTCTAACTCCTCCTCCTTCTGATTCCTCCCTCCCAGGACCCACGCAGAGGCCGTCGGACAACAGTCACAATGAGCGTGAGTGATGGGGGCCGTGGAGCATGAAGCTGGTGTGTGCCTCTTGGGGAAGGAGAAAGAGGTCAGGCTTTGGGGTTGATCAGATTCCTGCTCTGCCAATGGCAGTCTGTGTCCCTGTGCAGAGGACTCCAGCACTCAGGACCCCGGTGGTGGAAGAAGGGGATAACGATCCCTGTACTGCAGGACTATTATTTACCTAAGATATTTTATATATTAGTAAGTCTATGAAACGCACGTGACGTGTGTGTGGTATACAGTAGGTGCTCAATAAATGCACACTGCTGAAATCCTGTTTCTGTCTTTCTTAGATGCACCTGCTTCCCAAGGCCTGAAAGCTGAGCATCTGTATATTCTCATCGGGGTCTCAGTGGTCTTCCTCTTCTGTCTCCTCCTCCTGGTCCTCTTCTGCCTCCATCGCCAGAATCAGATAAAGCAGGGTAGGTCTCAGGGGCAGGGTGGGGTGACCTGGGAAGCTGTCAGGAGAGGCTAGGAAGAAGGTCTCCTTAATTCACACCCCGACTGTCCTTAGGGCCCCCCAGAAGCAAGGACGAGGAGCAGAAGCCACAGCAGAGGTGAGGCCCCTGGGAATGACTCCTGGACCTCCACCCAGTCCTCGGCCGCCAGGCTGCCCCTGAGGTTCACTTTTATTTTTCCTCTTAGGCCTGACCTGGCTGTTGATGTTCTAGAGAGGACAGCAGGTAAAGGGGGAGGAGGAGGGACAGGCCTGGGATGGGGAAGTGGGGACTTGGTGCCAATCCAGATGCAATGTGGGGGGTGGGGGGAAGAATCTTTGGGAACATTCTAGAAGGTCGTATTATACATTGGGTGCAGGATGTCATCGGAAGCTGGGGGTGGGGGTCTCAGGCAGATTTGCCTTGCGACATCCTCCCCAGAAAACTGACCATGTATTTTCTCCCCAAGACAAGGCCACAGTCAATGGACTTCCTGAGAAGGACAGAGAGACGGACACCTCGGTGAGCCTTCCTACTAGTTATTAAAGTACCCCAAATTTAGCAGCTTAAAAAAATCTCAGTTCCTTGGGTTAGGAATTCAGGAGTGGCTCAGCTGGGCGGTTCCGGCTCACGGCCTGTCCTGAGGTTGCTGTCGAGAGGTCGCCCAGGGCTGTGTGCATCCGAAGGCTCCCGTGGGCTGGAGGATCCACGTCCAAGACGCTCACTTCCCCGGCTGTGGGCAGGAAACCTCTGTTCCTCTCACAGGGGCCTCTCCACACAGCCGGCTTCCCCCAGAGGGAGGGATCCAAGGATGGGTGGCAGGGAGGGGACAGAAGCACCATGTCTTTTGGCTCAGCTTGGAAGTCAGGAGTCTTCCCTTCTGCCTTGTTCATTGTCACGTAAACCAACCCCAATACCCTGTGGGAGGGCTCTTCACACGGATGCAATTTAGGAGAGGGTCCTCAGGGCCCATGGAGATGGCCGCCACAGCCCTCCCTCCCCACAGCCCCTCGTCTCACCCTCCACCAGGCACTCCCTCACCCTGGGTCTCTCCCTCTTAGGCCCTGGCTGCAGGGAGTTCCCAGGAGGTGACGTATGCTCAGCTGGACCACTGGGCCCTCACACAGAGGACAGCCCGGGCTGTGTCCCCACAGTCCACAAAGCCCATGGCCGAGTCCATCACGTATGCAGCCGTTGCCAGACACTGACCCCATACCCACCTGGCCTCTGCACCTGAGGGTAGAAAGTCACTCTAGGAAAAGCCTGAAGCAGCCATTTGGAAGGCTTCCTGTTGGATTCCTCTTCATCTAGAAAGCCAGCCAGGCAGCTGTCCTGGAGACAAGAGCTGGAGACTGGAGGTTTCTAACCAGCATCCAGAAGGTTCGTTAGCCAGGTGGTCCCTTCTACAATCGAGCAGCTCCTTGGACAGACTGTTTCTCAGTTATTTCCAGAGACCCAGCTACAGTTCCCTGGCTGTTTCTAGAGACCCAGCTTTATTCACCTGACTGTTTCCAGAGACCCAGCTAAAGTCACCTGCCTGTTCTAAAGGCCCAGCTACAGCCAATCAGCCGATTTCCTGAGCAGTGATGCCACCTCCAAGCTTGTCCTAGGTGTCTGCTGTGAACCTCCAGTGACCCCAGAGACTTTGCTGTAATTATCTGCCCTGCTGACCCTAAAGACCTTCCTAGAAGTCAAGAGCTAGCCTTGAGACTGTGCTATACACACACAGCTGAGAGCCAAGCCCAGTTCTCTGGGTTGTGCTTTACTCCACGCATCAATAAATAATTTTGAAGGCCTCACATCTGGCAGCCCCAGGCCTGGTCCTGGGTGCATAGGTCTCTCGGACCCACTCTCTGCCTTCACAGTTGTTCAAAGCTGAGTGAGGGAAACAGGACTTACGAAAACGTGTCAGCGTTTTCTTTTTAAAATTTAATTGATCAGGATTGTACGTATTCAAGGTGTAAAATGTGATAATTTGTCGTACACGTACATTGTGCAATGACAGTCACAATCAATTCCTCAGCGCACCCATCGCCACAGATACGATACATTAGATATTCTGAACTTGCTCATCTTAGGACTTCACATTGGTGTCAGTGTTTTCTGACAAATCACGTGTATCAGGAATGAATGAGGGAGGTGTGGCTGGGTGAAGGCAGAGAGCCGACCCTACAGGTCCACATCTGCACATACATGCACAGGAATGCATGCTCTCACACACATGCATACACACACGCACACACACAGACATGCACATACACTCACACGCCCCAGGAAATCCAAGGAATCACTGAGCCTGCTGTTGGTTGAGGCATTTCTGAGTATCCACCCTACCTGTAGGGTCAGATGTACTGATTGACACAGAAAATTACCCTATGTACCACTAGGAGGCGGCAGAATCTCATTTGGGTTAATCTGTGTTTGTCTTTAAAAAACAAAAACAGGCCGGGCATGGAGGCTCACGCCTGTAATCCCAGCACTTTGGGAGGCTGAGGTGGGCGGATCACGAGGTCAGGAGATCGAGACCATCCTGGCTAACACGGTGAAACCCCATCTCTACTAAAAATACAAAAAAATTAGCCGGGTGTGGTGGTGGGTGCCTGTAGTCCCAGCTACTCGGGAGGCTGAGGGAGGAGAATGGCGTGAACCCGGGAGGCGGAGTTTGCAGTGAGCCGAGGTGGTGCCACTGCACTCCAGCCTGGGCGACAGAGCGAGACTCCGTCAAAAAAGAAAAGAAAAGAAAAGAAAGATTTTTAAGAATTCAGCAAAAACTCAGCCAGCTCTTTCTATGGGGCAGTTGCTAATTTAGTTCTAGGCAAACGTGGACACATTAAATTCTCCTACAAACCCTCCACAGCGTGCTCTATTATTTTCCTCATTTATAAAAACAGAAACTATGGACCGAGACATGAAGTAACCTGTCCAAGGTCGGCCAAGTCTCAGAGACAGGGGCTTCAGACCCACCTGAGGCTCCTGACTCCACATTATGAACCCCGGGATGGGCTGCAGCTCGGTCTGCTGGGAGGTTTCTGTGCTGGTTCAAAGAGGGTGGTACCTGACTGGCCTACCCAATTTTAATTTGTACTGAGCTTTAATTTTCTATTTGTGCTCAGGTTTAATTTCCTCCTGGGATCTGCTTCCCAGTGCTGTACTCTGTATCTTTGCTTTCTTGTGTGAACATTGTGACCGATTTTCCCTGTTCTTCACGTGGGACACATTCTCCCTGCTCTGTCTGTCTCTGTCCCTGTCTCTCTTTCTGTCTTTCTCTCTCACTGTGTGTCTCTCTGTCTCTCTCTCTCTTTTTTTTTTTTTTTGAGATGGAGTTTCGCTCTTGTTGCCCAGGCTGGAGTGCAATGGCACAATCTTGGCTCACTGCAACCTCTGCCTCCCGGGTTCAAGCGATTCTCCTGCCTCAGCCTCCTGAGCAGCTGGGATTACAGGCATGCACCACCACACACGGCTAATTTTTTGTATTTTTGTTAGAGACGGGGGGCTCTCCATGTTGCTCAGGCTGGTCTTGAACTCCCGACCTCAGGTGATCTGCCCACCTCAGCCTCCCAAAGTCCTGGGATTACAGGCATGAGCCACTGCGTCCAGCCGTCTTTGTCTCTTTTTCTACATCTCTGTCTTTCTTCTCTGGTTGTTTTTCAACCATCAGCTGGGTGTTTTCTCCCATAACGTCTTGTTTGTTTGACTATGAGGTTGACAGGTGGGTACATGAACTCTATAGCAGAAGGTGGACAGTCTGCACATAGCAGAGGATGGGTGAATTTTTCTACCCCTTGCAGAGCACAGGAGAGCTGAGCAGATGCCAGTGTCTGCTCCAGTGTAAGGAAGTCCAGGAAGTTCAGGTGGTGAGGTCACAGTGGAAAGCAGGACAGATAGAGTTTAGGGGAAATTAAGCAAAAATACCACACTGTTATTTCTTGACATATTAGTGGAAAGAGGAAGGGCCCAGAGAGAAGACAGAAAATTAGATGCAGGGGCTTGTTTTTTCTCTTGACTTGCCAACCCGCCCAACGCAGGGGCCAGAACTCAGGGTGGTGAGATCTGGGAACATTGCTGTGCGGAGAAGATGTCCCTCCTGCTGCACGGGCCCCCAAGCACCACCTGGGGGAAGAGCCATGTTTAATTCACCTGGCAGTGCAGTGTGGCCAGGCAGAGAGGGAGGGCCTACCCTGTGCTTATGATCCCACCCCAGTTCCCCTGGGGTGTGCCCTGGCGGTGAACACCAGGAGGCTGCAGTGGGGCCCAACGTGAAAGGGAGGAGCAGCCTCACCGGGGCCAGATGGGGCAGCAGCAGATATTCACAGATGTCCCTGTGAGTAACCAGGGCAGAGGCCAGGGGTCTGGCCTTCCCTTTCTTGGAGCCCTGGGCCAGCTGGGCAAGGCGTTGAGAGAAAGATTACCCGGTGACCTTTATCAAAGCAGAGTAAGGAGGGCTTTATTCAGAACCATCACTGTAGGTACCAGGACCCCAGCGGTGGGATTTTGTAGTAGGGGAAAGAAAATGGGCTCGACGTTGAATACAGCATGAACAAGTGAGAATGTTTGTTATACAAACTATAGGGTGGACTTTTTTTTTCTTTTTTTTAACTTTTTTTTACCTTTTAGTGTAAAACTGAACATAGAAAATAAATTCATGAAGAAGGGATATTTTCTGAGGGTGTCCAGGGCTGCCCAACACCTCGTCTACCTTCTCTGTCATAGCCCCATTTAAAACACTCTCTCTGGATGAATACACCAAACCTCACAGTCTTTGCTCTCTTGCTAGGAAGAGGAGCAAGAGCGTGTTTCACTCTTGGCTCCTGCTTACACACCTGCTGTCCAATGGAAACTACTACTTAAGACATTTAAAAATAGTTGTGGTGATAGCATGTTGTGTTTTGGTTGGTGATGCCAGTTAGTCTCTGAAAACTTTCTGTGATGAGTGTAAAATTCTACACCTTAATCTCCTTTCTTGTAGGATCTGGGAAGCAGTATGCACTTGATTGCACCAAAGATTTTACGTTCATAGAAAATTTCTGGCATCTGTGTGAAGAAAGTAAACTATATCTTCCATTTAGACAAATAAAATATCTTTTTGATAAAAGGTGACTATATGTTTAAGGCTTAGGGAGAAGAAAGAATCAAGGAATATAAATGTGTTGATGTCTAAATGCAATTCTGACACTTAACCAGAGTTAAAAGTGCTTTGAGAGTCCCCAGAGCTCTGCACCTGCTCTACATCTACTGGGATTTAGAGCTAAAGCTTCCTGAAACCGTTGTTCTGCTTGGTCCTTCAGCAGTGACAACCTGTTCTGTTCCAATTGCTAAGATCTGAGTTGTGAGAGCTGCGGGATGGGAATTTTCCTGTTGCCGTTCCAAGAAGTAAAATGTGCCTCATTTAGTCCTAAATTGTACCTCCATAAAAATCACTTTGGGCCGGGCGCAGTGGCTCACGCCTGTAATCCCAGCACTTTGGCAGGCTGAGGCGGGCGGATCACGAGGTCAGGAGATCGAGACCATCCTGGCTAACACGGTGAAACCCCGTCTATACTAAGAATACAAAAAAATTAGCCGGGCGTGGTGGCAGGTGCCTGTAGTCCCAGCTACTCGGGAGGCTGAGGCAGGAGAATGGCGTGAACCCAGGAAGTGGAGCTTGCAGTGAGCTGAGATCGAGCCACTGCACTCCAGCCTGGGTGTGACAGAGCGAGACTCTGTCTCTAAAAAATAAATAAATAAATAAATAAATAAATAAATAAATAATAAATCACTTTGATAAAGAAAGGACAAGGTCTTTATTTTTTCATGAATTATTGCCGTTATTTAAGGGCATACAGAGCCATCATCACAGCTGGTCTAGGATTCACAGATATTTTCTTGTTGCCTTTATTTACCATCCAGCTCAATTTATTTAGTACACTATATATATTCATTTCTGAAATTGCTTTCTGCTTTTACAGACCCCTCCTCCTTCTCCTATTTGGATTTATTGATTGATCTCCAGAACAAAGTTGCTAAATTTATTACATTTGTTGTGATAAAACATTTTCTTCGCAACAAAAGAAAAAGATTTGTGCACATATACTACGTGAAATGCGTGTTATTTTCTCATTCTTCCACCTTCTCCCCATCCTCTATAACACTGGGGCCAAACTGCTATTGATTATTGTACATTCTTTCGGAAATGTCTTTGATTTTTCTAAAGCATCTTTTTCTTTTAACTAATCTGTACTTTACCAAGATTCTAATTTCCCAAATTTTCATACCAGTTAAATCACATCATAACTTAATAAGTTGTTCATTATTAAAGAAATACAATGTTTTTCAACAATAAAGACAGTCCTATTTTTGATGAATCCTAATTTGAATTCTTTAAAAACCATTTACATTTCAGATCATTATAAAATTTTCGTTAAATTAAACATGACTAAGAAAGCCGGCCAGGCGCGGTGGCTCACGCCTGTAATCCCAGCACTTTGGGAGACTGAGGCGGGCGGATCACGAGGTCAGGAGTTTGAGACCAGCCTGGCCAACATGGTGAAACCCCATCTCTATTAAAAAGACAAAAATTAGCCGGGCGTGGTGTCCTCCCTCCATGCATCCTCAGGATCTGTGTCCTCCCTCCATCCATCCTCAGGATCTGCGTCCTCCATCCATCCACCCTCAGGGTCTGTGTGCTCCCTCCATGCATCCTCAGGATCTGTGTCCTCCCTCCATCCATCCTCAGGATCTGTGTCCTCCCTCCATCCACCCTCAGGATCTGTGTCCTCCCTCCATGCATCCTCAGGATCTGTGTCCTCCCTCCATCCATCCTCAGGATCTGCGTCCTCCCTCCATCCATCCTCAGGATCTGCGTCCTCCCTCCATCCACCCTCAGGATCTGCGTCCTCCCTCCATCCATCCTCAGGATCTGCGTCCTCCCTCCATCCATCCTCAGGATCTGTGTCCTCCCTCCATCCATCCTCAGGATCTGTGTCCTCCCTCCATCCGTCCACCCTCAGGATCTGCATCCTCCCTCCATCCATCCTCAGGATCTGCGTCCTCCATCCATCCACCCTCAGGATCTGCGTCCTCCCTCCATCCACCCTCAGGATCTACGTCCTCCCTCCATCCATCCTCAGGATCTGTGTCCTCCCTCCACGCATCCTCAGGATCTGTGTCCTCCCTCCATCCACCCTCAGGATCTGTGTCCTCCCTTCATCCATCCTCAGGATCTGTGTCCTCCCTCCATCCACCCTCAGGATCTGTGTCCTCCCTCCATCCATCCACCCTCAGGATCTGTGTCCTCCATCCATCCATCCACCCTCAGGATCTGTTTCCTCCCTCCATCCATCCTCAGGATCTGTGTCCTCCCTCCATGCATCCTCAGGATCTGTGTCCTCCCTCCATCCATCCTCAGGATCTGTGTCCTCTCTCCATCCACCCTCAGCGCCCTCTTTCAGAAGATCTGCCCAGAGCATTCTGGTCTTCTTGATGGCCTGGTCTCTCGGTGGGAGAAGCTCTTCCTGGCTATGTGTGGTCAGCCATTGTGGTCCTTTTCTGGTCTTTGAATGTTTCTATAACAGCACTTATAATCATTTGCAGTAACATACAGTTGAGCTTTGAACTCCACAGGTTTGAACTGTGCAGGTCCACTTGTATACAGATTTTCTTTCAATCATAGTTACACGAGTGTGCCTGCCTTTCCTGCTTCCCCTCCCACCTGTTTTACCGCATTTTCTTTTTCTTTAGGTTTTATCTTTAAGTTTATGAGTTATATTTAAAAATATTTTTGCATCATATCTATTCAAGAAAATACACTTATATTTCTAAACCAAAACAAGAAACAAGACACAATTATATCCGTCTAATTTTATTTAATCTCTTCTGCATGGTTTCTCTCTCTCACACAAGTATCCACTTTTAAAGGTTTAGGTCAGGCATGGTGGCTCACGCCTGTAATCCCAGCACTTTGGGAGGCCAAGGCGAGCAGATCACCTGAAGTCAGGAGTCCAAGACCAGCCTGGCCAACATGGTGAAACCCTGTCTCTACTAAAAATTTAAAAAAAAAGAAAATTGGCCAGTGTGGTGGTTGTCAGGCCTCTGAGCTGAAGCTCAGCTATTGTAACCCCTGTGACCTGCACATATACACCCAGATGGCCTGAAGGAGCCAAGAAGTCTGGGGCAGCCGAAAAACCACAAAAGAAGTAAAACAGCCAGTTCCTGCCTTAACTGATTAACCAACATTACGACATTCCACCATTGTGACTTGTCCCTGCCCCACCTTAACCGATCAATCAACTTTGTGACATTCTTCTTCTGGATAATAAGTCTTACGATGTCCCCACCAGGTACCTTGTGACCTCCTCCTCTGCCAACAATAGATGACCACCTTTTACCGTAATTTTCCATCACCTACCCAACTCCTATAAAGCAACCCCTTCCCCATCTCCCTTCGCTGACTCCTTTCTCAGACTCAGTCCACCTGCACCCAGGTGAATTAAAAGCTTTATTGCTCATACAAAGCCTGTTTGCTGGTCTCTTCACATGGACACGCTTGGCAGTGGTGCATGCCTGTAATCCCAGCTACCCAGGAGGCTGAGGCAGGAGAATCGCTTGAACCCAAGAAGTCAAGGTTGCAGTGAGCAGAGATCGTGCCATTGCACTCCAGCCTGGGTGACAGCATGAGACGCTGTCAGGAAAAAAAAAAACAAAAAACAAAACAAAAAAACTTGACGGGAGGGTTAATTACCATCTTCCTACAACGAGGAAAATGGATGGGGCAGGGGAGGATGTCACCTGCTGAAGGTCAACTGACAGTAAGTATGAACCCTCATGCCTTAAACCAAAGCTTGGGAATTTCTTCCAGTGAATGCTTTGGCCCAAAGCATGGAGACAGAATTCACGGTATCAAATGAAGAGTTATGGACAGGGGAAGAAGAGGTTGTAAATGACTTGGAGATTTGATGGAGTTCCCACTTATAAGTGAGAACATGTGGTATTTGGTTTTCTGTTCCTGTGTTTGTTTACTAAGGATAATGACCTCCAGCTCCATTCACATCTCTGCAACAGACATGATCGCGTTCTGGTGCTGCTACTTATAGAATTAAGAAAGTCGGAGGGAAGAAGTGCTTGGGAGAAACAAAACTAGACAGCAGGGCCAGGAGGGAGACAGTGCTTCCTCTGCACTCCGTGAACAGCCTTATAAATATCTCCCTAGCCTGGTTCTTCCCCGGGATCATTCATCCTGGGATGACACCATTCGTTCCTCCAGTAAACTAAGGCAGAGAGTGAAACAGACCCTAGTTGCTCACTCACTTTTGTTTCACATACAGTGAACAAATCCAAGCAGTTGTACCCTTGAGCCCTCCTCACCCACGTCCCCGGGTCCATTCCCACAGTGCAAGCTCACTGGAGACTGAAGACAGCCTGTCTGTGCCACCACATCAGCCTCCTCCTGGTCCTCTTCTCCAAACCCTCACTCCAGGCTGACATCTATTATTCTCATAGCCCCAACCTTATCTGTAGCTGACTCTTCCCTGATCAAAATCCTTCTCCGGGTCTGAATCTTCCTCCAAGTAAGACACAAGTATCTCTGCCTGATGTTCATGTTGTTGATGACCAGGACTAAGTTAACATCCCCAGCGCCAAAAAACATGGCTCCTTCCTACAGAGCAAATTCATTACAGGAAACCACTTCCGCCTTTTTCCCACCCACCACACCCCAGACAGACACCTGGAGATATTAACATATTTCTGCCTTCTCATAGTCAGCTCCCCGAGAAAATTTTTATTTTTTTATGTTTTAATTATTTATTTATTTATTTATTTATTTGAGACGGAGTCTTGCTCTGTCTACCAGGCTGGAGTGCAGTGGCGCGATCTCGGCTCACTGCAGCCTCCACCTCCAGGGTTCAAGAGATCTGCCATCTCAGCCTCTAGAGTAGCTGGGATTACAGCCCTGCACCATCACGCCCGGCTAATTTTTTTTTATTTTTGGTAGAGACAGGGTTTTCCCATGTTGACCAGGCTGGTCTTGAACTCCTGACCTCAGAGGATGTGCCTGCCTCGGCCTCCCAAAGTGCTGGGATTCCAGGCGTGAGACACCGCACCCGGCCTATTCTTGTTTTCAAAATCTCGCTCATTTCTGAACTTCTGTGCCAGTGACTTCCTAGGCGAGGAAATGCCCGATGTACCTTTTCTTGGACTCCAGTCCACTCCAGACATTTTGTCTCCACCAGTAACTGTGGCCATTGTGTGGAGGAAGGAACAAAAGCAAGAAAGCGATTTTCTGAGCAGGTTTCTATGAGCACCAGGTTCTCACCCTGGTAGGGGCAACTACAGGACCCGAAAGTTAATCTCCCCTGGGTATGACACCCACTGTGCTACTTTCCTCCCCAAGGAAATATAGCTCCCCAGCTGAACCACCACGTGGGTTTGGGGATGTGAAAAAGGGAAATGAAAGAGAAGGCATATTTATGATTTCAACCACACTGGGAACTCATGGAAGCTGCTGTAGACAACTCAAGCATGAGAGGCCAGGCTAAATTTGGAGAAAAAAGAGATACACAACTCCCATTTTTAGAATCCAAGAGGCCTGGAGTTTGTATTATTATTATTTTATTTTTAGCAGCAACACTTATATGGAAAGTACTTGGACACCTTGAGGTCTGCGTGAAAGTTGACTCCAATTGTGATGAGTACGGAAGCTCCTATCTCAGGATTCTCATTTTAGGGAAAATCACTGCTGGTCTGGATTTGTTTTTGTGTGTTTTTTTGGTTTTTTTTTTGTTTGTTTGTTTGTTTTTGAGACGGGGTCTTGCTCTGTCGCCCAGGCTGGAGTGCAGTGGCGCGATCTCGGCTCACTGCAAGCTCTGCCTCCTGGGTTCATGCCATTCTCCTACCTCAGCCTCCCGAGTAGCTGGGACTACAGGCACCAGCCACCACGCCCGGCTAATTTTTTGTATTTTTAGTAGAGACGGGGTTTCCCTGTGTTAGCCAGGATGGTCTCGATCCCCTGACCTTGTGATCCGCCCGCCTCGGCCTCCCAAGTTGCTGGGATTACAGGCACGAGACACCGCGCCCAGCCTCTGGTCTGAATTTAACTCCGGACAGCTCTTTCTTTCTTTTTTTTTTTCTTTCTTTCTTTTTTTTTTTTTTGAGACAGAGTCTCGCTCTGTCACCCAGGTTGGAATGCAGTGGCGCGATCTCGGCTCACTGCAAACTCCGCTTCCTGAGCTCAAGCAATTATCTCCCTCAGCCTCCCCAGAAGCTGGGATTACAGGTGCCCGCCACCACGCCTGGCTACTTTTCATATTTTTAGGAGAGACGGGGTTTCACCTTCTTGGCCAGGCTGGTCTTGAACTCCTGACCTCATGATCCACCTGCCTCGGCCTCCCCAAGTGCTGGGATTACAGGCGTGAGCCACCGCACCCGACCACGGACAGCTCTTTCTAACCAGAATCATCACCTGGACTTCTGAGGCTTGAAGAAAAGATGAATCCTCTTCTCACTCACTTGATTAAAAAAAAAAGTTGGGGTCAGGTACGGTGGCTCACGCCTGTAATCCCAGCACTTTGGGAGGCCGAGGTGGGCAGATCACCTGAGGTCAGGAGTTCAAGACCAGCCTGGATAACATGGTGAAACCCCATCTCTACTGAAAAAAAACAAACAAACAAAAAAATACAGGCCGGGTGCGGGCTCACTCATGCCTGTAATCCCAGCACTTTGGGAAGCCAAAGAGGGTGGATCACCTGAGGTCAGGAGTTTGAGACCAGCCTGGCCAACATAGTGAAACCCCGTCTCTACTAAAAATACAAAAAATTAGCTGGGCGTGGTGGCGGGCACCTGTAATCCCAGCTACTCCGGAGGTGAGGCAGGAGAAGCACTTGAACCTGGGAGGCAGAGGTTGCAGTGAGCCAAGATCGCGCTACACCACTGCACTCCAGCCTGGGCAATAAGAGTCAGACTTCATCTAAAAAAACAAACAAACAACAACAACAACAAAAACAAAACAAAACAAAAAACTCACACACAAATATATTTACCAGTGGGCACACAGGTGATCCTTGTTCCCTCAAAAAAAAGAAACACACACACAAACATATATTTACCAACGGGCATAGAGGTGATCCTTGCTCCCATCTTCTCAATTTCCATCTCCAGAGGCAATCAAGTACCTCTTTATTCTGTTTCCTCTCAGAGACACCCCGTGTATGTACATTTCTCCACACGCCGTGCTCTGAGACTCATGGCTGTATTGCAGATAAGTGTTTTTATTTCTCACTTTATTTCTGTATTGATTTTCAGTTAACAATTGATTGCACATGTCGATGTTCATACGTCTGTTTGCACATCTGGAAATACAGCTCTGTACCACTTTTTCCGTTTCCTCATTCTCATATACATTTTAGACACACTAGGAACATTTCTGCATTTTCTGGTATCAAAATACCGCAATCATCTGCTCCTATGTTGGGCAATATTACCTTTCTGGATCCTCCTCTTGCTCATTGTTCAGTCTTTACCTAACCTGTCACATCCTCAAAAACATTTTTTTTAATGACAAACTGGGTTAAGTGATCTTTGCCCCTAGTACTCACTGCTTTTTTTTGTTTGTTTGTTTTTGTTTTGTTTTTTAACAGAGTCTCCCTCTGTCACCCAGCATGGAGTGCAGTGGCAAGATCTCGGCTCACTGCAATCTCTCCCTCCTGGATTCAAGCGATTCTCCTGCCTCAGCCTCCTGAGTAGCTGGGATTACAGGTGCACACCACCAGACCCAACTAATTTTTGTGTTTTTAGTAGAGATGGGGTTTCGCCATGTTGGCCAGGCTGGCACTGTTTTTTTTTTTTTTTATAAGGGCAACACACATTCAAGACCTCTAGGTGGCTTAAATTTTGTGCATTTATGCCTCTGTGTGTTGTTTTTAAATAATAGTTCATCTCTTTTGTATTTTTGCTTAATTCATCTGACTTTCTCCATTTCTATTACAAATTGAATGAACAATGGGAGGTTTTGTTCACTATAGTGTTTCTTATTCCTGAAAAAGTTACTTGGAATCTATGACTATTCTCTCATTAATTGTAAAACAAAACAGATAAATGGACAGAAGAATAGTGAGATTATTACTTGGGTTATTAGTAGTACTATTAAGTTGAACCAGAGAATGCAGAGAGCTGAGTGAGGTACAAAAAAAGAAAAGGGGGCCGGGCTCAGGCCTGTAATCCCAGCACTTTGGGGGGCCGAGGCAAGCGGATAATGGGGTCAGGAGATCGAGACCATCCTGGCTAACATGAAGTCCCATCTGTACTAAAAATACAGAAAATTAGTCAGGCATGGTGGCACATGCCTGTAGTCCCAGCTACTCAGGAGGCTGAGGCAGCAGAATCGCTTGAACC
The DNA here is from genome assembly GCF_000001405.40 of Homo sapiens. Classification (NCBI taxonomy): domain Eukaryota; kingdom Metazoa; phylum Chordata; class Mammalia; order Primates; family Hominidae; genus Homo; species Homo sapiens. The sequence goes on along the minus strand of NC_000019.10, from coordinate 54,343,113 downwards.
CGGGAGGCGGAGGTTGCAGTGAGCTGAGATCGCACCACCGCACTCCAGCCTGGGCGACAGAGCAAGACTCCCTGACCAAAAAAAAAATAAGGCCAGGCACAGTGGCTCACACCTGTAATCCCAGCACTTTGGGAGGCAGAGGTGGGTAGATCACAAGGTCAGGAGATCAAGACCATCCTGGCTAACACGGTGAAACCCCGTCTCTACTAAAAATACAAAAAATTAGCCAGGCATGGTGGCGGGCGCCTGTAGTCCCAGCTACTCAGGAGGCTGAGGCAGGAGAATGGCGTGACCCCGGGATGCGGAGCTTGCAGTGAGCTGAGATTGCACCACTGCACTCCAGCCTGGGCAACAGAGCGAGACTCCATCTCAGAAAAAAAAAGAAAGAAAGAAAGAAAAGAAAAGGCAGTCACAGCCTTTGGCTGCTTCATATTCCTGGCCCTGGGACACCAGGAGCCCCACATGCAGATCTATGGATTCCATACTGACAGCTGACGCATTACTAGAGGTCAAAGCGTGAGGCTTAGGTTTAACTAATTTTGGGACTAATCTGAGACCAGGGAATAGCAGAGTTAAGCATTCCAGAGGTTGGAGATTTTTGTCCTCTGTCCCTGAGTTGTTGTAAAACCAAACCCGCAATATCTCTGCAGCTGAGAAGTTGTCTGTGACTTCAACAAGGCCCAGGAACCTGAACATATTTGAGGAAGGGACCATAGGGTTCTAAGCCCAAGCTGGGAGTTGGGGTCAGCAAGGATCTCATACAATTCTCCCATGAGAAGGGAGGAGAGTTGTGAAGGAGCCAGGGCATAGTGGGTTACAGGCCCTGGAGGGGGATACAATGGTGGGTTACACACCCTGAGGGGGATAAAATGGTGGGTTACACACCCTGGTGGGGGGATACAGTGGTGGGTTACATGCCCTGGAGGTGGGGAGGATACAATGGTGGGTTACGTGCCCTGGTCGGGGGATACAATGGTGGGTTATACGCCCTGGTCGGGGGATACAATGGTGGTCTGGCTACTCATGCCCCACCTCATTCTTATTCATAGGTGTCTGATATGGTTCGGTTCTGTGTCTCCACCCAAATCCCACCTTGGATTATAATAATCCCCACATGTCAAGGGCAGGACCAGGTGGAGATTATTGAATCATGGGGGCGGTTTCCCCTGTACTGTTCTCGTGATAATGAGTGAGTTCTCATGAGATCTAATGGTTTTATAAGGGGCTTCCCCCTTCGCTCCACTCTCATTCTCTCTCCTGCCGCCCAATAAGAGGTGCCTTCCACCATGATTGTAAGTTTCATGAGGCCTCCCCAGACATATGGAACTGTGAGTCAATTAAACGTCTTTTCTTATAAATTACCCAGTCTTGGGTAGTTCTTCATAGCAGAGTGAGAACAGACGCATACAGAGTCCCTGATCCTCTCAACCAACCTCCACCAAGTATAGACCCATAGTGAGGAATAACTGGGACTCCCCTTTCCAGAGTGTAGATGTGTAAACACCCATCCAGGGCTTCCGAGGTGAGTGTGGCCAGTCTAGCCCTCAGCAAATGCTCCATTCTGTCTACTGACCACGCCCCTCCAGCCTCTGCCATGGAGAATCTCATCCCAATGACCATGCTGTGTTGATCCCGGTGGCCTCTGGGGGATGCTCGTTCAGGCTCAGCACAGCCAGAGAAGGCCCCAGACGGCTTCCCTCATGAAAACTCAAGTTGAGTGTGGATTTACTGCTTACAGTTTGCAGAACCTTGGAGAATCTGCAGAAAAAAACTGAGATAGGGCGGGAAGAATCTGGAGGAGCGGAGGCATGTTCCGGGTGAACAAGGTGCTGCTGCATTCAAGAGGACTATTATTTTTTTCAGGTACAGGGTGTGCAAGAACGAGTTAATCTCACAGCTGCAAGGGTGATAACGTTGGGAGAGTTTGCTTGTAAAGTTGGTCCTTAGCTGGCATCTAGTTCCTAAACATGGCTCCTGGAATGTTCCCTATGTTCCTAAGAGATAAGCTGGTGTTGTGTGACTGCAGCACTGAATTCTACTGTGTCTTGACTAGGCCATTTCCGCAAACAATGTAGCTCACTGTTGATGAGTTTGTAAAAAAAAAAAAATGCTGATGAACAGCAGCTTTTCCCTGGTTTCCCTGTGACTGACCATTATGCCTATATGGCCCCCACCTAATAACAACCTTGAACATTGAGTCTTAAGCAGGTTTGCCTGGAACCAACACTTCACATGCATTGCTACATTTTTTATGCTGATGGAATGATTAAGACAAGACATAGATTTTCACAGCTTATGACCAGCATTCTTGATCTTAAATATATTTTGGTAAAGTTTTTTTTTTCAAAAAGGTAAAAAAAAATTGCTCTTCTAGAAGGATAAAATGGACACAAGTTTTTATTTAGCTTACTATTAACGAGGGAACGGGAAAGATGTTAATACTGAATTCAAAGAAGAATCCATAGAGCAGACATTTAGGGGCTGGTAATGTTTAAGGGGATTCAAAAATGAGCCTAATTTTTGTTATTTTTAGTATAGAGACGGGGTTTCACCATGTTGGCCAGGCTGGTCTTGAACTCCTGACCTCAAGTGATCTGCCCGCCTGGGCCTCCCAAAGTGCTGGGATTACAGGTGCGAGCCACCGTGCCCGGCCATAGAATTGATTTTTAAGTGTGTTAATTCTACCTACTATTTTCACCACAGCCACATCTGCCTACATAATTTCTAGTTGTCTATCTCTTCTCAAATACACTGCATGCTGTCCATCTACCCCCATGCACATGATCTTACAAAGAACATTTCTCCCAGAGACGACTCAGAAATCAGGCCTGTCCAGAGCGGGTGGTTACAGCTGCTCCTGTCCAGGAGCATCAACTCTTCCAAACTTAGCATCTGCCCAAAGTTGTGGCTGGCAAGGCGGAGTCCAATGTGACCTCCCACTCACGTGTGGGACAGATGTCCAGGTGTGACAATACCACAGACAGCCTGTTTTTCACACACACACAGGGGAGATGGAGCCTCCTCCATGGGGAGGCTCTGAGAGGGAAGGAGGAACCATCAGTCCCTCTCACCTGGAAGGGGCTGAATCAAGAAGGCACCGGGTCTGTTTGCTGCTACATCCTGGCCCTTGGTGAGATGAGGACAGATTAGATAGACGCAGCCAAAGTGAGGGGAGAGCCCATTTCTGTCTGTAATATCTCTAGAGAGCCTGGTGTTCACGCCCAGGACAAGCCCTGGGGAAATGAGAGCCAAGCTCCTGGGGAGGGGCAGTTCCTCTTTCTGCCCCTCATGGCTCCCACAAGGAAGCAGAGAGATGGCAGTGCCCATGTGCAAACACAGAAGAGGGGCAGCCACAGCGTCTCACTTTCACCTGGAGCCCTAGGTTCCTCCCTGTCTGTGAGGACCCTGGACTTCCTTTTCTGTGCCACACAGAGATGGAAACGTCCTTTTTTTTTTTTTTTTTTGAGATAGAGTTTTGTTCTTGTTGCCCAGGCTGGAAGGCAATGGCGTGATCTCGGCTCACTGCAGCCTCTGCCTCCGGAGTTCAAGTGATTCTCCCGCCTTAGCCTCCCGAGTAGCTGGGATAACAGGCATGTGCCACCACGACCGGCTCATTTTTGTATTTTTAGTAGACACGGGGTTTTGCCATGTTGGCCAGGCTGGTCTCGAACTCCTGACCTCAAGTGATCCACCCACCTTGGCCTCCCAAAGTGCTGGGATGACAGCTGTGAGCCACAGCGCCCGGCCGAAAATGTCCTTCTTAACGACCCCCTTGTGAATCCCCATTTGTGTCTGAAATATCGGCAGAGAGCCTGGTGCTCACCCCCAGGACAAGCCCTGGGAAATGAGAGCCAGGGTCCTGGGGAGGGGCAGTTCCTCTTTCTGTCGGTGTGCTGATGGGACAACCTCGTGATGGGGAGGACCCAGCCTCCGTGTGCCCGCACACCATGTGTCTGTCTGTGTCTACGGGCACCGTGGCCACACCTGCCTGCACAGCCAGGGCCAGGAGGAGGAGATGCCATGACCCTCATTCTCACAAGCCTGCTCTTCTTTGGTGAGATCTTAAGAGGGGGAGGAGAGACCCTAGTCTAGGAGAGAGACCCCAATCCATAGCCATGCCTTAGTCAATTAGGGCATCCCAGGGGCTCAAGGAAAAGAAGAAGACCTGCTCAGGCTTCGGAGGCAAATCTCTCACAGGGAACTCTCTTCCAGGGCTGAGCCTGGGCCCCAGGACCCGGGTGCAGGCAGGTGAGTCTGTCCCCAGCTGTCCTAGGTCCCTCCTCCTCTCTGGGGACAAGGGACCACCCCTGGGCAGCTGGGGGTGAAGACAGCAGTTCTGGGCTGACTGATGGGGATGAGGGGGGTCCTGGGGCTGAGAGCTGGGATCTGAGGGTTGAGGACATCTTGGGACCTAACCTGTAATTTCCTTCCAGAAAACCTACTCAAACCCATCCTGTGGGCCGAGCCAGGTCCCGTGATCACCTGGCATAACCCCGTGACCATCTGGTGTCAGGGCACCCTGGAGGCCCAGGGGTACCGTCTGGATAAAGAGGGAAACTCAATGTCGAGGCACATATTAAAAACACTGGAGTCTGAAAACAAGGTCAAACTCTCCATCCCATCCATGATGTGGGAACATGCAGGGCGATATCACTGTTACTATCAGAGCCCTGCAGGCTGGTCAGAGCCCAGCGACCCCCTGGAGCTGGTGGTGACAGGTGAGAGGACACTCAGGGGTCCCAGCCCCAGGCTCTGCCCTCGGGAAGGGGGTCGGCTCTCAGCTCTCGAGGGGTCTCCCTTCTCACAGCCCAGCCTTGTAGGATAAGGTGGGAGGTGTGAGCCCCATTTAAACACGGCTGCCTTTTTTTCTCTTGAAAGCCTACAGCAGACCCACCCTGTCCGCACTGCCAAGCCCTGTGGTGACCTCAGGAGTGAACGTGACCCTCCGGTGTGCCTCACGGCTGGGACTGGGCAGGTTCACTCTGATTGAGGAAGGAGACCACAGGCTCTCCTGGACCCTGAACTCACACCAACACAACCATGGAAAGTTCCAGGCCCTGTTCCCCATGGGCCCCCTGACCTTCAGCAACAGGGGTACATTCAGATGCTACGGCTATGAAAACAACACCCCATACGTGTGGTCGGAACCCAGTGACCCCCTGCAGCTACTGGTGTCAGGTGAGGAAGCCGTAGCTTTTCCTTATACAAAGTCAGGGCACCAGGTGAGCTGTTGGGAGCCTTACCCTCGGGCTAGCCCACGCAAGAAGAAAAGATGAGGGGAAGATGGGGGCCCTGGGGACACAAATACAGAATGAGAAAAAAACAAGGACGCTGGAAACCCTAGTGAGGAAGGCTACAGAAGGAAGGGGCGCAGGAGGAACCAGCCGCTCCGAGTCCCAACTCATCTTTCCCTCCAGGCGTGTCTAGGAAGCCCTCCCTCCTGACCCTGCAGGGCCCTGTCGTGACCCCCGGAGAGAATCTGACCCTCCAGTGTGGCTCTGATGTCGGCTACATCAGATACACTCTGTACAAGGAGGGGGCCGATGGCCTCCCCCAGCGCCCTGGCCGGCAGCCCCAGGCTGGGCTCTCCCAGGCCAACTTCACCCTGAGCCCTGTGAGCCGCTCCTACGGGGGCCAGTACAGATGCTACGGCGCACACAACGTCTCCTCCGAGTGGTCGGCCCCCAGTGACCCCCTGGATATCCTGATCGCAGGTGAGGAGCCCAGCGGGTTCAGTCAGGGGGACCCAGGCTCTGCACAGGCCCTGCTGGGGGAGCCCAGGTGGTGATGGCCGGGATGAGGGGTGGGGGTCCTAAGGGAGGGAGAGACAGACAGAGACAGGGGATGGGCGGGGAGGGGGAGACTCAGAGAAAACAGGGACAGACTGAGGGTCCCAGGGAGAGGACTGGTGGGGAGGTCTCAGCTCAGAACAAGGTGGGGCAGCCCCTCACCCGTCCTTCTTTTCTCCAGGACAGATCTCTGACAGACCCTCCCTCTCAGTGCAGCCGGGCCCCACGGTGACCTCAGGAGAGAAGGTGACCCTGCTGTGTCAGTCATGGGACCCGATGTTCACTTTCCTTCTGACCAAGGAGGGGGCAGCCCATCCCCCGTTGCGTCTGAGATCAATGTACGGAGCTCATAAGTACCAGGCTGAATTCCCCATGAGTCCTGTGACCTCAGCCCACGCGGGGACCTACAGGTGCTACGGCTCACGCAGCTCCAACCCCTACCTGCTGTCTCACCCCAGTGAGCCCCTGGAGCTCGTGGTCTCAGGTGAGGGCGCTGACCCTGTCCACTCTGAGCTCAAAGGGGTTCTTGGAAATGAAAAAGGAGAGCTTCCAAGAGAGTGTCCGTCTGTCTGTCTCACTTGCTGCCCCACTTCTTCCTCCATCAGCCCCGGCCTTTGTGAGCCCTGAGCCTCTCTCAGCTCAGGCCCTGCCCCCAGGAGAGTTCAGGACACTAAGAAAACAGGACAGTGAAGGGGGAGGGTCCACAGGGGAGGGCCCAGCCCATGGAAGGGTGGAAATACATGGGAACCTCCCACCGAGGGGAAGGTCCAGCCTATGGGAGTGTGGAAATAGATGAGGACTTCCCACCCTGGGCTCCCACCCCTGAAGTCTCAGTAGGGTAAAGAGTGGAGAGGGCTGCAAGCAGGTGGGGGTGAGCCTTGGAGGAGATGAGATTAGACTGAGGGTGGAAGACGGAGGCCCCACCTGCTCCCTTCCTGATGTCTCCATCTCAGAATCAACATCTGGGTGTCCCCAGCCTCTAAGTCCTGACCCCGTGGGAGATGAAAGCGCAGTTACTCTGACCCAGTATAATATTCTAGACTCATCTCAACCTTATCTCCAATATTCAGGAAAGGGGTCTGTTCCTCAGAGGAACAGAGGGGAGAGTGGACAATAAGGGCGTGGTCCACGTGGCTTCCTGGGGCTCTGAGGATGGAGCAGGTGTTCCCTCTGTGGTGGTCAGAGGGGAGGGAGGTGTCCTAGAACCAGGCAGGAAGAAGGGAGCAGCAATGATAGGTGGAGGAGTCAGGTCTGTCCTCCCCTACCTGAGCGGGATTTGGGGTCCGGGGGTCCAGGCCTGACATGGACAAGGGGAAGATGCTGGGGCTGATGTTTATATCAGCCATAAAAAATTGGAAATTTCACGTTTATATTTCCAAATTGTAAGCCCATCTTTCTCATCTCAAATATGAATATATACGTAGTTACATATATACTTTAAAAACAAATATCTAAAGCCACGTATACATATGTATCTATAATCATTGTATTCATCTGTTCTCACACTGCTGTAAAGAACTACCTGAGGCCGGGCACGATGGCTCACGCCTGTAATCCCAGCACTTTGGGAGGCCGAGGTGGGCCGATCACCTGAGGTCAGGAATGAAAGACCAGCCTGGCCAACATGGCGAAACCCTATCTCTACTAAAAATACAAAAATTAGCTGGGCATGGTGGCGGGTACCTGAATCCCAACTGCCTTGGAGGCTGAGGCAGGAGAATCGCTGGAACCCAGAGGCAGAGGCTGCAGTGAGCTGAGATCGCACCACTGCACTCCAGCCTGGGGGACAGAGCAAGACTCCGTCTCAAAAACAAACAAACAAACAAACAAAAACCTACCTGAGACTGGGTAATTTATAAAGGAAAGAGGTTTAATTAACTCACGGTTCCACAGGCCATACAGGAAGCCTGGCTGGGGAGGCCTCGGGAAACTTACAATCATGGCAGAAGGCGGAGGGAAAGCAGGAACTTCTTCTATGGCTGGAATAGGAGGAAGACAGAGAAGGGGGAGGTGCTACCCACTTTTAAATAACAAGATCTCGTGACAACTCACTATCATGAGAGCAGCCAGGGGGAAGCCAATCACCTCCCACTGGGCCTCTCCTCCAACATTGGGGATTACAATTCAACATGAGATTTGAGAGAGACACAAATGCAAAGCATGTTAATCACATATATTTTATAAACCATGTTAATCACATATATTTTATATGAATATATGTGCTATGTACATATATAGACACAAACATATATTCAAGTATTCAATCCTGTGCTTAATATTTTTCATCAGATTTTTAAATATTTATTTGTTTTTATTTTTTATTATTATTTTATTTTATTTTATTTTTTTTGAGACGGAGTCTCACTCTGTCGCCCAGGCTGGAGTGCAGTGGTGCGATCTCGGCTCACTGCAAGCTCCGCCTCTGGGGTTCACGCCATTCTCCTGCCTCATCCTCTCAAGTAGCTGGGACTACAGGAGCCCACCACCATGCCAGGCTAATTTTTTTTTTTTTTTGTATTTTTAGTAGAGATGGGGTTTCACCGTGTTAGCCAGGATGGTCTCAGTCTCCTGACCTTGTGATCCGCCCGCCTCAGCCTCCCAAAGTGCTGGGATTACAGGCGTGAACCACCGCGCCTGGCCTTTATTTTTTATTTTACTTTAAGTTCGGGTATGTTTTTAAATATTTGCTTTTCACCTTCCAATCTAGGTTCATACTTCAAAAAAGCAGAAATGATGTTTTTCTGTCCCACTTAGTCATTATCATTTAGAAAAGAATACATTTTCATATTTAAGCATATCACATTGTAGGTTTCCTAACTATATGAAGAATTAGTTAACAAGACATTAAATGGATGATGAAACCACAGGGGAGCTGTCTGAGGCGCACACAGTGGGGGCCGTTGCAGCCTCCAGCCCTTGCTTGTGCTCCTGACTTCCAAGAGTGACTGAGGACCAACTCCTCATCCACAGAGACTGGGTCCTCATCCACTGAAAAATGGAAATTTCTGTCTCTGGGGGAATTAGTTGTTGTGTTCTTGTTGCACAAGATTGCACATCCAAGACAGCACACAAGAGCTCAATTCTTTCTAGTTGGGGGATCATTCTTCTTACTAATCCTGAGCTCCTGGGCTCAAGTAAACTTTGTTTCAAAGTGACTCAGGCACAAGATCTGAATTCCCAGAGCACAGAGAGGTTGAAAAACCCAATGACGTACCAGGGGAGGCCTGTGAGAGCAGAGAATGTGTTCACTAAGGATCTACATAAAGTCACACCATGAGAGGTGGAGGAATATAAGAATGCATTGCCCAGGGGAGAGGCTCTTCAGCTTCTCACCAACATCCTTATTCTTTGATTCTTAGGAGCAACTGAGACCCTCAATCCAGCACAAAAGAAGTCAGATTCCAAGACTGGTGAGTGAGGAGATTCTCCCAGTTATGGGGCTGGGCACAGAGGGTCAGGTCCTGTCAAGGGGAGGTGGGTACCCTGGGTGGACATCCAGGGGTCTTTGGTAATTGTGATCTGCCCTGACCTCTGTGACCTCTTTGTCCACCATCCCTAGCCCCACACCTCCAGGATTACACAGTGGAGAATCTCATCCGCATGGGTGTGGCTGGCTTGGTCCTGCTGTTCCTCGGGATTCTGTTATTTGAGGCTCAGCACAGCCAGAGAAGCCCCCCAAGGTGCAGCCAGGAGGCAAACAGCAGAAAGGACAATGCACCCTTCAGAGTGGTGGAGCCTTGGGAACAGATCTGATGATCTGAGGAGGTTCTGGAAGACTGGGGCAGCAGTTGGGGAAGTGTCTGCTGAGAATATCAAGGGGAAGAAGCATGGGTCAGGTGCAGGAAGATGTCTGGGTGTCTGTAGAAGATGCTTCCTCCATTAAACTGTGGTGCTTTCCTCCTCATTGTCGACTCTCCTTGACTGCCCCTTCCTTCGTTTTTCTTCCCTATGATGTAAGGCTTCACCCCTATGGTGGGTTTGGGTCCGCCCCTCTGTGACCTCATGCTCTGCTCCACTTTCAGGTAATACACCTTTCTTTATTTCTAACTACTGCATTTTCTAATGTGTATTACTGGGACTATCTCTTCAGCTCATAACATGGAATTTGCTTTTGATAATTAAATCCATGGGCAAAAATCAGATTCGTGTTTGGAAAATTTAAGTTCAAAGTGATGCTGTACCACCTGTCACTCTTCATCTGTAGTTTCTCCAGAGATACAGTCACTAGGAATCAAAAGAGAAGTGTTTGATGGAAAAGCCTGCTGTTGTGCGCATAGACTGGCTTCCTGAACAACAACAAAAAAGTTTTCTAAAAAGCATTTATTTGTGGAATTTGTTGATGACTGTGGTATAAACACTCCCTTCATGGGCACCTTCAAGATTCTCACATGACTGCACCTCCCCCTACCTGCTATCACACCGCAGTCGGAGCTGGTGGTCTTGGGTGAAAGGCCCTGACCCTGTCCTCTCTAAGTTCAAAGACTCAGCTCAGGCCCTGCCCCCAGGAGAGCTCTGGGCAGAGATGGAGTGAAGGGGGCTCTGAGGGAGACTCAGCCACAGAGGAATTCACCCCTCAGAGGAGAAGAAGCCAACAGGAGTTCTCCCTCTTCTCCTTCACCTGGAGTCCAGAAGGTGCTAGGTGGGAAGAGGGAGGGTCTTGGAGAGGCCACTGGGCAGATGGAGAGGAGAGCTTTGAGTGGAGGTGGGGACTCCAGGATAGCTCCAATTCCTCACTCCCTTTCTGTGCTCCTTCCCAGGACCCTCCAGGGGCCCCAGCCCTCCACCCATAGGCTCCTTCTCCATACCTGGTGAGTCATTGAGGCCTCTGGGCTCAGAGGGAGGGTGGCCTCCCCCAGGGCAGTCCTGAGTCTCCCAGATGATCCCATTCCCCTCAAGGACTCAAGCACGAGCTTCCCTCCAGGGAGCTGAGGCAGAGCCAGAGGAGGGGCCACAGGCTCCCCGGGGCTCTGAGGCTGGGCTGGTGAGGGGCGGGGGTCGAGGCAGAGGGAGATGTTGGGGCCCAGCCTGGGGGAGGAGCAGCCGGGCTGACGTGGGGAGCAGGGCAGCCCCAGCCCTCACCTCCCCATCCTGACCCAGCAGGCCCTAAGGACCAGCCCCTCACCCCCACAACGTCAGGCCCCCACAGTGCTAAGTGAGGGGCTTTGAGTGGGAGGTGGGCGGGGTCCAGGGGAGGCAGGGGTGGGTTCTGTCATCGGTTTGAGGCTCCTCTGGAGGTGGTGATGTGGACAGGCCCCTCCTCTGCCTGGGCCTCAGTTTCTCCAAGTGTAAAGGAGAGAGGCCTGCGGGTGGGAAAGTTCCTTTCAGCTCTGACTCCCAGCTGTGACCTCCTGGGAGAGGAGGCCTCCCAGGGAAACTCCCAGACCCGATTCCACAGGGGCCTGTCCTGTCCCACCTGCAGCAGAGACGGTGACCTGGGGCAGGGGAGGGGAGCAGAGGCTCATGTGTCCAGAGAGTCTGGGGTCCTCCTGAGCTCCCCCACCCAGGGAAAACCAGAGCCAGGCCCAGGGAAAAGCAGTTTCCCTTCCTGTGGGTCCACAGCTGTGGGTACCTGGACGGGCAGCAGCAGGCTCTGAGTGACCACATCCGTGTGTCTGTCTGTCCTGGAGGGCCCTGTGGTCTCCTCTCCCACAGCTGGAGCCCCCAGAGCAGGCATCACGGTGTTCGTGCTTCTCTGCCTCAGTCAGTGATGGAGGGAGAAGGGGCTACCAGGTTCTCCACGAGCCTCCCTCTTACTCCAGCCCCTGGGCTCTCAGGTTGGGGGGCACAGTTGTTCTGGGCTGAGGGTGATAAAACAGAGAGGGGTTTTGGACTAAACTAGAGAACCAGGAGTGAAAGAGATCTTGGGACCCAGCCTCTGGTTCCATTTCAGGGCCCTTCCCCAAACCCTCCCCATGGGCTGAGACAGGCTCTGTGATCACCTGGGAGAGGCCTGTGACCCTCTGGTGTCAGGGGAACCTGGAGGCCCAGGAGTACCGATTGGATAAAGAGGGAAGCCCAGGGCCGGTCGCGGTGGCTCATGCCTGTAATCCCAGCACTTTGAGAGGCCAAGGCAGGCAGATCATGAGGTCAAGAGATCGAGACCATCCTGGCCAACATGGTGAAACCCCGTCTCTACTAAAAATACAAAAATTAGCTGGGCGTGGTGGTGTGCACCTGTAGTCCCAGCTACTTGGGAGGCTGAGGTGGGAGAATCACTTGAACCCGGGAGGCGGAGCTTGCAGTGAGCTGAGACTGTGCCACTACACTCCAGCCTGGTGACAGAGCAAGACTCCAACTAAAAAAAAAAGAGGGGGCTGGGCGTGGTGGCTCATGCCTGTAATCCCAGCACTTTGGGAGGCTGAGACGGGCAGATCATGAGGTCAGGAGATCGAGACCATCCTGGCTAACATGGTGAAACCCTGTCTCTACTAAAAATACAAAAAATTAGGTGGGTGTGGTGGTGGGCGCCTGTAGTCCCAGCTACTCGGGAGGCTGTGGCAGGAGAATGGCGTGAACCCAGGAGGCGGAGCTTGCAGTGAGCCCAGATCACGCCGCTGCACTGCAGCCTGGGTGACAGAGCAAGACTCCGTCTCAAAAAAAAAAAGAAAAAAAAAAAAAAAAGAGGGAAGCTCAGTGTCCTGGGACAGACAGAGCCCACTGCAGCCTGGAGACAAGGCCGAGTTCCCCCATCATATCCATGACAAATGAATATGTAGGATGATATTACTGTCACTATTTCAGCCCCAGAGCTCACTGACTCCCTGGAGCTGGTGGTGATAGGTGGGAGGACACCTTGGGGTCCCAGCCCCAGGCTCTGCCCTCAGGAAAGGGGTCTGCTCTCAGGGGTGTCTCTCCCTCACAGCCCAGCCCTAAGGGATAAGGTGGGAGGCTTGAGCCTCAAGGATCACACTACCTCCTTCTCTCCTAGGATTCTACAGAAAATCTACCTTCTCAGCCCCCCTGAGCCTGTTGCAACTTTAGGAGAGGACTCTCCAGCGTGGCTCATGGCTGCAACTGGACAGATTCATTCTGACCGAGGAAGGAGAACTCAGTCTCTCCTGCACCCTAGACTCTCAGCAACACCCTAGTGGACAGTCCCAAGCTCTGTTTCCTGTGGGCCCCAAGACCCTCAGCCACAGATGGATGTTCAGATGTCATGGCAATAACAGGAACACCCTTCAGGTGTGGTCGGAACTCAGCGACTCCCTGAAGCTCCTGTTCTCAGGTGAGGAAGTCAGAACACCCTTCAGGTGTGGTCGGACCTCAGCAACTCCCTGAAGCTCCTGTTCTCAGGTGAGGAAGTCCCATCTTTACCCCAAACATTCTTTGAAGCATCAGACAGGTTGCTGTGGATCTTGCTCCCAGGCAAGTCCCAAGCGTGAGGGTGGAATGAGGGGAACGAGGGCTTCTGGGGCCAGAGACACAGAGTATAAGTGATGGTGAGATCTGCAGAGCCAGGAGGACAAGGGATGTATTTGAGGGGAGTCAGCCCCCAAAGTCCTGACTTGTCTTTCCCTCTAGGTGTGTCTAGGACTCCCTGCACGGGACCAAACAGGGGCCCCTCCTAATCTCTGGAGAGAGTCTGACCTTCCAGTGTTGCTCTGATGTTGGCCACCAAGGACTTTTCCTGTCTGAGGAGAGGCGACATGACCACCCTGGCACCATGGCTGGCAGCCCCAGGCTGGGCTCCGTCAGGCTGACGTTTCCTTGGAGTGGCTCCCATGGGAGCCAGGACAGATGCTGTGCTAAACGCAACGTCTTTTCTTTTCTTTTCTTGTTTTGTTTTGTTTTTGTTTTTTTGAGATGGAGTTTCGCTCTTGTTGCCCAGGCTGGAGTGCGTGGTACGATCTCAGCTCACTGCAACCTTCACCTCCTGGGTTCAAGTAATTCTCCTGCCTCAGCCTCTCAAGTACCTGGGATTACAGGCATACACTACCATGCCTGGCTAAATTTTTTTTTTTTTTTTTGTATTTTTAGTAGAGACTGGGTTTTGCCATGTTGGCCAGCCTGGTGTTGAACTCTTGACCTCAGGTGATCCACCCACCTCGGCCTCCCAAAGTGCTGGGATTACAGGCGTGAGTCACCGCACCGAGCCCACAATGTCTTTTCTGATTGTTTGGTCCCCTGAATCCCCTGGATATGCTATTGCAGGTGAGGGGTCCAGCAGGTTCACTCAGGGACCCAGATTCTGCACAGGGCCTGCTGGGGATCTGCAGGCGGTGATGACCAGCATGATGAGTGTATTAGTCTGTTTTCTTGCTGCTGATAAAGACATCCCCAAGACTGGGTGATTTATAAAGAAAAAGAGGTTTAATGGACTCACAGTTCCATGTGGCTGGGGAGACCTCATAAGCATGGTGGAAGGTGAAAGGCACATGGTGGCAGACAAGAAAGAAATGAGAGCCAAGTGAAAGGGGTTTCCCCTTATAAAACCATCAGATCTCGTGAGACTTACTACCAGGAGAACAGTATGGGGGAAACCACCCACCGCCTCCACGATTCAATTATCTCCCACCAGGTTCCTCCCACAACACGTGGGAATTATGGGAGCTACAATTCAAGATGAGATTTGGGTGGGGACACAATCAAACCATGTCAATGGATAAGGTTCTTTAGAGAGGGAAAGAGACAGAGGGGCAAGGTGGATGGGAGGGAGAGGAAGAGACTCAGAGGAAACAGTGAATGACAGAGAGACTGAGGGTCCTAGAGAGAAGCCCTGGGAAGGTCTCTGCTCAGAACAAGGTGGGGGCAGCCCCTCACCCATCCTGCCTCTCTCTAGGACAGCTGCCTGAGGGATATTCCCTGTTGGTGCAGCCGGGCTCCATGGTGGCCTCAGGAAAGAACATGGTCCTGCTACATCAGTGACACTTTTCTTATTTCCAAGAAGGGAGCAGCAGATCCCTACCTTTGTGTCTAATATCAAAGTACCAAGCTCAGCAGTACAGGCTGAATTCTCCATGAATGCTGGGAGGACCTACAGGTGCTATGTCTTATAGAGTACCTCCCCCTACCTGTTTTCACACCCCAGGGACCCCCAGGGTTTGTGGTCTCAGGTAAGGAGATCCTACCCCATGAGCACTGAGGCTGGAATGAGACATGTGTGAACATATGAGAAAATGTGTTTAGAACTTCATGTTCATAACACAGCTTTGGATCACAAGGTCAGGAGATCGAGACCATCCTGGCCAACATGGTGAAACCCCATCTCTACTAAAATACAAAAAATTAGCCGGGCGTGGTGGTGCACGCCTGTAGTCCCAGCTACTCGGGAGGCTGAGGCAGGGGAATCGCTTGAACCCAGGAGGCGGAGATTGCAGTGAGCCGAGATCGCACCAGTGCACTCCAGCTTGGTGACAGAGTGAGACTCCATCAAAAAAAAAAAGAAAAAAGAAAAATTCCTAAATTGTATATACTTATTGTGTAAAGTATGTAGTTTTGAAATATATATACTTGTCTGTTGGGCAAATCAATCTAATTAACATATACATTACTTTCCATATTTCTAATTTTTGTGTGGTAAGAACCCTTAAAATCTACTTTTATAGTGATTTTTAAGGATATAATACACTGTTATGTCTTCCGAGATGGTGAAAATACCAAAATGGTGTGTAGAGATTCATTCTGCATTCTTGTATCCAAGAAAGAACATGGGAGGTGATATGGTTTGGCTGTGTCCCCACCCAAATCTCATCTTGAATTGTAGCTCCCATAATTCCCACGTGCTGTGGGAGCCGGTGGGAGATAACTGAATCATGGAGGCAGTTTCTCCCATTCTGTTCTTGTGGTCGTGAATAAGTCTCAGAAGAGCTGATGATTTTATAAGGGGTTTCCCCTTTTGCTTGGCTCTCATTTCCTCTGTACCTGCCACCACGTGAGATGTTGCTTTCACCTTCCACCATGATTGTGAGGCCTCTGCAGCCATGTGGAACTGTGAGTCAATTAAATCTCTTTTTCTTATAAATTACCTGGTCTCGGGTATGTCTTTATCAGCAGCCTGAAAATGGACTAATACAGGAGTTGAATATGAAAGTGAAGGAAATCTCAGATACTGCTAAAAAGAAGGCAGGCAGCAGCTCATGCAGCAAGACCTGGCAGAAAACCATGAGTGAACTTCCAGTGCCTGAGAGGGAAGTTATGAGACCACATGATACCCATTCTCAGTGGGGAGCCAGGCAATCCAGGCCACTGGGGAGCTCTTTGACCGACCTAAGCCCTGGATCTGACTTAGGGAACAGCGGGAGGACTGTGAAAAGGAAGGGCCCAGGGAAGTGCTCCATGTGTGCTCCCAGACCTGGATGCTGATAGAAAGAGGCCATTCCTGATCCTAACCCTTAGTGGGCAGTGCAAGAACTTGACATCGGCCCGGCGCGGTGGCTCACGCCTGTAATCCCAGCACTTTGGGAGGCCGAGGCAGGCGGATCACGAGGTCAGGAGATCGAGACCATCCTGACTAACACGGTGAAACCCCGTCTCTACTAAAAATACAAAAAATTAGCTGGGCGTGGTGGCTCATGCTTGTAATCCCAGCACTTTGGGAGGCCGAGGCAGGCGGATCACGAGGTCAGGAGTTCAAGACCATCCTGGCTAACACGGTGAAACCCCGTCTCTACTAAAAATACAAAAAATTAGCCGGGCACGGTGGTGGGTGCCTGTAGTCCCAGCTACTCGGGAGGCTGAGGCAGGAGAATGGCACGAACCTGGGAGGCGAAGCTTGCAGTGAGCTGAGATCACGCCACTGCACTCCAGCCTGGGCGACAGAGCGAGACTCCGTCTCAAAAAAAAAAAAAAGAACTTGACATCAAACATGGGTGAGGGTCACTACTTCGGAGAGTCTTGGGCCAGAGATTGACAATCTGGGCTCAAGTAGAAGACAGGTCCCCATGGACAGAACTGAGAGGCAATTGTGGCATGGGCTCCAGACACCAAGCACTGGCGTTGGACACCTCTCTTTGACAGAACCGAGGGGGAAAAGTTGTAGCCTGAGAGGCATGGATTTTACCCAGGAGGCAAGATCTGTGGCCTGGGGTAGTTGAGTGGTCTGACATCAAACCGCATGTGATTTGACGGTCTGAAATTGCTTCCAGCATTGGGCCACAGGGAGGAGCTCTGCTGGGTTGGGAGCATTAGATTAAAGTGAGTCCCACTGTCATTTTCTAGGCTTGGAACCCAACGTGCCCCTCTGGGGAACTCTGCTGTAACTTTGGCATAATAGTCATTGCCCTACTCAGTGCTTGAGTGTCTCTCCAGGGACCTGAGAACCACACATGTAGCCTCTGTGGGGACGGAGCCTGTGCCTAGCATTGGGCCTGAGTACAGGCTTGCCTGGACCAGCCACACTTACCTTCATTTCCCTGCGTTGGAGGCAGAGTACTGATCAAGACCACTGAGTTTTCCACAACCCAACCCATCACTTAGGATACCTGAATGCTTCTGGTTAACAAAGGTCAAGCATAAAGCCCACTGCCAGCGCTACAACTGGCTCTCACCAGCAATTGCCACCTACTGGCCTGGAGGTCAAACCATACAGCACATTACAACGTCTCCTGAAACAAGTGACAGTGATTGGGGAAGAGACAAGTTTCACACAAACTCTGCCACCACCATTGCCCACGCCACCCCAGCTACACCTCTCCTTTGCAGAACCGCTTGAGGAAAGGCTAAACCTTTCTGCAAAGGAGAGGTGTCTAATTCCAGTGCTCGGGGTCTGGAGCCCATGCCACACTTGCCCCTCAGTTCTGTCTGTGGGGACCTGTCCCCTACTTGAGACCAGATTGCCAAGGAGGAGGCCTTAAGTTAACTTGCCTGCTCTGTCACCTACCTGAGCCTGGGAAGGTTGAGGCTGCAGTGATCCAAGATCGTGCCACTGCACTCCACCCTGGGTGACAAAGTGAGACCCTGTCTCAAAAAACAAAAACAAAAAAACTGCTCTGACCTTTTCAAAAGTATCAAGGTCAAGAACAAAGATAAACAAAGGCACCACGCAGTGGAGTAAGAGCCTGTCTATTGCCTATTGCTCTCAAGCGCCATCTACTGGATTACAGCCACACTACAACACCAAAAATCACTTTACTAAATTCTACCGCCTGGAAAACCAAGAGCAAGAATTCAGCAAAGACCCTGTACAGAGCCTTAGTCCCCTGAAAACTTCCAGAAATAAAGCCAACAGACTATACTCAATTTATACCCTTGCAATGAAAGGAATAGCAACCCTCCCAGATGAGAAAAAAAATCAGGGAAATAACTCCTATTATCTCCAAACCAGTCCACGAGCTCCCCAGAAATTGTTCTTAATCAGTATGAATTGTCTGAAATGACAAACGTAGAATTTGGAATCTGGATGGCAAGGAAGGTCATTCAAATCAAGAGCAAAGTTGAAATTCAATCCAAGGAAGCCAAGCAATCCAGTAAAATGATTAATGACATGAACGATTAAATTTTAAGAAACACCCAAACTGAACTTCTCGAGCTGAAAAATTCATGACACGAATTTCATAATACGATGAGAAGCATTAACAGCAGAATAGACCAAGCTGAGGAAAAGAATTTCAAAGCTTGAAGACTTGTTTGAATCAAATCAGTCAAATATAAGGAAAAAATATTTTTAAAAGTGAACAAAATCTCTGAGAAATATGATATTATCTAAAGACACCAAATGTATGACTTGTCAGCATTCCTGAAAGGGGAAGAGAGAATAAGCAACTTGGAAAATATATTTGAGGATATAGTCCATGAATATTTTCCTAAACTCGCTAGAGAGTTTGACACACAAATCCAAGAAACATAGAGACGCCCAGCCAGATAACGGTCTAGATTTGAGGGTATGGTGAAAAAGATGCTTAGAAAATGTCAGAAGTGAGACACAATGGCTCATTTGCTTGTGTCTTGCATTCTCCACCTTGCAATTCTGTACTGATGGCTGTACTATCAGCAGGATCCACTCGTTATTATATTCACTATCAACCTTCAGCCTAAGGGTTTTGGCAGCCATTGATGTTTATTGCTTGTATACTCAACGCACAGGTTATCCAAGCTTTGCAGGGTTAACTATTATTATGCAAAAACTCTACAGCTATTCTTAGGCAAAAACATTACTATAGCTATTACTATACTTATTATTATGTAGAAACATTCTACAGAAAAGAATGTTTCCTGTGTAACACTTCAGATAAACAAAAGAGATCTTGCTTCTTGCCTTCATTTCCACGTTTTTGATGTGGAGATTTTGTTCTTTTCCCATTCCTCATATTTGAGGGGTTTTTTGTTTTTTAATTTTGTTTTTAACAGTAGTAAACTGATAGGCTTTGAACATATTCATTAGTTTTAATACACTACCTATATTATTTGATTCTATAAATATTCCACATTTTGCCATTGGGAACTTTTCATGATAGACTTTATGTTCAGGTAACATGAATCTGATGGTATGTGGTGATGTCTTTGCTTTCTTGCATGATAAGAAGTTCTGACTTCATCTCCTGTATTTTCTCTCCGAATGTGGAGTCAGCTATTTCTCTAGGATGAAATTTAGAATTTTTGACCATACATATTTTAAGAATTAAACATTTTTGAGGGTGTATTCACTTATGTTTTACTATATATAGTCAAAATTATATAATAATATTAACTATATGTCACTACATAATATATAATTTGATTTAAAAGTATACATTTATTATATAATATGATAAATAATATATGCATTATAAAATATATGGTCAAGTAATTTTGCTTACATTCTAGTACAAATAATTCTTCCTTGTTTAGTAATGCCCTAATTTGATAGGAACTCAATTCTATTTCCTTTTTTAAGGTATTATCTTTAGATTTATAAGTTATATTTAAAAATATTTTATAGTATAGACATTCAGGAATATGTTTATATATGTATATATATATATTTTTAAACGGAGTCTTGCTCGTCGCCCAGGCTAGAATGCTGTGGGTGGCAAGCCACCCAGGTGCCGAGGCAAGAGACAGAGGACACGAGCTGTTCCAGTATAATAAAATATAAAACAAGAATAGTTATACCAGATATAGATCTTAGTTATGATTATATATGAATATCATTAATCATTTGTTTGTAGCAGTTACCCTTTATCCCAATATTATAATAATCCTCCCTCTGTAATCATAACCTAGGAAAAGCCAGGCCATACAGAGATAGGAGCTGAGGGGACACAGTGAGAAGTGACCAGAAGA
Source organism: Homo sapiens (assembly GCF_000001405.40). Taxonomy (NCBI): domain Eukaryota; kingdom Metazoa; phylum Chordata; class Mammalia; order Primates; family Hominidae; genus Homo; species Homo sapiens. The sequence continues at coordinate 54,323,125 of NC_000019.10, read as the reverse complement.
CAAGAGTGCGAGCCCTCTGTCATGCCCGGACAGGGCCACCAGAGGGCTCCTTGGTCTAGCGGTGACGCCAGCGTCTGGGAAGACGTCCGTTGCCAAGCGGACCGTGGTCTAGCGGTAGCGTAAGTGGCAAGGAACAACACCCGCTACTTAGCAGACTGGGGAAGGGAGTCTCCCTTTCCCCGGGGGAGTTTAGAGAAGACTCTGCTCCTCCACCTCTTGTGGAGGGCCTGACATCAGTCAGGCTCGCCCGCAGTTATCCGGAGGCCTAACCGTCTCCCTGTGATGCTGTGCTTCGGTGGTCACGCTCCTAGTCCGCCTTCATGTTCCATCCTGTACACCTGGCTCTGCCTTCTAGATAGCAGTAGTAAATTAGTGAAAGTACTAATAGTCCCTGATATGCAGAAATAATGGCGTAAGCTGTCTTTCTCTCTGTCTCCTCTCCCTCTCTGCCTCGGCTGCCAGGCAGGGAAGGGCCCCCTGTCCAGTGGACACGTGACCCACGTGACCTTACCTATCATTGGAGGTGACTCACACTCTTTACCCTGCCCCTTCTGCCTTGTATCCAATAAATAACAGCGCAGCCCAACATTCGGGGCCACTACCGGTCTCCGCGCATTGGTGGTAGTGGTCCCCCGGGCGCAGCTGCCTTTTCTTTTATCTCTTTGTCTTGTGTCTTTATTTCTACACTCTATCGTCACCACACACAGGGAGAGACCCACCGACCCTGTGGGGCTGGTCCCTACAAATGCAGTGGCACAGTCTCAGCTCACTGCAATCTCCACCTCCCAGGTTCAAGCAATTCTCCTGTCAGAGCCTCCCGAGTAGCTGGGATGACAGGAGTGTGCCACCATGCCCAGCTAATCTTTTTATTTTCAGTAGAGGTGGGGTTTCACCATGTTGGCCAGGCTGGTCTTGAACTCCTGATCTTGCGATTCGCCCACCTCAGCCTCCCAAAGGTATGTTTATATTTCTATACCAAAACAAGAAACAAGACACAATGATGTCAGTCTAGCTTTATTCTGTCTCCTCTGCACTGTTTTCTCTCTCTCTCTCAACTACCCACTTTTAAAGGTATTGATTAATCTTTCATTTTAAAAAATAGATTACAAAATACACACACAATGACATAACACTATACCATTTTTCTCTGGTTCTGAGTAAAATAAAGTTAACTGTTGATAACGTCCTGAATCTTTCTTTTTCTTTTCTCCCTGCCACCCCAACTACACAACTACACGTCTTGGAAGGTCAGCCTTCAAGATAACTCATTCATCTCACCCACAGCTGCCCAGGACTCCACTGTGGGGAGGCCCAGGAATTTATTGAGTCTTTCTTTGATTGAAATTAAGTGGGTTCAAGTCATTGTAGTTTTACAAATCATAATTTTGGAATAAATAGCTTTGTAATTGTACAAGTTTGTTCTTAATGTTTGTATTCACCTGGAATAATGAGTTTCGTGAGAAAAAGGCATTTTCTGGGTGTCAGGCCTCTGAGCCCAAGCTAAGCCATCATATCCCCTGTGACCTGCACATACACATCCAGATGGCTGGTTCCTGCCTTAACTGATGACATTCCACCACAAAAGAAGTGAAAATGGCTTGTTCCTGCCTTAACTGATGACATTATCTTGTGAAATTCCTTCTCCTGGCTCATCCTGGCTCAAAAGCTCCTCTACGGAGCACCTTGTGACCCCCACACCTGCCCACCAGAGAACAACCCCTCTTTTTCCTTTACCTACCCAAATCCTATAAAATGGCCCCACCCCTATCTCCCTTCGATGACTCTCTTTTTGGACTCAGCCCACCTGCACCCAGGTGATTAAAAGCTTTACTGCTCACACAAAGCCTGTTTAGTGGTCTCTTCACACGGAAGCGCATGAAACCGGGTACAGTGAAAACACTCAATTGTATTTTTCAGTCTACAGATTCCTCTGATGAAAATAGAATCAAACTCCAACATCTCCTCTAAATGGAGATGGTTTCTGTTAACTTAAATTGGAGTATTACCTTTCTCATTCAGACCGCTGCTGGAATCCTTGGAAATTCTCTACTCCTTTACTTTTATAGCTTTACTTTTGTCCCCACACAAATAGTGAGACCCAGAGACCTGATTCTCAGCCAGCTGGTCTTAGCCAACAACCCGGTTCTTTTCTCTAAAGGGATCCCTCAGACAGTGGCGGCTTTTGGATTGAAACCTTTCCTGGATGAGGCTGGATGTAAACTTGTCTTCTACCTACACAGAGTGGCCAGAGGGGTTTCCCTCAGCACCACCTGCCTCTTCAGTGGCTTCCAGGCCATGAAGCTTCACCCCAGTATCTCTGGGAAGATGGAACTCTGAATTAGATCCCCAAAGTTTATAGTTTTCTGCTGTTTCCTCTGTTGGATCTTGAATCTTGTTGTAAATATTTATACTGCAAAGTAAATAACTGACCCAATAAAGAGCAAAAACATGAGTATGGAAAAAATGTATAGATACTGCTCCTCACCCTATCCAGGAAGATCGCTGTATGTAATAGTTGCAGTCATTTACTGCTGCACAGATGGTATATGTGTCTCCCGTATATGTGTCTCCCTCATGATCTGCACCAGCAGCTCCATGGTCCTCGTCCTGCATAGATACAAGCAGAGAGTCCAACATGTTCGCAGCCGCAACCTCTCCCGCAGAACATCTCATGAAACCACAACCACACACACCATCCTCATCCTGGTGAGCATGTTTGTCTCCTCTCATGCTCTAGCTGATATTTTGTCATTGTGCGTAACCCAGATTCAGAATCCAAGCCAATGGCTGAGAAGTACCTCTTTCCTGGCGTCTGCAGGATTCCCGACATTCAGCCCCTTTGTGTTCATTGTCAGTGACGCCCGAGTGTCACGGTTCTACTTTGTGTGCTAGATAAGGAAGAGAAATGCCCCAGGTATGGTCTCTGGGCTATAAATTGCCTCCAGACCATTGCATCCTCTATTTAATCACTTCCTCCACCCCGGTGTTTGAAGGCTCACACATCAGGCCTGTGAAGGTACACCCACACGCTGCCCTGGCCATTCAGAATCCCCAAACCTCCCACTCTGGGGTATGCAAGTGCACAGCAAAGACTCCACTTGGGAGCAATTATGCAACAGCTTGTATTCAAGTAATCTCACATGAAATAACATTAAAATGAAATTAAGTATAATAAAACCCAACATCTGGACAGAGTTTATTTTTGGAAGAAGTTTAATCAAAGGCAGCCATAAGCATGTAAATAAATTCCAACTCATTTACTCATTGTAAATTATTTTTATTTGTAACATTTATTTGTAAAAATTATTTGTAAACTCATTGTAAATTAAAATATTAAATTTACAATGGACATGCAAAAAAAGACTTGTAAATAAATGCATTATGTAGTAATACTAATTTCTTTATTGGGTCTCAAAGGAAACTTTTAACTTAAGACACTTTTATTTTACCAACAAATAACAATATTTCTCTCAGAATTATTCTTTGTAACACCACAACGGCTGTAACCCATCCAACTTCACTCAAAGAAAGTGAAGTAAGTGCTCTAAAGAAAAAAATATCCTGGCCGGGCACGGTGGCTCACACCTGTAATCCCAGCACTTTGGGAGGCCAAAGCAGGTGGATCACCTGAGGTGAGGAATTCGAGACCAGCCTGACCAACAGGGTGAAATCCTGTCTCTACTAAAAATACAAAAATTAACTGGGCGTGGTGGCTCATGCCTGTCATCCAGCTACTTGGGAGACTGAGACAGGAGAATCACTTGAACATGGGTAGCAGAGGTTGCAGTGAGCTGAGGTCAGGCTGTTGCACTCCAGCCTGGGTGACAGAGCGAGACTCCATCTCAAAGTAAAAGAAAAGAAAAAGATGAGAGAAGCTCATACCTTCAGAACTGAAACATAGGGAAAGAGGAAGCAGAAATTAAAGCAAATCGAAATTTCATTGCGTCATACGGTCAGGAAGGCAACGAAACAAAAGTTTGCAGAAGGGCTAAAAGTCACTGTCAGGAACTGCATTAACGTCATTACATTTAGGGTTTTTTGTGGGTTTTCTTTTTAGATTTTAGCAAAAAATTCATGAAGCAACTCTAAAATACTTATACTTCAATATGGTAAATTAAATTTATATTAGGACTTCAAATATAATCTTTTCCTCTCTGTTCTGAGTGTCATGCTTGTGACATTGATAGAAGGTGGACTCTAGGCAATAAAAGAAAAAATTCAATTTTTTACTGATAAATTCAGGTACAATAACCGCCTGTTATTTTATTGTGGACCATTTTTTCTCTTTTTTTTTTTTTTGAGACGAAGCTTCTCTCTGTCGCCTAGGCTGGAATGCAGTGGCACCATCTCGGCTCACTGCAACCTTCACCTCCTGGGTTCAAGTGATTCTCCTGCCTCAGACTCCCCAGTAGCTGGGATTACAGGTGCCCACCATCATGCCCGGCTAATTTTTAATTTTTAATAGAGATGGGGTTTCACCATGTTGGCCAGGCTTGTCTCGAACTCCTGACCGCAGGTGATCTGTCCGCCTTGGCCTCACAAAGTGCTAGGATTACAGGCGTGAGTCACCGCACCTGGCCCATTTTCTCTTCATGATAATTCATGAGTAGCTGGGATTACAGGCACCCACCACCATGCCCAGCTAAGTTTTTGTATTTTCAGTAGAGACGGTGTTTCACCATGTTGGCCAGGCTGGTCTCAAACTCCTGACCTCAGGTGATCCACCCGCTTCGGCCTCCCAAAGTTCTGAGATTACAGGCGTGAGCCACCTCACACGGCTTTATTGTTGTTGTTGTTTTTAATGTTACTCTATTTTTTTAGATTCAGGCGCTACACGCGCAGGTTCCTTACATGGATGCATTGCGTTCTGGTGGGGTTTAGGTGTCTAGTGCTCGCATTACCCATACGGCTCACCAGATATTACGGGGGAGGCAGAGGGGACACTCCCCCATCCCCAAAAGCCTAAATAACATCAAAAATCTTCCACATGGGGCCCAGGTGAAGGTCTCTGCAGGATCCCCCAGCTTGGGTGGGCTCAGCTGTCACCCAGGGGTCCGGTGCGGGGACTGGTAACCCATGGGCCTGTCGGTTGGAGCGGGGGTCTCACCTGCTTGCCCATCGCTGAGCTCCACCACTATCCAAGGAAAGATGAAGGCGCCAAAAGCAAAGCCTTTGGTTAGTGTGACAGCTCTGCAGTATTAGCAGCTGTTTACTGTTACAGCCTGTGTGACCGCTCTTGGAGCCCTGATCACAGACTGCCCCGCCCCGCTGTCTCTCCGACTGTCTCAGCAACCTCTCGCTGTCTAGCCCAGTGCCACCTCTCCGTGTCTTTCACCCATTGCCACCCCTCCGCTGATCACTGTCACCATCTCTGCTGTCTAGCCATCTCGCCTCTCTCCTAATTGTCCCTGCCTCTGCGGAAAGTCTCTCTGCCTCTCACTCGCTGTCTCCGTCATCCCTTCCTGGTAACTAGATGATGCGGGGAAGGGGAGCTCCCAAATCGGGGCATAGCCCAGAAGAGTTCTTGGCTTTGCCTAAGAAAGAATTTAGGCCGGTCGCGGTGGTCCACACCTGTCATCCCAGCACCTTGGAAGGCTGAGGCGGGCAGATCATTTGAGGTCAGGAGTCTGAGACCAACCTGGCCAACACGGTGAAACCCCGTCTCTACTAAAGACTACAAAAATTAGCAGGGTGTGGTGGCTGGTGCCTGTAATTCCAGCTACTTCGGAACCGAGGCAGGAGAATCGCTTGAACTCCGGAGGCAGAGATTGCAGCGAGCCGAGATGGCGCCATTGCACTTCAACCTGGGTGACAGAGTAAAACTCTATCTCAAAAACAAAAAAAAAAGGAATTTAAGGGTGAGCTGGTGTTACACAACCCCTTAAGGGTTACGGCAACCTCTAGTCAAGTGGCCGAGCACAGCAGCAGCAGAGGTACTGCTCCTAGGGTGGCAGGGCTGCCCCACAGGCGGTGTGCCCAGAATAGCAGCTCAGAAACACACCTGCAGCCACTCTTGTACCTGCTTTTAATTATATGCAAATTAAAGGTCAGGTATGCAGAAATTCCTAGAAAAAGGGCGGTAACTTCCGGTCAGTGGGTCTTTGCCGTGGAAAAGGGCGGTACCTTCCGGGGGTTGCCATGGCAACGGTAAACCGGGATGCCACACTGGTGGGCGTGTCTTAAGAAGAGCTGCTTCCACCCTCTGCCCTGTTTTAGCTAGTTCTCAATCTGGTGTGGTGTCTGAGTCCCCGCCTCCAAAGTCCCACATCCTACCTCAGAACTTCTGAGAAAGCCTTTTCCCCTTCCGCCCTGGCCTTTCCCATCCGAATAAGAAGGAGCTGCCTGGAAGTGACCCCCAAAGCCCTTTCATTTCTGACCTTCTGGGGCATCTGGGTTGCGGCTCATCCTAGACCTGCTGCCGTCCCCCAGCCCTCCCTTGGCCTGGTCAGCTCCTACCAATAACTGTGTGTTGCAAGGGTTAGAAAGCCAGGAGAGGCAGCTGCAGGTACATGTAATTGTAATTGTATCCATCAATGTTGGGGTCTGAGATTCGTGAGATGAAGCCACAGTATTAGGAGAAAGCAAAGATTTGTAAAAACCCCACTGTTTAGAATCTCCCCTCTCTCACACATCACACACTGTTTCAGATTTTCTACTAAAAGCAACACCCAGCACAGCTGTGCATGACTCCCAGGCCCCTACCCTGTCCTGCAGGATATGTGATGAGCAGAGGAAGGAGAGCAGGCTGGATCAGGAGGATTTGGGGTCCAGCCAGACTCAGACATGGGGAAGACGCTGGGGCTGATGGAGGAGGAAGAGAGGCAAGCAAGTTGGAGAGAGGACAGATGGACGCTCCCTTGGGAGCTCTTATTTCTCATTTCCAAGAGCCCCTGAGGATGAAGCCCCTCACCCACACATGCGGGGTCCCTGGGTCCTCTTATGACAGGACAGGAGGCTGCTCGGGCCTCGGTGGGATCTGACTGGGATGAGGCTGGGGTCCGCCCCAGACCTGCTCCTTTAGAGAGAAGCACCCCACTTGTGGGTGCACCTCACACCGCCCCTCCTGTGCTCACCTGAAGGCCTCTGTGCTCAGGGAACCCCTGAGAGTAAGGAGGGGCCACGCACCTGCTCCCTGGATGAGTTAGGGAGTTATTCACAGCGCGGCTTGTGTGTCATTCATTTCTACCCTGCCTTTTCTGTGCACACTTGTCTATTGTTACTCTCTGTTCTTCTGAAACATTTAAAGCAATACATGAATATATAAACTTATCATTTTAATTTGGGACATGATTTCATTTATATATTTGCTTTAGAAAATAGTTTCTTATTTATGTTAAGTTTTCCTATCCTAAACTTTTAAAATTGAGGTTTATTGATGAACTTAAGAAGTGTCTTGAAATTTTATTTATAAGAATTTTATATATTTATTTCAATTTAAACAATTATTCAATCACTTGAATAATCTGTAAATGAGGTCTTTGATTCCTTATAAATAAAAGCTAGGTATACATGATACAGTAATTGGTTTGAGTTCATTTACTTTATTTTATACCAACTTACTACAGAATTTCTTAATTCCAATTATTTTCAATTGATCCCCTCTAATTTACTAATAAAATGTACATAACTCACACAAAAGTTGAAATTTCACTTTATTTCTAAATTGCATTCCAATTGCTGTCTCCCAGGCTGGAGTGCAGTGGCGTGATCTCGGCTCACTGCAAGCTCCACCTCCCGGGTTCACGCCATTCTCCTGCCTCAGCCTCCCGAGTAGCTGGGACTACAGGTGCCCGCCACCACGCCTGGCTAATTTTTTGTGTTTTCAGTAGAGACAGGGTTTCACCATGTTAGCCAGGATGGTCTCGATCTCCTGACCTTGTGATCCACCCGCCTCAGCCTCCCAAAGTGCTGGAATTACAGGCGTGAGCCACCGCGCCGGGCGGATTATTCTCTAGTTCTTTTAGTTGTGATGTTAGGTTGTTAATTTGAGATCACCCATCACCACACCTGGCTAATTCTTTTGTATTTTTAGCAGAGACGGGGTTTCACCATGTTGGCCAAGCTGGTCTTGAACTCCTGACCTCGTAATCCACCTGCCTCAGCCTCCCAAAGTGCTGGGATTAGAGGCGTGAGCCACTGCAACTGGCCTATATGTCTATTTTTATACCAGTGTCATGCTCTTTTGGTTACTATAGCCTTGTAAACTTTGAGTCAGTTAATGTGATGTCTCTAGCTTTGCTCTTTTTGCTTAGGATTGCTATGGCTGTTTGGGCTCTTTTTTTGGCTCAATATAACTTTTAAGGTTTCTTTTTCTAAGTCTGTGAAAAATGAAGGTATTTTTGTAAGGACTGCATTAAATCTGTAGATTGCTTTGGGCAATGTGGTCATTTTAATCATAGTAATTATTCTGATTTATGAGAATGGGATGTTTTTCCATCTGTTTGTGTCTTCTACAATTTCTTTCATCACTGGTTTGAAGTTTTCCTTGTAGAAATCTTTCACCTCCTTGGTTAAATATATTCCCAGGTGTTTTATTTTTGTGCACCCACTGTCCATGGGATTGCCTCCTTGACTTGGTTCTCAGCTTCGTCATTATTGGAGTACAGAAATGCTACTGATTTCTGTACTTTGATTCTATATCCTGAAACTTTACTGCATTTCTTTATCAAATCTAAGAGTGTTTTGGCTGAGTCTTTAGGGTTTTTGAGGTATAAGATAATATCATCAGCGAACAGAAATAATTTCACTTTTTTTTTTTCCAATTTAGATGTGTTTTATTTCTTTGTCTTGCCTGATTGCTCTGGCAAGGACCTCCAGTACTACGTTGAAGAGTGGTGACAGTGCACATCTTTGTCATGCTCCAGTTCTTAGGGGGAATGCTTTCTATTTTTCCCTGTTTGCGATATTGGCTGGGATTTCGTCACCTATCGCCTTTAGTATTTTGAGGTATGTCCCTCTGTACCTTGTTTGTTGGGAATTTTTATCATGAAGGGATGCAGGATTTTATCAAATGCTTTTTCTGCACCTCTGTGACATAATCATAGAGACTGAAACCAGAATCCTCTCATGTCCCAACCCCTCATGTCTTAATCTAGTCTAGACATTAACCGTGATTGAGCCTCTCCCATGACCCAAGCACGGCTGACCCCCACATCCGCTGTGATGAGTGAGGTTCATGACAACAGGCTCCACACAGGGAAACTGAGGCTCAGAGATGAGACAGTACTGCCCAAGATCACACAAGCCGTAGATAATAATCGGGAATTACATAGAAATCAACTCCCCACCAGCCGGGCGCAGTGGCTCACGCCTGTAATCCCAGCACTTTGGGAGGCCGAGGTAGGCGGATCATGAGGTCAGGAGATCGAGACCATCCTGGCTAACATGGTGAAACCCTGTCTCTAATAAAAATACAAAAAAATTAGCCGGGCGTGGTGGCGGACGCCTGTAGTCCCAGCTACTCGGGAGGCTGAGGCAGGAGAATGGTATGAACCCGGGAGGTGGAGCTTGCAGTGAGCCGAGATAGCGCCATTGCACTCCAGCCTGGGCGACAGAGCGAGACTCGGTCTCAAAAAAAAAAAAAAGGAAAGAAAGAAAGAAAGAAAGAAATCAACTCCCCACTCAGCAAACCAGAGCCCAAACCTAAGTAATGTACCCACAAAAATTAAAAAATAAATAGATACATAAGAATGAAAATTTTAAAACAAAGCCTAAGTAATTACTCCGAAAATGTTGAACATGGATTGAGGTATAGAGGGAAGCCCAAAGAAACAGAAGGCACAGTGGAGGCAGAAAAGATTCAGAGGTTTGTTACTGGAGGTGGGGTGGAGGTGGACGCTGTTGCAAAAAAAAAAAAAAAAAAAAAAAATTAAGGGAAGTACAAGAAAGAGAGTACTATTGGTTAGAAAGAAAACACTCCAGGGCCACTAAAGGGTCATGATTTCCTCCCCTATTTCCCTGCATTTCTCCTCTGTGCTCATTGCCACATGCAGCTCAGCCTGGGCTACACAGCCAGGTGTCAGATGTGTCTCTGCTGATCTGAGTCTGCCTGTGGCATGGACCTGCATCTTCCCTGAAGCATCTCCAGGGCTGAAAAATCACTGACCATGGTAAGGACCCCGCAACGCTGAGCTCATGGACGGGCTGAAGGAGGGAGGGAGACCCCATGGGGAGGCTCTGAGAGGGAGGAGGTCACCCTCGCCTGAAAGGGGCTGACTCAGGAAGGCACCGGGTCTATTTGCTGCTGTGTCCCGGCTCTCAGTGAGATAAAGATAAATCAGGCAGACAGTGGCCCGGGGAAGGGAGACCCCACTTCTGTCTGAAATGTCTGCAGAGAGCCTGGTGCCTGTAGTCTCAACTACTTCACTTCAGCCCTGGGGAAATGAGAGCCAGGCTCCTGGGGAGAGCAGTTCCCCTTTCTGTGGGCTGAGAATGAGAAAATCCTATGACAAGAAGGACCCAGCCTCCGAGCTGCCACACCCTGTGTGTCTCTCTGTCCTGCCAGGCACCATGGTCTCATCCATCTGCACAGCTGCAGCCAGTGGGAGGAGACGCCGTGAGCCCTGCCCTCATGGTTCTGCTCTGCCTCGGTGAGATTGGAAGCCTCAGGGAAGGGGCACCCTAGTCTGGGAGGGACCCCACCCCATAACGAGGCCCTTGTCTATCAGGAAACTCCAGGGTTTTAGGAGGTTCCCAGGCAGGGGAGGACCTGCTCAGGCTTCAGAGGCAAATCTCTCACAGGGAACTCTCTTCCAGGGCTGAGTCTGGGCCCCAGGACCCACGTGCAGGCAGGTGAGTCTGTCCCCAGCTGTCCCAGGTCCCTCCTCCTCAATGGGGACAAAGGGCCACCCATGGGCAGCTGGGGGTGAAGACCGCAGTTCTGGGTGATTGATGGGGACGTCTGGAGGGTCCTGGGGCTGAGAGCTGGGATCTGAGGGGTGGGGAGGTCTTGGAGCCCAGACTCTGATTTCCTTCCAGGGAACCTCTCCAAAGCCACCCTCTGGGCTGAGCCAGGCTCTGTGATCAGCCGGGGGAACTCTGTGACCATCCGGTGTCAGGGGACCCTGGAGGCCCAGGAATACCGTCTGGTTAAAGAGGGAAGCCCAGAACCCTGGGACACACAGAACCCACTGGAGCCCAAGAACAAGGCCAGATTCTCCATCCCATCCATGACAGAGCACCATGCAGGGAGATACCGCTGTTACTACTACAGCCCTGCAGGCTGGTCAGAGCCCAGCGACCCCCTGGAGCTGGTGGTGACAGGTGAGAGGACACTCTGGGGTCCCAGCTCCAGGCTCTGCCCTCAGGAAGGGGGTCGGCTCTCAGGGGTGTCTCCCTTTCACAGCCCAGCCCTGGGGATGATGTGGGAGGTGGGAGCCCCATTTAACACGGTGCCTCCTTCTCTCCTAGGATTCTACAACAAACCCACCCTCTCAGCCCTGCCCAGTCCTGTGGTGACCTCAGGAGAGAACGTGACCCTCCAGTGTGGCTCACGGCTGAGATTCGACAGGTTCATTCTGACTGAGGAAGGAGACCACAAGCTCTCCTGGACCTTGGACTCACAGCTGACCCCCAGTGGGCAGTTCCAGGCCCTGTTCCCTGTGGGCCCTGTGACCCCCAGCCACAGGTGGATGCTCAGATGCTATGGCTCTCGCAGGCATATCCTGCAGGTATGGTCAGAACCCAGTGACCTCCTGGAGATTCCGGTCTCAGGTGAGGAAGCCACAGTCTTCTCTAGTACAATTCAGGGAAGCCAGACAGGTTGTGGAGAGCTTTACAGGCAGGGCAGCCCCTGCTAAGAAAGACAAAAAGGGGAAGGAGAACACAGAAATCCTAGGGACACAAATTCAGGGTGAGGAAAACAAAGCAAGGGCTGGGCACAGTGGCTCACACGTGTAATCTCAGCACTTTGGGAGGCCGAGGCAGGTGGATCACCTGATGTCAGGAGTTCAAGACCAGCCTGGCCAACATGGTGAAACCCCATTTCTACTAAAAATACAAAAATTAGCTGGGCGTGGCGGCACACACCTGTAATCCCAGCTACTTGGGAGGCTGAGGCAGGAGAATCGCTCGAACCCGGGAGGCGGAGGTTGCAGTGAGCCGAGACTGTGTCATTGCACTCCAGCCTGGGTGACAGAGCGAGACTCTGTCTCAAAAAAAAAAAAAAAGAAAAAGAAAAACAGAGCAAGGGAGACTCCAGAAGGAGGTTTATAGGAGGAACCAGCCCCTGCAGTCCCGGCTCCTTTATCCTTCCAGGTGTGTCTAGAAAGCCCTCCCTCCTGACCCCGCAGGGCCCTGTTGTGGTCCCTGGAGAGAACCTGACCCTCCAGTATCACTCTGATGTTGGCTATGACAGGTTTGCTCTCTACAAGGAGGACAGACGTGACCTCCTCCACTGGCCGGCAGCCCCAGGCTGGGCTCTCCCAGGCTGACTTCCCCCTGAGCTTGGAAGTGACCCCCAAAGCCCCCTCATTTCTGACCTTGTGGGGCATCTGAGATGTGGCTCATCCTAGACCTAGAAAAGCAGCTCCCATCACTCACCCTAAGACCTGGTCTGCTCTTGCCAATAGCTATGCCTCGCAAGGGTTAGAAAGCCAAGAGGGGCAGCTGCAGGTACATGTAATCATATCCATCAGTGCTGGGGTCTGAGGTTCGTGAGACGAAGCCACAATATTATGAGAAAGCAAAGATGTGTAAAAACCCCACTGTTTAGAATCTCCTCTCTCTCACATGTCACACGAAGCGTTTCAGATTTTCTACTAAAAACCATGCAGCTTTACAAGACTCCCAGGCCCCTACCCTATCCTGCGGGATGAGTGATGAGTAGAGGAAGGAGAACAGACCTGGTCAGCAGGATTTGGGGTCCAGGCCTGACTTGGAACATGGGGAAGATGCTGGGGCTGATGGAGGAGGAAGAGAGGCAGGCGAGTTGGAGAGAGGACAGACGGACGCTCCCTTGGCAGCTCTCACTTCTCATTTCCAAGAGCCCCTGAGGATGGAGCCCCTCACCCACACCTGCGGGGTCCCTGAGCCCACTCAGGACAGGGGAGGAGGCTGCTCAGGCCTCGGTGGGATCTGACGGTGATGAGGCTGGAGTCCACGCCAGACCTGCTCCTTTAGAGAGAAGCGCCCCAGCTGTGGGTACCACTCACACCGCCCCTCCTGTGCTCACCTGGAGGCCTCTGTGCTCAGGGCACCCCTGAGACAAAGGAGGGGCCGCGCACCTGCTCCCTGGAGGAAGTTAGGAACTTATTCACAGCACGTCTTGTCTGCTGTTCATTGCTGCTCTGCATTTTCTGGGCATACTTGTTTATTTTTTCTCTCTTCTTCTGAATCTTTTAAAACAATATTTGAATATTTAAATTTGTCTCTTTAAGATATATGGATTTATGATTTAAAAACAAGTAATTCCACTCCCATTGTCCTGGGGGCATAATTCAATATTTACATTTGCTGTATAAAATTAGTTGTTAATAGCAAGTATTTCTATTATTAATATATAAAATTGAAGTTTATTAATGAAGTTAATAAGTGTTTTCAAGTTCCGTTCATAAGAATGTGTACATTTAGTCTAATTTAAAAAATTCTTCAACTACTTTATTCTTAAGTGAAGTATTTGATTCATGTATATTTCTTTTGTTTGTTTGTTTGTTTTTGTTTTTGAGATGGAGTCTTGCTCTGTCGCCCAGCCTGGAGTGCAGTGGCGCGATCTCGGCTCACTGCAAGCTCCGCCTCCTGGGTTCACGCCATTGTCCTGCCTCAGCCTCCCGAGTAGCTGGGACTACAGGCACCCACCACCATGCCGGGCTAATTTTTTTGTATTTTTAGTAGAGATGGGGTTTCACTGTGTTAGCCAGGATGGTCTCGATCTCCTGACCTCGTGATCCACCCACCTAGGCCTCCCAAAGTGCTGGGATTACAGGCGTGAGCCACCATGCCCAGCCTGATTCATTTATATTTCTAAGTAAGATATACACATGAGAAAGCTTTTAGTTTGAGTATATTCATTTAATTTCATTTTAGCTTGCTATAACATTTTTCCCTTTCAATTATCTTTCAACTGATCTCCCCAAATTTACTGATAAAATTTATATTAACTATAAGAAAATTGAAATTTTATTTTTTATTTCTAAACCGCATATCAATTTTTGTCACTTCAAGTATTAATATGCATGTAACTGCATCTTAAATAAATATCTAAAGTTTTACATATATACATATTTATGTATGGTTATATAAGTTACATCTGAATATAAGTGTAGGTATATCTGCATATATTTTTTATACGTATATCTACATGCTTAATGTATTTGACATGGAGGGCTTTTACATGTTTGTTATTGGTCTTCTCACCTAGACTCACACTTTATAAAAGCAGAAATTTTTGTTTGTTTGTTTGAGATGGAGTCTCTTGCCCTGTTGCCCAAGCTGGAGTGCAATGGCATGACCTGGGCTCACTGCAACCTCTGCCTCCCAGGTTCAAGTGATTCTCCTGTCTCAGCCTCCCAAGTAGCTGGGATTACAGGCAGGTGCCACCATGCCCGGCTCATTTTTTTATTTTTAGTAGAGACGGGGTTTCACCATGTTGGCCAGGCTGGTCTCGAACTCCTAACCTCGTGATCTGCCCGCCTTGGCCTCCCAAAGTGCTGGGATTACAGGCATGAGCCACCACGCCTGGCCCTAAAAGCAGAAATTGTTTTATGAGCCTCTGTAACACCATATATATATATATATATATATATATATATATATATATATATATATATATATATTTATATATACATATATATACACACACACACACACACACACATTTATATACATACGTATATATATATGACTGACTATATGAATAGTTAGCTGACTAGAGACTTATTGTATGATGAAACACCAGGTGAGGTGGTTGAGGTGGCGTCAAGGGGAGGCAGCTGTTTGTGATTCTGACTTTCAGGAGCCCCTGAGGACCAACCCGTCATCCATGGAGCCTGGGTCCTCAGCTGGTGGATCCGTGAAACTCTCATCTCTGGGGGAATTGGCTTATGTGCTCCTGTGTCCCAGGCTGCACAGAGAGCACAAAGGGCTCAGTGACTTCTGGGGGCCACTTTCCTTGCAGATCCTGAGCTTTCACGGTGCAGGAAAGCTCTTTCCCAAATGACTCAGGAGCAAAGTTTAAATTCAAAGAACAAAGGAAAGCTGAAATAATTCAGTGAGGAGACTGGAGGGAACCCTGCTCCAGCAGAGGGAGGGTTTATGGAGGAACTCCATAAAAGTCATGTTGAGAGGCACAGGGAACTAGGAGAATGCAGAGCTCAGGGGAGAGGCTGGGCTCAGATTGCTTCAAGAACTTCTCCTTCCCCTTCCCCTGTTTTGATTTTCAGGAGCAGCTGATAACCTCAGTCCGTCACAAAACAAGTCTGACTCTGGGACTGGTGAGTGAGGAGATGCTCTCAGTTATGGAACTGGCACAGAGGGTCAGGTCCTGTCAAGATGATATGGGTGCCCTGGGGAGACATCCAGGGGTCCTGGGTGATACTGATCTGCCCTGACCTCTGTGACCTCTTTGTCCACCATCCCCAGCCTCACACCTTCAGGATTACGCAGTAGAGAATCTCATCCGCATGGGCATGGCCGGCTTGATCCTGGTGGTCCTTGGGATTCTGATATTTCAGGATTGGCACAGCCAGAGAAGCCCCCAAGCTGCAGCTGGAAGGTGAACAGAAGAGAGAACAATGCACCATTGAATGCTGGAGCCTTGGAAGCGAATCTGATGGTCCTAGGAGGTTCGGGAAGACCATCTGAGGCCTATGCCATCTGGACTGTCTGCTGGCAATTTCTTTTTTTCTTTCTTTTCTTTTCTTTCTTTTTTTTTTTTTTTTTTTTTTTTGAGATGGAGTCTTGCTCTGTCACCAGGCTGGAATGCAGTGGCGCAATCTGGGCTCACTGCAACCTCCGCCTCTCGGGTTCAAGTGATTCTCCTGCCTCAGCCTCTGGCAATTTCTAGAGGGAGGAATGGGTGTTTGAGTGCAGAGACACTGGTCTGGGGTGATCCATGGAGGACCATTAAAATGTGACACCTTTCCTTTCTATTAATGTTGACTTCCCTTGGTTGGATTCCCTTCTCTTCCCAGCCCGAGACATGAGGCTACATCCCACATGGCAGGCAGCGTTGGGTCCACATCTCTGCACACCTGCATGCTCTGGTCCTTGGCGTGTCACACAGTCCACTTCAATTCTCATTATCACACTCCCTGTGTGCTTTACTGAGCCTCCATCTCTTCAGTTCAGAGTTCCACACCTGAACCAGTAACTAAATCCATGGGAGAAGATCAGATGCCCTCCAGGAAAAGATAAATCCAAAATGGCGTCCTAACCTCTTGTCTGTAGCCTTCAAGCCCCATTCGCTCTTTTTTTTTTTTTGAGACGGAGTCTCGCTTTGTCACCCAGGCTGGAGTGTAGTGGCACTATGTCGGCTCACTGCAACCTCCACCTCCCGAGTTCAAGCAATTCTTCTTCCTCAGCCTCCCAAGTAGCTGGGACTACAGGCGCATGCCACCATGCCAAGCTAATTTTTGTATTTTTAGTAGTGACAGGGTTTCACCATGTTGGCCAGGATAGTCTCGATCTCCTGACCTCGTGATCTGCCCGCCACAGCCTCCCAAAGTGCTGGGATTAAAGGTGTGAGCCACCGCACCTGGCCTGTAGTGACTGGGTTTCACCATGTTGGCCAGGATAGTCTCGATCTCCTGACCTCGTGATCTGCCCACCTCGGCCTCCCAAAGTGCTGGGATTACAGGGGTGAGCCACTGCGCCTGGCCTAGCCCCCTGTCTTGATTATATGCTCAGGGTCCTGGGACCAGGGTCATCCCTGGGTTGAGGGTCCAGGGAGAGGGTCCTAGAGTAGAGGATGCGATGAGGCAGTGGTCCAAGGAGAGCAACTTAGAAAAGGAGAGTGAGAGGCCTGGAGATTACAAAGACCCACACCAAGAGTCTAACAGGAGCTGAGAGAGAGGAGGCCAGTCCCTCAGTTCGGGGTCCAGGACATGTGGGAAGGGGCTGCTTTGTACACACTGCAACCTTCATATTTCCTAGAAATGTACAAGAAACCCTCCATTTGTCTGAGCCAGGGCCCTTAGTGTCCTCGGGAGAGAACTTGACCTTGCAGTGCTACTCAGAGATCTGGTTGGGTACCTTCTGTCTGTCCAAGGACCGGTCACTTGTGCCTCCCCAAAACCATCGATTGAAAGACATGGCCTTACTCTCTCAGGCCAAGTTTACTCCAAGCCCTCTGACTTCAGCCCACAGGGGGACCTACTAGTGCTGTGGTCCACATAGTTCCTCCTTACCCCTATTGTCACACCCCAGTGACCCCTAAAGATTTTGGTCTCAGTACAGGAGCTCCAAGCACCACATCCGTTAAGATTCTAAACCTTAGCATGCATCCCTGTGCTAGGAGAGCCCCGGCCTGGGATAGAAGGAAGGAAAAACAGCAGGGACCAGTCATAGGGCAATCCCATCTCAGAAAGGGATGAAGAAATTCATGAAAGTGGGGGTCATTCTCACTCTCCATGCCTTACCCTACTCGGGGGTCACAGAAGGTGCTGGGTGAGTGGAATGAGAAGATTTGAAAAGGTAGGGGGCCAACCTTTGAGCAAAAGAGATGAAGCTGAGGAACAGAGCAAGAGGCACCACAACCCCACCTACTCCTTCTGTCCCTGCCCCAAACAGTCTGTGGGATCTGCAGCTCCTCACCCTCATGGACTCACTTCATGTTGGCTGAGCAACAAGGTCCTCACAGACTACAGGAGTCACAGTCTCCGGCAGCTCTGGGCTGAGTTTCTCAGCTTATTCTTCTGCCCTTGAAGTCTTTACAGAAGAGGTTGTTTCCAGAGAGCCTGGGAAGAAAGGTAGAGATGAAGGGAGGGAGCCTTATTTTCCAAGCAGCATTGAGGTATTTTGTTCCTGCTGGGTGGTCAGTATGAGGTGAAATGTGTAAAGAAAAAGATGAGCATAAGGATAGGAAAAATAGACACTGTGGATTACTAGAGGGTGGAAGAGGGTTAAAAACTACTTATTGGGTATTATGCTCACTAGTTGGGGGATGTGATCCGTACTCCAAACCTCAGCATCAAGCAATATTCCCATGTAAGAAATTTGTACTTGTACTCCCTGTGTCTGAAATAAAAGTTGGAAGGAAGGAAGAGAAAGAAAGAAAGAAAGAAAGAAAGAAGGGAAGAAGGAGAGAAAGAAAGAGAAAGAAAGAAAGAAAGAAAAGAAGAGGAGAGAGAGAAAAGAAAGAAAAAGAGAGAAAGAGAGAAAAGAAAGAAAGAAAGAAAGAAAGAAAGAAAGAAAGAAAGAAAGAAAGAAAGAAAGAAAGAAAGAAAGAAAACGAACAAGAGGTCCAGCTGAAGTGGAGAGAGGAGTGGACCCTATTCCTTGCC
The DNA here is from genome assembly GCF_000001405.40 of Homo sapiens. NCBI lineage: Eukaryota > Metazoa > Chordata > Mammalia > Primates > Hominidae > Homo > Homo sapiens. The sequence continues at coordinate 54,304,688 of NC_000019.10, read as the reverse complement.
CCTGTCCATGGTGCTGATTCCTAGGGATTGCAAAGATGCCCCAGGCACCTGTGGAATCAGGTCCGCAATCAGAAGAGCAGACTAAAAGGTCCCTCTTATTCTGTAGGACAAGTGGGTGGGTAAGCTCTTATTGTGAAGGACAAGTGGGTGGGTAATTCACAGAAAGTCATAGCTTGAAGTGGAGATGGCTCAGCCACTCTAAGATAGACGCCTTTAGCAAACTCTATCTAAATCTGGGATAGTACTCTTCCATCCATCAAAGGCAGAATGCCATCCTTGTTTCCAAAAGGTATCTCAGTTCTAAACTTCTGTACCAGTAACTTCCTGGGAAAGAACGTATCAGAATTCACTTTTTCTGTGACTCCTGTCTACTCTGGACATATTTTGTCTCTACCATTAACTGTTTTCATCCTGTGGAGGTAGGAATAAAAGCAAGATAGCAGTTTTCTGATTAGATTTCCATAATCATCAGGTTGTCACCCTGGCAGGAGAAACCACAACACTGAGTACTTGAAAGATAACCTCTCCTGGGTTTGAAACTTCCTGTACAGTGGCGTGATCTCTGCTCACTGCAACCTCCGCCTCCCAGGCTCAAGCGATTCTCCTGCCTCAGCCTCTTGAGTAGCTGGGATTACAGGCATGCACCACCATTTCCGGCTAATTTTGTATTTTTAGTAGAGACGGGGTTTCACCATGTTGGTCAGGCTGGTCTTGAACTCCTGACCTCAAGTGATCCACCCACCTCGACCTCCCAAAGTGCTGGGATTACAGGTGTGAGCCACTGCACCCGGCCACATATCTCCTTATTCTAGTTATTCTCAGAGAGTATTCTGTATATGTATATTTCTCTCCATCCAATGATTTGAGATTGATGGTTTTATTGTAGATAGGTTTTTTTCTCATTTTATGTCTTTATTGATTTTTACTTAATTTATTGCACATCTGTGAATACAGATCTATGTTACTTCACAGCACTTATTAAATTTCCTCATAATCAAATAAGTCTTGTCCACACTAGGAAACTTTCTGCATATTTGTTGAATACTTCAATCAGCTGATCCTATATTGAATAATATTATTTTTCTGGATCTTCATATAATGACCACTTTGTCATTTTTTCATTTTTCCAAACCTGTCACATCCTCAAAGACATTTTCCATGACAAAGTGGGTTAAGTGATTCTTGCCCACCTGTATTCTCTAATAGTCCTTGTATTAGGTTGACACACATTCGAGATCTCTAGGTAGCTTAATTTTTTTGTCCATGTATCCATCTGCACATGTTGTTTTCTAATTTATCTCCTTAAAATTTTTTGCTTTTTTCTCATGAGTTTCTACATTGAATTAACAATGGGAGATTTTTTTCACTGTAGTATTTCTTGCTCCTGGAAAAGAGGCTTGGATGCGGCCCGGCATGGTGGCTCACACCTGTAATCCTAGCACTTTGGGAGGCCGAGGTGGGTGGATCACCTGAGGTCAAGAGTTCGAGACCAGCCTGACCAACATAGAGAAACACTGTCTCTACTAAAAATACAGTATTAGCCAGGTGTAGTTGTGCATGCCTGTAATCCCAGCTACTCAGGAGGCTGAGGGAGGAGAATCGCTTGAATCGGAGGCAGAGGTTGCGGTGAGCCGAGATTGCACCATTGCACTCCAGCCTGGACAACAAGAGCAAAACTCTGTCTCAAAAAAAAAAAAAAGGCTTGGATTCTAAAATCATTCTCTCATTCATCGCAAAACAGGACAGATGAGTGGACCCAATCATTAAAAGTGAGGCAGTGATTATTACTTTTAATAGTAGTAGTATTAAGCTACACTGGACCACAGAGATAATTAGATGAGGCAGAACAATAGAAAAGGCAGTGACAGCCTTTAGCTCTGTTGTACCCTGGACTCTGGTACAATCTAGAGTCCCACATACGCATCTCTGAATTCTGTATTGACAGATGAAGAGTTACTAGAGGTATTTACCTTAAGGGGTTAAGCACGGGTTTACCTAATATGGGAACAAATTGAAGATGAGAAAGGAGCACAGTTAAGTATTCCTGTATCTTTGAATTCCTTTTTTCTGTCACTGAGTTGTGGTTGCAAAACTAAACTCTTAATATCCCCCAAACCGAGAGGTTGGTGGTGACCTCAATGAGGCCCAAGAACTTGAACAAATTTGAGGAAGGAAATCATACAGTGCTCCATCTGAGGTGGGAGTTGAGGTTAGCAAGGATGGTTACACAATTCTCCCATGAGAAGGGAAGAGAGGTCCAGGCGCGGTGGCCCCAGCACTTTGGGAGTCCAAGGCAGGTGGATCATCTGAGGTCAGGAGTTCGAGACCAGCTTGACCAACAAGGTGAAACACTGTCTCTACTAAAAATACAAAAATTAGCCAGGCATGGTGGCAGGCCCCTGTAGTCCCAACTACTCTGGAGGCTGAGACAGAAGAATTGCTTGAACCTGGGAGGCAGATGTTGCAGTGAGCTGAGATTGCACCACTGCACTCCAGCCTGGGCAATGGAGCAAGACTCCATCTCAAAAAAAAAAAAAAAAAAAAAAAAAAAAGAGGGAAGAGAGTTGTTATGAAGGAGCCAAGACAGGGGAGCAGGAGTAGAATGGCCCCAGCTGCTCTAATCCTCCCATGCTCTTATTCGTAGGAGTCCTTGATCCTCTCAACCAGCATCCACCAAGTATAGTTTCAAAGTCAGGAGTAACTACGACTTCTCTTTCAGGAGTGTGAATGTGTAAACACCCATCCAGGCTCCCAATGTGGGTGCAGCCTGTCTAGCCCCCAGTGAATGCCCTGTTCTGTCTACTGACCATGCCCCTTCAGACTATGCAATGGAGAATCTCATTCCAATGACCATGCTGGCTTGATCCTGGCGGTCTCTAGGGGATGATCTTTCAGGCTCAGCACAGCCAGAGAAGGCCCCCAAAGGCCGCCAACATGGAAAGTCAAGATGATTTTGGATTGACTCTTCAGTTTGGAGAACTTTGAAAAATCTGCATCAGAAAAGCTGTGCTGGCCCTAGAAGAATCTGGGAGAGCTGGAGGCACGTGCTGTGTGAACGCTGTGCTGAAGGATTGAAGATGACTACTATTTCTTTTAGGTGAAGGATATGCAAGAAGAAGTTAACCTAACAGTGATGAGGATGCTAACTTTAGAAGGACTTGTTTGTGAGCTTGATTCTTGGTTGGCATCTAGGAACTTGCTTCTAGCATGTCCCCTGTGTTACTAAGAGACAACGTGAGGTTGTGTGCCTGCGGCACTGAATTCTGCTGTTATGTCTTCACTAGGCTGTTTCTGTAAACAGTGTAATTCATGGCGAACACCCGGTTTCCTCTGGTTTCTCTGTAGCTGCTCATTATGCCTATGTGGTCCCCACCTAATAACAATCTTGAACATTGAGTCTCAAGCAGATTTGCCTGGGGCCAACACTGCACATGTGTTGCTGCATTTTATGCTGGTGGAATGAACAAGTTAAGACACAGGTTTGCACAACTTATAACCAACATCATTTTTCTTTTATTTTCTTTCTTATTTCCATAGGTTTTTGGGGAACGTGGTGTTTGGTTACTTGCAGAAGTTCTTTAGTGATGATTTCTGAGATTTTTGTGCACCCATCACCCTAGTAGTATACATTAAACCCGATTTATAGTCTTTTATCCCTCACCTCCTCCCTCCCTTTCCCCCGAGTCCCCAAAGTCCATTGTAGCATTCTTATGCCTTTGCATCCTCATAGCTTAGCTCCCACTTAGGAATGAGAACATAAAATATTTGGTTTTTCATTCCTGAATTTCTTCACTTAGAATAATAGTCTCCAATTTCATCCAGGTCACTATGAATGCCATTATTTTGTTCCCTCTTATGGCTGAGTAGTATTCCACAGTGTATATATATTTGTGTGTGTGCGTGTATACATATATATATGTATATATGTGTGTGTATATATGTATATATGCGTATATATGTGTGTATATGTATATATATGTGTATATGTATAGATGTATATATGTGTGTGTGTATGTGTGTATATATATATGACAATTGCTTTATCCGCTTGTATAATCAACATTATTTTTCTCAAATGTATTTTGGCAAATAAAATATTTTCCAAAAAGTGAAAAAAAAGTTACTCTTATATAACGATGGCCTAAGATACCACCTACTGATGAAAGTGAGGTGGCAATTTTGGATTAACGGGCATCACAGGCAACTACATAGATCCTCTCAGCAAACATACATGAGGAAAACCAAAACCAACCAGACAGCCAGAACCGGAATTAAAAACTAGTCCTTCGACTGGGCGTGGTTGCTCACGCCTGTAATCCTAGCACTTTGGGAGGGCGAGGCGGGCGGATTGCCTGAGCTCAGGAGTTCAAGACCAACCTGGGCAACATGGAGAAACCCCATCTCTACTAAAATACAAAAGAAATTAGCCAGGTGCGGTGGCATGCCCCTGTAGTCCCAGCTACTCAGGAAGCTGAGGCAGGAGAATCACTTGAACCCAGGAGATGGTGGTTGCAGTGAGCCAAGATTGTGCCACTGCACTCCAGCCTGGGCAACAGAGTGAGACTCTGTCAAAAAAAAAAAAAAAAGGAAAGAAGAAAGAAAGAAAGAAAGAAAGAAAGGGGGGGGGAGTGAGGGAGGGAGGGAGGGAGGGAGGAAGGAAGGAAGGAAGGAAGGAAGGAAGGAAGGAAGGAAGGAAGGAAGAAGGAAGGAAGGAAGGAAGGAAGGAAGGAAGGAAGGAAGGAAGGAAGAAGGAAGGAAGGATTTCTACTCATGACTGTGATAATCTGTGTATTTAAGCAATATTATATGTACAATTTCTTAGTGCTCAGGGTAGATGAGGATTCTTGGGTGGGAGCGTCAATTGTCCAACACCCTGATTTTCTCAAATTTACAACCCTATGTCTTACTCTGTCCTGGGAATTAACCATCATTGAGCTCCTTCGAAGTCCCAGTCACCGCCGACCCCCACGACCCCTCTGATGAGTGGGGTGTGTAACAACTTGCTCCACACAAGGAAACTGAGGCTCAGAGAAGGGGTTGTGAAGGCTCAAGGTCACATGGGCAGCAGATAATGAGCAATCATTAAGTAAAAATCAGCTCCCCATCCCAACAGGTGAGTTCCCCTCAGGGAAACAAAGGACACTGAAGACTCAGGAGTGGATCACAAGTCTGTTTCCAAGGAGACGAAGGTGGATACTGCTGCTAAGAGAAAGGGAAAGTCCATGGAGGGCACGGGTTGATAGAGCAAACTGGCAGTGTTGGATACAGGTCGTGTTCTCTACCCATATTTCCTGTGTTTCTCCATTGCGCTCATTGCCACAGTGCAGCTCAACTTGAACTACACAGCCTGATGTCAGATGCGTCTCTGCTGACCTGAGTCTGCCCTGCACCATGGACCTGCATTTTCCCTGAAGCATCTCCACGACGGATGAGATGACTGGCCATGGTAAGGACCCCACAACCCCGTGCTGATAGACAGGATGAAGGAGTAAAGGAGACCCCATGTGGAGGCTCTGAGAGGGGAAGAGAAGCCCTCAGTTACCCTCACCTGGAAGAGGCTCACTCAGGGAGGCCCTGGGCCCATTTTTCTACTACATCCTAGCCCTCAATAAGATGAGGAAAGATCCTGCAGCCAGTAGCCAAGGATCAGGGGGAGCCCATTTCTGTCTGAAATGTCTTCAGGAAACCTGGTGCTCACTCCCACCTCAGCCCTGGGGAAATGAGAGCCAGGCTTCTGCAGTTCCCCTTCCTGTGGGGCTGCTGATGGGACAACCCCATGACAGGGAGAACCCAGCCTTTGAGTGTGTCTGTCTGTCCTCCTGGACACCATGGTTTCATCCATCTGTACAGCTGGGGCCAGTGGGAGGAGATGCCGTGACTCCCACCCTCACAACCCTACTCTGACTTGGTGAGATTTCAAGAGGAGAAGGGGCACCCTAGTCTTGAAGGGACTTCACTCCACAGCCAAGCCCTGGTCTATCAGGAAATCTCAGGGGTCAGGATGCTCCCAGGCAGGGGAGGACCTGCTCAGGCTTCAGGGGCAAATCTCTCACAGGGAACTCTCTTCCAGGGCTGAGTCTGAGCTTCAGGACCCATGTGCAGGCAGGTGAGTCTGTCCCCAGCAGTCCCAGGTCGCTCCTGCTCACTGGGGACAACGGGCCACCCCCAGCCACCTGGGGATGGAGAACAGCATCTCTGAGCTGACTGATGGGGACATCTGGGCGGGTCTTGGGACTGACAGCTGGGATTTGAGGAATGCATTAGTATCTTGGGACCCAACCTGTGATTTCATTTCAAGGCTCCTCACTAAACCCACCACCTGGACTGAGCCAGACTGTGTGATCCCTGGGAGGAGGCCTGTGACCACCTGGTGTCAGGGTACCCTGGAGCCCCAAGAGCACCAGCTGGATAAAGAGGGAAGCTCAGTGTCACAGAACATTAAGGAAACCACTGGGGCCTGGGAACAAGACCAGGACCCATATCTCACACAAGCCAGAGCACAATGCAGAGAACTGTCACTGTTATTATCAAAGTGCCACAGGCCGGTCAGGGCACAGTGACCCCCCTGGTGCTGGTGGTGACAGGTGAGAGGACACTCAAGGCGCCCAGCCGCAGGCTCTGTCCTCAGGAAGGGGGTCACTTGCGCCCTGACTTTACTGTCTTTTAGGGATGTCCCATAAAGGGGCAGAAGTGCTGAAGCTCTCAACCTCTGGGTGGCGTCTGCATATCGTGCAGAACCATCTGCAAACCAGGCTTGAGTCTTCACTTTCTCTGTCAACGGAGCATAGAGAAATCCCCATGAGATTATAGGTGCAGGCTGGAAGGCAGAAGGTTGTGTAGCAGGGACAGGAACCATGGGCATTTGGCCCCCTGCTTTGTGTAAATTGCTCACACTTTCAGGGCCTGAGTGGACATGATCTTATTATACAGCTTGCATCGGCTAACACACACTTCACATTTCATGGTACCTTGGTGACCTGTGCCCAAGCATCCAGTCTCTCCTAAGGCTCAATAATGGAAAAAAATATAATATTTTCCTTTTTTTTTTTTTTTTGAGATGGAGTCTCACCCTTCTTGCACAGGCTAGAGTGCAGTGGCATGATCTCGGCTCACTGCAATCTCCGCCTCCTGGGTTCAAGCGACTCTCCTGCCTCAGCCTCCCAAGTAGCTGGGATTACAGGCAGGTGCCACCATGCCCGGCTAATTTTTTTATTTTTAGTGGAGACAGGGTTTCACCATGTTGGCCGGGCTGGTCTCGAACTCCTGACCTCAGGTGATCTGCCCACCTTGGTCTCCCAAAGTGCTGGGATTACAGGCATGAGCCACTGTGCCCGGCAAAAAAAAATATATGTTTTTCAAAAGGAGACTAGCTATCTGTGAATGATGATAGGATTTTGCTCCACAATCCTAAGTGTCTAAGCCCCAATTCACCTATAGGAAGGAGCTTGTCAAAACCTCCAAACAGCATCTCGATCTGCCACTGACACTTCAAGCACCATCTGTTCCACTGGATCATATGGCCCAGGTGGCAGAAGAGCTTGTGCAGGACCTGGATCTGTTGCAGAGCCTTCCCCTATTCCACACCCCACTCAAAACTTTTTTTTTTTTTTTGAGATGGAGTCTCACAGTGTTGTCCAGGCTGGAATGCAATGGGACAATCTCGGTTCACTGCAACCTCCATCTCCACTGTTTTAGAATCTGCTGTCTTTCTTTTTTTTTGTTTTTTTTTTGAGACGGAGTCTCGCTCTGTCTCCCAGGCTGGAGTGCAGTGGCGCGATCTCGGCTCACTGCAACCTCCATCTCCCGGGTTCACGCCATTCTCCTGCCTCAGCCTCCCGAGTAGCTGGGACTACAGGCGCCCGCCACCACGCCCGGCTAATTTTTTATATTTTTAGTAGAGACAGGGTTTCACTGTGTTAACCATGATGGTCTCGATCTCCTGACCTTGTGATGTGCCCGCCTCAGCCTCCCAAAGTGCTGAGATTATAGGCGTGAGCCACCGCGCCCGGCTGTGTTTGGATGTTTTAAAGCACAGTGGCCCGAGGGAAACTGACTGGGCGGCTCCCTGTGGCATGGGAAACCCGGGGGAGGTCAGCGGGGGCTACAGTGCAGCCCAGCTCTGGGCCTGGGGGGTTCATGTCCAATGTTGTCCAATCACTGGATAATTCTGACATCTAACTAAACCTCTTTTATAGGAAAAAGAGATGCTTTAAAATTGTTAATTTAAATTTAAATCAGAAGAGGGCAATTTGGTAATAAGTTAATATGAAATACAATGAATATACCCAAACCAGTAGCTTTCTCATGGGTACTTACCTCTTGTTTAAAAAATATAAAGGAATCAAATACTTCACTTATAAGTTGTCAAAGGTGTTGAATAATTTGTCATATGAGTTACCTCTGAATATGTCTCTTCTCCTCTGTTTTGATTCTCAGGAGCAGCTGAGACCCTCAGCCCACCACAAAACAAGTCCGACTCCAAGGCTGGTGAGTGAGGAGATGCTTGCCGTGATGACGCTGGGCACAGAGGGTCAGGTCCTGTCAAGAGGAGCTGGGTGTCCTGGGTGGACATTTGAAGAATTATATTCATTCCAACTTGAAGAATTATTCAACACCTTTAACAATGTATATGTGAAGTACTTTATTCTTTCATATTTTAAAAATAAAAGATAATTATCCATGAGAAAGCTACTCGTTTGAGTATATTCATTGTATTTCATGCTAACTCACTACCAAATTACCCCATTCTAATTGCTTTTCTATGGATCTCCTCTAATTTCCTGATGAAATGTATACAAACCATGAGACAATGGAGATTTTACTTATTTCTATATTGCTTGCCAATATTTCTCACTTCAAATATCAATATGTATGTAACTACATCTTAAATATCTAAAGTTTTACATCTATACATATTTATGTGTGGTTATATAAGTTACATTTGAATATGTGTGTAAGTATTTCCAAGTTCACTTGATAAATATATCCATATTCTTAATATATTTGATGGCCAGGCGCAGTGACTCATGCCTGTAATCCCAGCACTTTGGGAGGCCAAGGCGGGCAGATCACCTGAGGTCAGGAGTTTGATACCAGCCTGGCCAACATGGTAAAAGCCCATCTCTACTAAAAATACAAAAAAAAATTAGCCAGGCATGGTGGTGCGGCCCTGTAGTCCCAGATACTAGGGAGGCTGAAGCACAAGAATCACTTGAACCCGGGCGGCAGAGGTTGCAATGAACCGAGATAGTGCCACTGCACTCCAACCTGTGCGACAGAGTGAGACTCCATCTCAATAAAAATAAAAATAGGCCGGGCACAGTGGCTCATGCCTACAATCTCAGCACTTTGGGAGGCCGAGGTGGGAGGATCATGAGGTCAGGAGTTCGACACCAGCCTGGCCAACATGGTGAAACCGCCATCTCTACTAAAGATACAAAAAAAGTAGCTGGGCGTGGCGGCGTGCACCTGTAATCCCAGCTACTCGGGATGCTGGGGCAGGAGAATTGCTTGAACCCAGGAGACGGAGCTTGCAGTGAGCCGAGATCACACCACTGCACTCCAGCCTGAGCAACAGAGCAAGACTCTGCCTCAATAAATAAATAAATAAATAATAAAAATAATAAATAAATAAATAAGACATTTGATGTGGTAGGAGTTTACATGTTTGTTACTGGTCTAGATTCACCTAGATTCACACTTTGTAAAAGCAGAAATACTGATTTATGAACCTCTAATAGCACCACTATTTAGCAGACAGATATTTTTGGATGGGGGCCGGGGGGAAGGTATCACATCATTCTAGGTTTTCCTGATTATATGAAGAATTAGTTAATTAGATTAATTGGACAATGAAAACCCAGGTGAAGGGGAGGCAGCCCCAGACTTTCACCGCTTTGTGCTTCTGACATTCGGGAGCCCCTGAGGACCAACCCCTCATCCAGGGAGCCTGGGTCCTCAGCTGGTGGATCCGTGAAACTCTCATCTCCGGGGGAATTGGCTCATGTGCTCCCGTGTCCCAGGCTGCACAGACAGCACACAGGGCTCAGTGACCTCTGTACTGGGGACCACTTTCCTTGCAGATCCTGAGCCCTCAGGGTGAAGGAAAACTCTCCCCCAAATGACTCAAGAGCAACATTTGGATTTGTAGAAAGCAGGAAAGCTGAAATAATTCATTAAGAAGAACGGAACGAACACTGCTACAGAGGAAGAGTTTACTAAGGAACTCCTTAGAACTCATGTCAGGAGACAGGGGAAGATAAGAATGCCGAGCCCATGGGAGAGGCTGGCTCAGGGTACTTCTCCTTTGCTTTGATTCTCAGGAGCAGCTGATACCCTCAGCCCATCACAAAACAATTCAGACCCCAAGACTGGTGCGTGAGGAGATGCTTTCAGTTATGGGGCTGGCACAGAGGGTCAGGTCCTGTGAAGGGGAGGTGGGTGCCCTGGGTGGACATCCAGAGGTCCTGGGTGATGTTGATCTGCCCTGACCTCTGTGGTCTCTTTGCCCACCATCCCCAACCTCACACCCCCAGGATTACACAGTGGAGAATCTCATCCACATGGGCAAGGCTGGCTTGATCCTGGTGGTCCTCAGGATTCTGTTATTTGAGGCTCAGCACAGCCAGAGAAGCCCCTAAGATGCAGCTAGGAGGTGAACAGCAGAGAGGACAATGCATCTCTCAGAGTGGTGAAACCTTGGGAATAGATATGGTGATCCCAGGAGGTTCCGGGAGACAATTTAGGGCCAATGCTATCTGGACTGTCTGCTGATAATTTCTAGAAGGAGGAATCAGTGTTGGATTGCAGAGATATTTTGCAGGGTGATCCATGGAGGACCATTAACATGTGATACCTTTCCTCTCTATTAATGTTGACTTCCCTTGGTTGGATCCCCTTCTTTTCCCACCCCTAGACATGAGGCTACATCCCACATGGCAGGGCTGGATCCACACCTCTGCACATCTGTGTGCTCTGGTCCATGGTGTGTAACACAGTCTTCTTTATTCCTCATTGCCATACTCCCTGGTGTGCTTTATTGAGCCTCCATCTCTTCAGTTCAGAGTTCCAAACGTGCTTCAGTAACTAAATCAATGGGAGAGTATCAGATTTCAACCAGGAAAAGATAAATCCACCCTGATGCCCTGACACCCTCTCCAAACCCTACAAGCCCTTCCCTCCTTCTCAGATGCTACCTGTGTATCTTCTCCTCAGATCACTGTGTAACCATCACTGCCATCCTGTTCCACACATTGTCATCATCCTACACCCATTCAGCAGCCACTCCCCATTCCCTCTTCCCTCCAGCACCTGCTAACCACAAGTGTGCTTTCTGTCTCTACGGATTTGCCTATTCTGTCTGAAAACATTTCAATCTCCTTTGACCTGTGAGCTCCTCACTTCGAGACTTCCTGCCTTTCCAGGCAGAACCAAAGTACACCACGTCAAAAGCAATGATAGGCATTTGCAGTGTGTTGGTGATCCACGAAAGGAAAATCACGGAAGTAGGATAGAAATCCAGCTGCAGACAAGACCTCAGGTCGATGAATCTTGTCAAGCAGTTGAGCTGTTTCTTTCTACTCACCTATGACAGTCAGACAGAAGTATGCAAAATGACTGGGGCTGATTCTTTTCTGAATTGTCCCAAACAGCAAGAGGACTTGAGTCCTAGCATTAAAGAGTTCAACATATCTAGGTCCAAGACGACTGTTGTGTTTGAAGGATGTAAAGCTTTGCTGTATAGGATAGAATGTTTGGAGGGAGGATCCTGAGAAAACATGAAGGACCAAATATTCACAATCTACTCTCTAGAATAAAGAAATCTTATCATTCACCATCTACCCTCTAGAGTAAACAAATCTTATCATTTGCCGTCTACCCTCTAGAGTAAAGAAATCTTATCGTTCGCCAGTTACCCTCTAGAATAAAGACATCTTATCATTCACCATCTACCCTCTAGAATAGAGAAATGTTATCATTCACCATCTACCCTCTAGAATAAAGAAATCATATCATTCACCATCTAACCTCTAGAATAAAGAAATCTTATCGTTTGCCATCTACCCTCTAGAATAAAGAAATGTTATCATTTGCCATCTACCTTCCAGGATAAAGAAATCTTATTAAGGACATTTTCAAAGCCTTAACAGAATATGAATGATTACAATATTATGTTTTACCTATACAGCGTCTTCCAAGTTCTAGTTTGGTTGTGCCAGGCCAAACATTTGAGCCAGATTTCGGCAAGATCAAGCAGGAGACTCTGGCATCTGTCGCTGATTACCTTCCCACCATACCCGGCCACCAGCCTTTCCCATGGACCCCCACATGTGTCTCCAGACTCTCGGGTACGAATCCTGTGAACACACTGACCTCCGCCTTCTGCATGACTGATCAGCAATATGAAATTTGCATAAACACAAATAGAAAATATACTGTCCCCACATTCCCTAAAATAAAACTGGGTCCTCGCCCATGGGCTTTTGCTGGATTATACTAACAAAAGGCAGGTCTTATAACACACATTCCATAGACTCACATCTCAGAGAATGTTGGTTCCACAGGCTCAGGATCCTGAACACACTGCTCCACTCTCAGGGCTCAGAGACATTCTGCATGTGGGTCTTCACCCCATTCGGGAGCCCTAATTCCTTCTTCCTCGGTTTTTCATACAGTGATTTTTCCCAGTCATCTTTAATACCTTCTTTTTTTAAAAAAATAAATAAAGATGAGTCTCACTATTTGCCCTGGCTGGTCTTGAACTCCTGGGCTCAAGTGATCCTCCCCGCTCAGCCTGCAAATCCCTTCATGCCCAGCCCTTACAACTTCATTAAAACACAAAATTTTAGTTTTTATTTCTAAAACTTTTTGGATTATGTTACATTTTGTTGAATATTAATATTTCCAATAGATATTTTACTAGTATACCTTTCTTCACTTACTGATTGTAAATTATCATTTCATTTTAGATGGTACTATTGTGTTTCATGCCTAGGTGTGATTGGGGTACTGGGCTATTTAACTTATCCTTCAGTGGATGAATTACTCTTTTACATACAGGATTAAAAAAAAAGAAAAATTTGGAATAACTTCACCTATTTAGTTAAGTATTCACTCAATTATATATTTTCGAATGAGGATTCATTTATCCTTGCCTTTAGAGAAGACACGTTCTAATTCCACTGTAGCTGAACTCTGAGTACTCACATGTGTACATGCACACTGACTCATACATGTGTGCCCGTGTGTGGTTGCATTCATGTGGGCATGTCTGTGTGTGATTTTCAAATACTTGCCTGTTTCTCACTTACATCACTGTGGCATCTCATATTCTACATTTTGGATTCATTGATTCTTTTTTTTTTTTTTTTTTGAGACGGAGTCTTGCTCTGTCGCCCAGGCTGGAGTGCAGTGGCACAATCTGCGCTCACTGCAAGCTCCGCCTCCCAGGTTCACACCATTCTCCTGCCTCAGCCTCCCGAGTAGCTGGGACTATAGGCGCCCACCACCACGCCCAGCTAATTTTTTTGTATTTTTAGTAGAGACGGGGGTTTCACCGTGTTAGCCAGGATGGTCTCGATCTCCTGACCTCGTGATCCGCCCTCCTCGGCCTCCCAAAGTGCTGGGATTACAGGCGTGAGCCACCGCGCCCGGCCGGATTCATTGATCTTCCAACTGGATGATATCATTTAAAATTGCCTTCACTGAGCATGAAAACAGTAATATCTAGTAACTTGCAGCTCAGAAAATGCCTTCTTTTTCCTCCCACTCTCTCTATCAAAATAGATGAAAACATTTCTGTATTAGTTAAAGGGTAAGTATAACACCTGGAAGAGAAAGCACATCTGATGATTTGAGAGATCCACCCTCCAATCCCTCCTCAGCCCTCACGAAGGGGAAGCCCAACCAGACAGCTTCACAGGTCCGTCTTGCCCTGAGCCTTCTTCTGTTTAGGAATTGGTCCCCTGCTGACCCCTTTACCTTTCAGGTATTAACCTGAGTAAGTATAGAATTCCTCACTTGCAGTTAGTCCCCTGAGAGTACTCTCTTAGCATCTCCTTCCCTTATCTTTTTACTATCGGGAAGTCCAGTCCCACTGAGAAGCAATGCTATTGACATGTTGAGTTGAAAATCACAAAACACAAAAATGCATTTTAAATTACATAATTCAGTCTAGCATATGTATTTTTTAATTTACTCCTATTTTTCAGTTTATCATGAGAGGTCAAGATTTGCATTTTGGCCAGGCGCGGTGGCCCACCCCTGTAATCCCAGCACTTTGGGAGGCGGAGGCAGGCGGATCAGGTGAGGGCAGGAGTTTGAGACCAGCCTGGCCAACGTGGTGAAGCCCCATCTTTACTAAAAATACAAAAATTAGCCGGGTGTGGTGGTGCGTGCTTGTAGTGCCAGCTACTCGGGAGGCTGAGACAGGAGAATCGTTTGAACGCGGGAGGTGGAGGTTGCGGTGAGCTGAGATTGTGCCACTGCACTCCAGCCTGGGCGACAGAGTGAGACTCTGTCTCGAAAAAAAAAAAAAAAAGATTTGCATTTCATGCTTAAATGTATGCACACTAGTGACTTAATTACTTCCTCCCTGAAGACCCCAATGGCACCAGACACAAATGCTCTGTCAGTTTTAATTTTCTCTTTAATGCAGGCGCTTCTCCTTCTGACAAGCTTTCATTTCTCATTTTCTGGACATGACTGTGATAACGGGGGTGTTGATGAAATATTATGAGAAGCATCTCTCAAGGGCAGGAACAAAGGGGCTCTCCTTAGTGGAAACATCAATCTCAGGCCTTGATGGTGGGCGCCAGCATCCCTTCATGCCCCCACCCCTCCTGTCTTCACCTGCTCTGGAAATTACCCATGGCTGAGCCCCCTGCAGTCCCCAGGCTCCAATGACCCAGCTCCCCTGTGATAAATGGGGTTCATCACAGGCTCCAAATGAGGAAACCGAGGCTCAGAAATGGGAGGTTACTGCCCAAGGTCACACAGGCAGGGGGTGACACATGAATATTTAAATAAAGACAAGATTTCCCCTCAAAGCAGAGTGCTAACCCCACGTATTGTCCCAGAACCTTGAACTCAGGAGCACAGGATGGGAACAGGAGTGTTTGAAAGAAGACAGGGGCACCAAGAAGGCAGAGTCAGGTCAATGTTGTTTCCAGGGAGACGGGGGCAGATGCTGTTGCGATGAGTGAATGAGAAGTTCGTGAAGGGAACGTTTTTGCATAAAGAAAACCCACACTCCAGTTCTGGGGAAAGAGTCATGATTCCTTCCCTTGTCTCCATGTATTTCCCTTTTCTGTTCATCGCCACAATAAAGCTCAACTGGAACTGCACAGCAAGATGCGAGATGAGTCTCTGCTGATGTGAGTCTGCCCCGCAGCCTGAATTTGCATCTTCCCTGAAGCTTCCCCAGGACTGGTGAGAAGACTGGCCATGGTAGGTTCCCCACAAGGGTGTGTTTATGGGTGAGCTGAAGGAGAGAGGGAAACCCCACGAGGAGTCTCTGAGAGGAAGGAAGAACCCTCCGTTGCCTTCACCTGGAAGGGACCAACTCAGGAAGGCACCACGTCCATTTGCAGCTACGTCCCGGCCCTCAATGAGACGAGGACATGTCAGGCAGACAGTGAAAGGAGATCAGGAGAGATGCCATGCGTGTCTGAAATATCAGCAGAAAGCCTGGTGCCTGTCTCAAAGGATGGTTCAATATATGCAAGTCAATAAAGGTGACTCACGACATAAACTAAGAACAAAAAGCATGTGATAATCTCAAGCGATGCAGATAAAGCATTCGAGAAAGGCCAAGTCCTGGGAAAACATGAGCCAGCGGGGTCCGGGACAGCTCACCACCCATGGAGATGCTGGTGGGAAAATCCTGTAAGTGGGAGTAAGGAAGGAGACCACTACTACTCCTGCTGCCCTCCTCCCCCCACCTTGCCTAGTTCACAAAACAGGAAGAGAGAAAAAGCCAAAAGTTGGAAAAATACAAAAGTAAGATAAATAGCCAGACAACCTTGGCACCACCACCCGGCCGTAGGAGTTAAAAAAAGTAATAATAATAACATCAACCCCTGACCTAAACTACTGGTGTTATCTGTAAATTCCAGACACTGCATGAAAAAAGCACTGTAAAACTTTTTGTTCTGTTAGCTGATGCATATAGCCCCCCACAGTCATGTTTCCCACGCTTGCTTGATGTATCACGACCCTTTCACGTGGACCCCTTAAAGTTATAAGCCTTTAAAAAGGCCAAGAATTTCTTTTTCGGGGAGTTCGGCTCTTAAGACGCGAGTCTGCCCACGCTCCCAGCTGAATAAAAACCTCTTCCTTCTTTAATCCGGTGTCTGAGGAGTTTTGTCTGCGGCTCGTCCTGCTACAGGAGAGCCCTGCCTCTCTGTGCCATGACTGTCACTCCCATGGCCATGGTCCACTTCACTGAGATTTGACGAGGGGAAAGGGAGATTCTAGCATGAGAGGGACCCTGCCCCACAGATAGGCCCTGGTCCAGTAGGAGACCCCAGGGGCTAGGGAGGATCCCATTCTCATTTTCCTGGGAAAATGTTTTCACTTCTCCCCATTCAATTTGATGTTGGCTGTGGGTTTGTCACGCAGGGGGTGTTGGTATTTTGCGGTATGTTTCTTTCATGCCTAGCCTGTTGAGGGATTTTATCACGAAGCGATGTTGGACTTTCTTGAAAGCTTTATCTGCATCTATAGAGATGATCATATGCTTTTTGTTCTTAGTTCATGTCATGAGTCACTTTTATTGACTTGCATATATTGAACCATCCTTTCTTCCCTGGAATCAAGCCAACTTGATCATGATGAATTATGTTTTTGATACACTGTTAGATTCCGTTTGCTAGTATTTTCTTGAGGATTTTTGCATCTGTGTTCCTCAGATTTCTTGGCCTGTAGTTTTATTTTTCTGTTGGATCCTTGTCTGATTTTGCTATCAGGATGATACTGATTTTGTAAAATGAGCTGGCAAAGAATCCCACTTCCTTGATTTTTGGAATACTTTCAGTATGATTGGTACCAGCCCTCCTTCGTACATACAGCTAAGTTCAACTGCGAATCCATCTGTTCCTGGACTTTTTTGCTGGAAGATTTTTAGTACTGATCCTTTTTCATTGGTTGTTATCGGTCTGTTTAGAGTTTCTATTTTTTGCCTGTGCAATCTTGGGAAGTTGTGTGTGTCTAGGAATTCATCTATTTTCTCCAGGTTTTCTAGTTTATGTGCATAAAGGTGTTCATAGTAGTCTCTGATGATCTTTTGTATCTCTGTGGTGTTGGTTGTAATGTCAACTTTATCATTTCTGATTGTGCTTATTTAAATCTCCTTTTTTTGGTTAGTGTAGTCAGCCATCTCTCAATTTTATTTATACTTTCAAAAAACCAACGTTTTCTTTCATTGATTCTTTGTAATGTTTTTGTGTCAGTCTCATTCTTTATCTGTCCTTTCAGAGTTTCCATTGTTTTCAGCATCCATCACTAGCGAGCCAGTGCGATCCTTTGGTGGTGCCACAATATTCAGATTTTTCACGGCGTCAGAATCCTTACACTGATTCCTTCTCATCTGGAGAGGCCTCCACTTACTCTCTTCGAATTTATTTTCGTTTGGATGGGATTTCTTTTGCACATTTTCCCCCAGCCCCGCAGGGAGGGTGACTGTAGAGCATGTTGGGAAGGGTCTTTTGGCTTTTCCCATGGCTTTGGGAGCTTCTGCAGCAGGGTTTGCATTGGGCTGTGCAGCTCAGATTGCAGGCCAGGAGCTGGTGCTTAAGGGTAAGAGCCACGCTCGGCACAAGCAGGTGGATGTGGACCTGGTGTGTTTCCTGTGAGGTGCTGACTCTTGTTTCAGGGGAAGGGCTGGACCGTGGAGTGTCAGGTGCCCTGAGCTTCCTGTTCCACAGGGGCGAGGGAACACCCCTGGGCAGAGCTGGAACCCCCGGCTTGCCCACAGATATCCCAGTGATGAGTGCAGGCACTAGTCCTGATGGACATGGCTGGAGCAGCTCCTAGTGAAATGCCCTGAGGTCTCTGCGGGGAGTGAAGGAGCTACACCGTTTCCAGTCCCATAGGGAGGAACGTTGTCTGTCTCCCTATCACACCCGTGCTCCAGGGCTCATGAGTCTCAGTTCAGACACACACTCTTGTCTCTCCCCAGGCCACAGTGTGGCTGAGGGCAGTGGGAAACACCTGCCTTGCCACTCTCTGCAGGCGTGGTTCCAAGGCAGAGCCTCCTCCCTCAGCCCAGTGCAGACCCTGAGCGGCTGTCTGTTGTCTGACGCGGTAGCTGCTTCATGTAGGTGGGATGTGGGGCTTCTGCCTCTCTGGATGGGAGAGTGGACGTCAGTTGTGGTGGTGTTGCTGGCTGGGTGGGCCCGACCTCAGGCCCTGGGGTGAGTGGTCAGGTGCCAGCAGGTAGGAAAGGGCAGGTAGTTCCCGGATCACAGGCCCCTAGGTGGCCGGCTGGACAGCGTGTGTGAGTCCTGAAGGGGCTGGACTGGGTTTCGGCTGCTCCGGGGTTCAGATGCTGGCTGTGATGGGGAGGGATGGGCTGGTCCCCAGGTCACCGGCAGAACCTTCAGGCGGGGCAGGCAGAAGGCTCAGGTGGTAGAGCCTGCGGCAGATCACAGGCCTGTGGGGACTGGGCTCTCAGAAGGGCTGGGGGCTGCAGCTGAAATGTCCAGGTGGGGGCAGGGTGGCTGTGCTGTGGGCCTGTCACTAGGGAGGGCAGCGCCCCTCGGCTGGGGCACTGGAGACTGGCAGCTGTGAGGCACAGGGCCCGCTCACACTTCCCTCCTGAAGAAGTGTCACTCGGTTTTGCTCTGGGGACACGTGAAAGTGCCAGGCCTCCCCACACCCTCCCTGGGCCTGGGGCAGCAGGGGCAGAGGCAGAGGTGGCAGTGACTGCAAAGGGCTTGTCAGGGGCCTCTGAGCATTGGGCTTTCAGAGGGCACCGAGCCAGGGCCACGGTGTTCGGGTGGGGGCAGGACGGGTGACTGGGGCCCTGCAGCTGGCAAGCCCCATTAGCAGGAAGGAAGCCCCATTTCGCAGGAAGCAACAGAGGTGGGCAGCTGTGTGGTGCTCAGCTTGGCTGCTCCTGTGCCCCAGCTGTCATACTTATTCTGGGGCCCACAGAGGTGCCTGGCCTCCTCCCTCCCTGCTAAGGCAGTGGCAGCTGGACCCAGGCTGCTCAGGGATCAGAAGCCTGTGGGATTCCACGTGGGCTCCAGTGGGGCCTTGGTACAGTCTCCAGGAGCAAACTGTGGGCCTCTGGAGGCCCAGAGGGGACAGGCGCTCTCCTGTGGGCAGGATCCTAAGGGCCCACAGCAGAGGTGTAGATGCCAGGGACCCCTCACTCACTCACCCCTTCCCTGTGTTAGGGAGGCTCTCACTCATTCACCCCTTCCCCGTGTTAGGGATCCTCTCACTCACTCACACCTTCCCCGTGTTAGGGATCCTCTCACTCACTCACCCCTTCCCCGTGTTGGGGAATCTCTCACTCACTCACCCCTTCCCCGTGTTGGTGAATCTCTCACTCACTCACCCCTTCCCCGTGTTAGGAGCCTCTCCTGGCTCCCACCTTTTCTCTTCTCTTCTCTCCATGTCCTCATGTTTCTCAGGTGAACCCCAGCATCCTCTTGGAAGATCCACTTGACCTGTTGGTATTTACTCGCTATTTTGGGTCCTCTTAGTGAGTAGGCAGACTCCAGCCCTTTCCATTCAGCCAACTTGAACCTCAGCCCCCAGTCATTTTCTTGCACTTTTTACTCTTGGGAAATCCAGTCCCAATGTGCTTGTCTTTCATTGGACAATAATTTTCATTTTCTCCAGTAGTTTTAAAATTACTTTGTATCTATTCTAGGTATCTTTTACTCTATCATAGTTAAGACATTGATGTTATTTATGAATTTGTTCACGTTAAACTCATGTTCTTTCTTCATTTCTATAAAAATGTCAACCATTTTCTTTGCAAGTATTTACTGAATAACATACTCCTTATTTCCTTCATTCTGAAAGTGTGATCCAAAGAGAGATATCTGTTTCCTCTTTTCATTCCATTTCTTGTGTGCATTAATTATCTTTTCTATTTTTTTCATTTCTAGTTTTTCTCTGATGACTAATGAAAAATTTTAGTAAATATTCTACACCAATACAATGTTTATCATTTCAGCTGTGTCTTGTTCTGGATGAAATTATTTCTAAATGTGTTAATATAATTTACTATTTTCACATCACAATAGCTTCCTAATTCATTTCTACAATTGCCTGTTTTTTCTCTAACGGACTCTTTGATTTTTATTCCTCTGGGGTGGGTTTTTCTCCCACACACCTGATCTTCCATATAGGGTTTCTCCCCAGGCTGACTCAGGAAGGAAAGCTGATGAGGGCATTGCTGTAGCCGCTCCTGCCCTGCGGTGTCCATGCTCCCAAGCTTAGAATCACCTCTGTGTTATGCCCGGCATGGCGGGGTCCATGTGAGCCTCACACTCCAGGGTCAGAGATGCCCGGTCCAACAATGATAAAGCGCATCTGTGTCATGCACACCCGGGAAGGTGGCTCAGTGCTGAGTGTAGCCCGGGTCACTGAGTCATCCCAGGGTCTGTCCACAAACACAGAAGAGGGGGAGTCACAGTCTCTAAGGTCCCACAGTTTCCTCCACTTTTTTCCTTGTTCTGAGAGTGAGACAAAGGGCCATGACTGTTCTGTGGGTTGGACAGATGCATGTTTCCACCTGCAGGCTGGAACCCAAGCTGAGGTCTTGAGCATCCCCAAGTACTGATAAAGCACTTTAGGTTGTTTCTAGAAAACACTGAAAAATTAACCCTTTTGCTAAAAGTGTAGAAACAAGCCCTCCCCTGAACCAAATTCCTGAAACTCTCAGGTTAAACTTCGTAACCCCATCCCTTCACTGCAGACTCCCAATAGAAAAGTTACAGGTGCAAGGATGAGATGACTTTGGTCAAACTCAGACCCCACAGGGCCAGGAAGGCCTGAAGGAGAGGAGGCCCATGCTTCCACGTCTCAGATAAGAACTGTTTCTAAGGACTTTTAAAAAACCCATAAGAAACTCTTCCATGTCCTTCAGCCCCTTCTGCTTTGACAAGGTTTATCACTAGATGTTCTTTAGGACGTCAGGAATTCAGATAAGATGCTCTCAAGAGAACCATTGACCAGCAACAGCATCTCCTCCAATGGACTGACAGCAACTCTGGCTTTGAACCTGTGGAACCAGGGAACTCTGTTTCCAGGCAGCTCTGTCAGGCTCTCCCTTGTTGCTGATAAGAACTTCCTTTACCTCTCTATGTACAGAGAGCTCTCTCTACGGTGCTTTTCCTCTACTCTCACGTCACAGGAATCATCAACACAGAAAAAGACTTCTAGGACCAGATGTATGGGGTTTTTTTCCCCAGACGCAGTAGCGAACAGCAGCTGGGTGTCCTCTAAGTCAGCTCTGGTGCTGTCTACCCAGAGACAGTCCCGGATCCCACAGATTGAAGGCCCATTCCCCAAAACTGCCCCCAACACCATTCCCAAGTCCAGACCTCCAGAACTTCTGACTGACTGGCTTCAAGTTGGGGATCCCATGCCCCACTCTTTGGGTTTGATTAATTTGCTGTAGCAGCTCACAGAACTCAGGAAACACTGACATTTCCTGGTTGAATACAAAGCACACTGCAGAGGACACAGATGAAGAAACTCATAGGAGGAGGCATGGGGGAAGAGGCCCGGGGCTTCCATACCCTCCCTGGGCGTCGCCCTCCAGGAGCCTTAGCATGCTCAGCCACCCAGAAACTCATGAAACCCAGTCCTCTGGGGCTTTTATGAAAGCTTCATGACATCAGCATTTCCTCCCACAAGGAACAGGGTGAGACTGTCTTCTGGGAGGGTCTTAAGATCCACTATCAGAAAGGCAGGGAACATTCGAGTCTTACTTTGGGTTAGGTGAAGGAAGGGCAGGAGGAGGTCAGAGGCCTCCCCTGAGGCCCAGCACAGCCAATGTTATAACAAAAGACTATAACAAGGGCTATGGGAGTTACAAGCCAGGAACTGCGGGTGAAAACCAGCATATATCACAACATCACACTTCCCTCTCTGGACACACTGTGGCTTGCCATGCCATGCACTCCATATTGTAATCCTTGCTTCTCACTCCCAAATAAACTCAAAATCCAGGCAACCCTGGAGCAATGCAGCCTTGAATTCCAGGGGTCTCTTATATGCACACTTTTTCCAAACAAACGGGGATCAAAACTATAGCATTTGTGAGAAACAAGACTTGCGTATATGAACGGCAGACTTTTCCTATATGCAGACCCAGCAGAGACAACGTCAGGGCTGGAGTACGAGCAAGTGTTGGTACATGTAGGGGGTACTGAAACGAATTGCCTGTGTATCCCAAGAAACAACTGTACTGAGAGATCATATTTTCTAGGGGTTTATTTTTGGTTTTGTTTTTATTTTAGGTTAAAGCTTTGGATAGAATACCCAGTGTCTCCTTGTCCATCTGAAGAACATGCTGCTATGTGGAAGCACATCCTTGAGATCCACAAGGAGACACTGGGCAAGAAGACAAGGATGCCCCACTGTGCAGAGGTCCCCCTAATAAATGCTCTATGAACACCCTGGTGTTTAGTGCTTCTTTCCTTGGAATTCCAGCAGGTCTGGACAGTTTGGTGCACTCCCTTGAGGGAATTCCCCTGGGCTGCTTGGGGTCCACTCCAGCCTCAGGTGTAGCTAGAGGACGCAGCCTCCCACCTTGGTCTGGAGCCCTGAGCCCCTCACTGTCATTGCAGATCCCGGGGTTCCTCTCCCGGCTCCACTCAGTGGTGGAAACCTCCACCCTAATGAGCCCTTGATGGTCCCGGGACCCTGTGGCATCTCACCTCTGGCCTCTGTTCTTTCTTGTGAGTCCGTCTACACTTGGGGTTTCCACATGTCTTTTTCTGCTCATGACCTTGATACTCTGGGTATTTCAGAAATGCTACACATACGTTTCTCCATTACGGTCAGATGTGACATCTTGAGTGGACTCATCAATCACCTACAGAATGTGGAGTCCAACAGCAAGATCCTCTCACGTCCCAAAGCCTCAGGTCTTACCCTGGTCTGGAAATCAAGCACAAATGAGCCCCTCCCAATGTCCCAGGCACCACTGACCCCACAACCACTGTGACGAGTGGGATTCATGACAACAATCTGCAAAGGAAGAAACTGAGGCTCAGTGATGGGACATTACAAACCAAGGTCACGTAGGCAGCGGATGATAACCAGTCATCAAATAAATATCAACTCCCTCCCCCACTCCCCAAATCAAAGCTCAAACATAAGTCATTGTTCCCAAAATGTTGACCAGGAATTGAGGTGCAGAGGGACGGCTAAGGACGCAATGGGCACCGAGGAGGCAGGAAAGACTCAGAGGTTTCTTCCCGGGGGGGAGGGAGTGGACGCTGGAGCAAAAACATTTAAAAAGGGGAAGTTAAGAGGGGACTATTTGGTTGAAAGAAAACCCACAATCCAGTGTCAAGAAAGAAGTCAACTTTTCTTCCCCTACTTCCCTGCATTTCTCCTCTGTGCTCACTGCCACACACAGCTCAACCTGGACAGCACAGCCAGAGGCGAGATGCTTCTCTGCTGATCTGAGTCTGCCTGCAGCATGGACCTGGGTCTTCCCTGAAGCATCTCCAGGGCTGGAGGGACGACTGCCATGGTAAGGACCCCA
Organism: Homo sapiens; assembly: GCF_000001405.40. NCBI lineage: Eukaryota > Metazoa > Chordata > Mammalia > Primates > Hominidae > Homo > Homo sapiens. Next base: position 54,280,948 of record NC_000019.10, on the reverse strand, counting down.
CAACGCTGTGCTGATGGATGGGCTGAAGGAGGGAGGGTGACCATGTGGGAAGCTGTGAGAAGGAAGGGGAAGCCACTGCTACCCTCATCAGGAAGGGCAGACACAAGAAGCACCAGTTCTATTTGCTGCTACATCCCGGCTCTCGGTGAGACGAGGAGAAACCAGACAGACAGTGGCTGGGGGTCAGGAAAGACCCCATTACAGTCTGAAATGTCTGCAGAGGGCCCAGTGCCTGCCCCCACCTCAGCTCTAAAAGAATGAGAGTCAGGCTCCTGGGAGGGCAGTTCCGCTTCTTGTGTGGCTGCAGATGACAACACCCCATGAGAAGGACCCAGCCTCTGAGTGTCCACACAGGGTGGGAAGGAGGGGAGGCTATTTCTCTCTGTGTGTCTCTGTCCCGCCAGCACCGAGGGCTCATCCATCCGCAGAGCAGGGCAGTGGGAGGAGACGCCATGACCCCCATCGTCACAGTCCTGATCTGTCTCGGTGAGATTTGAAGAGAGAGGGGAGCTTCTAACCTAGGAGGGACCTCACCCCACAGCCAAACTCTGGTCCCTAAGGAGACCCCAGGGGCTCACAAAGATCCCAGGGAGGGGAGGACCTGCTCAGGCTTCAGGGGGCAAATCCCTCACAGGGAACTCTCTTCCAGGGCTGAGTCTGGGCCCCAGGACCCGCGTGCAGACAGGTGAGTCTGTCCCCAGCTCTCCCAGGTCCCTCCTCCTCACTGGGGACAAGGGGCCACCTCCGTGCAGCTGGGGATGGGGATTAGAAGTTCTGGACTGACTGATGGGGGCATCTGGAGGGTCCTGGGCTGAGAGCTGAGATCTGTTGGGTGGGAAATGACTTCGAATCTGACCTTTGATTTCCTTCCAGGGACCATCCCCAAGCCCACCCTGTGGGCTGAGCCAGACTCTGTGATCACCCAGGGGAGTCCCGTCACCCTCAGTTGTCAGGGGAGCCTTGAAGCCCAGGAGTACCGTCTATATAGGGAGAAAAAATCAGCATCTTGGATTACACGGATACGACCAGAGCTTGTGAAGAACGGCCAGTTCCACATCCCATCCATCACCTGGGAACACACAGGGCGATATGGCTGTCAGTATTACAGCCGCGCTCGGTGGTCTGAGCTCAGTGACCCCCTGGTGCTGGTGATGACAGGTGAGAGGACACTCAGGGATCCCAGCCCCAGGCTCTGCCCTCAGGAAGGAGGCTCTCAGGGGTGTCTCCCTCTCACAGCCCAGCCCTGGGGATGATGTGGGAGGTGGGAGCCCCATTTAACACGATGCCTCCTTCTCTCCTAGGAGCCTACCCAAAACCCACCCTCTCAGCCCAGCCCAGCCCTGTGGTGACCTCAGGAGGAAGGGTGACCCTCCAGTGTGAGTCACAGGTGGCATTTGGCGGCTTCATTCTGTGTAAGGAAGGAGAAGATGAACACCCACAATGCCTGAACTCCCAGCCCCATGCCCGTGGGTCGTCCCGCGCCATCTTCTCCGTGGGCCCCGTGAGCCCGAATCGCAGGTGGTCGCACAGGTGCTATGGTTATGACTTGAACTCTCCCTATGTGTGGTCTTCACCCAGTGATCTCCTGGAGCTCCTGGTCCCAGGTGAGAAATTCACAGCATTGTCTGGAGTTCCCTGAGTCTCCCTGAGTCTCCAGGCAGGTGGGGAGCAGCCGTGTCTCAGGGCAGTTCCAGGTGGGATGATGTTGGGGCGAGAGGGCTCAGGGGTCCTGGGGCCAGAGACACAGGAAGATCAGCAGTGGTGAGGCACCGGGGGAGAGGGAGGGTTTGTGGGGAAGCCTGAGGGTCGGCTCCTGGAAACCATGAGCACCTTTTCCCAGGTGTTTCTAAGAAGCCATCACTCTCAGTGCAGCCGGGTCCTGTCATGGCCCCTGGGGAAAGCCTGACCCTCCAGTGTGTCTCTGATGTCGGCTATGACAGATTTGTTCTGTACAAGGAGGGGGAACGTGACCTTCGCCAGCTCCCTGGCCGGCAGCCCCAGGCTGGGCTCTCCCAGGCCAACTTCACCCTGGGCCCTGTGAGCCGCTCCTACGGGGGCCAGTACAGATGCTACGGTGCACACAACCTCTCCTCTGAGTGCTCGGCCCCCAGCGACCCCCTGGACATCCTGATCACAGGTGAGGAGCCCAGCGGGTTCAGTCAGGGACCCAGACTCTGCACAGGCCCTGCCGGGGGAATCCAATTAGTGATGGCCAGGATGAGGCGGGGGGTGGTCCCAAGGGAGGGAGAGACAGAGAGAGAGACAGGGGATGGGTGGGGAGGGGAAGACTCAGAGAAAACAGAGACAGAGGCTCCTAGAGAGGCCTGGGGAGGTCTCAGCTCAGAGCAAGGTGGGGCAGCCCCTCACCCATCCTTCTTCTCTCCAGGACAGATCCGTGGCACACCCTTCATCTCAGTGCAGCCAGGCCCCACAGTGGCCTCAGGAGAGAACGTGACCCTGCTGTGTCAGTCATGGCGGCAGTTCCACACTTTCCTTCTGACCAAGGCGGGAGCAGCTGATGCCCCACTCCGTCTAAGATCAATACACGAATATCCTAAGTACCAGGCTGAATTCCCCATGAGTCCTGTGACCTCAGCCCACGCGGGGACCTACAGGTGCTACGGCTCACTCAACTCCGACCCCTACCTGCTGTCTCACCCCAGTGAGCCCCTGGAGCTCGTGGTCTCAGGTGGGGGCCTTGACCCTGTCCTCTCTGAGCTCAAAGGCTCAGCTCAGGCCCTGCCCCCCAGGAGAGCTCTGGGCTGGGATGGAGTGAGCGGGGGTCTGAGCGGGGCTCAGCCAGTGGGAGACTCACCCTCAGAGGGAAGGAGGACAACAGGCCCTCCCAGGCCTGCGCACACTCAGCGGCATCGCCAGCATCATGGACAGGAGAGGCGGGTGGAGGGAGGGGCCTGGGGAGGCCACAGGGCCCATGTAGAGAAATTTGGTTTGAGGTGGAGACTTCAGGAAAGCCCCAGCTCCTCACCCTCCTCTCATTCTTTCACCCAGGACCCTCCATGGGTTCCAGCCCCCCACCCACCGGTCCCATCTCCACACCTGGTGAGTCCCTGAGGCCTCTGGCTCGAAGGGAGCGCAGCGACCCCCAGGGCAGCTTTGAGTGTCCAGGAGGATCCCATTCCCTTCAGGGACTCAATCAAGGGCTTCTGTCCAGGGAGCTGGGCAGAGCCAGAGGAGGGGCCACAGGGTCCCCAGGGCTCTGAGGCTGGGCTGGTGAGGGGTGGGGGGTCAAGGCAGAGAGAAATGTTGGGGCCCAGCCTGGGGGAGGAGCAGCCGGGCTGATGTGGGGAGCAGGGCAGCCCCAGCCCTCACCTCCCCGTCCTGACCCAGCAGGCCCTGAGGACCAGCCCCTCACCCCCACTGGGTCGGATCCCCAAAGTGGTGAGTGAGGGGCTCTGAGTGGGAGGTGGGCGGGGTCCCGGGGAGGCAGGGGTGGGTTCTGTCCTAGGTTCAGGCTCCTCTGGAGGTGGTGATGTAGACAGGCTCCTCCCCTGCCTGGGCCTCAGTTTCTCCAAGTGTAAAGGAGAGAGGCCTGCAGGTGGGAAAGTTCCTTTCAGCTCTCACTCCCAGCTGTGACCTCCTGGGAGAGGAGGCCCCTCAGGGAAGACTCCAAGACTCGATTCCGCGGGGGCCTGTCCCGTCCCACCTGCAGCAGAGACGGTGACCTGGGGCAGGGGAGGGGAGCAGAGTCGTGGTTCAGGACGGTAAGGCTCTTTCCCTGCAGCTCCGGGGCTCGGCTCTGGTGCAGGAACAAGGGCTGCAGGTCAGACTCCCAGGCTCCCTTCCCAGCTCTGCCGCTTCCTGGCTGGGGGCCCGGGGCAGGCGATTCCCCTCTCTGAGCGTCAGTTTTTCATCTGTAGAGTGGGTGGGGTGGATGTTTGTGTGCTGCACGACTGTTGTGGGGGTTGGAGGTGGTGAACAGAAGGTCCAGCAGTCACCTGCACACAGTAGGCGCTCATTTCAATGACATCACCCCCATCCCTGACATCATCGTGCTCAAGGTCTGGGAAGGCACCTGGGGGTTGTGATCGGCATCTTGGTGGCCGTCGTCCTACTGCTCCTCCTCCTCCTCCTCCTCTTCCTCATCCTCCGACATCGACGTCAGGGCAAACACTGGACATCGAGTGAGTAGGGAAGGGGAAACCCTGTGGGCCGACCGAGGGTGGGCTCAGGGCACAGCCAAAGAGAATCCAAACCACTGGGCAAATGCAGCTTTGAGAAACTGTTCCAGCATTTCTCACCAGGTGAATGGAGAAAGCACTTAACGTCAGTCCCATCTACAAATATAAAGTGTCCTCCGGGCTCAGTCCCATCTACAAATGTAAAGTGTCCTTCGGACTCTGTCCATCTCATGAGGCATTTGGAACATGGAGGCAGGAGTGTTTTTAGGTTTCCTTCCTTACCTTCGAGCTGTGTGTGCAGGGCAGGGGGCTCCAATGTTCCCAGGGCTGAGGCTCTGTCCTTCTTCCCCCAGCCCAGAGAAAGGCTGATTTCCAACATCCTGCAGGGGCTGTGGGGCCAGAGCCCACAGACAGAGGCCTGCAGTGGAGGTAATTCTGCCCGAAGACCCCAGACTCCCACCTGCTCGTGGCCCATACACTGCCCCTAAAGCTCCCATTCCTCCCCCAGGTCCAGCCCAGCTGCCGACGCCCAGGAAGAAAACCTCTGTGAGTGAGAGGAAGAGGTGACCAGCCAGGAGGGAGATAGGGGCCCCGAAGTTTCCGTAGCAATGGGGAAAGGGGCACCGGCTGGAAAGGGTCTGGGGCTCAGGGTGAGATCATCTCACCCCACACTGTGGGACCTCAGGGACATTGCAGCCCCTCCCTGCATCTCAGTAGCCCCATCTGGGAGCAGGGCAGGGGCTGGCAGGACTCAGAGGTCCCAGGGAACCTTCCCAAGAGACGAACCCCTTGCTCTGCCCCAGCAGATGCTGCCGTGAAGGACACACAGCCTGAAGATGGGGTGGAGATGGACACTCGGGTGAGACCCCGCCCCTGTCCCAGGCACCAAAGGCCTCCTGGTGCCAGATCTAATCCAGCAGGACTTCTCTGTCCTCCTTCCCCCGGCTCTCAGCATCGTCACGGTGGACCCCTCCTTGTCCAGCACGCTGCCTCCCGCCTGCTGTGACCTCACTCTCTCCTGCTGTCCTGGGACCTCGTGGGCCTCCTCCCGGGTCCCCTTCCTGCTCCTCATCCTCTGTTTGGCCGTCTGGTTGTTAGAGCGCTCCCCAGGCCTCTGGAGGATGAGGAATAAATGAACCACCCCGGTCCCCTGGGCTCCCCTTCATTCATTCAACCAGTGAGTGTTCCCAGGGAGCTCACTGTGGATCAGGCTCCCCATGGGAGCTGCAGACACAGCAGGGAGCAAAGCCGCCCCCGCCTCCTGAGCTCACCTCATGGTGGGAGACAAAATGCAAATAAATGCGCCATGTCCAGGAGTGCAACGTGCTTAAAGGAACATACACCAGGGAAAGGGCAGAGAGTGTGGGGCAGTGGGGCCAGTCTGAATGGAAGGGGAGGGCTGTCTGCTCAGCTGTCATCTGAGAAGCCTGGACAGAGTGGGGCACACGATCCTCTAATGGACGAGCCCCTGCAGGCAGAGGAAACAGCCGTGCAAAGGCCCCGAGGCAGCAGCGAGCTCTTGCGGGAAGGCCCATGAGGCTGCAGCCAAATGGGCAAGGTCAAAGTGAGGAGCAGAGGCCAGAACCACAGGAAGGGAGCGGCCAGACCCTCCACGGCCTTAGGGCGTCCCTGAGATTCCATCGGGAAAGGGATGTAATCGGATCACCCCGGGAACAGTGAGGAAAATTGACTCCAGGAGGTCAGGGGGACTCAAGGACACCCCCCACCACTGTCTCTCTCCAGCAGAGCCCACATGATGAAGACCCCCAGGCAGTGACATATGCCCCGGTGAAACACTCCAGACCTAGGAGAGAAATGGCCTCTCCTCCCTCCCCACTGTCCGGGGAATTCCTGGACACAAAGGACAGACAGGCAGAAGAGGACAGACAGATGGACACTGAGAGAGTCCTTTCCTCTCCAGGCCCCCAGGCCTCCCCCACCCCCACCACGTTCCTTACCTCTCACTCTCCCCCGCTGCAGGCTGCTGCATCTGAAGCCCCCCAGGATGTGACCTACGCCCAGCTGCACAGCTTGACCCTCAGACGGAAGGCAACTGAGCCTCCTCCATCCCAGGAAAGGGAACCTCCAGCTGAGCCCAGCATCTACGCCACCCTGGCCATCCACTAGCCCGGAGGGTACGCAGACTCCACACTCAGTAGAAGGAGACTCAGGACTGCTGAAGGCACGGGAGCTGCCCCCAGTGGACACCAATGAACCCCAGTCAGCCTGGACCCCTAACAAAGACCATGAGGAGATGCTGGGAACTTTGGGACTCACTTGATTCTGCAGTCGAAATAACTAATATCCCTACATTTTTTAATTAAAGCAACAGACTTCTCAATAATCAATGAGTTAACCGAGAAAACTAAAATCAGAAGTAAGAATGTGCTTTAAACTGAATCACAATATAAATATTACACATCACACAATGAAATTGAAAAAGTACAAACCACAAATGAAAAAAGTAGAAACGAAAAAAAAAAACTAGGAAATGAATGACGTTGGCTTTCGTATAAGGAATTTAGAAAAAGAATAACCAATTATTCCAAATGAAGGTGTAAGAAAGGGAATAAGAAGAAGAAGAGTTGCTCATGAGGAAAAACCAAAACTTGAAAATTCAACAAAGCCAATGAAGCTCATTCTTGAAAATATTAATTACAGTCATAAATCCTAACTACATTGAGCAAGAGAAAGAAAGAGCAGGCACGCATTTCCATATGGGAGTGAGCCAGCAGACAGCCCAGCAGATCCTACACACATTTTCACAAACTAACCCCAGAACAGGCTGCAAACCTATACCAATATACTAGAAAATGCAGATTAAATGGATGAAATATTCAAAACTGGAGTTTACATAATGAACGTAAGAGTAATCAGAGAATCTGACTCATTTTAAATGTGTGTGTATGTGTGTGTATATATATGTGTGTGTGTGTGTGTGTGTGTGTGTGTGAAAAACATTGACTGTAATAAAAATGTTCCCATCGTATCAACTCCAGTTCAGGAAGTTTCACTGGTGATTTCTTACAAATATTGACGCACTAATGAAACACACAAACACACCCAGAGCATCACAAATGTTTCTTGAGAATAGAAAAAGAGGCAATGTGCCCGGGTGCGGTGGCTCACGCCTGTAATCTCAACACCTAGGGAGGCAGAGGCCACAGATTACTTGAGGCCGGGAGTTCAAGACCAGCATGGCCAACAAGGCAAAACCCCATCTCTACTAAAAATACAAAAATTAGCTGGACATGGTGGCGCACGCTGCAATCCCAGCTACTTGGGAGGCAGAGGCAGGAGGATCACTTGAATGAACCCGGGAGGTGGAGGTTGAAGTGAGCAAAAACAAACCCCCTACAATTCAGCCTAGGATATGTTTATTAAATTTACATTTGTCTTTTTGCTTAAGATTGCTTTGGTATTCATCCTCTTTTTGGTTCCATATGAATTTTAGGATTTTTTTCTAATTCTGTGAAAAAAATGATGTTGATATTTTGATGGGAATTGCATTGAACCTAAATATTGCTTTGGGAAGTGTGATCATTTTCACAATATTGATTCTGCCAATCCATGAGCATGGGATATATTTCTATTTTGCTGTGTCATCTACGATTTCTTTCTGCAGCATTTTGTTGTTCTTCTTGTAGAGATCTTTCACCTCCTCAGTTAGGTATATTCTTAGATATTTTTAATTTTTTGCAACTGATGTACAAGGGATTGAGTTTTGCAGCAACCTGGATGAGCTGGAGGCCATTATTCATGACACCACATCCAGCTAATTTTTGTATTTCTTGTAGAGATGAGGTTTTGCCATGTTGCCCAGGCTGGTCTTGAACTCCTGGGCCCAAGTGACCCGCCCGCCTTGACCTCCCAAAGTGCTGGGACTGCAGGCATGAGCCACGGTGCCTGGCCCATCATAGCACTTTTGATCATTAGGATAATTCCTTCTCCTTGTCATTTTTGGACACATGCTTCCCACATGCCTCATCTTCCAGAGAGGGTTTCCACCAGGGCTGTGCTGGGAGTTAAGGCTGGAAAAGGGGAGATGGTTCCACCTGCCAGTGCCACATGAGTCTACTCAGGGCTGTAACCAGCAGGGAGGGTCCAGTGTGAGCCTCAGACTCGCATGTGGGACAGACGCCCATGTGTGACAACGCTGCAGTGAATCTGTTTCACACACATGGAGGAGGCGGCTCAGGGCTGACCATGGACCTGAGTCAATGAGCAGAGATATCCCAGTGCCATCCACAAACACAGGGGAGAAGGAGCCACAACTTCCCACTTTCATCCAAAACCCCGACCCCTCCCTGTCTGTGAGGGCCCTGGGGTTCTCCTCTGTCTCATACAGAGGCAGAAACCTCCCCCTTAGTGACCCCCAGCTTTGCAAGTCACCAGCAGCCCCTCGGCGCTGGCATCTTCTGCTTCTTAAGGTTTCCTGCCTATGACAGGAAGTCTCATTTCTCATTTTCTTCATTGGACCATGGCTACATATTTCAGACACATTATAAGTAGGTTTTCCCAGTGTTAGGAGCAGATGTGGGCTGTTGAGCACATAAGTCACTCACCGTGACTGTGCAGTCCAACACCAGGATCCACTCATGTTTCAACCCCCAAGACTTAACCCGGTCTGGAAATGTACCATGACTGAGGCCCTCCCATGACCCAGGCACCACTGGCCCCCAAAACCACTCAGGAGGGGGGTTCATGACAACAGGCTCCAAATGAGGAAACCGAGGCTCAGAGATGGGACTTACTGCCCAAGGTCATGCACGCAGGGATGAAGGTGAGCAATTCAGAAAAAATTAACTCCCTATCCCACCCCCAAATCAGAGCTCAAGACAAGTACTTGTTCCCAAAACCTTGAAGGCAGACTGAGATGCAGGGGAATGCCCAAGGAAGCGGGGCTGGGGGTGGGAGGGACGCCAAGGAGGCAGGAATGACTCAGAGGTTACTTTTAAGGGAGGGGGACCTGAACACTATTAAAAAAAATAGGAAGAAAAAAAAGAAGGGAAGTCTAAGAAGGAAACTGGAAGAAATAAAACCCATACTCCAAAGACAAAAGAAGAGTCAGCATTTCTTTATTTCTCCTTTTTTCTTCTCATTGCCAATTGCAGCTCAACTTGAATTTCACAGCCCGATGTGAGATGCGTCTCTGCTGATCTGAGCCTGTCCTGCAGCATGGACCTGCAACTTTCCTGAAGCATCTCCAGGGCTGGATGCCATGGTAAGGATCCCGCAATGCTGTGTTGATGGACAGGCTGAAGGAGGGAAGAGGACCCCACAGGGAGGCTCTGAGAAGAAGAACAAGCCCCCACTCACCCTCACTTGGACAGGACAGACTCAGAAAGGTGCTGGGTCTATCGGCTCCTACGTCCTGACCCTTGATGAGATGAGGACAGATGAGGCAAATCGCAGAAAAGGGTCAGGGAGATACCATTTCTGTATGAAGTATCTGAAGACAGCCTGGTGCCTGCCCCAGTCCCAGCCTTGGGGAAATGAAAGTCAAGCTCCCGGAGAGGGCAGTTCCCCTTCTTTTGGGGCTGATGACGGGACAACCTCGTGATGGAGAACCCAGGTTCCCAGTAGATTTACTCCATCCAGGAACGGTGGCCTCATCCATCTGCACAGCTGGGGGCTGTGGAGGAGACGCCATGACTCCCTCCCACAAACCTCTGATCTGTCTTGATAAAATTGAAAGAGGGAGAGGGGAGACTGTAGCCTGGAAGGAATCCCACCTCACAACTTGGTCCTGATTGAATAGAAGACCCCAGAGGTTCACAGAGATCCCAAGGTGGGGAGGATCTGCCCAGGGTTCAGGAGGCGAATCTCTCTCAGGAAGCTCCGTGACCCCCTCTCTAGTGTCACTCCTGTGCCTCAGTGGGATTTGGAGAGGATGCCTTAGATTAGAGGGTATTGTTCAGTGGGATTTGGAGAGGATGCCTTAGATTAGAGGGTATTGTGTCTTTCAGCAACAAAACCGTACAAAAAAACACCTGGACATTTCACATCAGTGGATAAAGCATATCTTGTGCCAAATCAGGACCAAACTGCGGTGAAATTTCGGGTTCACACTACAGTTAATCGCCTTTGAGGAAAGCATTCCAGGTTGGTGCCTATCTCTGCGATAAACGTCTCCCTTCCTGGCTACAGGTAATGGATTAAAGCGACACTGGCCGAACAGACACTGTCTTCACCCGATGATTATACTGAAAAATGGCCATAAAATTGTTCCCTCCAAATCCAATTCCCTTTGTGACAACTCTCAAAAGAAGATATACGAACGGTCCACAAACATATGAAAAACATGTATGTGTATGTGTGTATATACACACACACAGCACGGAATACTACTCAGCCACAAAAAGGGACAAAATAATGGCATTCGCAGCAACCTAGATGCAGTTGGAGACCATTATTCCAAGTGAAGTAATTCAGAAATGGAAAACCAAACATCATATGGTCTCATAAGTGGGAGCTAAACTATGAGGATGCAAAGGCATAAGAAGGATATAATGGAATCTGGGGACTCACAGGGAACAATGGGAGGGGGATGAGCGATAAAAGACTACACATTGGGTGCAGTGTACACTGCTCGGGTGATGAATGCACCAAAATCTCAAAAATCACCACTAAAGAGCTTATCCACGTAACCAAACACCACCTGTTCCCCAAAAGCTATTGAATTTTTTTTAAAAAAATAATAAATTAAAATAAATGTACTACATTAAAAACAACAACAAAATGGCAAAAATCCAATTGCACATAGCAAAATGTTTTCGTGGTCTCTGCACGCTAGAGCATGTAATTGGTCTTTGTTCCTTTCTACTGTTGAAGAATATTCCATTCTATGCCTATATCACATTTGGTTTATGCATTCACCAATTGATGGACATTTGGGTTGTTTTCACTATTTAGCTATCATGAATAATGACAAAAAAAGGACATATATTTGTTTGGGTTTTTTTATTTTTAAAAGGTTACAATTATTTATTTATTTATTTATTTACTGAGACAAAGTTTCACTCTGTCGCCCAGGCTAGAGTGGAGTTGTGAGATCTTGGCTCACTGCAACCAGTTCAAGCAAATTTTTGTGCCTCAGCCTTCTGAGTAGCTGGGATTACAGTTGTGCACCACCACAGGAGGCTATTTTTTTTAATTTTAGTAGAGACAGGGTTTCGCCGTGTAGGCCAGGCTGGTCTCGAACTCCTAGACTCAAGCCTTCCACTCGCCTCAGCCTCCCAAAGTGCTGGGATTAGAGGCGTGAGCCATCACACCATGCCAAAAGGTTATAATCATTTAAATTCGGGTTGCAACTGTATGCTTACAATTCTCTACATTTAGATTTAAAAACATTTTATTGATGGTCAATCTGGAACATAATTAATGCATCTTAATTAAGTTTCCACTGATGTATATAGAAGGCTAAAGGCTGAAGTTTTATTCACCTCTAGTAGAGTAACCAACCATAAAATCATTAGTTACTTTCAACTTCATAACTAATTGACATTTCCCAAATGAGCTGTCTTTAATCCTGATAGTTCTTTAGTTTTAAAAATATATTTGCCATGGGATGCTGATTTGCAATGGGTGTCATAATGAGAATAACCAAAATTGGGTAAACGTGACAAAATATTGACAAAATGTTTCACACCCTTAAATTACACAACGTCAATAATGAGGAGAAAGCATTGCAAAAGGAGACTACTGCAATGCTACTTATATTCTTGCAATAAAACCAGCAAAGCATCCACATCAAGAGAGTTCTCATCTCACTTCCAACTTTTTCCCCTGAAGAACAATTTGAATCTCTTTGGCACCTAAAGTCTCATAGGTCAATAAAGCTTCTGCTAGATTCTTATGCTCCTCTGCATGACTTTTCAAGATAAGTTTTGCTCATTTTTTTTAAGGTTTGCATCATTCTTCTTTATTTTTGACTTGATTTTCCATTCAACATCACCAACAAGTTTTTAGCGAAATGTAATAATTATATAATTAAACATCTTTCATGGATCACCCTATCCATCTCTACTATATAAATTTAAGATGCTAAATGTTTTAAAAATACTTCTTGATTATGGTTATTAATTGTTCACAAGTCCACTGGTAAATATTACTTATTCCTAGACTGAAACAGAGCTAAACGTCAATACTATATCTAGTTTTCATTTGTATAGATACAGGACTGAGAAAATTTGTTCATCTAAATAAATACTATGGATGGGGTAGGAAGGTGTTTTGTTATAACCATGTCATACAATTATTTGAATTTTGAATAAGTTTTGCTCATTTATATGAGTCCCTTAGAATGGTTCTTATTTCATGTTCAATAGCAGATTGAGTTTCTGGACTTAGTTTCCCTGTGTCACTGTAGGTCATAACTCCAAGCTTTTCGCTAATTCCAAATTTGATAACCATCTGCTTTGCCATTTTAGTGGCATTAGCAAAATCACTGGAAGCACCTGTTGTAATATGGTCAATTCCAAATATAAGCTCCTCTGCCACTCTTGCTCCCATACTAATGTCCATTTGTGCAAGCAGCTGGGCTCTGGTTTCATTCCATCTGTCATCACCAGGTAATGGGGACACAGGTCCAAATGTTGGCCCCTGTGGCATGATTGTAGCTTTGTTGATAGACATTTCATCTTTTGTGTAATATGCAATAATGGCATGACCAGATTCATGATAAGTTGTGATGGATTTGTTTTTGTTATCAATTTCTGTACTTCTTCTGTCAGGCCACATTATAATTTTGTCTTTGGAAAACTTCAGTTCCTTCATGGTAACCACTTCTTTTCCATCAACAGCTACAAAAGGACGTGTATTTGGTGTGATTTTATGCACATGAAATATCCAGAATAGACAAAGCCATAGAAACTGAGAGTAGACTAGTGATTTCTTAAGGCTGAGGGAAGGGAAGAACTAGGACTGACTACTTGGGGGTTCTTTCTGAGGTGATGGAAATGCTGTGGGATGAGGTAGGGATGGTGATTGCACAGCATAGTGAAGACACTAAAATCCATTTATTTGTACACTAAAAAATGGTGCATTTCATATGGTGTGAGTTATGTCACATAACTCAGTAAGTAAATAAATAATTCATATCCCGGCTTCTGCCCAGGGTTTGGGGAGCTGGAAAGAGTTTCACTAGCTGGGTGCGGTGGCTCACACCTGTAATCCCAGCATTTTGGGAGGCTGAGGTGGGTGGATTGCCTGAGGTCAGGAGTTTGAGACGAGCCTGGAAAACATAGTGAAACCCTCTCTCTACTAAAAATACAAAAAAAAAGCTGGGCATGGTGGCACATGCCCGTAATCCCAGCTACTGGGGAGGCTGAGGCAGGAGAATCACTTGAACCCAGGAGGCAGAGGTTGTAGTGAGCCAAGAACACGCCATTGCACTCCAGCCTGGGCAACAAAAGCGAAACTCCATCCCTCCCCCTCCCTCCCCCACTCCAAAAAAAGAGCTTCTCTGCAATCCTAACCATGAGTAAAACTCAGATCAACTCCATAATGTAGATTTCACCTGAGACCATCAGAAATCCGAGCTCTGGGAGCAACTGAGTAACCTGAATTCCAAGGAGGAGTAGGATGCCATGACAGGCTCTACAAAGGCAGAACACATGAGGGTGGGAGACTGCCATACAAGCTGGGAAGGAGGAATCAGATGATATTGTCATGAATTCCTCAAGAGTTAGTGTTTGCTGGCCTCCAAGAGGCAAGGATCTCTGGGAACTTAAGACAGAGAAGCACTTCACACTCACCCATGAGCTCTTTTCCGTGGGTCTCAACTGGGCATTCACAACATAGATTGGAAGTAAGGTGGAGACCCAAAATTTGTGATCAGACATGATTACCTTCCACAGTGTGTGGCCTGAAATCTCACCCCCTGCCCAGATACTTCTCCCATGTGTAGAAAAAGACTGAAGTCATTGAGAGAGGTTCAGAAAAACCAGCCAATCTCAGGCCCCAGGTAAAAACCCATTGTGGATATAAGAAGGTAGATTTAAAAGTCCCTCTATCCCTAGGAGTACTGCAGAAAATTCCTGAAACCATAATCCCAGATATACAAATGTCAGGGAAGGGACAGGAAATTCCTGCCCAAGTCAACCAAAGCTACCAAGTACAATCCAGCTGCCAAGGGGAAGAAGGACACAAACACTGAGCAAGCTCCACCCTCAAGGCCCACTCATATAGAAATTGTCCAAGACTGAGGCTGGGTGAGGACAGGAGAAATTTATACTCCCTACCATGAGCCTATCCCTGAGAAGCAAGCAAGAGCAGTCCACAGCTGGGGGAGGCACCAGGTGGAGTACAGAATTGATGCAGTGGAATCCATCCAGCTGTGGGGTCAGCAGGCCCAATGCAAGCAGGAGGGGCCCGTGAATGGGATAGCCATGGAGCAAGAAAGGAGGACATGCATGAACCCAACACCAGTGACTCCCTCTCACCAAGGACCACGTAGCCACCACTGTAGCTGAAAGTCTCACCTGTGACCAGCAGAGAGGTCTGGATGTGATGCCTGGTAGTAACTTGATGCCATGGAACACATTCCACCCACGAGGGGGCAGCAAACCTTCCTTAGTCTGAAGGATGCTTGTGCTGAAAATGGGTTTGACGGAGCTCCTCGCAGGGGTCTGTGAGCACTCAGAATGTCTGACTTGTTTAAACGAAATAACCCATGACTTATTCTCAGAATGGGAATCCAGATGCCCACAAAATCCGTGGAGGGAATGAGAACATGGCCACGTGATATTCTGGGAATGACCTGAGATATGTACTATGCAGTGGTTTGGTTTTACTGGGACTGAAAGAACATTGAAATGGCCTCTTGAAATTGGATGTATTGAACAGTTTGTGAATGAGACTCTGCAGTTTGGGGGTTCTGTTACAGTAGCTGTAAATAAGCATACAGAAAGCTGTAGATGATATACATACAGATATAGCTATAAAGACAATAAATGGACCAGGTGCGGTGGCTCACGCCTGTAATCCCAGCATTTTGGGAGGCCAGGGCAGGTGGATCACCTGAGTTCAGGAGTTCGAGACCAGCCCGATCAACATGGTGAAACGCCATCTCTATTAAAAATACAAAAATTAGCCAGGCGTGGTGCTGCTCGCCTGTAATCCCAGCTACTTGGGAGGCTGAGGCAGGAGAATCGCCTGAACCCGGGAGGCGGAGGTTGCAGTGAGCCAAGATTGCACCATTGCACTCCAGCCTGGGCAACAAGGGCAAAACTCCGTCAAAAAAATAAAAAATAATAAAAAATAAATAAAACAATAAATCATGGTATGTCTTTTGACAGGTAGAATGCATGGGCTTGGGAGTAAAGTGAGAGTTTAATGAACAGCATCTATCACTAACTTTACAGATGACACACTTGGGAGATGTGCACATCCTGTGACTGCACTTTTAGGTGACCCTGGGTTAGAAGATCTGCCTGGTAAGAAACCACTACCAGGGAACAACACAAAAATTACTCTGTACCTAAAATGATGATGTAGCTGGTTTTCCTTGGGTTTCCTCATTACAGTACATCAGCAGGTAAGGAGAAAGATATCATACTGGCCTGGGTAATTTTCTTTAACGATGAGGAGGAGGATTTGGTGAAGAGAGGGTGGTTGGGCAGCTTAGATAATTCACTGTGGCAGTGATGAATTCTCCATAGCTGGAGGTAACCATGACTGGGGTTGGGGTTTGCACTGTGTCTCCAAAAAGGTATGTTGACATCCTAACCTCCCGTAGCTGTGAATATGAACTTATTTGGAAATAGGATCTTTGCAGGTATAATTAGTTAAGATGTGGTCATGCTGGCTTCGGGCAGGATCTAAATCCAATATTGCTCACATCTTTATAAGACATGAAGAAGACACACAGAGAAGAATAGGATGCCATGTGAAGATGGAGGCAGAGATTAGAATGAGAAGTCTGTAAACCAAGGAATGCCAAGAAATGCCAGCAAGGACCAAAGTCTAAGAAAAAGGCACAAAAGTGGCCGGGCGTGGTGGCTCATGCCTGTAATCCCAGCACTTTGGGAGGCCGAGGCGGGCAGATCATGAGGTCAGGAGATCGAGACCATCCTGGCTAACATGGTGAAACCCCGTCTCTACTAAAAATACAAAAAAATTATCCGGGTGTGGTGGCGGGCACCTGTAGTCCCAGCTACTGGGGAGGCTGAGGCAGGAGAATGGCATGAACCCGGGAGGCGGAGCTTGCAGTGAGCCGAGATCGCGCTACTGCAGTCCAGCCTGGGAGACAGAGCGAGATTCCATCTAAAAAAAAAAAAAAGAAAGAAAGAAAGAAGGAAAAAGCACAGAAGTTTCTTCTTCAGAGCCTCTAGAAAGAAGAAATTATATGAACATTTTGATTTTTTATTTCTGGCCTGCAGAACTCTGAGAGAATAAGTTTATCTTCTTTTTATTCAATACTTTGTGATAATTTGTTATATCAGCCTCCAAGAAACTAACACAATGGGCAACTCCCACAAGAAAGCCTGAAACAGGCACAATAATCAGGTGCTCAGATGCCTCAAGGTTGAAATTTATGTTTATTTCATTGGGCCGATAGTTGAGACAAGTAGAGTTTCTCATGCGAACTCTGGCAGAAGGTAAGCAGAACCTAGAGAGGGTGATAGACAGCAAAGCTGGTAAATATAAAGGATGACCTCGGGGTCAATTACAACAGAGAACACTGTACTTCTCCCCATTCACACCCATATGCTTTGTTTGCCTCATTTGTAGATAAATGTGTCCAGTGTGTTGTTGCTTTGGCAGCACATATACCAAAATCGGAATGATACAGAGAAGATCAGCATGGCAGCTGCACAAGGATATTAACAAATTTCATGAAGCATTTTATATATATATATATTTTTTTAATGTGTCCAGCAAAGACCTGGAAGAAGTTATAGTGTGAAAAGACATGAACATGAAGTTCATGGGGCTATGAGCAGGGCAAAGTGTGGACTGCAACAGACAGGACAGACCCTGGTGATGCCCCATCGATGTTGCCTGGATCATGTCTTTTTTTTTTTTTTTTTTTTTTTTGAGACAGGCAGAGTTTTGCTCTTGTTGCCCAGGCTAGAGTCCAATTTTTGAGATGGAGTCTCACTCCGTCACCAGGCTGGAGTGCAGTGGCGCAATCTCGGCTCACTGCAACCTCCGTCTGCCGGGTTCAACTGATTCTCCTGCCTCAGCCTCCTGAGTAGCTGGGACTACAGGCGTGCACCACCACACTGGGCTAATTTTTGTATAATAGTGTGAGTTAATACTTAATAAACACTCGTATATATATATATATACACACACACATATATATATGGTGTATATACATATATATGTATGTGTATATATACACACATATATATACACACACATATATATACACACATGCATATATATACACACATATATGATTTTATATATATATATGTATACACACACACACACACCAGGCTAATTTTTGTATAATAGTGTGTTAATACTTAATAAACACCCATATAGATATGGTGTATATACATATATATGTATGGTATATATATGTAGGGTATATATATACACACATATACACACACATATATACACACAAACATATATGTACACACATATATATACACACACATATATATACACACATATATGTACACACACATATATTTTTTGATATGTGTACATATATATACACCAGATACGATTATATATATATACACACAAACATATATATACACACATATATATACACAGAAACATATATATACACACATATATACACACAAACATATATATACACACACATATATATACACACACATATATACACACACATATATACATACACATATATACATACACATATATATACACACAAACATATATACACACACATATATATACACACATATATACACACACATATATACATACACATATATATACACACATATATACATATATATTTTTTGATATGTGTATATATACACACATATATATACCCCAGATATGATTTTATATATATACACACATATATATACACACATATATATAAACAAACATATATATACACACACATATATATACACACAAACATATATACACACACATATATACACACACATATACACACACATATATATACACACAAACATATATGCACACACATATATACACACACATATACACACACATATACACACACATATATACACACACATATATACACACACATATACATATATATTTTTGACATGTGTATATATACACACATATATATACACCAGATACGATTTTACACACACACACACACACATATATACGCCATTAGTTGTGTCCCTCTAGAGAACCCTAATACACAGCGTGTCACACTAGCGCAGGCACAGGCCATCACTCTTGTGAACACCCAAGGCACCGTTTCCACTTCAGCTCGGTCCCTGAGGGTCAGGATGCATCTGCCACTGGGAAAGGTGGATCGAGTGGCTCTAGGCAGCTTGGCACGACAGGGTAGTGTAGAGCAACAGCTCAGCCTGGGGATGGCAGGCCACCAGGCAAGGCTGGCTCAGCAGTGACAATCCCTCAGCAGTGAAAGGATGCTGCGGCTACGTGTCCCCCAGAGATCCAGAAGTAGATCCCATTCCACAATGGCATAGTGCCAGAGCCGTGATGGCCGTGGACAGTGGGGCACAGTGTCAGTCTTTTCTCCTGGGTGAGTGCAGCTGTGTGGAATCTGGGTAGCTCCGTCAGCTGTGCTTAGTGTCTGTGAAAGGGAATCTCCAATGGTGAGATCTACAGGTGTCCAAAGTGTTGATGGAAGCTGCTAGGTCTTTTTCTCAGCTTTTTCCAGCAAGGAGAAGTCCCTCTTTATTCCAAGCTGATCCTGACTGAAGGATGGGGTGATAGAGGTGCAGTGCTACTTTCATTTATTACGTGGCCATCCTGTGATTTTTAATGAAATGGCTAAAATGGCAGACATAGAATTCAGAATCTGGATGCCAAACTAAGATCACTGAGGTTCAGAAGAAAGTTGAAACCCAATCCAAGGGATATAAGGAACCCAGTAAAATGACACCAGAGGTGGAAGATGAAATAGACATTTTAAGAAAGAAAGAAACTGATTTTATAGAGCTGAAAAACTCATTACAAAAATTGCATAATATAATAAAAAGTAGTAACGGCAAAATAGACCAAGGTGAGAAGAAAATCTCAGAGCTCAAAGACTGCTTCTATGGCCAGGCGTGGTGACTCACGCCTGTAATCCCAGCACTTCGGGAAGCTGAGGCGGGCGGATCAACTGAGGTCAGGAGTTCGAGACCAACCTGACCAACATGGTGAAACCCCATCTCTACTAAAAATACAAAATTTGCCGGACGTGGTGGTGCATGCCTGTAATCCCAGTTACTAGGGAGGCTGAGGCAGGAGAATTGCTTGAACCCATGAGGTGGAGGTTGCAGTGAGTCAAGATTGTGCCATTGCACTCCAGCCTGGGCAACAAGAGCGAAACTCCATCTCAGAAAACAAAAATAAAAACAAAATTAAAAAAGACTGCTTCTGTGAATCAACGCAGTCAGACAAAAATAAAAAAAATAGAATTTAAAAGAATGAACAAAACCTCTGAGAATTATGGGATTATGGAAAGAGACAAAACCTATGACCCATTGGCATCCCTGAGTAAGAAAGGAAGCAAGCAACTTGAGAAACATATTTGAGAATATTATCAATAAAAATTTCCCCAACCGCACTAGAGAGCCAACATTCACATTTAGGAAACTCAGAACACCCCAGTGAGATACTATACAACAAAACCATCCACAAACAACATACTCATCAACTTCTCCAAGATCAACGTGAAAGAAAATTATTCATGGCAGCTAGAGAGAATAGGCCAGTCATCCAAAAGACGTACCTCATCAGGCTAACAGTGAACCTTTCAGCATAACCCTAAAAGTCAGAAGATATTAAAGATATTAGGGTATATTTTCAGCATTCTTTTTTTTTTTTTTTTGAGACAGAGTCTCGCTCTGTCACCCAGGCTGGAGTCACCCAAGCAGCGACTGTGTGCTTGGGGAAGGGAGAAGGCAGGACTGAACTCAATGCTGCCCTGTCACACTGGAAAGCCACACTGGGCTGATTGCAACTGATGCCCGTTCATGGAGAAAGCATTTGATGAGCTCTACCCAAAGGGGAACTGCCCAGAAAATCAGTTGGAACTTGAGATTCAGCAAGTCCCACCTGAGACCTCAGGCTAAAGTGCTCTGGGTTTGTTTTTTTGTTTTGTTTTGGTTTTAGATGGAGTCTCGCTCTGTCATCCCAGGCTGGAGTGCAGTGGTGCAATCTCGGCTCACTGCAACCCCTGCCTCCCAGATTCAAGCGATTCTACTGCCTCAGCCTCCCAAGTAGCTGGGACTACAGGCACGTGCCACCATGCCCAGTTAATTTTTGTATTTTTAGTAGAGATGGGATTTGGCCATATTGGCCAGGCTGGTCTCAAACTCCTGACCTCATGATCTGCCCGCCTCAGCCTCCCAAAGTGCTGAGATTACAGGTGTGAGTGACTGCGCCTGGTCTGGGGTCTTAAACAAGCTTGAAAGAGTCTAGGCCACAAGTACTGTGATTCCTGGGAAAATCCTAGTGCTGTGCTGAGTTTGGAGCCAGTGAATTTAGAGAAATCAGCAAACGTAGCTAAGGGTGTACTTGTTTCATCCTTCCCACTACCCAAGGCAGCACAACTTGTAGCAACAAAAGTGATTCCTTCCTTCTGATTGAAGAGAGGAGAGGGAAGAATAAAGAGGACTTTGTCTTTTATCTTGGATACCCACTCAGCCACAGTAAGATAGGGCAACAGGCAGAGTCCTGAGGTCCCCATCCCAGATGCTAGCTCCTGGACAACATTTTTCCACATACCCTAGGCCAGAAGGGAAATTGCTGCCTTGTGGGGAAGGATTTAGTCCTGGCAGAATTCATCACTTGCTAACTGAAGAGCTCTCAGGCCCTGAATAACCAGCAGCAATATACAGGTACTATGTCGTGGGCCTTAGGTGAGACTCTGAGACTTGCTGGCTTCAAGTGAGACTCAGCACCTTCCCAGCCATGTTGACTGTGGGGTGAGAAAAGTGGAAGAAAAAGTAAAAGGGACTTTGTATTGCACCTTAGGTACCAGCTCAACAACAGGGGATAGAGTGCCAAGTAGGCTCTCAGGTCCTCAATTCAAGGACTTTGCTCTTAGAGATCATTTCTGGACCTGCCCTGGGCCTGGGCAGAGCCCAGTGTCATGACGGATGAATAGCAGGCCAGGAAGCCTTCACCACAAGCTGACTGAAGATCCCTTAGGGCTTAAGAGAACACTGGCAGTTCTCCCTGTAAGCCTGTTGTGGCAGTGGTCATGGCATGAGGCTCCTTTGCCTTAAGAAAGGGGAGGGATGAGTAGGAAGGACAGTATCTTGTGGCTTGAGTGCCAGGTCAGCTGCAGTGCAATAGAACGCCGGGTGGACTTCAAGGATTTTATTTATTTATTTATTTATTATTATTATTATTATTATTTTGAGATGGAGTTTCACTCTTGTCACCCAGGCTGGAGTGCAATGGCTTGATCTCGTCTCACCACAACCTCCGCCTCCCGGGTTCAAGCAATTCTCCTGCCTCAGCCTCCTAAGTAGCTGGGATTACAGGCATGCACCACCACGCCCAGCTAATTTTTTTGTATTTTTAGTAGAAACGGGGTTTCTCCATGTTGGTCAGGCTGGTCTCAAACTCCCGACCTCAGGTGATCCGCCCGCCTCAGCCTCCCAAAGTGCTGGGATTACAGGCGTGAGGCACCACGCACGGCGGCGGAATCTGTTAAACACAAAAACGGGAGAGGTGGCCCCATGCTGATCATGGACTTCAGTCAGTGGGCAGAGATATCCCAGCTCCTGTCCACAAGCACGAGCAAGGGTGAACCACAGCTTTTCTTTTCCTTTTTTTTTTTTCTTTTTTTGAGACGGAGTCTCACTCTGTCCCCCAGGCTAGAGTGCAGTGGCGCGATCTCAGCTCACTGCAAGCTCTGCCTCCCAGGTTCACACCATTTTCCTGCCTCAGCCTCCCAAGTAGCCGGGACTACAGGCGCCCGCCACCACGCCCGCTTAATTTTTTCTATTTTTTTTTTTTTAAGTAGAGACGGGTTTTCACCGTGTTAGCCAGGATGGTCTCGATCTCCTGACCTCGTGATCTGCCCATCTCAGCCTCCCAAAGTGCTGGGATTATAGGCGTGAGCCACCGCGCCGGGCCGGGCCACAGCTTTTCATCTTCATCTGGAGCCCCTACCCCCTCCCTTTCCATGAGGACCTGGGGTTCCTCTTCTGTCCCACACAGAAGTGGAAATTTCCTCCCTAATGACCCTGGGACAGTCTTAGACACAAGCAGGCTGTCAGCTTTCAAGTTTGTTCTTTGATGTGCAACCTTCTCAAATTAAAGAACTTTTCATTTCTTTTTCTGCACAAAACTTTCATAATCTACATATTTCGGATGTATAATCTACATATTTCAGATGTGTGTATGTGTGTGTGTGTGTATATATATATATATATATATATATATATATGTATGTTTTGAGACAGGGTCGTGCTCTCTCACCCAGGCTGGAGTGCAGTGCTATGATCATACCTCACTACAGCCTGGACCACCCAGGCTCAAGCAATCTTCCCACCTCAGTGTCCCAAATAGTTGGGACTGCAGTCGTGCACAAACATACCTGATTATTTCTTCTTTGTTATATGCAGAGACGGGGTCTCACTATGTTCCCCAAGCTGGTCTTGAACTTCTGAGCTCAAGGGATCCTCCATCCTCAGCCTCCCTAGGTGCTCAGATTACAGGGGTGGGCCACCGTGCCGGGAACTTCAAACATAAGGAGCATTTCTTGGTATTTGGAGCAGATGTGGGCTCTTGAGTTGGGGCATCAATCATCCTCCTCTACTACGGAGCTCAATGCCAGGATCCTCTCACACCCCAACCACTCCTGTCTTAATCTGGTCTGGAAATTCACCATGGCCAAGCCCCCTCCCATGTCCCAGGCACCACTGAGCCCCACATCCACTCTGAGAAGCTGAGGTCATGACCACAAGTTCCAAAAGAGAAAGGCTCAAGCAAGCCACTTTGCTGTCCAAGGTCACATAATCGGTGGAATTAGGAAGAAAATTCAGCTCCCCACTCCACCCCATGAATCAGATGACAAACCTGAGTAATTGTTCTGAAAACCTTGAACATGGTTGGAGGCACAGAGGGACGGCCAAGGACAAAGGGGCACTGAGGAGGCAGGAACGACTTAGAGGTTCATTCCCAGCGGAGGGGTTTTGTTGCTCTGCCCTAGCCCTTGGTGAGCTGAGTATAGGTCAGGCCGACAGCGGCTAGGGCTCAGGGAGACCCCATTTCTGTCTGAAATGTCTGCAGAGAGCCTGGAGCTCACCCCAGCCCCATCCCTGGGGAAATGAGAGCCAGGCTCTTGGGGAGGGCAGTTCCCCTTCCTGTGGGGCTTCCGATGGGACAGTCTTGTGACAGGGAGAACCCAGCCTCCAGTCCACACTCTGCGTGTTTTTGTGTCCTGCCAGGCACCGTGGTCTCATCCGCCTGCACAGCTGAGTCCAGTGGGAGCTGACGCCATGACCCTCACCCTCTCAGTCCTGATTTGCCTCGGTGAGGTTTGAAGAGGGGGAAGGAAGGTCCCCGTCTTGGAGGGAGCTCACTCTAAAGCGAGGCTCTGGTCTATCAGAGAATCTGGTCTATCAGAGGCTCCGAGGGAGGAGAGGAACTGCTGGGGCTTCCAGGGGCAAATCCCTCACAGGGAACTCTCTTCCAGGGCTGAGTGTGGGCCCCAGGACCTGCGTGCAGGCAGGTGAGTCTGTCCCCAGCTGTCCCAGGTCCCTTCTTCTCACTGGGGACAAGGGCCCAACCCCGGGCAGCTGGGGGTGGAGATAGCTGTTCTGGGCTGACTGATGGGGACGTCTGGAGGGTCCTGGGGCTGAGAGCTGGAATCTGAGGGATGGGGATGTCTTGGGATCCAGCCTCTGATTCCATTCTAGGCACCCTCCCCAAACCCACCCTCTGGGCTGAGCCAGCCTCTGTGATAGCTCGGGGGAAGCCCGTGACCCTCTGGTGTCAGGGGCCCCTGGAGACTGAGGAGTACCGTCTGGATAAGGAGGGACTCCCATGGGCCCGGAAGAGACAGAACCCACTGGAGCCTGGAGCCAAGGCCAAGTTCCACATTCCATCCACGGTGTATGACAGTGCAGGGCGATACCGCTGCTACTATGAGACCCCTGCAGGCTGGTCAGAGCCCAGTGACCCCCTGGAGCTGGTGGCGACAGGTGAGAGGACACTCAGGGGTCCCAGCCCCAGGCTCTGCCCTCAGGAAGAGGGTCGGCTCTTAGGGACGTCTACCTCTCACAGCCCAGCCCTGGGGATGATGTGGGAGGTCGGAGCCCCACTTAAGACGTGCCTCCTTCTCTGCTAGGATTCTATGCAGAACCCACTCTTTTAGCCCTGCCGAGTCCTGTGGTGGCCTCAGGAGGAAATGTGACCCTCCAGTGTGATACACTGGACGGACTTCTCACGTTTGTTCTTGTTGAGGAAGAACAGAAGCTCCCCAGGACCCTGTACTCACAGAAGCTCCCCAAAGGGCCATCCCAGGCCCTGTTCCCTGTGGGTCCCGTGACCCCCAGCTGCAGGTGGAGGTTCAGATGCTATTACTATTACAGGAAAAACCCTCAGGTGTGGTCGAACCCCAGTGACCTCCTGGAGATTCTGGTCCCAGGTGAAAAAGCCACCACACTTCTTTATATAATTTTGGGGAACCAGATAGGTTGTTGGGAGTTTGGTTGATGACTGATCATGGCAAGGACCCCAGAAGGATGTGTTGATGGATGGGCTGAAGGCGTGAGGAAGACCCCACGGGGAGGCTCAGATGGGGAAACAGGAGCCTGAGTCACCCTCACCTGGAAGGGGTCGACTCAGGAAGGCAATGGGTGTATTTGCTGCAATTTCCTGTCCCTCAATGAGGAGAGGACAGACCAGACAGACAGTGGCCAGGAGTCAGAGAGACACTATCGGTCTGGAACTACTCCAAGACAGACCCAGGTGAGAAGGAGGCCCCGGGATCCGAGACACAGAGCGTGAGAGACAGTGAGACCTGCAGGGCCAGGACGCCAGGACGGGAGAAGGAAGGGGCGGGGGAGGAACCAGCCTTCCAAGTCCCAATTCCTCTTTCCCTCCAGGCGTGTCTAGGAAGCCCTCCCTCCTGATCCCGCAGGGCTCTGTCGTGGCCCGCGGAGGCAGCCTGACCCTGCAGTGTCGCTCTGATGTCGGCTATGACATATTCGTTCTGTACAAGGAGGGGGAACATGACCTCGTCCAGGGCTCTGGCCAGCAGCCCCAGGCTGGGCTCTCCCAGGCCAACTTCACCCTGGGCCCTGTGAGCCGCTCCCACGGGGGCCAGTACAGATGCTACGGTGCACACAACCTCTCCCCTAGGTGGTCGGCCCCCAGCGACCCCCTGGACATCCTGATCGCAGGTGAGGAGCCCAGCGGGTTCAGTCAGGGACCCAGGCTCTGCACAGGTCCTGCCGGGGGAATCCAATTAGTGATGGCCGGGATGAGGCGGGGGGGTGGTCCCAAGGGAGGGAGAGACAGACAGAGACAGGGGATGGGTGGGGAGGGGAAGACTCAGAGAAAACAGAGACAGAGGCTCCTAGAGAGGCCTGGGGAGGTCTCAGCTCAGAGCAAGGTGGGGCAGCCCCTCACCCATCCTTCTTCTCTCCAGGACTGATCCCTGACATACCCGCCCTCTCGGTGCAGCCGGGCCCCAAGGTGGCCTCAGGAGAGAACGTGACCCTGCTGTGTCAGTCATGGCATCAGATAGACACTTTCTTTTTGACCAAGGAGGGGGCAGCCCATCCCCCGCTGTGTCTAAAGTCAAAGTACCAGTCTTATAGACACCAGGCTGAATTCTCCATGAGTCCTGTGACCTCAGCCCAGGGTGGAACCTACCGATGCTACAGCGCAATCAGGTCCTACCCCTACCTGCTGTCCAGCCCTAGTTACCCCCAGGAGCTCGTGGTCTCAGGTGAGGGCCCTGACCCTGTCCTGTCCAAGCTCAAAGGCTCAGCTCAGGCCCTGCCCCCAGGAGAGCTCTGGGCTGGGATGGAGTCGCGGTGCGGGGGGGAGGGTTTGAGGGGGGCTCAGCCAGAGGGAGACTCACCCCTCAGAGGGGAGGAGGACAACGGGGGCTCCCCAGGCATGCCCACACTTGGCCCCATCTCCTGGGATGCAAATGGTGAAAGGTGAGCAGAAGAAAGTTTCCAGAGAAGCCACGGGCAGGTGGAGGGACGGGTTTCCTCACTCAGCACCAAAGCGCCTCGCTCCCTTTCTGTGCTTATTCCCAGGACCCTCTGGGGATCCCAGCCTCTCACCTACAGGCTCCACCCCCACACCTGGTGAGTCACTGAGGCCTCTGGGCTCGGAGGGAGCGTGGTCTCCCCCCAGGCAGCCCTGAGTCTCCCCGAGGATCCTATTCCCCTCAAAGACTCAAGCGGGAGCTTCCCTCCAGGGAGCTGGGCAGAGCCAGAGGAGGGGCCACAGGCTCCCCGGGGCTCTGAGGCTGGGCCGGTGAGGGGGCGGGCGTCGAGGCAGAGAGAGATGTTGGGTGTTGGGGCCCAGCCTGGGGGAGGAGCAGCCGGGCTGATGTGGGGAGCAGGGCAGCCCCAGCCCTCACCTCCCCGTCCTGACCCAGCAGGCCCTGAGGACCAGCCCCTCACCCCCACGGGGTTGGATCCCCAGAGTGGTGAGTGAGGGGCTCTGAGTGGGAGGTGGGCGGAGACCAGGGGAGGCAGGGGTGGGTTCTGTCGTAGGTTCAGGCTCCTCTGGAGATGGTGAAGTGCACAAGCCCTTCCCCTGCCTGGGCCTCAGTTTCTCCAAGTGTAAAGGAGAGAGGCCTGCATTGATGGGATTCTTCAGGGGACTGTCCTGTCCCACCGGCAGCAGTGACGGTGACCTGGGGCAGGGGAGGGGAGCAGGGCCGTGGTTTGGGGCATTCAGGCTCTTTCCCTGCAGCTCCGGGGCTCCGCTCAGGTGCAGAGAACAAGGGCTGCGGGTCAGACTCCTGGGTTCACTTCCCAGCTCTGCCGCATCCCACCGTGGGCCCAGGCAGGTCAACTTTCTACTCTGACTCAGTTTCAGCAGCTGTAAACTGGCTCAGTCCCATCCAGCTCACAGAACTGCTGCGAGGCGTAAGCAAAATCATGGGACCTGGCCCTGTACACAGCTCGGCAGGGGCACCGTCCTCCTGCTACCCTCAGCCCTTCCCAGATACACACAGAGCCCCTATCCAGACAGGTTCTGCATGGGAGTATGGGAACTTGGCAGAGTGGGAAACGGACCTGGCTGAGCTGGGAGTGAGAGCAATGCAGGGTCCGTCCTGCACAACCCACTCCCTCTCCCAGGCCCTGCTGTGCTGGGGAAGGGAGGATCCTAAGAAGGACACCAGCCCCAGATGGAGACACTAGGACAGGCCCCTCCTGTCAAATAGGAAACAGGTGTGCACCTGGTGGGGCAGCAGGAGGACAGCTGGGGAAAACACAAAGTCCCTGGTTCCCTTCCCAGACCTGCTTCTTCCAGGCTGAGGAGCCTGGGGCAGGCGATTCCCCTCTCTGAGCCTCAGTTTGCTCCTCTGTGAATTGGGGGGTTGGCAATCCCATGTTGCACAACTGCTGTGAGGGTTGGAGCTCATGAAGGAAAGACCTAGCTCGCGCCTGCACACAGAAGGTGCTCACATCAATGACGTCATCCCCATTCCCAACGTCATCACGCTCAAGGTCTGGGAAGGCACCTGGGGGTTGTGACTGGGGTCTCAGTGGCCTTCGTCCTGCTGCTGTTCCTCCTCCTCTTCCTCCTCCTCCGACATCGGCATCAGAGCAAACACAGGACATCGGGTGAGTAGGGAATGGGGGAACCCGTGGGCCGACCGAGGGTGGGCTCGGGGCACCAGCCAGAGGGAAACCAAACACAAAGGAAAGTCAGCTTAGAAAAACTGCTCCAGAAATTCCCAGGTGAAAAATCGATCGAGAAAGAAGAGAATAAATGTGAGCATGTGTGGAAGTGCTTGATTCTTCTGATTTTACTTTAAACTTACGACGTATTTAAAGCCTCAGTGCCAGTGGGCCTCCAGGTTTCCTTCTTTCCGCTCGAGTTGTGTGTGCAGGGCAGCTGGTTCGAATTCTCCCAGGCCTGACCCTCTGTCCATCTCTGTCCAGCCCATTTCTACCGTCCTGCAGGGGCTGCGGGGCCAGAGCCCAAGGACCAGGGCCTGCAGAAGAGGTAATTCTGCATGAAGACCCAAGACTCCCATCCACCCGCACAGCCCCCTCACTGCCCCTCACACTCCCGTGTCCTCCCCCAGGGCCAGCCCAGTTGCTGACATCCAGGAGGAAATTCTCAGTGAGTGACTAGAAGCGGAGGGCACCTGGGGTGGGCAAGGGAGCACCAAAGTTTCTGTAGCAATGGGGGCAGGAGCACAGGCTGGGGGGGGTCTGGGGCCAAGGGGGAGGCGGTCTGAACCCACACTGTGGGACCTCAGGGACATCACAGTCCCTCCCTGGATCTCAGCCACCCTAGTGGGAACAGGGCAAGGGCTGGCAGGACGGAGAAGTCTCAGAGAACCTTCCCAGGAGATGAACCCCTTGCTCTGGCCCAGCAGATGCTGCCGTGAAGGACACACAGCCCAAGGACGGGGTGGAGATGGATGCTCCGGTGAGGCCCCGCCCCTGTCCCGGGCACCAAAGGCCTCCTGGTGCCAGATCTAATCCAGCAGGACTTCTCTGTCCTCCTTCCCCCGGCTCTCAGCATCGTCACGGTGGACCCCTCCTTGTCCAGCACGCTGCCTCCCGCCTGCTGCGACCTCACTCTCTTCTGCTGTCCTGGGACCTCGTGGGCCTCCTCCCGGGTCCCCTTCCTGCTCCTCATCCTCTGTTTGGCCGTCTGGTTGTTAGAGCTCTCCCCAGGCCTCAGGAGGATGAGGAATAAATGAACCGACCCGGTCCCCCAGGCTCCCCTTCATTCATTCAACCAGCGAGTGTTCCCAGGGAGCTCACTGTGGATGGGGCTCCCCATGGGAGCTGCAGACACAGCAGGGAGCAAAGCCGCCCCCGCCTCCTGAGCTCACCTCATGGTGGGAGACAAAATGCAAATAAATGCATCGTGTCCAGGAGTGCAACGTGCTGTAAGGAACATAAACCAGGGAAAGGGCAGAGAGTGTGGGGCAGTGGGGCCAGTCTGAATGGAAGGGGAGGGCTGTCTGCTCAGCTGTCATCTGAGAAGCCTGGACAGAGTGGGGCACACGATCCTCTGATGGACGAGCCCCTGCAGGCAGAGGAAACAGCCGTGCAAAGGCCCCGAGGCAGCAGCGAGCTCTTGCGGGAAGGCCCGTGAGGCTGCAGCCAAATGGGCAAGGTCAGAGTGAGGAGCAGAGGCCAGAACCACAGGGAGGGAGCGGCCAGACCCTCCACGGCCTTAGGGCGTCCCTGAGATTCCATCAGGAAAGGGATGTAATCGGATCACCCCGGGAACAGTGAGGAAAATTGACTCCAGGAGGTCAGGGGGACTCAAGGACACCCCCCACCACTGTCTCTCTCCAGCAGAGCCCACACGATGAAGACCCCCAGGCAGTGACGTATGCCCCGGTGAAACACTCCAGACCTAGGAGAGAAATGGCCTCTCCTCCTTCCCCACTGTCTGGGGAATTCCTGGACACAAAGGACAGACAGGCAGAAGAGGACAGACAGATGGACACTGAGAGAGTCCTTTCCTCTCCAGGCCCCCAGGCCTCCCCCACCCCCACCACGTTCCTTCCCTCTCACTCTCCCCCGCTGCAGGCTGCTGCATCTGAAGCCCCCCAGGATGTGACCTACGCCCAGCTGCACAGCTTGACCCTCAGACGGGAGGCAACTGAGCCTCCTCCATCCCAGGAAAGGGAACCTCCAGCTGAACCCAGCATCTACGCCCCCCTGGCCATCCACTAGCCCACGGGGGACCCAGATCTCATACTCAACAGAAGGAGACTCAGAGACTCCAGAAGGCACAGGAGCTGCCCCCAGTGGACACCAATGAACCCCAGCCAGCCTGGACCCCTAACAAAGACCACCAGGACATCCTGGGAACTCTGGGACTCACTAGATTCTGCAGTCAAAGATGACTAATATCCTTGCATTTTTGAAATGAAGCCACAGACTTCTCAATAAATCAATGAGCTGAGAAAACTGAAACAGAAATTAGAGCATGGTATAAATTTGGAATGATAATGTAAATATTACACATTAAATGATGAAATCGGAAAACTACAAATGAGCGAATGAATTAGAAAAGAATAAAACCTACGTAATTAATGACCTTGGCAATGACAGAAAGAATTTAGAAAAAGAACAACAAATTATTCCAAATGAAGGTGTGAGGAAGGGGACAAAAATAACAAGAGGAGTTACTAATGAGGGCTACGTGAAAACTCGATGAAGCCAAAAAAGCTCATTCTTGAGAATGTGAATTACATTCACAAATCCTAGCCACAATAAGCAAGGAAAAAAGCGGGGTTCAGGCACACATTTCCATATGGGGGTGAAACAGCAGACACCACCACAAATCTGACACATATTGCCTTTATTTTTTTCACTTTTAAGTTCAGGGATACATGTGCAGGTTTGTTAGACAGATAAACTTGTGTCAAGGGGATTTGTCTTGGTTTTTGTGTGAGGGTTTTTGTTTTGTTTTGTTTTGTTTTTTGAGACGGAGTCTCGCTCTATCACCAGGCTGGAGTACAGTGGAGTGATCTCGGCTCACTGCAACCTCTGCCTCCCGGGTTCAAGCGATTCTCCTGCCTCAGTCTCCCGAGTAACTGGGACTACAGGCACCTGCCACCACGCCCGGCTAATTTTTGTATTTTTAGTAGAGACAGGGTTTCTCCATGTTGGTCAGGCTGGTCTCAAACTCCCGACCTCAGGTGATCCGCCCGCCTCAGCCTCCCAAAGTGCTGGGCTTACAGGCGTGAGCCACCACGTCCAGCCCATACATTTCAATTTTAAAGGGATGCGCCCTAGTCCTTAGTTAGTCTCTCCTCATCTCTATAAAATGTTCAGCTACTCACCTCTTGGGCTATTGCTAGACATCGTTTTCTCTTCCTTCTTTCTGACGCCTACAATAGATAGGACATTCCCCCTCCTCATTCTATTCTCCCAAGTACTTTAAATTGCAATTTATAAAGTTTCTATGCTACACTCTAAAAAAAATTCTGTTTTGTTTTCTAATTTCATAATTGGTGCTTCACTGTGTCTTGTCCTCGAAGGAATGAGTATTTTGATTGTGTTCATTAAATCTGATTTTTCTATGTCTTCTAATTATTTTATATAATATTCATTCTGCTGTAGAAAAAAAAATCATATAATCCTGCCTCAGAAATTCAATGTCCTCTGTATTTCTCAAATATTTAAACATGTTTAACCTAAGATGGGTCTCACACATTCCTAGTACTCCTTTTGACCATGATAATCCTCATTAGTGAGTGTGGATTGTCAACCATAGCACTTTGTGTTTGATTTTTTGGTTTGTTTTTTGTTTTTATTTATTTATTTATTTATTTTTTGAGACGGAGTCTCACTCTGTCACCCAGGCTAGAGTGCAGTGGCGTGATCTCAGCTCACTGCAACCTCTGTCTCCTGAGTTCAAGCAACTCTCCTACCTTAGCCTCCCGAGTAGCTGGGACTACAGGTGCCCGCCACCACAACCAGCTAATCTTTTTTTTTTTTTTTTTTTGTATTTTTAGTAGAGATGGGGTTTCACCGTGTGGCCAGGATGGTCTCGATCTCTTGACCTCATGATCTGCCTGCCTCGGCCTCCCAAAGTGCTGGGATTACAGGCGTGAGCCACCACGCCCAGCCTGTGTTTGTTTTTGAGACAGGTTCTTGCTCTGTCACCCAGGCTAAAGTGCAGTGGCGCACCACCCCAGTTCACTGCAACCTCCGCCTGCCAGACTCAAGCGATCTTCGACCTCAGGCTCCTAAGTAGCTGGAACTACAGGTGTGCACCACCACACCCAGTTCATTTTTGTCTTTTTAGTAGAGATGGGGTTTCACCATGTTGCCCAGGCTGGTCTCGAACTCCTGGGCTCCAGCGATCTGCCCACCTCGGCCTCCCAGAGCGCTGGGAAAATAGGCGTGAGCCATCGCAGGCAGCCAGTCATAGCACTTTTTATCATTAGGATGATTCCTCTTTCTTCTCATTCTTGGACACTCATCTCCCAGTGCCTCATCTGCCAGAGAGGGTTTCTACCAGGGCTGCACTGGGCGTTAGGCTTGAAAAGAGGAGGACGGCACCACCTGCCCGGGTCTTGTGAGTCTGCTCAGGCCTGTAACCAGCAGGGGAGGGTCCAGTGTGAACCTCATGTCTGACAACTCTACAATGAATCTATTTCACACACACAGAGGGGGAGGCTCAGGGCTGACCATAAACCTGAGTCAATGAGCAGAGATACCCCAGTGCCATCCACAAACACAGGGGACGAGGAGCCACAACTTCCCACTTTCACCCAAAACCCCAACCCCTCCCTGACTGTGAGGGCCCTGGGGTTCTCCTCTGTCTCATATAGAGGCGGAAACCTCCCTTTTAGTGATTCCCTGACATTGCAAGTCACCAGAAGCCAACTCAGCTCTGACCTCGCTGCTTCCTGAGGTTTCCTGCCTGTGTCAGGAAGTTTCATTTCTCATTTCCTTCTATGGCTGCGTATTTCAGAAACATGTATTAGTCAGGGTTCTCTAGAGGGGCAGAACTAACAGGATAGATGTATATATAAAGGGGAGTTTATTAAGGAGTATTGATCCACACGATCACAAGGTGAGGTCCCACAATAGACTGTCTGTAAGCTGAGGAGCAAGGAAGCTAGTCCGAGTACCAAAACCTCAGAAGCCGAGAAGCCGACAGTGCAGCCCTTCAGTCTGTGGTCAAAGGCTCTGCATGGGAAGGTCAGGGATTGGCAGAGTAGGAGATGGACCTGGCTGGGCTGGGGGTGAGAGCAATGCAGGGTCCGTCCTGTACAGCCCACTCCCTCCCCCAGGCCCTGCTGTGCTGGGGAAGGGAGGGTTGTAAGGAGGACACAGCCCCAGATGGAGACACTAAGACAGGCCCCTGCTGTCAGATGAGAAGACCCAGAGCAGGAAGCAGGTGTCCACCTGGTGGGGCAGCAGGAGGACAGCTGGGGAAAACACAAGGTCCCAGGTTCCCCTCCCAGACCTGCTTCTTCCAGGCTGGGGGGCCTGGGGCAGGCGATTCCCCCCTCTGAGCCTCAGTTTGTGCATCTGTGAAATGGGTTGGGGGGTTGGCAATCCCACGTTGCACGACTGCTGTGAGGGTTAGAGCTCATGAAGACCCAGCACGCGCCTGCACACAGTAGGTGCTCACATCAGCGATGTCATCCTCATTCCCGACGTCATCACGCGCAAGGTCTGGGAAGATACCTGGGGGTTGTAACCGGGGTCTCAGTGGCCTTTGTCCTGCCGCTCGTCCTCCTCCTCCAATGTCGGCGTCAGAGCAAACACAGGACATTGGGTGAGCAGGGACTGGGGGAACCTGTGGGCCCACCGAGGGTGGGATCAGGGCACCAACCAAAGGGGAACCAAACACACAAGAAAGTCAGCTTAGAAAAACAGCTCCAGAAAGTCCCAGCTGAAAAATCTAGAAAGAAGAGAATAAATATGAGTGTATGTGCAAGTAATTTATTCTTTGAGCTTTTTATTTTATTTTATTTGAGACGTGATCTGGCTCTGTCACCCAGGCTGGAGTGCAGTGGTGTGATCTCGGCTCGCTGCAACCTCCACCTCCCAAGATCCTCAATGATCCTCCTACCTCAGCCTCCTGAGTAGCTGGGACTACAGGCCCCTATCACCACGCCAGGCTAATTATTTTTTTGCGGGGGAGAGATGGGGGGTCTCACTATGTTGCCGAGGCTGGTCTCAAACTCCTGAGTTCAAGCAATCCACCCGCCTCAGCCTTCCAAAGTGCTGGGATTATAGGCATGAGCCATTCGGCCCAACGTCTTCGGGCCTTTTTAAGTGTATCCAGTATTTAAAACAACTATGCCTGTAATCGCAGTACTTTGGAAGGCTGAGGCAGGTGGATGGCTTGAGCCCAGGAGTTTCAGAGGACTCTGGGCAATGTGGTGAGACCCCATCTCTACAAAAAAAATTAAAAATGCAAATAAGCCAGGTTTGGTGGTGTGCACCCGTGGTCCCAGCTACTCAAGACGCTGAGGCAGGAGGATCACTTGACCCTATGAGGTCAAGGCTGCAGTGAGCTGGGATCGCACCACTGTGCTCCAGCCTGGGCGACAGAGCGAGACCTTGTCTCAAAAAAAAAAAAAAATATATATATATATATATATATATATGGGTGTGTTTTCAAGTTTCATTTTTTCCCCTAAAGTCGCATGTACTGGGTGGGTGGTTCTAAGGTTCCCAGGGCTGAGACTTTGTCCTTCTTCACCTAGCCCAGAGAGAGGCTGATTTCCAACACCCTGCAGGGGCCGTGGGACCAGAGCCCAAGAACAGGGGTCTGCTGAGGAGGTAATTCTGCCCAAAGACCCCAGACTCCCACACTCCACCACACCACACTCTCGTGTCCTCCCCCAGGTCCAGCCCAGCTGCTGACATCCAAGAAGAAAACCTCAGTGAGTAAGAGGAAGAGGGGGTGCACCTGGGGTGCAGATGGGGACCCTGCAGTTTCACTAGTAACAGGAAGGGGCTGGGAAGGGTCTGGGGCTCAGGGGAACATGGTTCACTTCATACTGTGGAACCTCAGGGACATCACACCCGCTCCCTAGATCTCAGCAGTCCCACTGGGAGCAGGACAGGGGGAGGTGGTACTGAGAGGTCCCAGGGAAACTTACCAGGAGACGAACCCCTTGCTTTGCCCCAGCAGACCCTGCTGCGAATTTTTTTTTTTTTTTTTTTTTGAGATGGAGTCTCGCTCTGTCACCCAGGCTGGAGTGCAGTGGCGCGATCTCGGCTCACTGCAAGCTCCGCCTCCCGGGTTCATGCCATTCTCCTGCCTCAGCCTCCCGAGCAGCTGGGACTACAGGTGCCCGCCACCACGCCCGGCTAATTTTTTGTATTTTTAGTAGAGACGGTTTTCACCGTGTTAGCCAGGCTGGTCTCGATCTCCTGACCTCGTGATCCGCCCGCCTTGACTCCCAAAGTGCTGGGATTACAGGCGTGAGCCACCATGTCCCGCCTGAAAGTGAGACTTTTAACAGGGTCTTGCAAAATTGGATGTCTGCTAGGTAGGCATAGCCGGGGCAGTCACAGCAGGTAATTTATCTCTTGGCACTCAACTATCCCTTCCCCAGTTCCTCACTGGTCGAGTACTATGAGGTTACAATCTTCCCAGACTTCGCCTGAGTTTCATTATCCCCCTTATAAGGTTGTACCCCGTCCCCTTCCCCGCTTAAGTTGCGATTTCCCAATAACAAAATTTTTTTCCCTTTTATGGGCTGACCGCCTCCTCCCCCACAACCCCCCGCCATTCTGTTCACTTATTGTGATTTGCTAGGAGCATGAGCCGTGCGGTTTGTTACATCCGCAGACTGGCTGCCAATACTTGGATATCATGCCTTGAAAATGGACCCTTTAAAATGTGTTCTCACAAATTCCCTCCTCTTTTTTATTTACTTCCTTTGGTCTCATTTTCATTTGAACCCTTCTGGTGCTTGAATCGCTTTAGAAGTTGTTTACTTTCTTTTTTTCTTTTTCTTTTTCTTTTTTTTTTGAGACAGAGTCTTGCTGTGTGGCCCAGGCTGGAGTGCAGTGGTGCCATCTCAGCTCACTGCAATGTCCGCCTCCTGGGTTCCAGAGATTCTCCTGCCTCAGCCTCCCGAGTAGCTGGGATTACAGGCGTGCACCACCATACCCAGCTAATTGTTTTTGTATTTTTAGGAGAGATAGGGTTTCACCATATTGGCCACGCTGGTCTCAAACTCCTGACCTCAGGTCATCCGCCCACCTCGGCCTCCCAAAGTGCTGGGATTACAGGCATGAGCTACCACGCCCGGTCAAATTTTTCACTTTATGGCTACATAGTAGGTGTATATATTTATTAAATTACTTTTCGATGGTATTAATTCAATTTACTATTTTTCACCTTCACGACGTCTGTCTAATGCATTTCAACAACTGTCTGTGTTTTCCTCACGTATCTTGGTTGTCATTCCTGTGGGACAGCTCCTCCCACGCACCTGGCCTTTCATAAAGGGTTTCTCCCACGGCTGTCCAGGCATCAGCCTGATGAAGGGGATTGTTGCCGCTGCTCCTGCCCCACTCCCCCAAACTCAGTGTCAGCTCAAGATTGTGCCCAGCAGGGATGGGACCAACGCCAGCCTCACACTCACCTGTGGGGCAGACGCCCATGTCTGACCACCGTGGATCGAATCTGTTTCTCACACACAGGGGAGGGGCTGAGCGCTGACCGTGGCCTCCAGTGAGTGAGCAGAGACCCCCCAGCGCCTGTCCACACACACAGGGGAGGGGGAGCCACCGCTTCCAGCCTCACCCAGAGCCCTGACCCCTCCCTGCCTGGGAGGACGTGGGGTTCCTCTTCTGTCCCACATGGAGGTGGGAGCCTCCTCCTCCCTAATGACGCTCGGTGGTCCCAGACACCTGTGGCCACTCAGCATTGAACTCTGCTCATGGAAGGGGATGCGTCTCAATGTGAGGAACTGTTCTTCCTCTTTCTCGGCCTGTGGCTGTGATGATCTGCATATTTCAGACGTATCACAAGAATTTCATGGTATTTGGAGCCAATGTGGGCTCTTGAATGGGGGCGTCAATCATCCTCCTCAACTGTGGAGCCCAGCACCAGGATCCTCTCCCGTCCCCACCCTCCTGTCTGAACTGGTCTGGAAATTCACCATGGCTGAGCCTCCCATGTCCTGGGCACCACTGACCCCCACAGCCACTGTGATGAGTGGGGTTCACGACAGCAGGCTCAGAGGTGACATTCATGTCCAAAGTCTCATAAACCCTAGATGATAATCAGGAATTAAATACAAATCAGCTCACCTTCCCCAGAATCAGATTATAGATTACAATGAAACATATATATATATATATATATATTTCTCTTTATCCCCTCTATTTCTCCTTTTCAGACAGGATCCTGCGCTGTCGCCCAGGCTGGAAGGCCAAGGGGTGATCATATCTCCCTGCAGCCTCCGCCTCCCGGGCCCAGGTGGTCCTCCCACCTCAGCCTCCTGAGTAGCTGGGACCACAGGCATGAGCCTCCATGCCCAGCTCACTTTTTTCTTTTCTGTAGAAACAGGGTCACAGTCTGTTTCCCAGGACTGTCTGAAGCTCCTGGCCTCAAGCCATCACCCGCCACAGCCTCCTGAAGTGCTGGGATTCCAGGCATGAGCCACCACGGTAGACGCTGCATTTCTCCTCTGTGCTCACTGCTACACGCAGCTCAGCCTGGACTACACAGCCAGGTGTCAGGTGCGTCTCTGCTGATCTGAGTCTGCCTGCAGCATGGACCTGGGTCTTCCCTGAAGCATCTCCAGGGCTGGAGAGACGACTGCCATGGTAAGGACCCCGTAACGCTGAGCTGATGGACGGGCTGAAGGAGGGAGGGAGACCCCATGGGGAGGCTCTGAGAGGGAGGATGAGCCCACAGTCACCCTCGCCTCAAAGGGGCTGACTCCAGAAGGCACTGGTTCTATTTGCTGCTGTGTCCTAGCTCTCAGTGAGATAAAGATAAATCAGGCAGACAGTGGCCCGGGGGCAGGGAGACCCCATTTCTCTCTGAAATGCCTGCAGAGAGCCTGGTGCCTGCCCCCACTTCAGCCCTGGGGAAATCAGAGCCAGGTTCCTGGGGTGGCAGTTCCTCTTCCTGTGGGCTGAGGATGAGACAACCCCATGACAAGAAGGACCCAGCCTCCGAGCGGCCACACCCTGTGTGTCTCTCTGTCCTGCCAGCACTGAGGGCTCATCCCTCTGCAGAGCCCGGGGTCACCAGGAGGAGACGCCATGACCCCCACCCTCGCAGCCCTGCTCTGCCTAGGTGAGATTTCAAGATGGGGAGGGGGAGATCTGAGTCTTGGAGGAACCCCACCCCACACACAAGCCCTGGTCCATCAGGAGACCTCAAAAGCTCAGGAGGCACCAGGGCGGGGAGGACCTGCTCAGGCTTCAGGGCAAATGCCTCACAGGGAATTCTCTTCCAGGGCTGAGTCTGGGCCCCAGGACCCACGTGCAGGCAGGTGAGTCTGTCCCCAGCTGTCCCAGGTCCCTCATCCTTACTAGGGACAAGGGCCACACATGGGCAGCTGGGGGAGGAGACAGCAGTTCTGGGTGGGGAGGAGACAGTAGTTCTGGGTGACTGATGGGGATGATGAGGAAGTCCTGGGGCTGGGAGCTGGGATCTGAGCGTGGGGATGTCTTGGGATCCAGCCTCTGATTTCCATCTAGGGCCCTTCCCCAAACCCACCCTCTGGGCTGAGCCAGGCTCTGTGATCAGCTGGGGGAGCCCCGTGACCATCTGGTGTCAGGGGAGCCTGGAGGCCCAGGAGTACCGACTGGATAAAGAGGGAAGCCCAGAGCCCTGGGACAGAAATAACCCACTGGAACCCAAGAACAAGGCCAGATTCTCCATCCCATCCATAACAGAGCACCATGCGGGGAGATACCGCTGCCACTATTACAGCTCTGCAGGCTGGTCAGAGCCCAGCGACCCCCTGGAGCTGGTGATGACAGGTGAGAGGACACTCTGGGGTCCCAGCCCCAGGCTCTGCCCTCAGGAAGGGGGTCGGCTCTCAGGGGTGTCTCCCTCTCACAGCCCAGCCCTGGGGATGATGTGGGAGGTGGGAGCCCCATTTAACATGGTGCCTCTTTCTCTCCTAGGAGCCTATAGCAAACCCACCCTCTCAGCCCTGCCCAGCCCTGTGGTGGCCTCAGGGGGGAATATGACCCTCCAATGTGGCTCACAGAAGGGATATCACCATTTTGTTCTGATGAAGGAAGGAGAACACCAGCTCCCCCGGACCCTGGACTCACAGCAGCTCCACAGTGGGGGGTTCCAGGCCCTGTTCCCTGTGGGCCCCGTGAACCCCAGCCACAGGTGGAGGTTCACATGCTATTACTATTATATGAACACCCCCCGGGTGTGGTCCCACCCCAGTGACCCCCTGGAGATTCTGCCCTCAGGTGAGGGAGCCACGGCCTTGTCTAACACACTTTCGGGGCAGCTGACAGGTTGTGGGGAGTTTGGCTGGTGACTGAATCTGGAAAGGACCCAGAGTGATGTGTTGAAGGACGGGCTGAAGGCATGAGGGAGACCCCATGGGGAGGCTCTGACATGGGAGGAGGAGCCCTCAGCCACGCTCACCTGAACGGGGAGGACTCAGGAAGGCATCGGTGTGTTTGCTGTGAGGTCCCAGCTCTCAGGGAGAGGAGGAAAGATCAGGCACAGTGGCCAGGGCTAGGGAGACCCCACTCCTCTGAAATGACTCCAAGACAGCCCCGGGTGAGAAGGAGGCCCTGGGGTCAGAGACTCAGAGCATGAGAGACAGTGAGACCTGCAGGGCCAGGACGGGAGAAGGAAGGGGCGTGGGAGGAACCAGCCCTCTCAGTCCTGGCTCCTCTTTCCCTCCAGGCGTGTCTAGGAAGCCCTCCCTCCTGACCCTGCAGGGCCCTGTCCTGGCCCCTGGGCAGAGCCTGACCCTCCAGTGTGGCTCTGATGTCGGCTACGACAGATTTGTTCTGTATAAGGAGGGGGAACGTGACTTCCTCCAGCGCCCTGGCCAGCAGCCCCAGGCTGGGCTCTCCCAGGCCAACTTCACCCTGGGCCCTGTGAGCCCCTCCCACGGGGGCCAGTACAGGTGCTATGGTGCACACAACCTCTCCTCCGAGTGGTCGGCCCCCAGCGACCCCCTGAACATCCTGATGGCAGGTGAGGAGCCCAGCGGGTTCAGTCAGGGACCCAGGCTCTGCACAGGCCCTGCCGGGGGAGCCCAGGTGGTGATGGCCGGGATGAGGGGTGGGGGTCCCAAGGGAGGGAGAGACAGACAGAGACAGGGGATGGGCGGGGAGGCGAGACTCAGAGAAAACAGAGACAGAGACACTGAGGGTCCCAGGGAGAGGCCTGGGGAGGTGTCAGCTCAGAGCAAGGTGGGGCAGCCCCTCACCCATCCTTCTTCTCTCCAGGACAGATCTATGACACCGTCTCCCTGTCAGCACAGCCGGGCCCCACAGTGGCCTCAGGAGAGAACGTGACCCTGCTGTGTCAGTCATGGTGGCAGTTTGACACTTTCCTTCTGACCAAAGAAGGGGCAGCCCATCCCCCACTGCGTCTGAGATCAATGTACGGAGCTCATAAGTACCAGGCTGAATTCCCCATGAGTCCTGTGACCTCAGCCCACGCGGGGACCTACAGGTGCTACGGCTCATACAGCTCCAACCCCCACCTGCTGTCTTTCCCCAGTGAGCCCCTGGAACTCATGGTCTCAGGTGAGGGCGCTGACCCCGTCCTCTCTGAGCTCAAAGGCTCAGCTCAGGCCCAGGCCCCCAGGAGAGCTCTCGGCTGGGATGGACCGAGGGAGGCTGTGAGGGAGGCTTAGCCAGAGGGCACCCAGCCCTCAGAGGGGAGGAGGCCAACAGGGGTTCTCCTAGGCGTGGCCACCCGTTCTCCCCTGCCTGGCATGCAGAAGGCACCAGGTGGGCAGAGAGATGGTTCCAGGGAATCCACTGGGCGGAAGCAGGAGAGTGGGAGTGGAAGGGTGCACTCCATGGACGGCCCCCGCCCCTCACCCGCCTCCCGTGCTCCTTCCAGGACACTCTGGAGGCTCCAGCCTCCCACCCACAGGGCCGCCCTCCACACCTGGTGAGTCACTGAGGCCTCGTGGGGAGCGCCGCCTCCCCCAGGGCAGTCTGAGTCTCCCAAAGGATCCCACTCCCCTCCCCTCAAGGACGGGCTTGTGTCCCAGGGGCTCTGAGGCTGGGCTGGTGAAGAGTGGGGGGTTCAAGGCAGAGAGAGATGTTGGGGCCCAGCCAGGAGGAGGAGCCGGGCTGATGTGGGGAGCAAGGTAGCCCCAGGCTTCACCTCCCTGTCCTGACCCAGGAGGTCCTGAGGACCAGCCCCTCAACCCCCCAGGGTCAGGCCAGTGACTCCCTGGAGCTCGTGGTCTCAGGTGAGGGCCCTGACCCTGTCCTCTCTGAGCTCAAATGCTCAGCTCAGGCTCTGCACCCAGGAGAGCTCTGGGACACTAGGAAAGAAGGGAGTGAAGGTGGAGAATCCAGCCCATGGGAGGGAGGAAATGGCTCAGGAGCAGCGTTGAAATTCATAGAACACAGGAAAACTGAAATAGTTTCATGAGGAGACTGGAGGGAGCCCTGCTGCAGGAGAGGGAGGGTTTATTGAGGAACTCCGTAAAAGCCACGTCATGAGGCCTGGAAGAATAAGAACGCAGAGCCCAGGGGAGAGGCTGGCTCAGGGCTCTCCCCTTCTGTTTTGATTCTCAGGAGGAGCTGAGACCCTCACCCCATCACAAAACAAGTCAGACAGTTATGGGGCGGGCACAGAGGGTCAGGTTCTGTCAATGGCGGATGGGGGGTGCCCTGGGTTGGGCATCCAGGGGTCCTGGGTGAAGTTGATCTGCCCGGACCTCTGTGACCTCTTTGCCCACCATCCCCAGCCTCACACGCCAAGGATTACACAGTGGAGAATCTCATCCGCATGGGCATGGCAGGCTTGGTCCTGGTGTTCCTCGGGATTCTGTTATTTGAGGCTCAGCACAGCCAGAGAAACCCCCAAGATGCAGCCGGGAGGTGAACAGCGGAGAGGACAATGCACCCTTCAGCGTGGTGGAGCCTCAGGGACAGATCTGATGATCCCAGAAGGCTCTGGAGGACAATCTAGGACCTCCAGAGGGGGGTGAGATTTCAGGCCACACACTGTGGAAGGTAATCATGTCTGATCACAAATTTTGGGTCTCCACCTTACTTCCAATCTATGTTGTGAATGCCCAGTTGAGACCCACGGAAAAGAGCTCATGGGTGAGTGTGAAGTGCTTCTCTGTCTTAAGTTCCCAGAGATCCTTGCCTCTTGGAGGCCAGCAAACACTAACTCTTGAGGAATTCATGACAATATCATCTGATTCCTCCTTCCCAGCTTGTATGGCAGTCTCCCACCCTCATGTGTTCAATCTGATGATCCCAGGAGGTTCTGGAACAAAATCTACAGCCTATGCTTTCTGGACTATCTGTCGATCATTCCTGAAGAGAGGGATCAATGTTGAGGTATTCATTTCACATGATGAAAATGACAATATCAAATGTCAGAGGTAGTAGGGCTCACGTAGAAATCCAATACATCCATGGTAGGACTGCAAATTACTTGAATCAATTTGGGGAAAATATCAGAAGTACCCAGTGAAAAAGAAGAAACATGGCCGGGCGCGGTGGCTCATGCCTGTAATCCCAGCACTTTGGGAGGCTGAGGCGGGCGGACACGAGTTCAGGAATTCGAGTCCAGCTTGGCCAACATAGTGAAACCCCGTCTCTACTAAAAATACAAAACATTAGCTGGGCGTGGTGGCAGGTGCCTGTAATTTCAGCTACTCAGGAGGCTGAGGCAGGAGAATTGCTTGAACCTGGGAGACGGAAGCAAGTTGGCGCCAGTTGGTGCAGTGAGCCAAGGTGGCGCCATTGCACTCCGGCCCAGGTGACAGTACGAGACTTCATCTAAAAAAAAAAGAAAAAAAAAAAGAAGAGACACACAGCTATGAACACAAAGCACAGAACCTAGAGGAAAATGTGTTCATATGGTGAGGTTTCATTCACAACAACATGGACAGGACTGCTGCTCATATTACACAACAGCCATAAAACCCAAAAATACATCTAAAACAAAGGAAACATATGTGGTTCAATTCCACCAAGGGATACTACGAGGCCGTGCAGAGGCACAGACAAAATCTACAAAGAGCAATGCAAACCAACCTTCCATCATGATGTTGAGTAAAGAAACAAGAGTATAAAAAGAAGGTGTGCACATGAAGCTCAAAAAGAGGCAGCATTTATTTTCTAGGGAGGCAAACTCAAAATAGACCCCATAAATAAAGGAAATAGATTATGTAATCCAAAATAGTGCTTGCACATCAGGAAATACTGGAGGGTTCTGTTCAACATGGAAACTCCAAGGACCACTGGACGCGGGCACTGGAACGCTGACTTTCATTTGGTGACCCTCAATCCACTTCGAGTTATTGGTAAATCACATAATTTTAATTTGATACGGAATAATCATACATGTTTCTTGGGAGCATGTGGTAATCTGATTCATCCATGCAATGTGTAACGATCCAATAAAGGTTCCCAGGACATTCATCACCCTGAACATTTGTTATTATGGTTATTATTTTGAGACAGAGTCTTGCACTGTCGCCCAGCTGGCGTGCAGTGGCAGGATCTTGGCTCACTGCAAACTCTGCCTCCCGGGTTCAAGCAGTTTTCCTGTCTCAGCCTCCTGAGTAGCTAGGATTACAGGCATGCACCATCACACCTCGCTAATTTTTGTATTTTTATTACAGACGGGGTTTCACCATGTTGCTCTGGCTGGTCTCGAACTCCTGACCTAAGGTGATCCACCAGCGTCGGCTTTCCATAGTGCTGGGATTACAGGTGTGAGCCACTATGCCTGGCCAACTTTTATAATTTCTGTGCTGGGAACATTCCAAATCTTCATTTCTCACTCATGTGGAAAATACAATAATCTGTTGCTAACTATGGTCACCCTACTGAGCTCTCAGGCCCTGGAACTTACTCCTTCTCTCCACCTGTATTTCTGCACCCGTCCACCAACCTCTCTCCATCCCTGTCCTCCACACTCCCTTGCCAGCCTCTGTTGACAACCATTCTACTCTCTGCCATCACAAGGCCCACTTTTGTAGCTTCCGCGTGAGTGAGAACATGCTCCTCTTTCTGGGCCTGGCTTATTTCACTGAACATAATGTCTTCCAGATTCATCTGTGTTGCTGAACATGGTACAATTTCCTTCTTTTTATGCCTGAATATTATTTCATTGTGTATATAGACCACATGTTCCTTATCCATTCATCCATTGATGGACATAGGTTGATTCCATATCTTGGCTATTGTGAATACTGCTGCAATAAACATGGCAATGCAGACACCTCTTTGATATACTGATTTTCTTTCTTTTGGAAATATACCCATCTGTGCGATTACTGGATGGTGTGGTTGTTCTACTTTCAGTTTCTTGAGGAACCTCCATGCTGTTTTCCATATTGGCTGCACCAACTTGCGTTCCCACCAAGGTAGAAGGGTTTCTTTTCTCCATAT
Organism: Homo sapiens; assembly: GCF_000001405.40. Taxonomy (NCBI): domain Eukaryota; kingdom Metazoa; phylum Chordata; class Mammalia; order Primates; family Hominidae; genus Homo; species Homo sapiens. The sequence continues at coordinate 54,236,421 of NC_000019.10, read as the reverse complement.
CCTTGACAGCATCTGTTAATTTTTGTCTTAGAGATAACAGCCATTTTAACCAGGGAATAGCATATCTCTGTTTTTGTACCTATCTATCTTTATTTGTCATGCCATTTAGGGAGCTGAGATTGAAGTGTGGTGGTGAATGCCACAGGCTGCACTGGCCACTAAATGGCAAACCAGGTGGTTCTTGACCTGTCAGAGCAATGATCTCACAGGTTGACTTTGTGTTTCATTCACAACATGACACCCACCTGCCTGATCAACCTCACCTGAGTCCACGCAGACAATGAGCCACTTACCCAGGTAAGAATGGGCCTCAGAAAGGGAAACACCTTGTCCAGTACTTCATGACATGCACTTGACATTTTTAAGTGGCCATATAACTTTCTGATTTCATTATGTTGAAACCACCAGAACTGGGATGAAGGACACCAACATGGCCTTGGGGTTATTTCAGACATGAGGTTCAACCCAATCAGGTGGTGGTTTAGGATGATCACACAGGGCTTGGTTATTCCAGAGATGAGGTTCCATCCAATCAGGCGGTGGTTTAGGGATCACACAGGGCTTGGTTATTCCAGAAATGAGGTTCCACCCAATCAGGTGGTGGTTTAGGGATCACACAGGGCTTGGTTATTTCAGAGATGAGGCTCAACCCAATCAGGTGGTGTTTTAGGGATCACACTGGGATTGGTACCAAATGTGACAATGCTCCATGTGCCTGATCACCTCCTGGACCCCTCTGAGGTGGAAATCAGAGAAAGGCATTTGTGTGCAGCTGCTGTTCATTCCGGATTCCTTTCCTACATGGGAACTTACATGATGCTTGACCCTGAAGAACAGAACTGGCTGAAAAAGAATTCAGGAATGAAATCCCATTTATAATAGCCACAAACAATAAAAGACCTGCTAATAAATTTAACTGACAAGGTAAAAACCTCTACAAATAAAATTATAAAGCTCTAAGAAAAATTAAAGAGGACACGAAAAAACTGGAAAGATACCTCATGTTCACACGTTGAAACAATAAATGTTTACAAAAAGGACCATAGGACCCAAAGCTATCTACAGATTCATTGTAATTCCTATCAACATACAAGTGTCTTTCTTCACTGAAATATAAAAAATTCTAAAATTAATATAGAGCCATAAAATACCCAAAATAGCCAACGCAATGTAGAGAAAAAAAAACAAAGCTGGAGACATCACACTACCTGACTTCAAAATACACTACAAAGCTATAGTAACCAAAACAGTAAGGCACTGGCTTAAAAACAAACACATAGACAAATGGAACAGAACAAAGAACCTAGAAATAAATCCACAAATTGACAGCCAACTGATTATCAACAAACATGCCAAGAACATATATTGGGTAAAGGACAGTTTCTTCAATAAATGCTGCTAGCAAAACTGCATATCCATATGCAAAAAAACAAAACTCAACCTCTGTCTCTCACGATATACAAAAATCTACTCAAGACAGAATAAGACCCAAAGTAAGACCTGAAACTATGAAACTATAGAAGAAAACACAGAGGAAACGCTTCAAGACATTGGTCTAAGCAAACATTCTATCAGTAAGACCTCAAAAGCATAGGAAACGAATTCAAAAATAGACAAATGGGTGTATCAAACTAAAAAGCTTCTGCAGAGCTCAGGAAACAACCAACGGTGTTATGACCTACAGAGGCAGGGAGAAACATTTGTTACCTATTCCTCTAACAAGGGTTTGATCATCAGAATATATGAGGAACTCAAACAGCTCAGAGCCTTTGATGGAGAAATGAAGAGGTGCTGCTACGTAGAGAAATAAAGAAGTCAGAGGGAGGAAGTTTGGGAGGAACAAACCATGCTTTCCAGGTATTGGGAGGCTCTGTTTCTCTCTCTGACTTAGTTAACTGTTTTTAATACATCTCCTTCAGTCTGCTTCCCACATGGGGTCATTGCTCCTGTGATGGCCCTATTGGTTCCTCTTGTCAACCAAGTCAGAGAATGGAAGAGCTTTCATTCCCTGAGCATCTTCTTCTTCACACACAATGAACAAATCCACACCATTCTACCACAGAGTCCTTTTTATCAATGTCTCCTGTCCAACGCTACAGTCCAAGCTCAGCTGGTTTCCTCAGCTCAGCACTTCATGGATTATGACAGCATAACTCCAATCCCTGCCTCTATCTCTGGGCTGGTTTCCCATTATTACTGCAGAAGCCCCCATTCTGTGTGAACAGACACAGTGACACACCAGACACCCCCTCCAGCCTGGCCCCTGGAGGATCTGAATGGAGATTGGGACTCCGCAGGGTTGCCCAGGAACATGGTTTCACACATTCTCCTGTAGGAAATCCATAACCACTATCACCACGTGGTCATTTCCAGCATCTTGGGATGTAGAGGATGCCGGCTGGTCCCTGCAGTGGCAGATCCTGTGGCAACTCTGGAAATCCTGTGAAGAACTTACGGAGGCCCTGTGAAGATCCTATGGAGATCCAGTCGAGGTCCTATGAAGATCCACGGAGAACCTATGGATGTCCTGCAAAGGTCCTATGGAGAATCTATTGAGATTCTATGGAGGTCCTGTGGGGGTTCTATTGAGATCCTATGGAGGTCCTGTGGGGGTTCTATTGAGATCCTATGGAGGTCCTGTGAGGGTTCTATTGAGATCCTATGGAGGTCCTGTGGGGGTTCTATTGAGATCCTATGGAGGTCCTGTGGGGGTTCTATTGAGATCCTATGGAGGTCCTGTGGGGGTTCTATTGAGATTCTATGGAGGTCCTGTGGATGTCCTATTGAGATCCTATGGAGGTCCTGTGGGGGTTCTATTGAGATCCTATGGAGGTCCTGTGGGGGTTCTATTGAGATCCTATGGAGGTCCTGTGGGGGTTCTACTGAGATCCTATGGAGGTCCTGTGAGGGTTCTATTGAGATCCTATGGAGGTCCTGTGGGGGTTCTACTGAGATCCTATGGAGGTCCTGTGAGGGTTCTATTGAGATCCTATGGAGGTCCTGTGGGGGTTCTATTGAGATCCTATGGAGGTCCTGTGGGGGTTCTACTGAGATCCTATGGAGGTCCTGTGAGGGTTCTATTGAGATCCTATAGAGGTCTTGTGGGGGTTCTATTGAGATCCTATGGAGGTCCTGTGGAGGTTCTATGGACAACCTATGGAGAACCTGTGGAGAACCTATTGAGATCTTATGGAGGTCCTGTGGAGGGCCCATGGAGATTCTATAGAGATCTTGCTGATCCTATGGAGATTCGAGCACTTTTCCATGCATGAGGTTGGGAAATAGACGTGGGGTTTCAGGATAGGAAGTCTAAGGCCAGCACTATGTTTTCGTAGGAAACTCAAAGTAAATAGTTTCATGTTCCAGAAGAAGCCCAAATTGAGATATATCTGGGGACCTAAGACAGAGGGGTGCTGTGCACTCACCCAAAGGCTCTTTTTCTTGGGTCTCAACCGTGCATTCACAAAACTGATTTGGAGCAAGATGGAGACCCCACATTAGTGATCAGACAGAAAGAGCTTCCACTGTGCATGGCCTGAAATCTCATTTCCCACCCAGGTGTTTCTCTCACATGGAGGAAAAGACATAAGCCATTGGAAGAGGCTCAGATAATTCTGCCCACCTCAGATCCCAGGTAATGACTCATTGTGGCCGGAAGAAGGTGGATCATAAAATCCCTCTACCCTAGGAGGAGTGCAGAGAACAATCCTGGACTGTGATCCTAGACAAATACCATTAGAGATATGCAAATTTGGAATAGGGACAGAAAACCCGTCCCCATCAAACAAACCTACTCAATACAATGCAGCTGCCATGAGGAGCGGGGACAGAAACACGGAGACAAACCCACCCTCAAGGCCCAGGCACACAGAAACTGCCGGAGACTGAGGCTGGAGGAGGACAGGAGAAACGTCTGCTCTCGACCAGGAGCTTCTCCTGAGAAGCTAGCAGGAGCGCCCACAGCTGGGGTTAGGAGATCTAAGGATCCGCTGATGACTGGGTTAATGCCGTGAGCTTCAGCCAGCTCTGTGTCAGCAGCCCCAGTGCGTGCTGGAGGGGCCCGTGAGTGTCGTGGCCATGGAGCAAGAAAAAAAGGACATGCTGCCAGGCGCAGTGACTCACGCCTGTATTCCCAGCACTTTGGGAGGCCGAGTTGGGCAGATTATCTGACGTCAGGAGTTCAAGACCAGCCTGGCCAATATGGCGAAACCCCGTCCCTACTGCAAATACAAAAACTAGCCAGGTGTGGTGGAAGGTGCCTGTAATCCCAGCTACTCGGGAGGCTGAGGCAGGAGAATCAGGGGACAGAGGTTGCAGTGAGCCGAGATCGCGCCACTGCACTCCAGCCTGGGCGACAGAGTGAGACTCCGTCTCTAAATAAAATAAAATAAAAGAATCAAAGAAAAAAGGACATGCATGGAACCAACACCAGCGACTCCCTCTTACCAAGGACCAAGCAGCCACCACTGTCGCTGAGAGTCTCACCTGTGACCAGCAGAGCGCTCTGGATGTGATGCCTTTGAGTGGACCAGCGAGCGAGTCATCTGGTGGCCGCTTGACGACATGGCGCGCATTCCACCAGGAGGGGGCAGCAAATCCTCCTGACCGGGCTGGATGCTGGCGCTCAGATGGGTTCTGCTGGGCTCACTGTGGCTCTCCGCCAGGAATCAGAGGCTCCCGCCTGTTTAAATGGAGCATCTCATGACTTAATCTCAGATCGAGGGACCTGCACGCCCATGAAATCAGTGGGGCAATGAGAACAGGGCCACGTGATATCCTGGGGATGATCTGAGATAGGATGCGTGCCATGTAGTGGTTGGGTGCTGCTGGGGCTGACAGAGCATCGGAATGGCCTCTTACAGTAGATGCAAGAAACAGTTTGTGGATGAGACTCTGCACTTTAGGTGCTCTCTGATGGTGTAACAGACATAGATATAAAACAGAGATATAGATAGCTGTAGACAATATACATATTCATATGAATGAACACTAAATGATGCTATGTCTTTTCCTTCTAATATTTTTGTTCTTATTTTTCTATAATGGGCTCTGCAAATGAAAATGCTATGTCTTTTCAGAGGTAGAACACACGGGCTGGGAAAGGAAAGGAGCGTGTCATCAACAGCCCCCATCACCACCCCTCCAGGTGACTCACTGGGCAGATAAGCACGTCCTGGGCCTGCACTTTTAGGTGATTTGGGGTTAGACGATCTGCCTGGTGGGAAATTACTACCAGGGAAGAAACTAAGGGTTACCCTACGCCAAAAATGATCACTTTGCCCTTTTCTCTTTTTTTTGGCTAACTTTAGGATATCTATTTTGTAAAAAATTAGTTGCTTTTTATACAACTTTACAAAGTTTTTAATGTTTCTTTGGCATTGGAATATAATGGAATTTTACAACTGTATAAAAAAGTTCGTTTGCCTAAGAAACAGTATTTACCGTGTGTACCTAGTTGACTGACAAAATTCTCTACCATCCAGCACCCTAATTAATTGATGAAATAGACTATTTAATATTACAAGATTCCCCAAAAGAAAGGAGGAGAAAGATACACACACACACACACACACACACACACACACACACCCTCCCTTCTTGGCTCAGAACACAGTATCACGGCCCTATCTGCAGGCAACCTGGAATTACCAAATACAATTCAGTGATTAAAAAAAAAAAAAAAAAACCTTTCAGTGATGACACAATACTTATAAGTCCCACTGAAGTACTGCTTTAGTTTAACTATACATAAGAAATTATTTAACCTTCTGCTATTCCAAATATATTTAATCCTCATGTCTTAAGATAAGGCTTCCTCCCCCGAAAACTAACTGCATTTTATCTCTGAAATTAAACAGAAAAACAAACAAAAAACAAAAACCCAGTGCTGATGGCAAACATACAGCCAATTCACTTCTTCGTTCTTCGCAAAGACTGAAATCAGTTTCCAGTACCATGAAGAGCTAGAAATTCACCTGTTTTCAAAGACTTGTTTGTAGACTATGCAGCAGCTTTGTTGTCTTTCTTTCAGAGAGCAGTACTATCAATTCAGACTATTTAGGGGCCAAAGGCTGTGCTTTTCCTATATTCAAAATCTGCAAACTCCCGACCCCTGGAACCTCCTCTGAATCCGCCGCGAAATCCTCAAGGGGTGGTCAAGGTACCACTTCTGCCACCACGCCCTCTGCCACCATGGAAACCAAGACCTCCCTCTGCCTCTGTATCCCCCATGGCCACGGTTTGGACAAAGTGGGATTCCAAATGTTTCAGCATTTAATCTTCTTCCTTCAGCCCAGGTTGGCCTCCGTTCTCTATTGTCATCACCAGAAATATTATCAAAGGAGGATTTAGTTTGGTCATAAAAGCAATTAGGTCCAAGTGCATCTTCTTCATCAGCATGTCCTTCACTGTTTTGGGTATCAACTCCTGAGTCTCCTTTATCTTCACCATTTACAGGCTTCTCCTCTTTCTCAAGTTTATCTTCTTTTAATTTAAGTTTATTATGAAACTCTCTGCCCATCTCTTCCTTGTTGAATTGGGCATTTGCACTTTCAAAGTCAAACTCTTTCTCTCACGCCTGTAATCCCAGCAATTTGGGAGGCCGAGGCGGGCGGATCACGAGGTCAGGAGATCGAGATCACGGTGAAACCCCGTCTCTACTGAAAATACAAAAAAATTAGCCTGACGTGGTGGCGGGCGCCTGTAGTCCCAGCTACTGGGGAGGCTGAGGCAGGAGAATGGCGTGAACCCGGGAGGCGGAGCTTGCAGTGAGCCGAGATCGGGCCACTGCACCCCAGCCTGAGCGACCGAGCGAGAGTCCGTCTCCAAAAAAAAAAAAAAAAATTCTCAAATTTCATTGGCCCATCTCGCCGAATACCAAATCTTCCCCTGCCACCCCATGACCCCCACGCCCTCTCCTTGGCGCTGAAGGAGCACCTGGAGCTGCTTGTCTCTTGTTTCATTTCTGAGTTGCTCATTTTCTGGCCTTGGAACGTTGTGCGCTTCAGCTCACCTCTGCTCCTGATTCTCTATTGCTTTTTGGCTGGTAGATGGCAAAGGCCTGGTTGATACAGGACTCCTTCTCCCAACAGGTGCTGGAGCAGGTCCGTGGGCCCAGGCGGTCTGCACTCCTTGTTCCATGGTTGGGCTTCTTCTCAAAGGGTCGAACTGAGCGCTTGAAGGACCTTGAGATAATTGTGTTTTTAGGGATCTTGTATCCTGTGTAAAGGCAGAATCAACCACTCTACTTTGGGGCAAGCTACCACTGTTTGATATTTCTGTTCCAAAGGAGGTCAAAGAGCTTCCAGCAACACCAACAGCACCAAACTGCTGCCCCACTAAGGAACTTGGACTGAACTGGCTGGATGTGTCCATAAGAACCCATGGACTGGAATGAAGAAGTCGATGAGCCTAGTGAGAACTGAATGATAGCTAGAGTTTCCATGTCATTCTTACTTTCTCAAATATTTGGTAGAAATCAACAGTGTACCCATTTAGGCCAGATTTCCCTATGGAAAGATTTCTGAGTGTAGGTTGAATTTCTTTTCTTTTTTTTTTTTTTTTTTCAGAGTCTCCCTCTGTCGCCTAGGCTGGAATGCAGTGGTGTGATCTCACCTCACTGCAACCTCCGCCTCCTGGGTTCAAACAGATCTCTTGCCTCACCCTCCTGAGTAGCTGGGATTACAGGCATGCGCCACCTCACTTGGCTAATTTTTGTATTGTTAGTAGAGGTGGGATTTCACCATGTCGGCCAGACAGGTCTTGAATTCCTGACCTCAGGTAATCTGCCCGCCTCAGCCTCCCAAGGTGCTGGAATTAAAGGTGTGAGCCACCAATCCCAGCCAGTTGAATTTCTTTAATAAAAATAGGAAATGTTACACTATATATTTGTTCTTGAGTAAATTTTGGTAGTTTGTATACTTCAAGATATTTTCTATTAAATGTGAGTTGTAAAACATCTTAGCATAGATTCCTAGTTTTGCTTCACTAGTCCTTTTATGTCTGTAGGATGGGTAGTGGTGCCTCTTTCCATCTTGATTTGGTAATTGTTGTGCTCCCTCTCTCTCTCTCACTCTCTTACTTTACATCCTACAAACGTTCATATGTTATAATTTCATTGACATTTTTCGTTAATGTTCTATCAATTTAATGTTGTGTGATTCTATAACCCATGAATATTTGTTTTTGCTTTTGCGATGGAGTCTTACTCTCTCACCCAGGCTGGAGTGCAGTGGCACAATCTCGGCTCACTGCAACTTCCACCTCCTGGGTTCAAGTGAATCTCCCGTCTCAGCCTCCCGAGTCATTGAAAATACAGGTGCATGCCACCACACCCAGCTAATTTTTGCATTCTCAGTAGAGACAGCATTTCACCATGTTGGCCAGGCTGGTCTCAAAGTCCTGACCTCAAGTGATCCACCTGCCTCAGCCTCCCAAAGTGCTGGGATTACAGGCATGAGCCACCACATCCAGCCTATAACCCATGAATATTTAGAATGTTATTTGTTTCCAAAGTATTGCTTTTTCTCTAAATGTCTTCTTATTGTTGGCTGCTAATTTAATTGAACTTCTAATCAGGAAACGTTACCTGTAGTAACAGTTTGGATGCTTACTTTGCTGTGTAAAAATGATAGAGACGGCTGGGCACAGTGGCTCTCACCTGTAATCCCACCACTTTGGGAAGCTAAGGCGGGTAGATCAAGAAGTCAGGAGACCGAGACCATCTGGGCCAATATGGTGAAATCCCGTCTCTACTAAAAATACAAAAAAATTAGCTGGGTGTGGCGGCGCACGCCTGTAATTCTAGCTACTCACAAGCCTGAGGCAGGAGAATCGCTTGAACCCGGAAGGTGGAGATTGCCGTGAGCCGAGTTCGTGCCACTGCACTCCAGCCTGGCGACAGAGCTACACTTCGTTTCAAAAAAAAAAAAAAGATAGATATTTCTGATCAATATGTTTTCATAAATAAGTATTCCTGGCCTCGCACAGTGGCTCACACCAGTAATCCCAACACTTTGGAAGGCCAAGGTGGGCAGATCCCGTGAGCCCAGGAGTTTGACACCAGCCTGGGCAACATAGCGAAACCTCGTCTCTACAAAAAAATACATATTAAAAAAATTTAGCCAGGCAAGGTGGCATGATCCTGTAGTCCCAGCTACTCAGGAAATGGTTGTGGCAGAATCACCTAGGCCTCAGGAGGTCGAGGCTGCAGTGAGCTGGGATAGTGCCATTGTACTTCAGATGGAGCAACAGAGAGAGACCTTGTTTCAAAAAAATATATATAAAGAAATATGCATTCCCACTTTGTTGCTATATGTATATTCCAGAAACGTTTCTATACAAATTTACATAATATATAAACAATCGAAACATCATATTTGCGCATGAGATTGAACATTTGTGCCATGCAACCCTCACGAATATTTTGTTCACTTAATCTATCAAAGTCTGATCAATATTTCTTCAAATCCTCCACTGTGTCTCAATTGATGCTTTGTAAATTTTAAGGACATGTGGTTGGTTGAGTGAAAGTGTATAACTTTCTCTTCTTCACAGATTGCTGATTTAAAAGTATGAAATATCCGGGCGTGGTGGCTCACGCCTGTAATCGCAGCACTTTGGGAGGCCGAGGCAGGCGGATCACGAGGTCAGGAGATCGAGACCACGGTGAAACCCCGTCTCTACTAAAAATAGTAAAAAATTAGCCGGGCGTGGTGGCGGACGCCTGTAGTCCCAGCTACTCGGGAGGCTGAGCCAGGAGAATGGTGTGAACCCGGCAGGCGGAGCTTGCAGTGAGCCGAGATCGCGCCACTGCACTCCAGCCTGGGTGACAGAGCGAGGCTCCGTCTCAAAATAAAATAAAATAAATAAATAAATAAATAAAAGTGTGAAATATCATCTATTTTTCTTTTCAAAGGCTGTTTGTGTTAGTATTGGTTTGCTATTGCTGCCATAACAAATTACACGTATTGAGCAGCTTCAGCAACACAAACTCATTATCTCACAGTCTTTTAGGACAAAATCAAGGCCATAACGTGGCTGCATTCCTTTCTGGAGGCTCCAGAGACGCGAATCCATTTCCTTGCTCTTTCAGATTCTTAGTAGAAATGCATATACTTGTATATACACAGATTACAGATAGATCTATGCTTATTCGTTTTTTGTATGTACTGTTGACTTATTCACAGTAGCATCTCATCTTCTCCATTTGGGGTTCATTATTCCACTCCCTGATTTACATTGTTTAGTATTGCTTTCAGAAAGAGCCCAGATGCAAACATGTCTGCAGCCTTGCAGCTCAAGCGATGCCTGCTTCTCTGTCTCTGTCTCTCTCCGTGTGTGTGTGTGTGTGTCTCCCTCTCCCTCTCTCTCTCTGTCTCAATCTCTCTCTGTCTCTCCGTCTCTCTCTGTCTGTCTCAATCTCTCTCTTTCTCTGTTGTTATCATAGTACCTGATAAAAGGACACTGAAAACGCCCTCCTTATTCCTCATAAGGCCACCGCCTGACCTGACGGGTCACGAGTGCCCCGAGTCTCCTTATGTTCTAGGATTTATCCACAGCTGACACTGCAACTCGGTCCTTTAATAATAACTAGGCCAGGTTGCGGTGAGCCGAGATCGCGCCATTGCACTCCAGCCTGGGCAACAAGAGCGAAATTGCATCTCAAAAGATAATAATAATAATAATAATAAATAATTATAATAGTAATAATTAGGCCCAGCACAGGAACTCTCTCCTCACAGTTAAACGCTTGTGGTTGTTTCTCCTGTATCTTCTGGGGCTGCTGTTTGCTCTTTGGAACTCCAGTCCCGATGAACTTGTCATTCATTCAAGGGTAATTTACATTTTCTCTGGTAGTTTTATGATTATTTTAAATTAATGCCTCATGGTTTTCACTTTACCATGATCGAGATATTCAATTTAGTTATAAACTGATGTTTTCTCTTCAGTTCTGTAAAAATTTCAACCATTAGCTCTTCATGCATATCATGAACTAACATCCTTCTTCCTTCTTTCATTCTGAAACCGTGACAGACACGTTCTTTCTTCTCATTCAACTTCGTGTATATATCAATATTTTCTATTGTTCAATTTCTGTTCTTTCCATGATACAGTCTGGAAAATTTCATGAATATTTTATCCCAATGTATATATTTATTATTTCAGCTGTCTTGCCCTGGATTAAATTATGCTTTGATTTTGTTATGTTTGCATAGTAGGTATATATGGTTAGTAAATTGCTTTTTTTTTTGAGACACAGTTTCGCTCCTGTTGTCCCAGCTGAAGTACAGGGGCGCAATCTCAGCACACAGCAGCCTCCATCTTCCAGGTTCAAGAGATTCTCCTGCCTCAGCCTCCCGAGTAGCTGGGATTACAGGCACTCACCACCACGCCCAGATAATTTTTTGTATTTTTAGTAGAGATGGGGTTTCACCATGTCACCCAGGCTGGTCTCGAACTCCTAGCCTCAAGTGATCTGCCCGCCTCCACCTCCCAAAGTGCTGGGATTACAGGCATGAACTACCATGCCCAGACATAAATTCCTTTTTAATGGCGTTAATTTAATATAGTTTTTCACCTTCACGATGTCTGTCTAATGCATTTCAACAACTGTCTATTTTGTCCTCATACGGTTGTCATTCCTGTGGGGCGGCTCCTCCCACGCACCTGGCCTTTCATAAAGGGTTTCTCCCACGGCTGTCCAGGCATCAGCCTGATGAAGGGGATTGTTGCCGCTGCTCCTGCCCCACTCCCCCAAACTCAGTGTCAGCTCAAGATTGTGCCCAGCAGCGATGGGACCAACGCCAGCCTCACACTCACCTGTGGGGCAGACGCCCATGTCTGACCACCGTGGATCGAATCTGTTTCTCACACACAGGGGAGGGGCTGAGCGCTGACCGTGGCCTCCAGTGAGTGAGCAGAGACCCCCCAGCGCCTGTCCACACACACAGGGGAGGGGGAGCCACCGCTTCCAGCCTCACCCAGAGCCCTGACCCCTCCCTGCCTGGGAGGACGTGGGGTTCCTCTTCTGTCCCACATGGAGGTGGGAGCCTCCTCCTCCCTAATGACGCTCGGTGGTCCCAGACACCTGTGGCCACTCAGCATTGAACTCTGCTCATGGAAGGGGATGCGTCTCAATGTGAGGAACTGTTTTTCCTCTTTCTCTGCCTGTGGCTGTGATGATCTGCATATTTCAGACGTATCACAAGGAGAATTTCATGGTATTTGGAGCCGATGTGGGCTCTTGAGTGGGGGCGTCAATCATCCTCCTCGACTGTGGAGCCCAGCACCAGGATCCTCTCCCGTCCCCACCCTCCTGTCTGAACTGGTCTGGAAATTCACCATGGCTGAGCCTCCCATGTCCTGGGCACCACTGACCCCCACAGCCACTGTGATGAGTGGGGTTCATGACAGCAGGCTCAGAGGTGACATTCATGTCCAAAGTCACATAAACCCTAGATGATAATCAGGAATTAAATACAAATCAGCTCACCTTCCCCAGAATCAGATTATAGATTACAATGAAACATATATATATATATTTCTCTTTATCCCCTCTATTTCTCCTTTTTAGACAGGATCTTGCTCTGTCGCCCAGGCTGGAAGGCCAAGGGGTGATCATAGCTCCCTGAAGCCTCCGCCTCCCGGGCCCAAGTGATCCTCCCACCTCAGCCTCCTGAGTAGCTGGGACCACAGGCATGAGCCTCCATGCCCAGCTCACTTTTTTCTTTTCTGTAGAAACAGGGTCACAGTCTGTTTCCCAGGACTGTCTGAAGCTCCTGGCCTCAAGCCATCACCCGCCACAGCCTCCTGAAGTACTGGGATTCCAGGCATGAGCCACCACGGTAGACCCTGCATTTCTCTGTGCTCACTGCCACACGCAGCTCAGCCTGGACTACACAGCCAGGTGTCAGGTGCGTCTCTGCTGATCTGAGTCTGCCTGCAGCATGGACCTGGGTCTTCCCTGAAGCATCTCCAGGGCTGGAGAGACGACTGCCATGGTAAGGACCCCGTAACGCTGAACTGATGGACGAGCTGAAGGAGGGAGGGAGACCCCATGGGGAGGCTCTGAGAGGGAGGAGGAGCCCACGGTCACCCTCGCCTGAAAGGGGCTGACTCAGGAAGGCACCAGGTCTATTTGCGGCTGTGTCCCCGTCCTCAGTGAGATAAAGATAAATCAGGCAGACAGTGGCCCGGGGGCAGGGAGACCCCATTTCTCTCTGAAATGCCTGCAGAGAGCCTGGTGCCTGCCCCCACTTCAGCCCTGGGGAAATCAGAGCCAGGTTCTTGGGGTGGCAGTTCCTCTTCCTGTGGGCTGAGGATGAGACAACCCCATGACAAGAAGGACCCAGCCTCCGAGCGGCCACACCCTGTGTGTCTCTCTGTCCTGCCAGCACTGAGGGCTCATCCCTCTGCAGAGCGCGGGGTCACCGGGAGGAGACGCCATGACGCCCGCCCTCACAGCCCTGCTCTGCCTTGGTGAGATTTCAAGATGGGGAGGGGGAGATCCGAGTCTTGGAGGAACCCCACCCCACACACAAGCCCTGGTCCATCAGGAGACCTCAAAAGCTCAGGAGGCACCCGGGCGGGGACCTGCTCAGGCTTCAGGGCAAATGCCTCACAGGGAACTCTCTTCCAGGGCTGAGTCTGGGCCCCAGGACCCGCATGCAGGCAGGTGAGTCTGTCCCCAGCTGTCCCAGGTCCCTACTCCTCACTGGGACAGGGGGCCACCCATGGGCAGCTGGGGGAGGAGACAGTAGTTCTGGGTGACTGATGGGGATGATGGGGAAGTCCTGGGGCTGGGAGCTGGGATCTGAGCGTGGGGATGTCTTGGGATCCAGCCTCTGATTTCCATCTAGGGCCCTTCCCCAAACCCACCCTCTGGGCTGAGCCAGGCTCTGTGATCAGCTGGGGGAGCCCCGTGACCATCTGGTGTCAGGGGAGCCTGGAGGCCCAGGAGTACCAACTGGATAAAGAGGGAAGCCCAGAGCCCTGGGACAGAAATAACCCACTGGAACCCAAGAACAAGGCCAGATTCTCCATCCCATCCATGACACAGCACCATGCAGGGAGATACCGCTGCCACTATTACAGCTCTGCAGGCTGGTCAGAGCCCAGCGACCCCCTGGAGCTGGTGATGACAGGTGAGAGGACACTCTGGGGTCCCAGCCCCAGGCTCTGCCCTCAGGAAGGGGGTCGGCTCTCAGGGGCGTCTCCCTCTCACAGCCCAGCCCTGGGGATGATGTGGGAGGTGGGAGCCCCATTTAACACGGTGCCTCTTTCTCTCCTAGGATTCTACAACAAACCCACCCTCTCAGCCCTGCCCAGCCCTGTGGTGGCCTCAGGGGGGAATATGACCCTCCGATGTGGCTCACAGAAGGGATATCACCATTTTGTTCTGATGAAGGAAGGAGAACACCAGCTCCCCCGGACCCTGGACTCACAGCAGCTCCACAGTGGGGGGTTCCAGGCCCTGTTCCCTGTGGGCCCCGTGACCCCCAGCCACAGGTGGAGGTTCACATGCTATTACTATTATACAAACACCCCCTGGGTGTGGTCCCACCCCAGTGACCCCCTGGAGATTCTGCCCTCAGGTGAGGGAGCCACGGCCTTGTCTAACACACTTTCGGGGCAGCTGACAGGTTGTGGGGAGTTTGGCTGGTGACTGAATCTGGAAAGGACCCAGAGTGATGTGTTGAAGGACGGGCTGAAGGCATGAGGGAGACCCCATGGGGAGGCTCTGACATGGGAGGAGGAGCCCTTGACCACGTTCACCTGGAAGGGGAGGACTCAGGAAGGCATCGGTGTGTTTGCTGTGAGGTCCCAGCTCTCAGGGAGAGGAGGAAAGATCAGGCACAGTGGCCAGGGCTAGGGAGACCCCACTCCTCTGAAATGACTCCAAGACAGCCCCGGGTGAGAAGGAGGCCCTGGGGTCAGAGACTCAGAGCGTGAGAGACAGTGAGACCTGCAGGGCCAGGACGGGAGAAGGAAGGGGCGTGGGAGGAACCAGCCCTCTCAGTCCTGGCTCCTCTTTCCCTCCAGGCGTGTCTAGGAAGCCCTCCCTCCTGACCCTGCAGGGCCCTGTCCTGGCCCCTGGGCAGAGCCTGACCCTCCAGTGTGGCTCTGATGTCGGCTACGACAGATTTGTTCTGTATAAGGAGGGGGAACGTGACTTCCTCCAGCGCCCTGGCCAGCAGCCCCAGGCTGGGCTCTCCCAGGCCAACTTCACCCTGGGCCCTGTGAGCCGCTCCTACGGGGGCCAGTACAGGTGCTATGGTGCACACAACCTCTCCTCCGAGTGGTCGGCCCCCAGTGACCCCCTGGACATCCTGATCACAGGTGAGGAGCCCAGCGGGTTCAGTCAGGGACCCAGGCTCTGCACAGGCCCTGCCGGGGGAGCCCAGGTGGTGATGGCCGGGATGAGGGGTGGGGGTCCCAAGGGAGGGAGAGACAGACAGAGACAGGGGATGGGGGGAGGGGAGACTCAGAGAAAACAGGGACAGAGACACTGAGGGTCCCAGGGAGAGGCCTGGGGAGGTGTCAGCTCAGAGCAAGGTGGGGCAGCCCCTCACCCATCCTTCTTCTCTCCAGGACAGATCTATGACACCGTCTCCCTGTCAGCACAGCCGGGCCCCACAGTGGCCTCAGGAGAGAACATGACCCTGCTGTGTCAGTCACGGGGGTATTTTGACACTTTCCTTCTGACCAAAGAAGGGGCAGCCCATCCCCCACTGCGTCTGAGATCAATGTACGGAGCTCATAAGTACCAGGCTGAATTCCCCATGAGTCCTGTGACCTCAGCCCACGCGGGGACCTACAGGTGCTACGGCTCACGCAGCTCCAACCCCCACCTGCTGTCTTTCCCCAGTGAGCCCCTGGAACTCATGGTCTCAGGTGAGGGCGCTGACCCCGTCCTCTCTGAGCTCAAAGGCTCAGCTCCGGCCCAGGCCCCCAGGAGAGCTCTCGGCTGGGATGGACCGAGGGAGGCTGTGAGGGAGGCTTAGCCAGAGGGCACCCAGCCCTCAGAGGGGAGGAGGCCAACAGGGGTTCTCCTAGGCGTGGCCACCCGTTCTCCCCTGCCTGGCATGCAGAAGGCACCAGGTGGGCAGAGAGATGGTTCCAGGGAATCCACTGGGCGGAAGCAGGAGAGTGGGAGTGGAAGGGTGCACTCCATGGACGGCCCCCGCCCCTCACCCGCCTCCCGTGCTCCTTCCAGGACACTCTGGAGGCTCCAGCCTCCCACCCACAGGGCCGCCCTCCACACCTGGTGAGTCACTGAGGCCTCTTGGGGAGCGCCGCCTCCCCCAGGGCAGTCTGAGTCTCCCAAAGGATCCCACTCCCCTCCCCTCAAGGACGGGCTTGTGTCCCAGGGGCTCTGAGGCTGGGCTGGTGAGGGGCGGGGGTCGAGGCAGAGGGAGATGTTGGGGCCCAGCCAGGAGGAGGAGCCGGGCTGATGTGGGGGGCAAGACAGCCCCAGCCTTCACCTCCCTGTCCTGACCCAGGAGGTCCTGAGGACCAGCCCCTTAACCCCCCAGGGTCAGGCCCTCAGAATGGTGAGTGAGGGGCTCTGAGTGGGAGATGGGCGGGGTCCAGGGGAGGCAGGGGTGGGTTCTGTCCTAGGTTCAGGCTCCTCTGGAGGTGGTGATGTGGACAGGCCCCTCCCCTGCCTGGGCCTCAGTTTCTCCAAGTGTAAAGGAGAGAGGCCTGTGGGTGGGAAAGTTCCTTTCAGCTCTGACCCCCAGCTGTGACCTCCTGGGAGAGGAGGCCTCCCAGGGAACCTCCCAGACCCGATTCCACAGGGGCCTGTCCCGTCCCACCTGCAGCAGTGACGGTGACCTGGGGCAGGGGAGGGGAGCAGGGCCGTGGTTCAGGACGGTCAGGCTCTTTCCCTGCAGCTCCGGGTCTCGGCTCTGGTGCAGGAACAAGGGCTGCAGGTCAGACTCCCGGGCTCCCTTCCCAGCTCTGCCGCTTCCTCGCTGGAGGCCTGGGGCAGGCGACTCCCTGCTCTGAGCCTCAGTTTGTGCATCTGTGAAATGGGTTGTACGGGTGGCAATTCCATGTTGCACGACTGCTTGTGAGGGTTGGAGGTCACGAAGGAAAGACCTGGCTCGCGCCTGCACACAGTAGGTGCTCACATCAATGACATCATTCCCACTCCTGACGTCCTCATGTCAAGGTCTGGGAAGATACCTGGAGGTTTTGATTGGGGTCTCGGTGGCCTTCGTCCTGCTGCTCTTCCTCCTCCTCTTCCTCCTCCTCCTCCGTCAGCGTCACAGCAAACACAGGACATCTGGTGAGTAGGGAAGCGGGGGACCCATGGGTCGACCGAGGGTGGGCTCAGGGCACCAGCCAGAGGGAACCCAAACACACAGGGGTGTCAGTTTAGAAAACCGGTTCCAGGGGCACGTAATTTCAATACGCATTTACAAACTTCAGTATTCATGGGAGTTTTTTTCTATCTCATAAAATATTTGGAACATCCATGCAGGAATATTTTTAGTTTTCCTTCTTTCCCTCAAGTTGCATGTGTAGAATGGGAGTTCTAATGTTCCCAGGGCTGAGACTCTGTCCATCTTCACCCAGACCAGAGAAAGACTGATTTCCAGCGTCCTGCAGGGGCTGCGGAGACAGAGCCCAAGGACAGGGGCCTGCTGAGGAGGTAATTCTGCCCCAAAGACCACAGACTCCCACCCACCACAGCCCATACACTGCCCCTCACACTCCCATGTCCTCCTCCAGGTCCAGCCCAGCTGCTGACGTCCAGGAAGAAAACCTCTGTAAGAGGAAGAGAGGGGACAAATGGGGGTGCTGGAGAGACAGGAGTCCCAAAATTTCAGTAGCAACAGGGAGGGGCTGGGAAGGGTCTGGGGCTCCGTGGAAGATGGTCTTGCCCCACACTGTGGGACCTCCCTGCATTCGGTGGCCCCATCTGGGAGCAGGGCAGGGGGCCAGCAGGACTGAGAGGTCTCAGAGAACCAGGAGACGAACCCCTTGCTCTGCCCCAGCAGATGCTGCTGTGAAGGACACACAGTCTGAGGACAGGGTGGAGCTGGACAGTCAGGTGAGATCCCGCCCCGTCCCAGGCACCAAAGGCCTCCTGGTGCCAGATCTAATCCTGCAGGACTTCTCTGTCCTCCTTCCCCCGGCTCTCAGCATCGTCACGGTGGACCCCTCCTTGTCCAGCATGCTGCCTCCCGCCTGCTGTGACCTCACTCTCTTCTGCTGTCCTGGGACCTCGTGGGCCTCCTCCCGGGTCCCCTTCCTGCTCCTCATCCTCTGTTTGGCCGTCTGGTTGTTAGAGCTCTCCCCAGGCCTCAGGAGGATGACGAATAAATGAACCACCTCCGTCCCCTGGGCTCCTCTTCATTCATTCATCCAGCGAGTGTTCCCAGGGAGCTCACTGTGGATGGGGCTCCCCATGGGAGCTGCAGACACAGCAGGGAGCAAAGCCGCCCCCGCCTCCTGAGCTCACCTCACGGTGGGAGACAAAATGCAAATAAATGCATCGTGTCCAGGAGTGCAACGTGCTGTAAGGAACATACACCAGGGAAAGGGCAGAGAGTGTGGGGCAGTGGGGCCAGTCTGAATGGAAGGGGAGGGCTGTCTGCTCAGCTGTCATCTGAGAAGCCTGGACAGAGTGGGGCACATGATCCTCTGATGGACGAGCCCCTGCAGGCAGAGGAAACAGCCGTGCAAAGGCCCCCAGGCAGCAGCGAGCTCTTGCAGGAAGGCCTGTGAGGCTGCAGCCAAATGGGCAAGGTCAGAGTGAGGAGCAGAGGCCAGAACCACAGGGAGGGAGCGGCCAGACCCTCCACGGCCTTAGGGCGTCCCTGAGATTCCATCAGGAAAGGGATGTAATCGGATCACCCCGGGAACAGTGAGGAAAATTGACTCCAGGAGGTCAGGGGGACTCAAGGACACCCCCCACCACTGTCTCTCTCCAGCAGAGCCCACACGATGAAGACCCCCAGGCAGTGACGTATGCCCCGGTGAAACACTCCAGTCCTAGGAGAGAAATGGCCTCTCCTCCCTCCTCACTGTCTGGGGAATTCCTGGACACAAAGGACAGACAGGTGGAAGAGGACAGGCAGATGGACACTGAGGTGAGTCCTTTCCTCTCCAGGCCCCCAGGCCTCCCCCACCCCCACCACGTTCCTTACCTCTCACTCTCCCCCGCTGCAGGCTGCTGCATCTGAAGCCTCCCAGGATGTGACCTACGCCCAGCTGCACAGCTTGACCCTTAGACGGAAGGCAACTGAGCCTCCTCCATCCCAGGAAGGGGAACCTCCAGCTGAGCCCAGCATCTACGCCACTCTGGCCATCCACTAGCCCGGGGGGTACGCAGACCCCACACTCAGCAGAAGGAGACTCAGGACTGCTGAAGGCACGGGAGCTGCCCCCAGTGGACACCAGTGAACCCCAGTCAGCCTGGACCCCTAACACAGACCATGAGGAGACGCTGGGAACTTGTGGGACTCACCTGACTCAAAGATGACTAATATCGTCCCATTTTGGAAATAAAGCAACAGACTTCTCAACAATCAATGAGTTAATAACAAAAAAACAAAAAACAAAAACAGACGTAAAGGCCGGGTGTGGTACTCAGGAGGCTGAGTGGGGAGGATTCCTTGAACACAAGAAGTTAAGGCTGCTGAGGCTGCAGTGAGCTATGACTGTGCCACTGCACTCCAGCCTGTGTGACAGAGCGAGACCTTGTCTCTAAAAAAAAAAACAGTGAATGTTTTAAACTGAATGATAATGTAAATATTATACATCGAACTTATGACATGGGAAAATTAAGAAGCATAAATAGGCCGGGCGCGGTGGCTCACGCCTATAATCTCAGCACTTTGGGAGGCTGATGCGGGCGGATCATGAGGTCAGGAGATCGAGACCATCCTGGCTAACACGGTGAAACCCCGTCTCTACTAAAAATACAAAAAAATTAGCCGGGCGTGGTGGCGAGTGCCTATAGTCCCAGCTACTCAGGAGGCTGAGGCAGGAGAATGGCATGAGCCCGGGAGGCAGAGCTTGCAGTGAGCTGAGATCGCACCACTGCACTCCAGCCTGGGCGACAGAGTGAGATTCCGTCTCGAAAAAAAAAAAAAAAGAAAGAAAAAAAATAAAAAAGAAGCATAACCAGGTGCAGTGGCTCACACCTGTAATCCCAATACTTTGGGAGGGCAAGTGGGGAGGATAGCTTGAGCTCAGGAGTTCGAGTCAGTCAGATCAGCATTGTGAGGCCCCATCTCTACAAAAAATAAAACCAGTCCGGCGTGGTGGCACACACCTGTAGTCCCAGCTACTTGAGAGGCTGAGGTGGGAGGATCACTTGGGTACAGGAGGTCGAGGCTGCAATGAGCCGAGATCGCACCACAGCACTTCAGCCTGGACGAGACCCTGTCTCAAAAAAACAAAACAACTAACAAGCCGGTGAAATTATCTGTTGATTAGTGTTTGCATAATACATTTTTCATCCTTCTGCTTTTTTAATGTGATAAAATATAAACAACAGGCCAGGCACGGGGGTTCATGCCTGTAATCCCAGCACTTTGGGAGGCCAAGGCGGGTGGATCACAAGGTCAGGAGTTCAAGACTAGCCTGGCCAAGATGGTGAAACCCCATCTCTACTAAAAATACAAAAACTGGCCAGGTGTGGTGGCAGGCACCTGTAATCCCAGCTACTAGGGAGGCTGAGGCAGAGAACTGCTTGAACCCAGGAGGCAGTGGTTGCAGTGAACCGAGATCACACCACTGCACTACAGCCTGGGCAACAGAGCAAGACTCTGTCTCAAAAAAAAAAAATTCCAATCTTGTAATCTCTTTTTGATCACTTATATTTAATGTAATCACTGATGACATTACAACCGTATGTCACTTAATGACAGGGATATGTTCTGAGAAAGCCATCATTAAAAAATTTTGGCCAGGCGTGGTGGCTCACGCCTGTAATCCCAGAACTTTGGGAGGCCAAGATGGGTGGATCACCAGAGGTCGGGAATTCGAGACCAGCCTGCTCAACATGGTGAAACCCTGTCTCTACTAAAAATACAAAAATTAGCCGGGCATCGTGGTGCATGCCTGTAATCCCAGCTACTTGGGAAGCTGAGGCAGGAGAATCGCTTGAACCTGGGAGGCGGAGGTTGCAGTGAGCCAAAATCGTGCCATTTCACTCCAGCCTGGGAGACAGAATGAGACTCCATCTCAAAAAAAAGAAAAAAAAAAATTCACCGTCGTGTGAACATCATAGAGTCTACTTACACAAACCTACGTGGTATAACCTACTACATACATAGGCTATACCATCACATATGAAATGTGTAGTGGAGCGAAACATCGTTATGCGGTGCATGACTGTGTTCAGGTGTGCCTTTTTGTTTGTCTCCTCTGCTGTGTGTTGTTTCCCCTTTCCTGCCTACTCTAGGTTTTTAGAAATATTTTGATTTGTTAAAAACTTATGATTCCCCCCTCGCCCGGCCAGCCGCCCCGTCCGGGAGGGAGGTGGGGGGGTCAGCCCCCCGCCAGGCCAGCCGCCCCATCCGGGAGGTGAGGGGCGCCTCTGCCCGGCCGCCCCTACTGGGAAGTGAGGAGCCCCTCTGCCCGGCCGCCACCCCGTCTGGGAGGTGTACCCAACAGCTCATTGAGAACGGGCCATGATGACAATGGCGGTTTTGTGGAATAGAAAGGGGGGAAAGGTGGGGAAAAGATTGAGAAATCGGATGGTTGCGGTGTCTGTGTAGAAAGAGGTAGACATGGGAGACTTTTCATTTTGTTCTGTACTAAGAAAAATTCTTCTGCCTTGGGATCCTGTTGATCTGTGACCTTACCCCCAACCCTGTGCTCTCTGAAACATGTGCTGTGTCCACTCAGGGTTAAATGGATTAAGGGCGGTGCAAGATGTGCTTTGTTGAACAGATGCTTGAAGGCAGCATGCTCGTTAAGAGTCATCACCACTCCCTAATCTCAAGTACCCAGTGACACAAACACTGCGGAAGGCTGCAGGGTCCTCTGCCTAGGAAAACCAGAGACCTTTGTTCACTTGTTTATCTGCTGACCTTCCCTCCACCGTTGTCCTATGACCCTGCCAAATCCCCCTCTGCGAGAAACACCCAAGAATGATCAATAAAAAAAAAAAAAAAAAACTTATGATTCCTTAACTTTTCTATTTAATATTTTTGGACCATGGTTGACCACCAGGTAACTGAAAACACAGAAAGAAAATTACAGATAAAGGGGGACTACTGTATTAGAGTTTTTTAAAAATATATTTTAAATTTTTTTGTAGCAATGGGATCTCACGATGTTGCCCAAACTGGCCTCAAACTTGTGGGCTCAAGAGCCTCCCATCTCCGCCTCCCAAAGTGTTGGGATTACAGGCATGAGCCACTGTGCCCAGCTTAAGAGTTTTTAATTGAAAAATAATAATTGTACATATTTATGGAATACAGAATATTTGATTTTATCTACGTGTGTGTGTGTGGTTTTTTTTTTTTTCGAGATGGAGTTTCACTCTTTTTGCCCAGGCAGGAGTGCAATGGTGCAGTCTCGGCTCACTGCAACCTCCGCTTCCCAGGTTCAAGTGGTTCTCCTGCCTCAGCCTCCCAAGTAGCTGGGACTACATGTGTGCACCACTATGCCCAACATATATATATTTACATATATATATATATTTTTTTGAGACGGAGTCTCGCTCCATTCTACCTCAGCCTCCCGAGTAGCTGGGATTACAGACACATGCCACCACGCCTGGCTAAGTTTTATATTTTTAGTAGAGACAGGGTTTTGCCAGGCTGGTCTTGAACTCCTGACCTCTTGATCTGCCTGCCTCCCAAAGTGCTGGGATTATAGGCGTGAGCCACCGCACCCGGCCCAACAAATATATTTTTATTGAGATACAACTCTATTTTGTGGCATTTAGTAAATTCACAATATGGTGTAAGCATCACCTCTATCTCATTCCGAAACATTTTTATCATACCGAGAAGGAAACCGAGTTTACATCAAGCAATCACTCCCACCTAATCCCATGCAACAATTAACCTACTTTCTGCCTCTATCGATTGGCCTTCTTTGAATACCTTTTTTTTTTTTTTTTGAGACAGGGACTCACTCTGTCACCCAGGTTGGAGTGCAGTGGTGTGATCTCGGCTCACTGTAACCTCTGCCTCCCAGGCTCAAGCGATCCTGCCACCTGAGCCTCCCAAGTAGCTGGGATCACAGGCACATGCCACCATGCCGGGTGAATTTTTTGTATTTTTGGTAGAGATGGTATTTCACCATGTTGCCCAGGCTGGTCTCAAACTCCTAAACTCAGGCAATCCACCTGCCTTGGCCTCCCAAAGTGCTGGATTACAGGCAATGAGCCACCACACCCAGGCTGGATACTTCTTATAAATGAAATAACGTCATATGTGACCTTTTTTTCCTGACTGCTTTTATCTAGTATATTATCAAGGTTCACACATGTAGCATGTATGAGTACTTCATTCCTTTCTACGGTTGAATAATATTTTGTTGTAAGGATATACCACACTTTCTCTATTCACCAGCTGATAGACATCGCTACAAAAATAAGTAGTGGCTGTGGAGGTGCACGTCTGTAGTCCCAGCCACTCGGGAGCCTGAGGTGGGAGGATCACCTGAGCCACGATGTCAAGGCTGCAGTGAGCTATGATAGTGCCACTGCACTCCAGCCTGGGCAACAGGCCTCATCTTTTAAGCAAAGAAAAAAGAGGCCGAGCATGGTGGCTCATGCCCGTAATCCCAACACTTTGGGAGGCTGAAGCGGGCGGATCACCTGAGGTCAGGAGTTCAAGACCAGCCTGGCCAACATGGTAAAACTCTGTCTTTACTAAAAAATACAAAATTTAGCTGGATATGGTGGCGCGCATCTGTAATCCCAGCTAACTGGGAGATTGAGGCAGGAGAATCGCTGGCACCTGGGAGGTGGAGGCTGCAGTGAGCTGAGATCACGCCACTGCACTCCAGCCTGGGTGACAGAGCAAGACTCTGTCTCAAAAACAAAAAAAAAAAAAAAGAAAAAGAAAAAAGAGGCCGAGCATGATGGCTCATGCCTGTAATCCTAACACTTTGGGGGGCCAAGGCAAGAGGATGATTTAAGGTCAGGAGTTCGAGAATAGCCTGGCCAACATGGTGAAACTCTGTCTCTACTAAAAATACAAAAATTAGCCAGGCGTGGTTGCACGTGCCTGTAATCCAGCTACTTGGGAGGCTGAAGCAGGACAATCACCTGAACCCAGGAGGTGGAGGTTGTAGTGAGCTGAGGTCACGCCACTGCACTCCAGCCTGGGAAACAGAGCAAGACCATGTCTAAAAAAAAAAAAAAAGGGGGAAAGAAAAGAAAGAAAAAAAGAGTGCTACTCATTAACAGGAAAGTTGGCTGGGCGCGATGGCTCACGCCTGTAATCCCAGCACTTTGGGAGGCCGAGGCGGGTGGATCACGAGGTCAGGAGATCGAGACCATCCTGGCTAGCACGGTGAAACCCCGTCTCTACTAAAAATACAAAAGATTAGCCGGGCGTGGTGGCGGGCGCCTGTAGCCCCAGCTACTCGGGAGGCTGAGGCAGGAGAATGGCGTGAACCCGGGAGGCGGAGCTTGCAGTGAGCCGAGATCGCGCCACTGCACTCCAGCCTGGGCGACAGAGCGAGACTCCGTCTCAAAAAAGAAAGTCAGTGAAGGGACCTGTTTGGGAAAACAAAGCCCAGGCTCGAAGGAAGCTTGTGCTTCCCTCTGTGAGCAAGTTAAGTCTTAGAAACATCTCCCCGAGCCTCCTTCTCCCACGCGGGTCGTCTGTCCTGCGGCAGCCCCACTGGTTCCTCCCATCAACCAAGGCAGAGAGTGGAAAAGCTCCTCACACTCTTCTGCTTCACACACAGTGAACAAATCCAAACCTCTCTGCCCACATCCCTCCTCACCCGGCTCCACCCGTGTCCGCTGGTCCATCCCCACAGTCTAAGCTCAGCTGGGGACCGAGGACGCCCTGTCTGTGCACTGCACCAACCTCCCTCCTGGCCCCCTACTGGCTCCCATCCCTACTCCAGTCCATCCCTCTCATCACTTCCGAGGCCTCTTCTGACCATCTTACCTGGCTGTGACCCTCCACTGCTCAAATTCCCCCAACGGGGCTCCATCTTCCAAAAATAAGATGCACGTTCCTGTACTTCATGTTCAAGCCTGTTGATGACCAAACCTGATACACTTTCCAGCTTCACAGGCTATGGCTCCCCCTCTGCCACACCAAACTCATCACAGTTACCCACCCCCTGCCACACACACACAACCTCAGTTATTAAACACGTGTAAGTCTTCTGACGGCCGCTCCCTGAGCCAATCCGGATGTAGCTGACACCTCTGCAGAGCTGGTAGACTATGACAAAGAGAAGCCCTCCTGCCTCGTTCCACTCCACTGTAAACGTATGTGTGTCATAGGTCATGAGGAGTCCACATAAACCACTTAGAATCCTTATCAGCACATTGCCTAGTGGCTGGGCTCACGCTGGAGTGTGGTTATGGTTAACCATTAGTGAAACCCTCCCATATTGCATTCTGTGCAGTGATGGGCTTGTAAAAACAGACATCTGTTTCCACTGTGCTTTCTAAAGATTCCCCGGTTTTTTTTTTTTTTTTTTGAGATGGAGTCTCACTCTGTCACCTAGGCTGGAGTGCTGTGGCGCGATCTCGGCTCACTGCAACCTCCACCTCCCGGGTTCAAGTGATTCTCCTGCCTCAGCCTCCCGAGTAGCTGGGATTACAGGCGTCCACCACCACACCTGGCTGATTTTTTGTGTCTTTAGTAGAGACGGGGTTTCACCATGTTGGCCAGGCTGGTCTCGAACTCCTGACCTCATAATCCACCCACCTCCGCCTCCCAAAGTGCTGGGATTACAGGTGCAAACCACCGTGCCGGGCCGGATTTTCCATTTTCTTAAACATAGCATCCAATAAATCTTCACGGTGCACAAGTCCCCTGAATGACAAGGTCCCAGCTTCCTTTGGCTCACTCTCAGGTCTGAGAACAGCCCACACTGTTTCTGGTGGAGGACACTCTGCGTGCCACACTCACTGTTCACGTCTTGGTCTCTCCATCCCCCAGAAGGACCCCTCACTCCCATGACAGGTGTACGCTGCTCACCTGCTATGAGCATGTTTTCCTCCTTTCCTACAACTTGTCGAAACCGGAGCAGAATTACCTCCTATCTAAACATGGGTAATGTGTCATTAACCCAGGCTCTGTGAGTCCAGCAGGAATCCTATCAGCTTCACCCACGACTCCCCTCCTCCTGGCAGCATGCCTGGATGTGGTAACCACTGAATAAACATCGCCTGATCGCAAGGCTCATGAAAGAAAAGATGCATTACAGAGCTCAGGACATGGAAGGGGCTTGCCTCTAGAATTAGAACAGTGACTGGGCTGTGTCCTAAGGCCCTGCCCTCTCTGGCCTCAGCCTCATGTGCTAGAACAAGGGTCACCCCTGGATGAGAGTTGGGTGAGGTGGAAGCAGGCAGAGTATGGGGAAGTCAAATTTTGACTCAAATGTGGTCTGAAAGGCCCCCAGAGCCTGCTGTCCCCTCAGCCCCATCCTTCAGGGGGAGCAGAGCGAGGCCCTGGGGAAGGGGCTGTTCCCCTCCTGCAAGGCCACTGGTGAGAACACATGACCTGTAACACAGAGCCCGGGGCTCCTTATACCAGCACACCCATCTGCCCTCCAGGCTCTGTGGCTCAATGGTCTAATTCATCTGCACTGCTGGGGACCGTGACAGGCAGGGCCACAACCCCCACCCTCATTGCCCATCTCCCTGCTGTGTGTCCAGGGAAGCCTTAGGTGGACACGGGGTGGTCAGTGACCCCGACCTCTTGGGCCAGAAGCACAAGGCAGAAGGCATGGAGTTGAGACCGGTGAGAGCTCTCCCTGCAGGCCCCAGCGGGCCCCAGAGAGTACGCATCCCCTAAATACCAGTCGCCTCATCTCAGGGGCGTCCAGGCAGCCCTCAGCCCTCCCTCTCAGCACAGCCGGGATCGCCGGTGCTCTCTGGAGACAGCCTGACCCCTCAGCATCACTCAGAGGCCGGTTTTGACAGCTCTGCATTGACCAGGACAAGGGGCTCCCAGCCCGCCAGCGCCTAGATGGGCAGCACCTCCTGGACGTCCCCCTGGGCCATGCGAGCCACCCCCCTGGGGGCCAGCACAGATGCTGCGGTGGACACAATGCCTCCTGCCCAAGGTCGGTCCCCCGTCGCCCCCACCCAACATCCTGGTTGCAAGTGAGGGGCCCCTACCCAGACCCCATCCCGTTCTCTGCTCTGGACCCTGGGCTCAGGGTCGAGAGAGAGAATGATACAGGGATGTGGTCCAAGGAGATCACCAAGAAAGGGAGAGCAAGAGGCCCGGAGATTAAACAGACCCACGCAGGCCAGGCACTGTGGCTCACACCTGTCATCCTAGCGCTTTGGGAGGCGAGTGGATTGCTTGAGGCCAAGGGTTTTAGATCAGCCGGGGCAACACATTGAGACTCCATCTCTACAAATTCTTGAGATGGAGTCTCCCTCTGTTGCCCCGCTCGCTGCCTCTGTAGACAGAGCCCTGAAGACCCTTTTCCTTTCCAAGCCCGTAGGCTTCTCCCCAGAACCGCATACCTCAACTCCCACTCTCCCCTCCCTCCAGGCTGCCGTGGAGCTCCGCAATTGTGAGCTACACCCAGGTGAGCCACCACCTCTCAGACCAGAGACAACTGCAGTCTCTTCCTCCCAGGGGAGCTCCCAGGAGCCCAGTGAGTACGCTGCCCCGGCCATCCACTAGCCCAGACCCCACGCTCCAAGGAAGGAGACCACAGTGAGCCCAGATGGTGCAGCAGCTGGCCCCATGGACACAAGACCACCGTCATTTCCCAAGTAGCAACGCTGAGGGAAGGAAGGGCCAACCACCTAGCTTGAGTAAGCCGCAATGGACTTCTCCACGTGGTTTACAGTAACTTAGCTGTGTTCCAGAACTGTCCCTGCCCTGACCTCAAACCCTGAAGGCCTCCAGATAAGGACCCAATCAACTACAGCCTGCAGCCTGAGGGGGTTGCACAATTTCAGGTTTCTCACTTCCTCAGAAACCAAACCCCTTCCCAACACAGATGATCAACAAGGCTGAGAAAAGGGAAGCCTGCCAACCTCTTGACCGTGAGTCCACAGAAGCACTGAACGCGGAGAGGAGGAACAGACTTCCCTCAACGCCCCTTCTCCTACGCTAACCCACTTCCCCTACATGTGAAGACAAAACTGGGAACTTGCCCAACATCAACTGCATCACAAGCTTTGAAACTAGCAAGCAAATTCTGTGAAGTGTTCCCCAACAATCACCAACAGTTCACCTTCCCCAGCAACCCGTCAGCCTCTGGTCAGCTCCCGTCCCACCTGTCTCTTGCCTGGCGGGGTCAGGGTCCCAGGGCCAGCAGGCAGGGAAGGCCCCCACCTCCACTCGGCGCCTGCCCTGCCTAGCAATGACCGGCTCCCTCCCACCCCTATATGCAAACACCGGCTTACTTGGAATTTCCTTCTGGTTTTGACACAGTTTTTCCAAAAATACCACTCGTCTCTCCCCTGATGACAGAAGTTTCTGGTAAAGATGTGTGTTCACTACTGTAGAATAGTACTGAGAGGCCAGGGACCACTAGCTGGTAGGCACTCCCAAGTGAGTGAGCCTCCCAGGGAAGGCTGCATGTTTAGAGCAGGGGAAAGAGTCAAGGATGAGAGACCCCCACACACCAATTGTAAAGCGCTGATCCTGTTTATTTGGCAGGAAAACGAGACAATCCAGCAGCCCAGGAGGGACAGGTGGACTTAATCCTCCTCCTCGTCGTCTCCAGCCCCAGCCCCACCCTGGCCCTTCTTGGCATTCTTCCTCTTCACGCGGCCCGGGCGGCCACCCCCGTAGGGAGAGCGCAGAGAGAAGTCGATGTGCTTCTGGGAATCCAGGCGGACAATGAAGGACGGGATGTTCACCACCTGCTTGCGGACCCTGGAAGCAGCGACAAGGTGAGGTGGACTGGAGGAGAAACGGACGCTAACCCCAGCTACCGCACCACTCTTTCCTCTCCACCCACCCCGTGAGGCCGCCACGGCTGCAGACACCAAGGCGCTGCAGGAAGGGTGCACCTGATCCTACGTGCGCCCTCCGGGGTTTTAGGGTATCACCTTAATCCCCAAAAATGCTTCAGATGACTTTCTCAACCCCATTTTATAGGAGAAATCCGAAAGTATCCCACCTAAGACCACAAAGCAAATGAGATGGCCATGTGAGAGCCCCCAAGTTCCGAGTCTGAAATATCGTGAACCCCACACCTGACACTGAGCTGTATTACCACGTGCAGCAGCAATGCCCACAATAACACAGCAACCCGAGGCTACGTCTCCGACGAAAGCATTGACACACAAGGCTCTGCCTACGGCTCACAGGGTTAGTGAAGGGCTGGGGCGAAGATTCTAAACGCAAACATCTTGCCCTCTTTCTGTACAGCTCCTCCCCCTCAATGGTGCCACATTACAGAAAGGGCACACTGAGTACCCAGAACGCAGTCATGGATCGGGGTCTGGAATCAACTTCACAAGCGGGCCAGGAGACAGCTGAACCCACCACCCAAGCGAGGTGAGGCTGGTTCTCTCCCTCCACTGGGGACACCAAGAGCTGTTACCTGTCCAGCTGCCCACATGCCTGGCAGAGGCCTTCACAAGGTGTACGGCTAGAGCCGCAGTGACCCTTGCGCTGGGCTATTGGGGCAAGAGGCTGCCCCAGCTCCCTGGTGAGCTGTGTGCAAGGGTGAATCTGTACCCTCTGGGTGAGTTCACACCCATCACCTCCGAGGGCTGCATAGGAGATAGGGACAGCAGGCTTAGTGAGGGCAACCATCAGAGGGGCAGGTGGAGGAAGATTCAGGTGCCCATCCGAGGTGGTACCTGATATGGCGCTGGCGGATCAGCACGCGAGCGTGGTGGATGGACTTGGCCAAGCCCAGCTTGAAGACCTGGGTCTGCAGGCGTCTCTCTAAGAAATCCTCTATCTTCAGGCCCAGGATGTAATCCAGCTTCATCTTGCCCTCATCCAGCACCCCAATGCGGACCAGCCGCCGCAGCAGGGCGTTGCCTGGGAAGAGTGGGAGGAAACACTGATTCCGCCTTCTGACCTCAGGCTTCTTGGGTTCAAATCCTGGCTCCGCCTCTTGGTAGCTCCATGCCGCGGCGGTGAGGCACAAGTAGTACAGCGCCATCACCGTGACCCATGTCACTGTCAAAACCACCCTACGGGCTGGGAGTGGTGGCTCACACCTGTAATCCCAGCACTTTGGGAGTCCGAGACGGATCACTTGAGGTCAGGAGTTTGAGAGACCAGCCCGGCCAACATGGCGAAAGCCCGTCTCCACTAAGATTACGAAAAATTAGCCAGGCCGTTGGCGCACTGCCTGTAATCCCAGCTATTCAGGAGGCTGAGGAAGGAAAACTGCTTGAACCCAGGAGGCGGAGGTTGCAGTGACCTGAGATGGGGCCACTGCACTCCAGCCTGGGCGACAGAGTGAGGCCCTGTCACAAAACAAAACAATACAAAAAACCAAACTACCCTATGGTTGTCAGGTCATCATTCATAGTAAACTGCAGATGACAGGAGGGCAAAATACACCTGCCTCCTCATCTGAGAGCATACATCCCTCGCTCCACATTCTTAGCAAGAGTAAAGGAAATCACCTCCTTACAAGGACTCAGTCTGCAAAAGACCAAATGCAGCTGCTATTAAGCTACTACCACCGTAACAAAGCACAGTGCTGAAGAGTTCATATCCTCAGCCCAGACAGCTCTTCTGATTAAGCAGATGTGAGATTGAATCACATTCCGTGCCATAAATAGCAGTATCTACATCTTTTAAGGAGAGAAAAGTAATTTCTAACACTAGAATTTTTCCAGCTAGGTACATGTCATTCATTTTACTATTCTGTACAAAATTTTCCACCAAAAATATATCTAGTATGTATATAACCTAACAATGCACTGCATAAAATATCCAACAGATGCCCTACTACACCTTTCTTCCAACCCCAGGCTCAGGACGGCTTGCTCCTTACCCTGTCCAAAGCCATGGCTTCTAGCTAATACTCTGGACTGCCCTTGCCCACAGCCCCAGGGCCCTGGGGGCAAACGCCATCCCCTAGGCTCCCGCTCACTGCTATAATCCCACACGCCTTCAGCAAATCAACTGCCCCTTGACTGGGGTAAACACCTCAACCTTTTTTCCTTATGTGCACTTTTATAAAAAGTGGCTCTTACTAGTTACAGCAAACCATTCAAGCAAGCTTTCATAAATAGATCTACATGCATCAGGCACTTCTGATATTCCTGGCACTGTTACCCTCCAAGCAAAGTTTGAAAGAAAGCTAGCTCACTTTGTGAGGACCCAAAGTTTTCCCAGTAGGGAGCAGTTACAGGTAGGGAGAATCAAAATGGAAACACCAGCTGTGTGCATTTCCAGCATCCTATGTCATACTATGGCTTCAATTTTTGTTCTTTTTTAACTCAACATCAGAGGATATTTAAACACCTGAATATCAAAATACAAAAACATGTCCAAAAGGCAATGAAAATGAGTTTGGGACCATTTACCTCTTTGGACACTTCACGCCTTTTTGTCTTTACATTAGAAAATGGAAACTTAAGCCACGCACAGTCCCTTATGCCTGGCCTATAAACCCAATATTTTGGGAGGCTGAGGCAGGAGGATCAGTTGAGTCCAGAAGTTTGAAACTAGCCTCGGCAACACAGTGAGACCGCATTTGTACCAAAACAAACAAAAAAGTAAAACTAAATTAGCCGGGCATGGTGGTACATGGTGGATTGTGGTCCCAGCTACTAGAGCTGAGGAGGATCACTTAAGCACAGGAGGTCCAGGCTGCAGTGAGCCACGACCATGCCACTGTGCTCCAGCCCGGGAGACAAAGTGAGATCGTCACCATTAGGCAAAACAAAGGCATGATTTTAAAAAAATGTTTCACATTTATTATCATTTTTGAGACAGAGTTTCGCTCTCGTTGCCCAGGCTGGAGTGCAATGGCGTGATCTCGGCTCACTGCAAACTCCGCCTCCTGGGATTCTCCTGCCTCAGCCTGGGATTAAAGGCATGCGCCACCACGCCCCGCTAATTTTGTATTTTTTCAGTAGAGACTAAGGGGTTTCTCCACTTTGGTCAGGCTAGTCTCAAACTCCCGACCTCGGGTGATCCGCCTGCCTCTGCCTCCCAAAGTGCTGGGATTACAGGCATGAGCCACTGCACTCAGGCCCACATTTATTGAACCATCTATCTCCTGAAAAAGAACAGGAGAGTCAGCCACAGGCAAAACCTTTAAGTATGAAGACAATAGTTTTCAACAGCACAATAAACCTTACACCTTCAACAAAAGCATGTCCTACTGCTGAGGCTCCACTGGGCCAATGCACCAAGAGAATTTAAAATGCTTTAAAAATGCAAACCAGGGAGGACCTCAGTGGGAAACAGGTCCTTGTCATCATACAAGGCAGTTAGGTATTACAATGCCTTCATTTCTGATCTGAAAAATGGACATGACTCCTACATTTCTTCACAGTTGTGCTGGGGGGTGGGGGGGGAGTTCGTGTTGTTTTGTGTCTCGCTGTCACCCAGTGCAGTGCCGCGGATCTCGGCTCACTGCAGTCTCTGTCTCCCAGGTTCAATCAATTCTCCTGCCTCAGCCTCCCGAGTAGCTGGGATTATAGGCACACCACCATGCTCGGCTAATTTTTGTATTTTTCGTAGAGATGGAATTTCACCACGTTGGCCAGGCTGGTCTCTGACTTGAGGTCTCCTGACCTCAAGTGATCCGACCACCTCGGTCTCCCAAAGTGCTGGGATTACAGGCATGAGCCACCACGCCTGGCCTCTATCTGTTGATTATTAACTGCCAGCCAAATGTTGGCGGCTGTTCAGTCTTAACAGACGAGACTCAGAATCTCGCTAGTCACACATCTTAGTGGGAAAGGCAGGATCTGAATCAAGGCAGGATTACACCAAAGAGCAAACATCCAAGCTCCTCCTTCCTGTCCCTGACTAGGCTAGATGGCTTCATTTACTAGAAAGTGTACTCACCTGAACAACTGTGTACCCCTTGGGAATTTTCACTTCTGCCTTGGAAAACCACAAATAACCCTCAGACACCTGCACCGCTTTCTCACATGACTGTAAGTTTCATTGCAATTAGGATCTATGTCCAGAAAGTCCTCCCTAAAACCAGAACCAGCTATAGCCCACTCCCCACAGAACCCTGGGATGAATTCCCACCCAGCATCAGTATCTATGGGGGAGGGATCTCCAGCACTTTCATGAGATTATCAACGGGGTCTACAAATTGACGAAAAGAATGAAAGGGTCAGGTGCGGTGGCTTACACCTGTAACCCCAGCACTTTGGAAAGCTGAGGTGGATGGATCACTTGAGGTTAGGAGTTGGAAACCATCCTGGTCAACACTGCAAGATCCTGTGCCTATTTAAAGAAAAAGCTTCTAACATCTGCAAGCCTGGGACAAACTGTGATAATCTGTAGCTAAACATGCGCCAGGACTTTCTCAACGCCTAACATGGATGACCACTCTCATGCCTAACAGTCAGGGCTCAGGTGTAGAGACTGCTTTTCACCATAAATCATGACTACCCAAACTCAGGCAAAAGCAGCGTCTCAGGATATACAAATGCCAATCTTGGTCATGCCAATCTGCTGTAGAAAGCACTCCAATAACACCGCATCTCAGAGTAGATTTTAAAACAAGATGGTTAAGATGGTACATTTTCAATTTAATGTGTATTTCACCACAATTAGTAAAGTAAGCCTAAGTCTATGTGATCTGCATGCCCTCCTAAAGTCATCACCTGAAATGCTGTTCCCTGAGACATTTTACAGGTTCTCTCCTGTTCAGGCCTTTGCTAAATACCACCTAAATGTCCTTGACCAGCTTAAAAAAACAAGCACCAGCCTGGACAACATGGTGAAAACCCATCTCCACTAATAATAGAAAATTAGCCAGGCTTGGTGGCCCATGCCTGTGATTCCAGCTACTTAGGAGGCTAAGACAGGAGAATCGCTTGAACTCTGGAGGCGGAGTTTGCAGTGAGCCAAGATTGCGACAACTACACTCCAGCATGGGCAATGGAGCGAGACTCCGTCTCAAAAGTAAAATTAGCCAGGTGTGGTGGCGTGCGCCTGTCTGTAGTCCCAGCTACTTGGGAGGCTAAGATAGGAGAATTGTTTGAACCCAGGAGGCGGGGGTTGCAGTAAGCCGA
Source organism: Homo sapiens (assembly GCF_000001405.40). NCBI lineage: Eukaryota > Metazoa > Chordata > Mammalia > Primates > Hominidae > Homo > Homo sapiens. The sequence goes on along the minus strand of NC_000019.10, from coordinate 54,202,088 downwards.
AATGGCGCCACGGCACTCCAGCCTGGGCAACAGAGCAAGACTCCGTCTCAAAAGACTAAATAAAACGAGAAAACTTAATTAAAAAAACAATAAACCAAGCAAATGTGCAAACCCTGTTATCACCATCACTTAGCCCAGAAATTCCACTTCATAGTCTACTCTCATCCACTAGCAAACAGGCCACATAAACAGAATATAAAGATATAGACGGGTGCCCAGGTGTGCCAGGCCTATCTTTAGCTCTGGTCATTACTAAACTGAAGGTCCAATAACTGGGCAAAAAAGCCACACACCTAAGAAACAGGGCAAAGACTGATCCAGATACACTTTTCCTACTCCACAAGTGCCACTAAAAGTTAGAAGGCTGGTTCCATTTATCCAATGACACAACTCTCATCACTGGAACAGAGGCAACAGAAGGGAGAATGAACCTCACAAGCCCTGCACCCCATCCCTCTGCTGTGGACTCCCATACGCACCTTCGAACAGACGCCGTGGGTCCTTCTCATCAAGCGTCAGCAGTTCCCGGGCGGCCTTGCGGATCTTGGCCAGGGTAAATTTGACCCTCCAGACCTCACGTTTGTTCCGGAGCCCATACTCGCCTGGTGGGGAGAAGGGGGTGGACAAGTGTAGTCCCACGTACTGGCACAACAACTAGACTGGCAGCTTTGGAATCACAAAACCTTCCTAAACCACGAATAGTACCAAATTTAGGGGACGGACTAGATAGAGTACATGGGCACCTTCATCCACGTGCTAACCGCCTCCCGGAAGCCGAACCACTTCCCGGAAGCCTTGGCCACTCACCGATCAGCTTCAGCTCTTGGTCGAGACGAGATTTCTCGAAGGGTCTCCGCGGGGTCACATAAGTTTTGCGACAAACCCAGCTCCGGGCCACTGGCATGTTGGCTCCGCTTCCCCGTCTGCGCCTGCGCGGGAGAGAAGTGTGAGCGTAAGGGATCCAAACGGCGCCTGCGCAGTCCCACAACTACGCCAAAACCTCGCGGAGCCCAGATCCGATCTCGCGAGAATAACCTCCAACGCTCTCATAGTCAGTATCTGCCCCCACAACCGTGCTGCACTCCCGTTCAACCACCCTGCTCTGTTTCCTAACGTCTTTAGCTTACTCATGGAAACTCGGAAGGCCCGGGCCACCATCCAACCCAAACCCTAGAGAAAAAGCACACCACCGCACCTCACCTAAGCAAACCACCCGGTCACTGAGAAAGAGGCGCGGAAGCGCCACGGCTGCGCTCTTATAGTAACGCCGGCGTCTCGTGACGTTTTCACGCACCACGCACGTCAGAGCCAATCAGAAGAGGCGTTGGCTGGCTGAGAAGCAGTGGAGACGTGAGGCTGGGCTAGAGCGGCGTGCTAACCTGGGAGGACTAGGTTTTTTCCGGCCAGGGAGTGGAAACCTGAGAAGTAGGGAGAACCTTCCTTCTCCGCCCCTGGACGGTGGTTTTTCTTTTTCTTTCTGAGACAGGGTCTCGCTCCGTCGCCCAGGCTGGAGTGCAGTGGCGTGATTTCGGCTCACTGAGGCCCCGACCAACCTCTCGGGCTCGAGCGATCCTCCCACCTCCTCCCCAGTAGCTGGGATTACAGGCACACGCCACGACGCCCGGGTAGCATTTTTTTTTTTTAACAGTCGGCGTCTTGCCATGTTGCCCAGGCTGGTCTTGAACTCCCGGCCTCGAGAGAGCCTCCCGCCGTGGCCCCCCCAAAGTGCTGGGATTACAGGCGTGAGCCACCGCGCCCAGCCGAGATTATTTCTGTCACTAACAATAATGTGGCATTCTGGAACGCTATGTGCCACATACTGTTCTAAGAATTTTAAATGTATTTACTCAATCTTCAATACATACTTACAGAGCACTCTCAGAGAAGTTGCCCCCCCACCCATGGTACTATTATTATCAATAGCCACTTAAGGGGTATTAGTACTATTATCAGTAATTTATTTTATTTTTGAGACGGAGTTTTTCGCTCTCGTCACCCAGGCTGGAGTGCAGTGGTGCGATCTCGGCTCACTGCAACCTCCGCTTCCCGGGTTCAATCGATTCTCGTGCCTCAGCCTCCCGAGAAGCTGGGACTACAGGCGCCCACCACCATGCCCGGCTAATTTTTAAATTTTTAGTAGAGACGGGGTTTTGAACTCCTGGTCTCCAACGCCTGACCTCAAGTGATCCACCCGCCTCAGCCTCCCAAAGTGCTAAGATTACAGGTGTGAGCCACCGCGCCTGACCTAGAGTTCTCTTTTTATATATAGTCTGGTTATTGTCTGTCTGTACACCCATCTCTCCACTCCGAATGCGATGGTCTGTCTCCACAGCTCGTGTTCTTCAGTTGTCTTCCCTACGCTGCTGCCTCGGCAGTCACTATCTCCTCAGGAAGCAGTCCCACCCGCCCCTTTCTCTTCCACGGCATCCACACCATCCGGATGCCTGGATTCAAATGCCACGTCACCACTTGCCAGCTGCAGTGCCTTCGACAAGTTTCTCAATCACTCTGTGCCTCAGCGTCCTCCTCTGTAAAACGGCGAATGATGGTAGCGCCTACCTCATAAGCTTGTGAGGATTAAGTGAGAGTCTATCCAGTGTTGAGGAGAGTGGCATAAATAAAGCGCCTAGTGGTAGCTACCATCGTCATTATTGTCATCTGCATTGTACTTCCATATCTTACAAACTACCTTGTTCAGTTTTATGGGTTTTTTGTTTGTTTGTTTTGTTGTTTTGAGACGGGGTTTTGCCATATTGCCCAGGCTGGTCTTGAACTCCTGGGCTCAAGTGATCCACTCGCCTCAGCCTCCCCAAGTGCTGGGATTACAGGTGTAAGCCACCATGCCTGGCCAAATTTTATGCATTTTTGTATCTTGAACACGCGTATATTATTCATCTGGAAGGGGGAAACGTGGAAGGAAAAAACTTCCATAAGTTTTCACTCCCTTCAGGATGAAGTCCAAGCTCCACAAATTCCGGGTGCCTCGTGATTACAGAGATGGTTTTATAATGGTGGTTGAACCTGTAGGTTCTCAAGTCTTAAAAAAGATCTGCGTTTGAACCTCAGCAGTCACTGACGAGCTCTTGATCTTAGGCAAATTAGCCTCTTCAAGAGTGCTAAATGGGAGAAAGTAACAGGACTTTCCTCATAGGGTTTGATGATTTAGAGTAAAAAAAAAAAAAAAAGAAAAGAAAACCAGCACAGAGTCTTGTGTACTGAAGGTGCTTAATATCTTAACACAGCTGACTCTGTACAGTCTGGGGGCGAGGGGCACTGACCCCCAGCTCAGCCGAAAACCTCCATATAGGCTGGGCGCGGTGCCTCACGCCTGTAATCCCAGCACTATGTGGAAGGCCAAGGCCGGCGGATCAACTGAGGTCAGGAGTTCGAGACCAGCCTGGCCAACATGACAAAACCTGGTCTCTACTAAAAATACAAAAATTAGGCAGGCGTGGTGGCAGGTGCCTGTAATCCCAGCTACTTAGGAGGTTGAGGCAAGAGCATCACTTGAACCCAGGACGTGGAGATTGCAGTGAGCCGAGATCGCACCACTGCACTCCATCCTGGGCGACAGAGCAAGACTGCCTCAAAAAAAAAAAAAAAAATCAAGAAAGAAAATCTGCATATAACTTTTGACTTCCCCAAAACTTAACTACTAGGCCAGGCACCGTGGCTCACACCTGTAACCCCAGGTGGGATTTGGGAAGCTGAGGTGGGCAGAGCACTTGAGCCCAGGAGTTCAAGACCAGCCTGGGCAACACGGCAAAACCCAGACTCTACAGAAAACAGAAAAATTAACTGGGTGTGGTGGTGTGTGCCCGTAGTTCCAGCTACTTGGGAGGCTGTGGTGGGAGGACTGCTTGAGTCAAGGAGGTTGAGGCAGCAGCGAACTAAGATCATGCCCCTGCACCCCAGCCCAGCTGGCAGAGCAAGACACTGTCTCAGGATTTAAAAAAAACATTACTCGTAGTTGACTGGAAGCCTTACCAATAACATAGTCAATTAACACATATTTTATATGCTATATGTATTATATTCTGTATTCCTATGATGAATTAAGCTAGAGAAAAGAAAATATTGGCCGGGCGTGATGGCTCATGCCTGTTACCCCAGCACTTTGGGAGGCTAAGGCGGGCGGATCACCAGGTCAGGAGATCGAGACCATCCTGGCTAACACGGTGAAACCCCATCTCTACTAAAAATACAAAAAATTAGCCGGGCGTGGTGGCAGGCACCTGTAGTCCCAGCTACCGGGGAGGCTGAGGCAGGAGAATGGCGTGAACCCGGGAGGCGGAGCTTGCAGTGAGCTAAGATCGCGCCACTGCACTCCAGCTTGGGTGACAGAGCGAGACTTCGTCTCAAAAAAAAAAAAAAAGAAAATATTAAGAAAATTCTAAAAAAGAGAAAATATATTTACTATTCATTAAGTGGAAGTGGATCATCATAAAGGTCTTCATCCTTGTCTTCATTCTGAGTAGGCAGAGGTGCAGAAAGAAGAGGAGGGTTTGGTCTTGCTGTCTCAGGGTGCCAGAGGTGGAGGAGGTAAAAGGCAAAGCAGGAGAGGCAGGCATGCTCTGTGTAACCTTTACTTTTTTCAATCTGCATAAAAGTGGACCCGAGCAGTTCAGACCCATGTTGCTCAAGGGTCAACTGATGAGATCTGGCCTCACCCTGATCCTCTTCAGAAGCATGGTCCAGTCATATGGCACCAGGCCCTCTTCCACAAACCCCTCATGCTTCCTCCTCTCTCTCTCTCACTCAGGCTGGAGCCCTCTAGCCCTTCCTCTCTGAAAGGAGCACGGGTAATATAAGAGGAACCCTTGGTTTCCATCATGGGTTGCCAAGGACCAGCTGGGCATGCTTGGGGAGCTGAATTCCTTTCCTTTTGTACAAGTGTAATAAAATCTAATTATGCCCCATCCATAGGACGCAAAACCATGTAGCTGTTGGCAAAAATGAGACAAGCCTGGGCATATCCAATAAGCAAGATGCAGAAGTGTGCATAGTATGCTACAATTTTCATTAATAAAAATGACCTTAACGTATGTATATTTATTTAAAATATGCTTAGAAAGTCATGTAGGAGAAATTATAATTTCCAAATTGTCTCAGCCCTGATTTAAAAATTATAGTTTAAGCCACTCATTTATTTAGCAACAATGTATTGACTGCTGTGTGCCAGGAACTGTTCTTGGACCTGGGGATACTGCATGAACAAGGGTAAATAAAAGAAAAACCAAAACCAAAACCTTGTCCTTAACTAGAAACAAATGCCAATCACCTGATGAATGGATAAATAAAATGGGGTTATGTCCATACAATGGAATATCCAGCAGTAAAGAGGAACAAAGCTGGCCGGGCACGGTGGCTCATGTCTATAATCCTAGCACTTTGGGAGGCTGAGGTGGGCGGATTGCCTGAGCTCAGGAGTTCGAGCCTGGGCAATTATGGTGAAACCCTGTCTCTACTAAAATACAAAAAATTAGCCTGACGTGGTGGCAGGCGCCTGTAATCCCAGGTACTTGGGAGGCTGAGGTGGGAGAATCGCTTGAACCCACTTGAACCCAGGAGGCAGAGGCTGCAGTGGGCCGAGATTGTGCCACTGCACTCCAGCCTGGGCAACAGAGCAAGACTCTGTCTCAAAAATAAAAAAAATAAATAATAATAATAATAATAAGCAAGGAAGAGAATGCACATGGCCAGTTCATGAGGAAGCTGCAAAGTAGGACCTTTGAGTTTTACTCTGAGATGGAAAACTCCAGGAAAGTTTTAGACAGAGCTGTGACATGGTCTGACTTATCTTTTAATATGATGATTCTGGCCGGGCGCGGTGGCTCACGCCTGTAACCCCAGCACTTTGGGAGGCCGAGGCGGGTGGATCACAAGGTCAGGAGATCGAGACCATCCTGGCTAACATGGTGAAACCCCGTCTCTACTAAAAATACAAAAAATTAGCCAGGTGAGGTGGCGGGCGCCTGTAGTCCCGGCTACTAGGGAGGCTGAGGCAGGAGAATGGCGTGAACCTGGGAGGCGGAGCTTGCAGTGAGCAGAGATCGCGCCACTGCACTCCAGCCTGGGCGACAGCGAGACTCCGCCTCAAAAAAAAAAAAAAACAAAAAAACAAAAAAAAAACGATGATTCTGGCTGCTCTGTTGAAAACAGACAACAGAGGGGCAAGAATGGAAGGCAGGGGATGAGTTAGGAAGCTATCAATATCAAATGAGCCATGGTTTGGTTTTTCTAAGATACTGGCAGTGAAGGTGGAGGGTGGGGCCTAACTGTGGATCCACAGTGCTTTGAACATGGCACCTATAGAATTTGTTGACTGACAACATGGGGGGACACCAGTCACAAAAGTTTTTTTTTGTTTGTTTGTTTTAAATAGAGATGAGATGAGGTCTCACTATGTTCAGCCAAGGCTGGTCTCAAACTCCTGAGCTCAGCGGCTCAACTGATCTTCCCACCTTGGCCTCCCAAAGTGCTAGGATTACAGGTCTGAGCCACCACATCTGGCCACAGGAGTTTTAAATGAGGAACTTTTCAGAGGAGAGACTCATGACAGAGGGAATGAGACTTCTAAGTACTTTGTTGTAGAGAGGAGAAAGGGTGGAGAATAGACTTACAAAGCCAATTATGAAGCAGGCACAAAGAGAGTATTGGCCAGACAGGGGTTAGCGTCATTTTTTTTCTTTTCATTTTTTTGAGATGGAGTTTAGCTCTTGTTGCCCAGGCTGGAGTGTAGTAGTGCGATCTTGGCTCACTGCAACCTCTGCCTCCCGGATTCAAGTGATTCTCCTGCCTTAGGCTCCTGAGTAGCTAGGAGTACAGGCGCATGCCACCACGCCCGGCTAATTTTTTTTTTTGTATTTTTAGTAGAGATGGGGTTTCACCATATTGGCCAGGCTGATCTCAAACTCATCTGCCCACCTCAGCCTCCCAAAGTGCTGGGATTACAGGTGTGAGCCACCACACCTGGCCCAGTGTCATATTTTAAATTAATCTAAACTTACAGGAAATTGAGATTCTATGAAGTCTGTTTACTGGGAATGGCAAGAAAGAGGGGAGATGGGAGTCTCTCTAAACCTATTCTGGTTCCAGAGGCTGCTCAATTCACACAAAAAAGAGAAAGAATGAAACATGGGGGGAAGAAATGGAAGAACTAGAGGTGGAGACTTTCAGCCCCAGAATTTTACCATGTGGAAGTTTTTGTTTGTTTTTGTTTTTTTGAGACAGTGTCTAGCTCTGTCGCCCAGACTGGAGTGCAGTGGCGTGACCTTGGCTCACTGCAACCTCCACCTCCCAGATTCAAGTGATTCTCCTGCCTCAGCCTCCGGAGTAGCTAGGATTACAGGCGCCCGCCACCACGCCCGGCTAATTTTTGTATTTTTCATAGAGGCGGGCCATGTTGGCCAGGATGCTCTGGAACTCCTGACCTCATGATCCGCCCGCCTTGGTCTCCCAAAGTGCTGGGATTACAAGCATAAGCCACCACGCCCAGACTCACCATGTGAATGTATTACACTGACAAAATAAACGTGACAAAATAAAACTGCACATTGATAAGATAAAGGTGTAATTATTGGAATAGTGGTAGTGTTCTAGTACTTTCTTAAGCAAAAACATGGGTAAATGATTTCATAAGTGCAAATTTTTTACAAATACATGTGTTTTAGCTTTTATAAAAATTGCAGAATATAACACATCCAAAAAAGAGTCTAAAATATAAATATACAGTATCAAAAAAATTCACCACTACCCAGGCCATGAAAAAGCAGAACGCCTTCCAGAGTCCTTCCTTTCTCCCCAGGCTCTGAACTCCTAAAATTACAATACTCATTTCCTTTCATAATATATATATATATACACACACATATATATACATACATGTGTGTATATTTACATATATACACACACACATATATATATTTTTTGAGACAGGTTCTTGCTCTGTCTCCCAGGCTGGAGGGCAGTGGTGCAATCACAGCTCACAGCAGCCTCAACTTCCCAGGCTCAAGGGATCCCTGGCTAATTTTTTTTTAAATTATTTTTTGTAGAGACTGGGTATTACAATGTTGCCAGAGCTGGTCTCAAACTCCTGGGCTCAAGCGATCCCCCTGCCTTGGCCTCCAAAAGTTCTGTGGGATTACAGGTGTGGGTCATCGTGCCCAGCCTATATTTTTATTTATAACGTTTGTATGCATCTGGGAAATTTCATAGAAATCTTTTCAAAAGGAAGTTTAGTGAGGTAGAAAGAGTGCAGATTTAGGAGTCAGAAAAACCAATTTTGAAAGGCCAGGCCTGCTATTTACTAAGTGTGTGACTTTGGGCAAGTCAGTCCCCCTCCTCCAGGCCTTTTTCTCACCTGTACATGCAGATGAGACCATCCACGGGTTCCAGGACTGTCGCAAACATTCAAATCATGAACATTTATATACCAAGTTTATTGAGACCTCCTGAGACTTAAACCCTGTAGAAAACAGATGAATCAAACCCAGGCCCCATTCTCGGGAAGCTCACAGTGTGAAAATAGGTAACTACAAAAACACAGCCAATAAGTGCTTTGAAACAAGGAAGAACATAAAAAAGATGTAGTGTTCGAAAACCTGGAATCAAAAACTAACCGCGGAGAAAGGTAGGAGGATGTTCTAGACTCCCAGAGAAGAGCTGGGGAACATCCAGAAAGGCTCTTGCTGCCGACACAGCCACATCCCCTAGGTCTCTGGAGTTCACTGCAGGCTGGCCCATTGCAGGGAGGTGTAGACCACCTTACCATCAGGCTGCGGAGAACAGAGGAGCAGGGTCTTTCTGACGCTGGTTCCAAGGCGCCCAGCAGCAACCAGGTCTTGGAGTGGGATGGTGTCCTCAGGGGCCCAGCACTGAGCGATATAATGGGCGTGGAAGCGGAGGGGGTCACCTGGGGGAAGGAGAGAGGCACTGAAGCAGTGACCAATGGCAGACGGCTGGACGCCACGGGAACGACCACTGGGAGGAGATCTGAGATCATTTCAGCCATCACTATAGATACTCTAAAACAGATGCTCTTGGACACAACTATTCCACTTCTAGGCTTTTTTTTTTTTTTTGAGACAAAGTCTCGCTCTTGTCCCCCAGGCTGGAGTGCAATGGCACGATCTTGGCTCACTACAACCTCTGCCCCCTGGGTTCACATGATTCTCCTGCTTCAGCCTCCCGAGTAGCTGGAAATACAGGCACCCACCACCACGCCCAGTTAGTTTTAGTATTTTTAGTAGAGATGGGGTTTCACCATGTTGGCCAGACTGGTATCAAACTCCTGACCTCAGGTGATCCACCTGTCTTGGCCTCCCAAAGTGTTGGGATTACAGGCGTGAGCCATTGCGCCCAGCCTGATGTCTAACTACTTCTAAGTGAATCTTCTGGATCACAGTAATCATTTAATAAAAGTCGTTAAACTGCTTGCCCAATGAGTTCGGGAGCTCCCAAATGTTTCCTGTCTGTCTATGAATTTCAGAGGCTAAGAGAAAGTGAGACAAAAAAGAAAAATGCAGCTGGGCCTATAATTCCAGCACTTTGGGGGGCCGAGGTGGAAGGATTGCTTGAGCCCAGGAATAGGGACCAGCCTAAGCAACAAGAGACCCCACCTCTATTAAGACAAAAAAAAAAAAAAAGAAAAACGCAGAATACATTGGGATCGTATGGAAAGGCACAGCAACCAGAGGCCCCAACCCATACTCACCAGGATAGACCAGGAAGTCACCTCCGAACTTGCCAGCCGCACTGAGGAAGAAGCCTCGCTCCCACAGGTCTCTGTAGATACTGTAGCGCAGCTCGTGGGCAGGGCGGCCGGCGTGGGGCCAGTCTTTAGACTGGACACGCCAGTCCAGGGGCCTGGCCTTGACCGGTCGAGGCCTGGCAGTGGCCAGCTGGACAAGGAGAGCAGATCTGGGCAAGGGGGCTACCCCATTTGAGGGTCCTGCTTGGGAAGACGAGGGGCCTGGTGGGGAGTACAGAGAAGAGTTTGGTAAATTCAAGGGGTAAAGTCTTCTCACCCTCAGGGAGACCCAGGCACTGGATTCCCAGCTAAAATTCCTAAAAGATCTCTCCTCTCCTTCCCGTGGTCCCTGGACTCCACCTCCCATGCTCACCAGCTTCCTCCTGCTCTCCCGAAGCCTGGCCATCACTGGTCTCATCCTCTTTGGCAGCCTGGCTCGAGCCGGCCTCCTGGCTTGAGCTGGCCCCTGAAGCCTGTTCTAGTTTCTGCTTCTTAGCAGCCTGGCCCTCCGTAATCTTCTCCAGGAGCTCCTGACGACGGGTCTCCCGGGCCTCAGCTGCCAAGGCGCTCTGCTCCTGGAAGCTCTCCTCTTGCTGGCGCTTGAAGGATGTCAGGGCCTGAGAAGCACACTTCGCTGGAACCTCCAAGCTTATGGTCCCTTCAGAAGCCAGGAAACTTGACTCCCAGGTCCCGCTCCCACCGAACCCGAGTTCGAGCCCCGCCCCCTTACCAGGCTGTGGTGCCGAGAGTCTGGACGCGGGGCGCTGACCAGAGTCACGGCGCCGATCTCGGCCAAGAGCCGCGCCTCTTCGGGCATCAGCAGCAGCGGGAGGCCCAGGCGCGAGTTCTGGCGGGGCCCGCGGGGCAGGGCGCCTACCGTGCGGCCCCCCACACCCAGGCGCTCCCGGAGGGCCTGCACCGCCTCGGCTCCCCACACCAGGGAGCGGCCGTTCGCCACCTCCACCACCAGCATCCTCCTGCGGGAGCCGGGAGGCAAAGCAGTTACCGAAACAGCTGCGCGCCGCGGACCGCTGCAGCGCACCCAAAGCCTCCGGGGTCTCGGCGAAGCCCCGCCCCTAGGCCTCAGGGGGCGGGGCCTCGCTCAGCCGCCGTTCACCACCTGCTGGGCCCGAGCGCCAGGCCCCGCCCCCGGGCGATCCCACCAGGCCTCGCGGCCGCCGGAGACGAGACGCCGGAGACAAGCCCCCGACCCTCTCCCCTCGCCAAGCCCCCAGGGTCCCGCTCTACCCTTGTGACCCTGCGGTCGGCACCCGCTCTGTGCCCGCACTGCCGTACCTACCATTGCGCCTTGGAGCGTGAAAAACAAACCTCCGCAAGCGCGGCGACACGCCCCCTTACAAAGGTCCATTTTGGCACCACCCTCTTGCAAAGTGGGCGTCCCCCTTCGGGTGTTCCCGTCAGCGGTCAGAAGCTCTGGAGGCTAAGGCACCGCCGAGGCCACACCCTCTTCCGGACGCTCGAGCCTTCGCTCCTCCTCTTTCCGAACGACTGTGATTCGGCTTTCGGACCTCCTCGCTCTCAGACTCCCACAGTACAAAACCCTGCCCCCTCCCGAGCACAGGAAGTTCGGCGTTCGGGCGTCCTCGGCTCCACCGAATCCGCAGCCCCGCCCCCTTCTCGAACGCCAGCAATTTGACGTTCGGGTGTTCTCGGCTCGGCCGAATCCGTAGCCCCGCCTCCTCCCGGACGCAATAGGTTCGGCGTTCGGGCGTCATCGGCTCCCGGCAGCCTCGCGGCCTGTGGCCCCGCCCCCTCCGAGCGCCAGCGCACCCCAGTTGGGGAGTTCCCGCCCTACGACCGAACCCCACAGCCGAAAGCCCCGCCCCCTGGACACCCGCCGTCCACTCTCCGCTCGGGCGGGCTCACCCCAATTGGGAGCGCTCAGTCCGCCTCCTTGCCTCCCTTCAGAATGTCCCACTGTCCACCGATAGAACCAGCGAGTCACCTCATAAACAGTAATTCGCAGTCGAGGTGGAGCCACCCACTGCGCACCGCGCCACGCGCTCCTTGCTCCACCCCCTCATGCCGACACCCTCGTCAACTTCGTCATCCCGCCCCATCAGCGCCGCGGGAAGTCAGGTCCCGCCCCTCGCAGGACCGAAGCCCCGCCCTCCTCCCGCGGGGGCCACCTTGGCTCCGCCCCACTGAGCGCACCTCCCTCTGCCGCTTCCTCTCCTCTACTTGGGAACTTGAGGATCGTCATCCTGGCCCGGTCCCGTAGGCGCACGCCGGCCCTCGGGGTTCCGCCCCTTTGAGGGCAAGTCGCTTTCGCCCCGCCCCCTTGTAAATACTCATGGGTGTCTGGCGAACCTGTTGACTCCGCCTATCATCCTAGCGTCACTTGTACCCAACTATCTACGAAGTAAACCGAAGCTTGTGGCCCCACCCACATCCGGCCGAGTCTGTGGCCCCGCCCACATCGGAACAGTGACCCTAAGGACTCGACTACCTCCGAAGAAAGCCGAAACATGTGGCTCCGCCCACAGTGGCCTCAGCTCTCCGTTCTCGACTATTGCCGAAGTGAGCCGAAGTTTGTGGCCCCGCTTCCGGAGAACTCAAGCTCCCGATTGTGCCCGAAGGAACCCGAAGGGAGACCCCGCCTCATTCCTCACGCCGAGCTCCAGACCCCGCCTCCTTTCCAGAGCCCGTCTGTTCCCCTTCGGGTCCAAAGCTTTTGGCTCCTCCTTGTTCCGAGCCCGAAGGCCCGCCCCTTCACGTACTCGGAGCTCGGATCCCAGTGTGGACCTGGACTCGAATCCCGTTGCCGACTCGCGCTCTCGGCTTCTGCTCCGGGGCTTCTTCCCTGCCCGCCCGGGGCCCTGACCGTGGCTTCTTCCCCGGCCTGATCTGCGCAGCCCGGCGGGCGCCCAGAAGGAGCAGGCGGCGCGGGGGCGCGCTGGGCGGGGGAGGCGTGGCCGGAGCTGCGGCGGCAAGCGGGCTGGGACTGCTCGGCCGCCTCCTGCCCGGCGAGCAGCTCAGGTGGGCCAGGGTGGCGGCGCCCAGTGGCGAGGCGAGGTTACACGGCGGCAGGGTCTCTGCGGGCTGGCGGGTGCGGGGCGGCCCCGGAGGCGCGTTGGAACTCGGGGCTGGCGCAACCGCCTGTGGCTCTGCCGGGGATGCGCTGGGGTGCGCGGGACGGGTTGGGGCTGGGCCTGGGCCTGGGCCTGGGGAGGGGAGGGTGTTCGATCCCCGGGTTCTCAGTAGGAGAGGGGTGTGGAGCTCCGAAGGAGGTGCAGGTTGGAGACCCGGGCTCCTCTGGGTGGTCTCGAAGGAGAAGGGCTGGGGGGTCCGGATATCTGGTTTCACAAGGGCCGGGGGATGGGGGATCCAAAGAGGGGGTCTGGGTTCCTGGATCCTCGCTGGAAGAGGGGGCTCGGAGGTCTAGATTCCTGGGCTGTCGAAGAGGAAGGGTCCGGGAGGGGTGCCGTTTCTGGGTTTTTAAAAGAGGGGCGTCTTCAAATCTGGGTCCCCAGTATGGGTGCGGGGAGTAGCTTTGATTTCTGCGTTCGCAAAGGAGGGGCTTGGGTGCTGGGAGATCCCCACACTTTCCTGGGTTCTCCAAGGACAGGAGAGCTGGAGGCCTGTGCGCTCAAAGGAGGGGCTGGGGGTGGATTCCTGTCTCCTCCAAGGAGGAAGGGGCTGGAGTCTGGGTTGCTAGGTTCTCAAAGGAGAGGAGCTGAGGCTCATACTCCATCATCCTCAAAAACTGGGGTCTAGAAGGCTGGGTTCCTGGATCCTCGAAGAGGGAGGAGGCAGGGGGCCTGGATTCCTGGGTTCTCACTGTGAATCTCTGCCCCTCCCCCAGACCATGTCGCCTGAAGAATGGACGTATCTAGTGGTTCTTCTTATCTCCATCCCCATCGGCTTCCTCTTTAAGAAAGCCGGTGAGTCAGGCTCCCTCCCCAGTGGAAAATAAAGGGGGGGGACCCTCTGGAAGGTTCCAGGCTTATGCTGTCCCTTCCCCCTGCAGGTCCTGGGCTGAAGAGATGGGGAGCAGCCGCTGTGGGCCTGGGGCTCACCCTGTTCACCTGTGGCCCCCACACTTTGCATTCTCTGGTCACCATCCTCGGGACCTGGGCCCTCATTCAGGCCCAGCCCTGGTGAGAATTTGGTGGAGGGAGGAGAGGGAGAGGAGGGGAGAGGGGGAAGCAACCTGTTTCCTCTTTGAGTCTTTTTCAGCTTCTGCCTCATGTCTAGCTGTCTCTTGTTGATCAGCTCATTTCTCTGTTTCATGTTTGTTTGTTTGTCTTTCTTTCTTTCTTTCTTTCTTTCTTTCTTTCTTTCTTTCTTTCTTTCTTTCTGAGATGGAGTTTCGCTCCTGTTGCCCAGGCTGCAGTTCAGTGGCACGATCTTGGCTCACTGCAACCTCCACCTCCCGGGTTCAAGCGATTCTCTTGCCTCAGCCTCCCAAGTAGCTGGGATTACAGGCATGCTCCACCATGCCTGGCTAATCTTGAATTTTTAATAGAGCTGGGGTTTCTCCATGTTGGTCAGGCTGATCTCGAACTCCTGACCTTGTGATCTGCCCACCTCAGCCTTCCAAAGTGCTGGGATTACAGGCGTGAGCCACCGCATCCGGCCTTCATCTGCTTTTCTTTCTCCCCTGCCTTCTGCGTCTGGTCCCTGTGTGTTTGTCCCAGTCCGCTACATCCATGTCATGGAGAGAGGTGGACAGTGTGTCTGCTGGCCTGGCCACCGTTCATATTCATTCATATCCACCTCTCTCTTCTTGAGCCCTGGACCTCGGAAATAAAGAAAAAGTGGAGGATTGCAGGGTCTTCACCCGAAGCTTCTCTTAACCTCATTCTCTGTTGGTGTGTGTTTCTATGTGGCTGAGCCTCTTCTCCCACTGTTTCAATCATACTCATTCGGTCCCTACATCCACCCTCCTGTCCTCTCTGCCCTTCTGTGTTTCTGTCTCTAAACGAATGGGGAGAGCTGGGGGAGGATTGGTGGCTGGACTCGTGGAGTGAGTGGCCAAGGCCGAGACTTCTGTGCCCAACACAGTGCGCCTCCTGCTTTTGCCCAGCTCCTGCCACGCCCTGGCTCTGGCCTGGACTTTCTCCTATCTCCTGTTCTTCCGAGCCCTCAGCCTCCTGGGCCTGCCCACTCCCACGCCCTTCACCAATGCCGTCCAGCTGCTGCTGACGCTGAAGGTCAGACTCGGGGCTTGCCACTCCCCTCCAGCCTCCCTGTGGGCCCCTTCACCTCCCACTTTACCTCCCCCTTCAGTGGCTCCCCGGGATTTTACCTCCAACACACCCTGGGGGTGGGACGTCACCTCACTTGCTGCCCTGGGCACAGCATTCCCCATTCACATGCCCTTGGGCAGGTCTTCACCTCCCAGCTCCTCCTGGGGTGAGGAAATAACCCACATAGGGTAACAGTAGGTGCCATTGGGTGCTTGCGGTGTGCCAGAGGCCCAGCTGGGTGGTTTACCAACATGCTGTCCTTGAATCTCTGTAGCCAGCTATTTTGCAAAGGAGAAAAACCAGCTCTGGGGAGAAGGTACTTGGTGAAGGGAACAAAACTAGGGCATCCAGGTCTGGCTCCTAATCACCTGGGAAGAGGGGTAAAAACAGAATCCTAGGGCCCACCCCAGACCCACAGAGTCATGGTTTCCTACTGGCGGCTTATCCGTGAACACAGCAGTCATGCTAGGTAGGGAGTGGCCTTCCCAGCATTCAGTGTGCCCTGTGGGAGCTCAGTGGTGGCAGGAGTAGGTTGGATGAGAGAGGGGTTCGTGGAGGAGCATTTCAGGCCGCAGGATGTGTGGAGGGGAGCAGGCTGGGTTCCACAGGCTACACCAGCCACATCCACTTTCTGGGACGAGCAAAAGGGAACAGGCAGCAGGGCTGACACCGTGCTAGGCCTGGCTGGAGACCGTGAGGACATTGGACTTCTTCCCGTGGAGGATTGAGATCTGCTGGAAGAGGGGATTTTTGGTTTGCTGCCAGAAGAGGCAATGTGACCAGTTTTAAATGTTTAAAAATACTCGTTCTGGCTGGGCACAGTAGCTCACGCCTGTAATGCCAGCACTTTGGGAGGCTGAGGCAGGCGGATCACCTGAGGTCGGGAGTTCAAGACCAGCCTGACCAAAATGGAGAAACCCTGTCTCTACTAAAAATACAAAAGATTAGCTGGGCGTGGTGGCACATACCTGTAATCCCAGCTACTCGGGAGGCTGAGGCAGGAGAATTGCTTGAACCCAGGAGGCGGAGGTTGTGGTGAGCTGAGATCGTACCATTGCACTCCAGCCTGGGCAACAAGAGCAAAACTCCATCTCAAAAATAAATAAACAAATAGAAATACTCATTCTAGGCCAGCTGCGGGTGGCTCACGCCTGTAATCCCAGCACTTTGGGAGGCTGACGCGGGTAGATCACCTGAGGTTAGGAGTTTGAGACCATCCTGGCCAACATGGTAAAACTCCGTCTCTACTAAAAATACAAAAATGAGCCGGGTGTGGTGGCTCACACCTGTAATCCCAGCTACTCAGGAGGCTGAGGCAGGATAATTGCTTGAACCTGGAAGGTGGAGGTTGCAGTGAGCCAAGATCCCGCCATTGCACTCCAGCCTGGGCCTTCCCGGGCAAGATTCCATCTCAAAAAAAAAAGAAAAGAAAAGAAAGAAAACTCGTTCTGGATGCTGAAGGAGAATTGAAGTGGAACAGGGCAAGATGGGATGGACTCAGATAAAGGGATCCTCCTTTGTCCGAGTCCAGGTGACAAACTGTGGTGGCTTGATACAGGCCGTTGGCTGGCTGTGGGTAGGTCTGAGTTGCAGCAGGAAACGCGCATTTAGGATGACTGAAGGAGTGGCCACCAATTGGGCAGGATGTAGAAGAGCAAGAAGGGATGGTGCCTGAACCCCAGCCCGGCAGAAGGAGCCGTTCCCAACCCTAGGCCCAGGGGAAATGGGTCAGGTTGTGGTACCTGGATGGAAAAAGGGTTGTGTAGGCCTGGTGCAGTGGCTCATACTTGTATAATCCCAGCGCTTTGGGAGGTCATAGTGGGAGGACTGCTGGAGGCCAGGAGTTTAAGACCAGCCTGGGCAATATAGTGAGACCCTGTCTCTACAAAAAATTAATTTTTTAAATGTTATTTATTTTTAAAGATGGAGTCTCGCTCTGTTGCCCAGGCTGGAGTGCAGTGGTGTGATCTCACTGCAACCTCTGCCTCTCGGGTTCGAGCGATTCTCCTGCCTCAGCCTCTCGAGTAGCTGGGACTACAGGCGCCCACCACCACGCCTTGCTAATTTTTATATTTTTAGTAGAGATGGGGTTTCACCATGTTGGCCGGGCTGGTCTCAAACCCCTGACATCAAGTGATCTGCCTGCCTAGGCCAACCAAAGTGCTAGTGTTATAGGTGTGAGCCGTCACACCTGGCC
This sequence comes from Homo sapiens, assembly GCF_000001405.40. Taxonomy (NCBI): domain Eukaryota; kingdom Metazoa; phylum Chordata; class Mammalia; order Primates; family Hominidae; genus Homo; species Homo sapiens. Next base: position 54,184,927 of record NC_000019.10, on the reverse strand, counting down.
CTAAATTTTTTTTTTTTTTTTTTGAGACGGAGTTTCACTCCTGTTGCCCAGGCTGGAGTGCAATGGTACGATCTTGGCTTACCGCAACCTCCGCCTCCCAGGTTCAAGCGATTCTCCTGCCTCAGCCTCCTGAGTAGCTGGAATTACAGGCACTCACCACCATGCCCGGCTAATTTTTTGTATTTTTAGTAGAGACAGGGTTTTTCCATGTTGGTCAGGCTGATCTCGAACTCCCGACCTCAGGTGATCCGCCTGCCTCGGCCTCCCAAAGTGCTGGGATTACAGGCGTGAGCCACCGCGCCCGGCCAAAATTATTTTTTTTAAAGGGTGTGTAGAGCCACCCACCTTGAAATGATCTATCAAGGGTGACAGCCAGCCCAAGGCCATCTTACAAGGGAATAAAAGCCCTACCCTCCCTCTCCTGACTTTGTCTCCAGCCAGGGATTTCTACTGACAACCCAGCCACAAGCTGGAAGAAGGAGATCTATTGATATAGGGTGGACCTTGGGACTGGTGGGAAAGGGTGGAGAGTACAACATATTCAGCTCAGTAGTGGAGATGGAAAGAGGCAACAGACTCAAACTTAAGGGATTTCAAGGCGGGCAGATCACTTGAGGCCAGGAGTTCGAGACCAGCCTGGCCAGCTGAGGCATGAGAATTGCTTGCGCCCCCAGGAGGTGGGGGTTGCAGTGAGCCGAGATCACACCAGTATACTCCAGCCTGGTGACAGAGCAAAACTTGTCTCAAAAAAAAAAAAAAAAAAAAAGAGAGAGAGATTAAAGGATCGGATTTGGGGAGTGAGGGAGATTTTTGGCTTGAACAATTTGGTGGCCTGTTGTTTGAGGGGTGACACTAGAAGAGGGTCTACCTTGTGGGGTGGGTAACATCATGTTCCGTTTCCAGTGCGTTTGGGGTGCCTGGAGACATCCGAGTATAAATGCCAATAAGCCACTTGATTGGATAGGTCTGGGGCTGGGGTAGCGTTTGGGCGTCCTCAGCGTGTGGATAGTATCGAAACCTCCGTGATTGCGTGAGAGCAGGTAAGCACAGAACAGGGAAAGGGGAGGAGGGCCTGGGACTGAGCCCTGGGGAACACCGCCCAGCTAGAGGCGTTACACACAACCTAGATGGGCAGAGCTGCGGGCACCCAGCACCCCTTGGCTGCCGAGGGCAGCCGCGCAAGGGAGATGGGTGTGGGGAAGGGCCCAGAGTCTGACCTGGCCCCTTGCCCACCCCCTTCTGCCCAGCTGGTGAGCCTGGCCAGTGAAGTCCAGGACCTGCATCTGGCCCAGAGGAAGGAAATGGCCTCAGGCTTCAGCAAGGGGCCCACCCTGGGGCTGCTGCCCGACGTGCCCTCCCTGATGGAGACACTCAGCTACAGCTACTGCTACGTGGGAATCATGACAGGTGAGTGGGGCTGCCCTAACAACTCTGCCGCTCTGTCTCCTGTGTCCCCTTCCGCCCTGAGTGCCTGTTCTGTGTTCCCGCCCTGCCCAGGGCAACCTCCATCCTAGCATCTGCTGCTGTGAGGGTGGGCATGTGTCTGGGTCTACGTCTCACACCTCCGCTGGACCAGAGCTGCTTTGGGGTAGAAGCTGGCTGTCTCAACCTAAGCAATTCCTTGCTCTTCTCCTTGTAGCGTATTGGGAGCAAAGAGAAGAGATAAAGGAGGTAAAGATCTATGTCAACCTGATGTTTTTGCTTCCCAGACAACAAATATTCACGGCTTAGGGTCCACTTTCAGCTTAAGGAAATATTTTTCATCTGGGCGTGGGGGCTTATGCCTATAATCCTAGCACTTTCGGAGGCTGAGGCGAGAGGATTGCTTGAGGCCAAAAGTTCAAGATCAACTTGGCCAACATAGCAAGATCCCGTCCCTTTATTTTAAACCTTTATTTTTAAAAAATAAATAAATATAAAATTAAAGGGCCGGGCGCAGTGGCTCACGCCTGTAATCCCAGCACTTTGGGAGGCTGAGACAGGCAGATCACCTGAGGTCAGGAGTTTGAGACCAGCCTGGCCAACATGGTGAAACCCCGTCTCTACTGAAAATACAAAAATTAGCCGGGCATGGTGGTGTGTGCCTGTAATCCCAGCTACTTGGGAGGCTGAAACTGGAGAATCGCTTGAACCCACGAGACGGAGTTTGCAGTGAGCCAAGATCACACCACTGCACTCCATCCTGGGCAACAGAGCAAGACTCCATCTCAAAAAATACATATGTATGTGTGTGTGCATGTGTGTATATATATGTATGTGTGTATGTGTATATATATGTGAAATTTTAAAAAGAAAATATTTTTCATTAATGTTTACCTCATCAAAGGTTTTTTTTCCAATAACAGCTTTAGGGAACTCTAATTCACATACTCATCCACTTAAAACATACAACTCTTGGCTTCTTTAATTTCCTGAAAAAAAACAAAACACAAAACATACAACTCCCTGATTTTTAGTATATTCACCGAGTTGTGCAGACATGACCACTGTGTAGTTATATTCAGAACAGTTTCATACCCTGCAAAGAAACCCCATGTCCATCATCCCACAAACCTCCATCCATCCCTGGTAACCAGTAATTGACTTTCTATCTGTAAAGATTTGCCTGTTCTGGACATTGCGCTTACAAATGGAATCATACAACATGTGGTCTTATTTATTTATTTTAATTTGTTTTTTTTTTCCTTTTATCTTCCCATGCTACATTGACCTAAACATACGGCCTTTGTGAACATATAAAAATTTTAACCCCGGTCCCTTCTGTGAATCACACTGCTTCCTCCCTAGGCCAGACCACCATCATATTGTAGCTAAAGTGCCACAGCTATCTCCTAGTTTCTTTCCTTCCTCCTTCCCTCCGTCCTTCCCTTTTCCCTTCTTCCTTCCTTCCCTCCTTCCTTCCCTCCCTCCTTCCTTCCCTCCTTCCCTCCCTCCCTCCTTCCTTCCCTCCCTCCTTCCTTCCCTCCTTCCCTCCCTCCTTCCTTCCCTCCTTCCCTCCCTCCCTCCCTCCTTCCCTCCTTCCCTCCCTCCCTCCTTCCTTCCCTCCTTCCCTCCCTCCCTCCTTCCTTCCCTCCTTCCCTCCCTCCCTCCTTCCTTCCCTCCTTCCCTCCCTCCTTCCTTCCCTCCTTCCCTCCCTCCCTCCTTCCTTCCCTCCTTCCCTCCCTCCTTCCTTCCCTCCTTCCCTCCCTCCCTCCTTCCTTCCCTCCTTCCCTCCCTTCTTCCTTCCCTCCTTCCCTCCCTCCTTCCTTCCCTCCTTCCCTCCCTTCTTTCTTCCCTTCTTCACTCCTTCCCTCCCTCCCTCCCTCCCTCCCTGGCTGGAATGCAGTAGCTCAGTCACTGCTCACTGCAGCCTGGGCTCAAACGATCCTCCCGCCTCAGCCTCCCCAGTAGCTGGGAATTCAGGTGCCCTCCACACCTGGCTGATTTTTATTTTTTGTAGTGATGGGGTCTTGCCGTTTTGCCCAGGCTGCTGTCCAACTGTTGGGCTCAAGCAGTCCTCCCAGCTAGGCCTCCCAAAGTGCTGGGATTCCAGGTGTGAGCCACCGCACCGGCCCCTCTGTCTGTTTTTCTGTTACTGTCTCTGTCTCTCTGAGTTTCTTGTCCCCCCTGTCTCTCGTTCCTTATCCCCATCTCTCAGGGTCTCAGTCCCTACCCTTGGGGTCTCCCCGGCGCCCAGTCTCTGCCCCTCTCACTCCCTCTTCCCACCTTCCTTCCAAGCTCCCTGTCCTCCTCCTGCAGACTTGAGCTCTGCCCACCTGCCTGTCTGACCGCGGCCCTCCCTCCCCGCCCCACAGGCCCGTTCTTCCGCTACCGCACCTACCTGGACTGGCTGGAGCAGCCCTTCCCCGGGGCAGTGCCCAGCCTGCGGCCCCTGCTGCGCCGCGCCTGGCCGGCCCCGCTCTTCGGCCTGCTGTTCCTGCTCTCCTCTCACCTCTTCCCGCTGGAGGCCGTGCGCGAGGACGCCTTCTACGCCCGCCCGCTGCCCGCCCGCCTCTTCTACATGATCCCCGTCTTCTTCGCCTTCCGCATGCGCTTCTACGTGGCCTGGATTGCCGCCGAGTGCGGCTGCATTGCCGCCGGCTTTGGGGCCTACCCCGTGGCCGCCAAAGCCCGGGCCGGAGGCGGCCCCACCCTCCAATGCCCACCCCCCAGCAGGTCAGGCGGCGCGAGGGAGGCTTCCCAAGACCCAGCAGCCCCCACCTCCAAGGGCTGGCTCTGCCCCTAGCCGGGAGGAGAGCGGGGAGCAAGGGGCCAGGGCCACCACCTTTTTGAGCAGAGTGTCGCCCCCTCGGCAACCATGGCCTGCCAGCCCCTGTCGGTAGGGAAAAGATCCCTGGTACTGACAGATGCCCCTTGTTGCTAGCGCTTGTCACCCCGCAGTGTGGTGAACTGCCCCCTGTCGCTAGGAAAAGGTGGTAACTTAGCAACCCTGTGCCACCCCTCTGTTGCCACAGAAGTGTCACCCCCCAGAACCAGATTGTTCCTGCTTGCTGGGGATGCCATCCTTTGCTAGTGGTGGGTCACCCTCTGTTGCTAGGGAAACGGTTCCCTAGCAACAGAACGCCACTATTTGCTAGGGAAGCAGGATCCCTAGCAACAGTAGCTCACCTCCTTTTTACCAGAAGTTTTGCTCTGTTGCTGCAGATACGGCACTCCCTGCACTGCCCCTTTGTTGCTAGGAGCTAGCACTGCTCCACCCCGTGGGATGTCCTCACATAGCAGCCCTCAGCAGCCCTCTGCAAGGAAATAGCAATTTCCAATCCCTGACCAGTGCTGTTCCCCAGCAGAGGGCACGCCATTCCTACCAACTACAGTTACACTGTTGCTAAGGAAGCCAAACCTCCCCCTGGAAACTATGGGTTGACCCTTGTTGCCAGAGAGGCTCCACCCCCCGGCACCTGCATTGCTAGGCAAGTCGCACGGCCATAGCTGTGGACTCTCTTGTGGCTGAGGAAGTATTGCCCCCGTGTTGCTAGGGAGATGGCACCCCCGGCAACCAGGAGTAGACTGCCCTTGTGTTCCTGACAGCTGCAGTCAGCCTTCCCCCAGGGGCTTGGACTGCGGCTGGGGGAACAGCCTGTTGATGTAAATGATGAACTACTACTCCCTGCTAGGGTTGTCCCCTAGTCGTCACAAACTGCCATTCTGTTGTGGGGGTAGTGACACCCCCACGGGAATTTGTTACCACTGCCCTAATAACCGTGCCCTGACCTCCAGCTGCTAGAGAGAGGATGTCCCCCTAGTAAAGCCAAGCAGGAATTGAAGGTTTTTCTAAATCTGCTCGGTCCTCACTCCTAAAGGATGGCTCCCCTCCTGTCATCAGAGGCCACCAAGGCTTCATATGGGCCAGTGTTTCCCACTGCTGGGGCTGTCGACATGAGTGATGAGGGAGCCACTGTATTGCTAGAGGTGACACTTCTCCAATAATCACTGCGACCAGGAAAAAAGCCCCTTCCTAAAAGCCTTTCTAAACATCCTAGGCATTGTTGCTAAGGAATGCCTTTTCCTTAGCAACAAAGATCATGGGGACCCCACTGGCGCCTGGAACATCTCCCTAGCAACCGTGAAGCACCTTGTTATTAGGGATGATAACCACAACTTCCCTGGCAACTGCAGTGTCCGACAATTTAGAAGGGACCATCCTTGGCGGCTTCTCTGAATATACTGAGCTTGGTTGCTAAAGGACTCATAGCTTAGCAACCATAGCCCTTCAAGGCTTTTCATGGCTGTGGCGGGCCCCATTAGGTACCAAAAGAAGAAGAACCCCATTGTCAGTGGACTGTACCACCCAGCCCACCCACCTTCCTACCCTACAGGCACCCTCTGGGCCACCCTCCCTTGCTGCCCTAGCAAGTCTGACAGCCAGAGGGCCATTGCCTGGCCAGGATCCCTTCCTTAGCATCCGGGGCTGGGACACTAGCAGGCGTCGGGAGGGGGCCTGGCTGAGCTGCATGTCTGTCCCCCACCCTCATCCTCCACCCCCCAGTCCGGAGAAGGCGGCTTCCTTGGAGTATGACTATGAGACCATCCGCAACATCGACTGCTACAGCACAGATTTCTGCGTGCGGGTGCGCGATGGCATGCGGTACTGGAACATGACGGTGCAGTGGTGGCTGGCGCAGTATATCTACAAGAGCGCACCTGCCCGTTCCTATGTCCTGCGGTGAGTGAGCCCGCCCAGTCTCAGGTGACACTGCAGAACTACATCTCCCAGCAGGCCCCAGGGTAGCCTGCAGCGTCCCTGGCTGGGCCCCTGCCCCCGGAGGCTCATGGGAATTGTAGTTTGTTTAGCCTGGTTTTGCCCTGCCTCTAATTATAGTGGCAGCATGCCGGTGTAAAATCGTTCCCCCTCTCGGGGCCTCAGTTGCTACTTCTGTAAAGTCAGCCTCACTCAGCAGAAGCAATGTACTGAGTCCTGTGGACTCAATAGCCAGCCTTCCTGGAATCTTGGCCGTCCAGGTTATGGAGAAACCTTGAGGAGTTAGTTGACCTCTTAGTTGCCTCAAGTGTTGAATGGAGTGAATGCTATTTATTACTGGTTTCATAGGTAGATAGAAGGACTAAATGTGATAAAATGTGAAATGTATTTAATGTGAGGCCTGACAGGTAAGTGCGTGCTGTGTATTCATTTTTATTGTTTTTCATTCTTCCAATATTTCTCGAGTGGAGACTCTGTGCTTGACACTGTTATCTGTGCAGCCTTTAGAAGCAGAAACTCAGCCGGGTGCGGCAGCTCACGCCTGGAATCCCAGCACTTTGGGAGGCCCAAGCAGGTGGATCATGAGGTCAGGAGTTCGAGACCAGCCTGACCAACATGGTGACATGCTGTCTCTACTAAAAATACAAAAAATTACCCTGGTGTGGTGGTGGGCGCCTGTAGTCCCAGCTACTCGGGAGGCTGAGGCAGGAGAATGGCTTGAACCCGGGAGGCAGAGGTTGCAGGGAGCTGGGATCTCGCCACTGCACTCCAGCCTGGGCGACAGCGAGACTCCGTCTCAAAAAAAAAAAAAAAAAAAAAAAAAAAAAACAGAAGTAGAACTCATAGCCAGGCATGGTGGCTCACACTTGTAATCCCAGCAGTTTGGGAGGCCCAGGCAGGTGGATCATCTTGAGGTCAGGGCAATATGGTGAAGACCAGCCTGGGCAATATGGAGAAACCCCTTCTCTACTAAAAATACAAAAAATTAGCTAGGCATGGTGGCGGGCGCCTATAATCCCAGCTACTAGGGAGGCTGAGGCAAGAGAATCACTTGAACCCGGGAGGCGGAGGTTGCGGTGAGCCAAGGTCACCTGGGCAACAGAGAGAGACTTTGTCTCAAAATAAAATAAAATAGGCCGGGCACGGTGGCTCATGCCTATAATCCCAGCAATTTGGGAGGCCAAGGTGGGTGGGTCACAAGGTCAGGAGATCAAGACCATCCTGGCTAACACGGTGAAACCCTGTCTCTACTAAAAATACAAAAAATTAGCCGGGTGTGGCGGCGGGTGCATGTAGTCCCAGCTACTGGGGAGGCTGAGGCAGGAGAATGGTGTGAACCCGGGAGACGGAGCTTGCAGTGAGCCGAGATCGCGCCACTGCACTCCAGCCTGGGCAACAGAGCGAGACTCTGTCTCAAAAACAAACAAACAAAAAAACACAAAAAACAAACAAAAATAATTATTAATTTAATTTAATTTAATTAGATAAATGTGGAAGGGGAAGACCCAGGAAGAGTAAGTTTTGGGAGTAAGAAGGATATTATTATTAGTATTAGTATTAGTATTAGTATTAGTATTTTGATGCTCTGTCACCCAGGATGGAGTGCAGTGTTGTGATCTCAGCTCACTGCAACCTCCATCTCCTGGGTTCAAGTGATTCTCGTGCCAAGAGTAGACGCAGGGTTTCACCATGTTGGCCAGGCTGGTCTCGAACTCTTGGCCTCAAGTGATCCGCGTGCCTCGGCCTCCCAACGTGCTGGGATTACAGGCGTGAGTCACCATGCCCGGCCAAAATTTTTTAAGTATTATTATTATTTTTTTTTTACTTTTTAAAAAATGTATAGAGATGAGGTCTCACTGTGTTGACCAGGCTGGTCTCAAACTCCTGGCCCCAAGCAGTCCTCCCATCTCAGCCTCCCAAAGTGCTGAGATTACAAGCATGAGCCACTGCATCTGGCCAGGTATAGATGACGCTTAAAGCTCTGGGGCTGAGGCCAGGTCAAAGCACCCCAGTGTTTAGACAAGTGCTTCTCAACTGGGGGCAACTGTGCTGCTGCTGCACCCCCAGGAGACACATGGCAATCCCTGGAGACATGTTGTTGTAACTGGAAGGTGCTAGTCGGATGTCGTGGGTGGGGGCCAGGGATGCTCCTAAACACCTTAAAATGCACAGGATCCATCGTTTTTGTTTATTTTACAGCTCAAGTGCAGTGGCGTGATCTCGGCTCACTGCAACCTCTCCCTCCCAGGTTCAAGCAATCCTCCTGTCTCAGCCCCCCTAGTAGCTGGGATTATAGGCACGTGCTACCATGACAGACTAATCTTTGTATTTTTAGCCTCCCAAAGTGCTGGGATTACAGGTGCCAGCCATTGCACCCAGCCTCCGCACTCTTGAAGAACCAGAAAGCCAATGGTCCTCCCTTCTCAAGAAAACAAGAGTTGGCCAGGTGCAATGGCTGACATCTGTAATTCCAGTATTTTGGGAGGCCAAGGTGAGAGGATCACTTAAGCTCAGGAGTTCGAGACCAGCCAGGTCAACATAGCAAGACTCCATCTTTACAAAGAAAAAAAAAGAGGCTGGGCGCGGTGGCTCAGACCTGTAATCCCAGCACTTTGGGAGGCCAAGGTGGGTGGATCACAAGGTCAGGAGATCGAGACCATCCTGGCCAACGTGGTGAAACCCCATCTCTACTAAAAATACAAAAATGGCTGGGTGCAGTGGCTCACGCCTGTAATCCCAGCACTTTGGTAGGCCACGGCGGGTGGATCACAAGGTCAAGAGATTGAGAGCATCCTGGCCAACATGGTGAAACCCCGTCTTTACCAGAAATACAAAAATTAGCCTGGCATGGTGGTGGGCACCTGTAGTCCCAGCTGCTCGGGAGGCTGAGGCAGGAGAATCACTTGAACCCAGGAGGCAGAGGTTGCAGTGAGCCGAGATTGCACCACTGCACTCCAGCATGGGCGGCAGAGCGAGACTCCGTCTGAACAACAACAACAAAAAATACAGAAATTAGCTGAGTTTGGTGGCGCTTGCCTGTAATCCCAGCTACTTGGGAGGCTGAGGCATAAGAATCGCTTGAATCCAAGAGGCAGAGGCTGCAGTGAGCCTTGTCGTGTGGCAACAGAGCGAGACTCTGTCTCCAAAAAAATAAAAAGAGTGAGGAAAGATGGTGCTGGGCCTTGGAGGAAGAGGAACATATCTCCTGGGCCCAGAATAAGGAAGGACCACAGGCCAGGGACTTCTGGATCTTCATGAGCCAGGCAGGAGTTGTCAAATGTTAACAGGCATCAGAGTCACTGGAGGACTTGTTAACTTGGAAGACTTCTCCTGGGCCCCACCCCCAGGGCTTCTGGTGCAAAAGGGGTGGGGACAAGGATTTGTATGTCTCACAAGTTCTCAGGTGATGCTGATGCCAGACCTGGGACCCCAGGTTAAGAACCACCGGGCTGCCCGGGTGTGGTGTCTGACACCTGTGATCCCAGCACTTTGGGAGGCCAAGGCGGGCAGATCACGAGGTCAGGAGATCGAGACCATCCTGGCTAACACGGTGAAACCCCGTCTCTACTAAAAATAGAAAAGAAAATTAGCCGGGCGTGGTGGCAGGCGCCTGTAGTCCCAGCTACTCGGGAGGCTGAGGCAGGAGAATGGCGTGAACCTGGGAGGCGGAGCTTGCAGTGAGCCAAGATCGCGCCACTGCACTCTAGCCTGGGCGACAGAGCGAGACTCTGTCTCAAAAAAAAAAAAAAAAAACCACTGGGCTGAAGAATTAAGACTTGTTGGTCCTGGGAGAGGAAGGGCAGTGGAATATAAAATGTTAAATCTTTAAAGAAGAAGAGGGTCTTGATAGGACTGAGTGTGTATGGAAGGCTGCGAGCTCCTGGATCCCTGAAGGAGACAGAGGCCTGTAGCCTCCTCCGCCTTCCGGAGCTAGGGTCATGGGTCTGAGTGGGGAGGGCCTGGGGCCTGGTCTCCTGGATCTGAGGGAGGAGGGAGGTGGGGTCTGGTCTCCTGGATCTGAGGGAGGAGGGAAGTGGGGTCTGGACTCCTGGATCTGAGGGAGGAGGGAGGTGGGGTCTGGTCTCCTGGGTCTGAGGGAGGAGGGACTGGGGCCTGATCTCCTGGGTCTGAGGGAGGAAGGGGTGGGGTCTGGACTCCTGGGTCTGAGGGAGGAGGGGCTGGGCCTGCACTTCTCGGTCTGAGGGAGGAGGGGCTGGGGTCCTGGACTCCTGGATCTGGGGGCAGTGGGCACTGGGGACCTGGACTCGTAGGTCCTGACTCCCAGCCTCCTCCTCAGGAGCGCCTGGACCATGCTGCTGAGCGCCTACTGGCACGGCCTCCACCCGGGCTACTACCTGAGCTTCCTGACCATCCCGCTGTGCCTGGCTGCCGAGGGCCGGCTGGAGTCAGCCCTGCGGGGGCGGCTGAGCCCAGGGGGCCAGAAGGCCTGGGACTGGGTGCACTGGTTCCTGAAGATGCGCGCCTATGACTACATGTGCATGGGCTTCGTGCTGCTCTCCTTGGCCGACACCCTTCGGTACTGGGCCTCCATCTACTTCTGTATCCACTTCCTGGCCCTGGCAGCCCTGGGGCTGGGGCTGGCTTTAGGTGGGGGCAGCCCCAGCCGGCGGAAGGCAGCATCCCAGCCCACCAGCCTTGCCCCGGAGAAGCTCCGGGAGGAGTAAGCTGTCACGACGCTCCCTCTGCCAGCTGGTCCCGGGAATTCTGTGAACCAGGCTGCTGTCTCCTCCCCAGAAAGAGTCCTTACCTTGGAGAGGGTCCTGGAGAGAATTTCCTCTTCCCCAGCTAAATACCCTGCCTGCAACTGAAGCAGACCCGGGGGTGTCCTCCCTGCCCTCTGCCCAGAGGCCACCTCCACTCCTACAAAATCAAAGTATTGTCCAGACAAGAGTCACTGGCCCCTGCTCCAGCTTCTGGGTATCCAGAGAGCACTGCACTTCCCCAAAACGGAAGGGGCCCCTGGGCAGTGGGTTTTGGGCAAATTCCCTTTCTTTGCATCCACAATGTGGGGTCGGAGCTTGGGGGCAGGTCCTGGGAGTGGGAAGCCTCTTCCTTGTGTCTTTCGCTCCACTTTTAGCTCATCGCACCAATATTGCAGACTTGGAAGGAAGCATAAGCTTCCCATTTCACAAAGGGGAAACTGAGGTGCGGGTGCGCGGGCCTGGGGACGGCCGTCCCATGGCTTCCATCTGAGCCACCTCGGGACCCCAGCACTCCTGGCGCCCTCTTCTCATCGCTTGGCCTATGACAGGTCACCGTGTGTAAATCTTTCCCAATAAAGTGTTGCACAAAGGCATCGTGTCCGTGCAGGTATCTGGGTGATAAACGGTGGGAAGGACTTAGTCCACCAAGTCCCAGGGTGAGGTACAGCCCCCCCGCCCAGCCCAGGAACCAAACTGTGAGGCCCGGGGCACCACGGGGACTTCAGCTCCCAGGAGACCTTTCGCATCAGCGGCCCTGAGAAACCACAGGAAGTGTACCTTACTCCCTCCGGGCCACCTGCTGGCCAGGTACACACCTGCCCCTGGCCCCTCCCTTACCTGGGGCAGTGTCTGCCTGGTGGCCACTAGAGACAGCCCAGCCTGGGGCCATGGAAGAAAACCCGACCTTGGAATCAGAAGCCTGGGGCTCCTCTAGGGAGTGGCTGGCCCCCCGGGAGGCCAGAGGAGGTAGGGAATGCCAGGAGAAGCTCAGATCCATCCGACCTTCAGGCTAGGTGGGAGTCCTGCTGGAGGAGGAAAGGGGAGGCCTGGCCTCCTGAGTCTGAGGGCTAAAGAGAGAAGGTTCCACTTCCTGATATTATGGGGGAGAAGGGAACTGGAGGCTGGAACTCCAGGGTCTGAGGAGGAGGAGCCTGGAGAACCAGGCTAGTCTGGGAGGAGGGGAGGGCTAAGGGCTGGGAGTTTGGGTGTCTTGGGAATAGGAGAGGCTGGGTTCCCACACTCCTGAGCTAGAGGGAAAAGGAAGTTAAAGCCTGGACTCCACTGCCCTGGAGTAGGAGGGTTCCACGCTTGGGGATGGAGTTGAGGGCTGTGGACCCCTGGGTCCAGGGGAAGTAGAGGCTGGCACCCGGACTCCTGGGCCTGAGGGAGGAGGGGCTGGGAACCTGGTTTCCTGGTCTGAGGGAGGAGGGGCTGGGTGCCTGGATTCCTATGTCTGAGGGAGGAGGAGCCGGGGGCCTGGACTCCTGGGTCTGAGGGAGGAGGGGCCGGGGGCCTGTTCTCCTGGGTCTGAGGGAGGAGGAGCCGGGGGCCTGGACTCCTGGGTCTGAGGGAGGAGGCGCCGGGGGCCTGTTCTCCTGGGTCTGAGGGAGGAGGAGCCGGGGGCCTGGACTCCTGGGTCTGAGGGAGGAGGAGCCGGGGGCCTGGACTCCTGGGTCTGAGGGAGGAGGAGCCGGGGGCCTGGACTCCTGGGTCTGAGGGAGGAGGAGCCGGGGGCCTGGACTCCTGGGTCTGAGGGAGGAGGAGCCGGGGGCCTGGACTCCTGGGTCTGAGGGAGGAGGAGCCGGGGGCCTGGACTCCTGGGTCTGAGGGAGGAGGGGCCGGGGACCTGGTTTCCTGGTCTGAGGGAGGAGGAATTAGGGCCCAGACTCCCGGGTCTTCCCAGCCCCCTGCTCCTCCCCAGGCCCATCGCTGTCTTCTGTGCTGAACGAGCTGCCCAGTGCTGCCACCCTTCGGTACCGAGACCCTGGGGTGCTGCCTTGGGGGGCGCTGGAGGAGGAGGAGGAGGATGGAGGAAGGAGCAGAAAGGCCTTCACAGAAGTCACCCAGACAGAGCTGCAGGACCCTCACCCTTCCCGGGAACTGCCCTGGCCCATGCAGGCCAGACGGGCACACAGGTGAGGCCCCACCTCCAGCTGGGACCCGCACAGCCCGGACCGGGCCCTTCTCCCATACCCTGGACTCGGTCTCCTCCCTCTGTCCTCTGCCGCTCCTGGCTTCTGGGGCCTCTCTCTGCCCCGCTCAGAGCTGCCTCTCTTGGTTTCTTTCTTCCCCTCATCTTTGTCTCTACTTCGGACTCCAGGTGAGTGCTGCCTTTCGATGGCTCTGGGGTCTCTTCTCTCTGGGATTTGCCGTCTCCCTGGTCTCCACCAATCCTGTCTCTGCCTCAGTTTCTCTCTGTGTGTGTGTCCAAAATCTGTTAATATTTATTTCTCTCTGCTTTATACCTTCCTTCATCTTTGCCTCCTCTTCCAAGCCTCCCTCTCTTTAACTTCTTTCTTTTCCCATTCTCACTGCATAATTTGCAGGGCCTGGTGAACAATGAAAATGCAGGTGCCCTCCTTCAAAAATGATTATGGGCCCATTGCAGTGGCTCACACCTGTAATCCCAGCACTTTGGGAGGCCCAGGCGAGTGGATCACCTGTGGTCAGGAGTTCGAGACCAGCCTGGCCAACATGGCAAAACCCCAACTCTACTAAAAATACAAACATTAGCTGGGTGTGGTGGCGGGTGCCTGTAATCCCAGCTACTCGGGAGGCTGAAGCAGGAGAATCGCTTGAACCAGGGAGATAGAGGTTGCAGTGAGCCAAGATCGTGCCATTGGACTCCGGCCTGGGTGATAGAGCGGGACTCCATCTCAAATATATATGCGTATATATATGCATATGTGTGTATATATATACACATATATATGTATATATATGTGTATATATATGGAAAAAACAATAAAAAATAACAATGTATCAACACTCCCACACCGATCAGTAGTGGGATCATGCCTGTGAATATAGCCACTATACTGCGGCCTGAGTAACATAGCGAGACCCCCATCTCTATTTTTTAAAAGTAATAATCAAAGTAACAATATGACAAAAAATAATACAAGTTAAAAGAACAGCTATCTATATAACATTTACCTTGTACCGGGTGTTATAAGTAATCTAGAGGTGATTTAAAGTGCATTGGAGGGCTGGGTGTCGTGGCCCATACCTGTAGCCCCAGCGCTTTGGGAGGCTGAGGCGGGAGAATTGCTTGAGCCTGGAAGTTTGAGGCTGCATTGAGCTATGATTGCACCACCGCACTCCAGCCTGGACAACAAAACGAGACATTTGTCTGTAAAAATCAGATAAAAATTAAAATAAAATAAAATAAAACAAACACAGGAGGATGTGTGTAGCCTGTATGCAAATACTATACCGTTTTATATAAGGAATTTGGGCATCTACAGATTTCAGTATTCTTGGGGAGTCCTTGAACCAACCCCCATGGATACTGAGGGATGGCTGTATTCATAAAGTGAGAGCCCAGATAAACTCCAGCTAGGGCAAGTGACACGGCATGACAGCACCCTGTGCGTCCCTCCCCTGACACCCCCTTTTTCCTCACAAATACAAGGTAACCTCTTCTCCCTAACCTTTTTTTTTTTTTTTTTGACAGAGTCTTGCTCTGATGCCCAGGCTGGAGTGCAGTGGTGCAGTCTCAGCTCACTGCAGCCTCCGACACCTGGGCTCAAGCGATCCTCCCACTCCAGCCTCCTGCTTTTCTGTAGAGCTTTGCAAGCTGTGCTCTGCAACGTTGTGCAAATAGAATCATACAGTCTTCAGTCTTTTGTGCTGGCTTCTTCTGCCTAGCATTAGGTTTCTTTCTTTTCTTTCTTTCTTTCCTTTCTTGGAATCTCACTCCGTCACCCAGGCTGGAATGCAATGGCGCCATCTCAGCTCACTGCAACCTCCACCTCCCAGGTTCAAGCAATTTTCCTGCCTCAGCCTCTCGTGTAGCTGGGATTACAGGCACCCGCCACCAGGCCCAGCTAATTTTTTTTTTTTTTTGGTATTTTTAGTAGAGACAGGATTTCACCATGTTGGTCAGGCTGGTCTCGAACTCCTGACCTCAGGTGATTCACCCACCTCGGCCTCCCAAAGTGCTGGGATTACAGGCCTGAGCCACTGTACCCAGCTGGTTTCTTTTTTATTGCTACAGAGTATTCTATCTTATGTATAGGCCACAATTTACTTCTCCATTCTACTGTTGGATTGTGTCTACATTCAGATGGTTCCCAGTCTGGGGCTGCGAAACCCCTCATTTTCTGCCTGTTTCCCTCCCAGGCAAAGAAATGCCAGCAGGGACCAGGTGGTCTATGGCTCTGGAACTAAGACGGACCGATGGGCGCGGCTACTTCGGAGGTCCAAGGAGAAAACAAAGGAAGGCTTGCGAAGCCTGCAGCCCTGGGCGTGGACACTGAAGAGGATCGGGGGTGCGGTGGGGTTTGGGTGGTGTCCTGGGGGCAGGGCCTGGACTCCTGGGTCTGAGGGAGGAGGGGCTGGGGACGGACTCCTGGGTTTGAGGGAGGAGGGGCTTGGGCCTGGATTTTTGGGTCTGAGGGAGGAGGGGCTGGGGGTCTGGACTCTTGGGTCTGAGAAAGGCACGGCTGGGCCTGGCGCGGTGGCTCACGCCTGTAATCCCAACAGTTTGGGAGGCCGAGGTGGGTGGATCACCTGAGGTCAAGAATTCGAGACCAGCCTGACCAACATGGTGAAACCCCCGTCTCTACCAAAAATACAAAAACTAGCTGAGCATGGTGGCGCACGCCTGTAATCCCAGCTACTCGTGAGGCTGAGACAGGAGAATTGCTTGAACCCAGGAGGCGGAGGTTGCAGTGAGCCGAGATCGCGCCACTGCACTCCATGCTGGGCGGCAGAGCGAAACTCCGTCTCAAAAAAAAAAAAGAAAAGAAAAGAAAAGAAAAAAAAAAAAATATATATATATATATAGAGAGAGAGAGAGAGAGAGAGAAAGAAGAAGGAAGGAAGGAAGGAAGGAAGGAAGGAAGGAAGGAAGGAAGGAAGGAAGGAAAGAAAGAAGAAAGAAAGGAAAGAAAGAAAAGAAAAGAAAAGAAAAGAAAAGAAAAGAAAAGAAAAGAAAAGAAAAGAAAAGAAAAGAAAAGAAAAGAAAAGAAAAGAAAAGAAAAGAAAGAAAAGAAAAGAAAGAAAGAAAGGAAGGCGCGGCTGGACCCCAGTCCAGGGGTAGGAGGGGCTGGTCCTGCTCCCGGGAAGGAACCTGAGCCTCTCTCTGCTGCCCCCTGCAGGCCAGTTTGGCGCCGGCACGGAGTCCTACTTCTCCCTGCTGCGCTTCCTGCTCCTTCTTAACGTGCTGGCCTCTGTGCTCATGGCCTGCATGACGCTGCTGCCCACCTGGTTGGGAGGCGCTCCCCCAGGCCCTCCCGGCCCCGACATCTCCTCGCCCTGCGGCTCCTATAACCCCCACTCCCAGGGCCTGGTCACCTTTGCCACCCAGCTCTTCAACTTGCTCTCGGGTGAGGTAGGTGCCTGGGTCCCTGGGGGATTCCCCGCCCACCTGTGACCCCAGTGCCTTCAATGACACGAACCTCAAACCCTGACCCCAGACCCTGACTGTGCAGCTCCAGGAGCCCCGCCTCCTCCCACAGTGGCCCCTGCGCCGCCTTCCCCCCACAGGGTTACCTGGAATGGTCCCCTCTCTTCTATGGCTTCTACCCGCCCCGCCCACGCCTGGCGGTCACCTACCTGTGCTGGGCCTTTGCCGTTGGCCTCATCTGCCTCCTGCTCATCCTGCATCGGTCAGTGGCACCTGCACCCCTGACCCCTGACGGGACGGGTTGGGGTGGGGAAGCAAGTGGTGGTGGCAGAAACCCCCTCCCCAAGAATCCTCAGTCTTTTTTTTTTTGAGACGGAGTTTTGCTCTTATTGCCCAGGCTAGAGTGTAGTGGCGCAATCTCGGCTCACTGCAACCTCCGCCTTCCGGTTTCAAGCGATTCTCCTGCCTCAGCCTCCCAAGTTGCTGGGATTACAGGCGCCCGCCACCACGCCCAGCTAACTTTTTTGTATTTTTAGTAGAGATGGGGTTTCACCATGTTGGTCAGGCTGGTCTTGAACTGCTGACCTCGTGATCCACCCGCCTCGGCCTCCCACAGTGCTGGGATTACAGGCGTGAGCCACCGCGCCCGGCCCCAGAATCCTCGGTCTTGCTGTGTAACCCTTTATTCTGTGTGAGTTAAAATCAAGGTTTTGGGCCAGGAGCGGTGGCCCAGGAGGTGGAGCTTGCAGTGAGCCGAGTTTGCGCCACTGCACTCCAGCCTGGGCGACAGAGAGAAACTCCATCTAAAAAAAAAAAAAAGATCAAGGTTTTGGGATTTGTTTTTGTTTTTCATTTGTTTTGTTTGTTTGTTTTTGAGACAGAGTCTTACTCTGTCGCCCAGGCTGGAGTGCAATGGCACGATCTTGGCTCACTGCAACCTCCACCTCCCGGGTTCAAGCGATTCTACTGCCTCACCCTCCCAAGTAGCTGGGTTTACAGGCTCCGGCCACCACGCCCAGCTAATTTTTTGTATTTTTAGTAGAGACGGGGTATCGCCATGTTGGCCAGGCTGGTCTCGAACTCCTGATCTCAGGTGATCCACCTGCCTCGGCCTCCCAAAGTGCTGGGATTACAGGTGTGAGCCACCGCACCCAGTCTGTTTTGTTTTTTGAGACAGGGTCTCACTCTGTCACCCGGCTAGCGTGCAGTGGTGCAATCATAGCTCACCGGAAGCCTGGGCCTCCGGAACTCAACTGATCCGCCTACCTCAGCCTCGGGAGCAGCTGGGACCACAGGGGTGCACCACCATGTCTTGCTAAAAATTTTTTTTTAATGTTATAGAGACAGGGTCTTGCTATGTTGCCCAGGCTGCGCTCAAACTCCTAGGCTCAAGAGATCTGCTCACCTCAGCCTCCCAAGGTGCTGGAATTACAGGCATGAGCCAATGTGCCTGGCCAAAAGTCAACTTTTTTTTTTTTTTGAGACGGAGTCTCGCTCTGTCACCCAGGCTAGAGTGCAGTAGTGCGATCTCAGCTCACTGCAACCTCCGCCGCCCGGGTTCAAGCAATTTTCCTGCCTCAACCTCCCAAGTAGCTGGGATTACAGGCATGTGCCACCATGCCCGGCTAATTTTGTATTTTTAGTAGAAATGGGGTTTCACCATGTTTGTCAGGCTGGTCTCGAACTCCTGACCTCAGGTGATGCACCCGCCTCGGTCTCCCAAAGTGCTGGGATTACAGGCGTGAGCCACCACGCCCGGCAAAGAGCCTCGATTTTAAGAGAAGGGAAAAGCCCTGGAATAGGTCTTAAACAGGGGAATACGGTCTGAGTTGCATCAAAAGAAGGTCCCACTGGCTCAAGAACTGAGAATGGATTATATGCGGGCACAAGTGGAAGCAAGGAGACCATGTGAGGGCCCTCTGTGGTTGTTCACATGAGAGATGATGGGGGCCGGGGCCAGGGCAGTGAAGGTGCACATGGTCTCTTTGTCCAGTTCTGTTTCTGCCCCTGCTGGGGTTCTCTATCTCCTTCCTGGGTCTTTGCCCCCCTCTCTTGAGTCTCTTTACCTGCCCGTCTTCTCTGGGTCTTTTTTTTTTTTTTTTTTTTTTTGGAGGCGACCTCCACCTCCTGGGTTCAAGTGATCCTCCCACCTCAGCCTCCCAAGTAGTTGGGATTACAGGCATGCACCACCACGCCTGGCTAATTTTTGTATTTTTAGTAGAGACGGGGTTTCACCACATTGGCCAGGCTGGTCTCAAACTCCTGACCTCAGGTGATCCTCCCCCCTCGGCCTCCCAAAGTGCTGGGATTACAGGCGTGAGCCATGGCGCCTGGCCTGCCCCCTCTCTTGAGTCTTTACCTGCCATCTTCTCTGGGTCTCTGTCTTCTTCTCGGCTCTTCCCGCCGCAGCTCCCTTCTCTGTGTGCCTGTACTTCTTATGGGTCTTTGACCCCCATCTTTTGTAGATGTAGTTTCCCCTTTCTCACTGTCTTTTTCTCCCTTTCTCCGAATCTCCCTCTGGGGCCTCTGTCCCTCCTCCACATCTCTGTCTTCCTCAGGGCCTCTGTTTCTCTCACTCTGGGTTTCTGCCCCCTTCGCTCCGAGGCTCTGTCCCTGTCTCCTAGGTTTCTGCCTCTCTTTGGGGTGCCTGCACCCCAGAACTGTCTCTGAATCTCCCTTGGACTTTGCCTTCAATGACTGTGTCTCCGCCTCTTTGACTCTTTCCCCATCTGGTCTGGTGGGAACTCGCCTAGTACCCAAGGCCTTAGGGTTCATCTTCCCCATTTGTCCCAATATGAGGGGTCTCCCCATAACCCCCGTTCCTGGCTGTCCTTTCACTTCCCGTCTCCCGGGTCTCCCCTCTCAGCTCGGTGTCTGGGCTGAAGCAGACACTGCTGGCGGAGTCCGAGGCTCTGACCAGCTACAGCCACCGGGTGTTCTCGGCCTGGGACTTCGGTCTCTGCGGGGACGTCCACGTGCGGCTGCGCCAGCGCATCATCTTGTACGAATTAAAGGTGCGATTAGGGAGCGGGGTCTGCAACTGGGTAGGGACCAGACAGGACCGGGCTGAGATAACGCACAGGGCCTAACTCGGTGATGGGGCCTCCGGAGAGATGCTAAGCAGCTCCTTCTCCAAGAAAGGCAGGTCCTGGGGAATGAGAAGGTTGAGAGGAGGCCGAGATAGGGCTGCCCGAGCTCCAAGCGTGTAGGAAAAGGATGCGCCAGGGCTGGGATCGGTGGCTAATGCTTGTAACCCCAGCACTTTGGGAGACCGAGACAGGTGGATCGCTTCAGTCTAGGAGTTCGAGACCAGCCTGGGCAACATAGGGAGGCTCCCTCTCTACCAAAAAAAAAAAAAAAAAGTTTGTTTTTTTTTAAGTAAGCACAAGAAGCGGGCGGGGCCTAAGGCAATTTGGTTCAAAGTTAAGTGATGGGAGCGGCCAGCAGGGCGTCTTGATACAGCTGAACTGGAACTTCAGGCCAGGAATAAAGCGCAGGGCCACCTGGGGGCGGAGCCTCTGATGGGCAGGGCTGACCAGGGGCGGGTCTTGGGATGCTGGGCGGAGCCTCAGGGGCGGGGCCTGGGGTGCTGAGATTGACCGCGGAGGGATGGGGGCTTGGGTTGCTGGATCCGGCCGCGAAGGGGCGGGGCTGTAAAGGGCCGCTGGTTTCCTGGAGCAGGTGGAACCAGGACTGCAGAGGTTGTTAGCGGGTGGGGAGACGGCTGCATCAGTTCACGTTAAGGAGGATCTCTGGAGAGCCAGACCTGGGGAACCGGGAGGCCCGCGCCTTGGGAAATGGAGTCCAAGCGGGCATCTCTCCTGCCTTCAGGTGGAGCTGGAGGAGACAGTGGTGCGGCGCCAGGCTGCGGTGCGGACGCTGGGCCAGCAAGCCAGGGTTTGGTTGGTGCGGGTGCTGCTCAACCTGCTGGTGGTCGCGCTCCTGGGGGCAGCCTTCTATGGCGTCTACTGGGCTACGGGGTGCACCGTGGAGCTGCAGGTGCGGACGGTCTTGGAAGAGGAAGCCAGGGGGTCCTGGAACCTACATTTCCAACGGTGGAGGGAGGGGACGGAAGTTTGGGATGCCAGAGATCTTAGAGAGGAAGTATGGGAGAGGGTATGTTCGGACCCTGGACTTAGGGATTTTAAAGGAAAAAGAGAGGCTGGGCGCGGTGGCTTACACCTGTAATCCCAGCACTTTGGGAGGCTGAGGCGGGCGGATCACGATGTCAGGAGTTCCAGACCAGCCTGACCAACATGGTGAAAAACAGTCTCTACTAAAAATACAAAAATTAGACGGGCGTGGTGGTGGGCGCCTGTAATCCCAGCTACTCAGGAGGCTGAGGCAGGAGAATCACTTGAACCCGGGAGGCAGAGGTTGCAGCGAGCCGAGATCGCACCGCTGCATTCTAGGCTGGGTAACAGAGCGAGACTCTGTCTCAAAAAAAAAAAAAAAGAAGAAGAAGAAGAAGAGGCCGGGGGGAGGACCTTAAGCTTGGCTCCTCCAGGACCCCAAGCCTCTACTCATGGTCCATCCCGCTCCCAGGAGATGCCCCTTGTCCAGGAGTTGCCACTGCTGAAGCTTGGGGTGAATTACCTTCCGTCCATCTTCATCGCTGGGGTCAATTTTGTGCTGCCGCCCGTGTTCAAGCTCATTGCTCCACTGGAGGGCTACACTCGGAGTCGCCAGATCGTTTTTATCCTGCTCAGGTTCCAGCCTCACGGGGATGGCTGGGAATGATGAAGGGTGGGGGCGGTCAGAGGGATGTTGGCGCTGACAGGTAAGACACGGAAATCCTGCTGATACCGAATCCAGGGATTCAAATCCTGACTCTGTTGGCCAGGTGCAGTGGCTCACACCTGTAATCCCAGCACTTTGGGAGGCCGAGGCTGAGGTCAGGAGTTCGAGACCAGCCTGACAAACATGATGAAACCCCGTCTGTAGTAAAAATACGAATATTAGCCCGGCGGTAGTGGCTTCTGTAGTCCCAGCTACTCGGGAGGCTGAGGCAGGAGAATGGCTCGAGCCTGGGAGGTGGAGGTTGCAGTGAGCTGAGATCGCGCCACTGCACTCCAGTCCGGGTGACAGAGTGAGACCCTGTCTCAAAAAAAAAAAAAAAAAAAAGAAAGAAAGAAAGAAAGAAATCCTGATTCTGTCACTGGGCCTCAGCTTCATCTGTGAGATGGGTTGAATGCGGGCGCGTTCCACTGAGAAGGGAACTGCCACATGGTGGGTACCGGGTCAGGGCCCATTCTCTGCCTTCCCCCCTTCAGGACCGTGTTTCTTCGCCTCGCCTCCCTGGTGGTCCTGCTCTTCTCTCTCTGGAATCAGATCACTTGTGGGGGCGACTCCGAGGCTGAGGACTGCAAAACCTGTGGCTACAATTACAAACAACTTCCGGTGAGAACGGCATGGGTGTGCGTGGGACTCTTGGGTCCCTGAAGGAAAGATGGAGCTGGGTGGGTCCAGACTCTTGGTTTGGGCGGAGAGGGGAGCTTGGGGTGCTGGAACACTCTCCCAAGGGTATGAAAGTTTGAAAAACGAGGACCCCCAGAGAAAGTATTGACAGGGTCTCATAGGCTTGCGATGTGGAGACTCGGACGCGTGGGCCTCCAGGTGCCCGGGTCCCGAGTTCTTTCTGATATATTTCTTCCTTCTTCAGTGCTGGGAGACTGTCCTGGGCCAGGAAATGTACAAACTTCTGCTCTTTGATCTGCTGACTGTCTTGGCAGTCGCGCTGCTCATCCAGTTTCCTAGAAAGTGAGAGCCCCGCCCCTTGCTGTGGCCCCGCCCCTCTAGGACGAGGCCGTGCCCCATCGCGCTGTTCTTTTCACCGCGCACCTTTTTACCATTCCCGCCTCTGCCTGCTCCCTTTGCTTGCCCTAGGTCCGCAGATCTCCCCGCTCCCCGCCCTTGTTTTAGTGGGTTACTTCCCTCTGGCCCCGACGGCGGCGACATCTGGGTCCCTTCTAGTCCTCAGGACCCGCCCTCTGGACACACCCCCTCCACGTGGAGTCCTGAAAGTCCCGCCCCCCCCCCCCCCACCACCAATACGCATGCTTCCTATTGGCGGGCGGGGCGGTGGAGGCGTGGAAACTCCAGGCCGCCACTCCCCTGACTCCGGCCCGGCCCCGCCCCGTCCTTCAGGCTCCTCTGTGGCCTCTGTCCTGGGGCGCTGGGTCGTCTGGCGGGGACCCAAGAGTTCCAGGTGCCCGACGAGGTGCTGGGGCTCATCTACGCGCAGACGGTGGTCTGGGTGGGGAGTTTTTTCTGCCCTTTACTGCCCCTGCTTAACACGGTCAAGTTCCTGCTGCTTTTCTACCTGAAGAAGGTAAGGGGTAGGGGGGACCCTTGGGTCTGAGGCAGGAGGTATTGGGGCCCGCACTCCTGGGTCAAGGGCAAGGAAGATCCTGGGGGCCTGGATTACTCGGTCCTGAGAGAGGAGGGGGTTGGAGGACAGACTACTGCATCTGAGAGGAGGGGTCTAGGGCATTCTGACTTATATGTCTGAGGATCTGGGGACTCAGACTCCGGGGTCCTAGATGAGGAAGGGGCTCAGACTCCTGGTTCGGAAAAAAGGAGAGGCAGGTAGGCCGGGTGCAGTGGCTCACGCCTGTAATCCCAGCACTTCGGGAGACTAAGGCGGGTGGATCACCTGAGGTCAGGAGTTTGAGACCAGCCTGGCTAACATGGCAAAACCCCGTCTCTACTAAAAATACAAAAAAAATTAGCCGGGCTTAGTGGCAGGCGCCTGTAATCCCAGCTACTCAGGAGGCTGAGGCAGGGGAATTGCTTGAACCAGGGAGGTGAAGGTCGAAGTGAGCCAAGATCGTGCCACTGCACTCCAGCCTGGGCGACAGAGCGAGACTCCGTCTCAAAAAGAGAAAACAAACAAACAACAACAACAGCAAAACAAATTAGCCGGGAGTGGTGGTGCACACCTGTAATCCCAGCTACTCGGGAGGCTGAGACACGAGAATAGCTTGAACCCGGGAGGGGAGGCTGCAGTGAGAGCCACTGCACTCCAGCCTGGGCGACAGAGCGAGACTCTGTCTCAAAAAAAAAAGCCTGGGCGACAGAGCGAGACTCTGTCTCAAAAAAAAAAAAAAAAAAAAATGGAGGCACAGACTCTTGTGTTTCAGAGCCCTTTTCTCCGTGCCTTCCCCCACCAGCTTACCCTCTTCTCCACCTGCTCCCCGGCTGCCCGCACCTTCCGGGCCTCCGCGGCGAATTTCTTTTTCCCCTTGGTCCTTCTCCTGGGTCTGGCCATCTCCAGCGTTCCCCTGCTTTACAGCATCTTCCTGTAAGTGCGAGAGGCTCCCGCCTCTCTCCCTCCCTCTCTCCCCATTCAGTGTTCAGACTCCTGGCACTATGTGAGCCCAGCCTGTCTTGACTTCAGGATCCCGCCTTCTAAGCTGTGTGGTCCATTCCGGGGGCAGTCGTCCATCTGGGCCCAGATCCCTGAGTCTATTTCCAGCCTCCCTGAGACCACCCAGAATTTCCTCTTCTTCCTGGGGACCCAGGCTTTTGCTGTGCCCCTTCTGCTGATCTCCAGGTGAGACGGCCCAGACTTCTGGGTCTGGGTTTGAATGCGTGTGATCTGGGGGCCACCACCTGCGTCCAAGAGAGGAGAGGCTTGGGCGTGGGAGCAGGCAACGTACTGAGTCTGAGGGAGGAGGCCTAGGCTCCTGGACTGCTGGGTCCGAAGGAGGAGGTGGGCGGGACGTAGGACTCCTGGATCTGAAGGCGGAGGGGCTGGGAGACTGAACTCCTTGAGCCCAGACGAGGAGGGGCTTAGGCGTCCACATCCCTGGCTTCGAAGGAGCCAGACGTTTGGATATAATGGAAGAGCGTGTCAGGAGTGGCTTCCGTTCCTGTCTCCTTCAGCATCCTGATGGCGTACACTGTGGCTCTGGCTAACTCCTACGGACGCCTCATCTCTGAGCTCAAACGTCAGAGAGAGACGGTGAGCCAGGCGGGTCCCTGAGAGGGCCCCTGGGGAACATGGAAAGGGGTTGGGGAAGAGGATTGTCTCACCTCCACCTCTCTTTGCCCCAGGAGGCGCAGAATAAAGTCTTCCTGGCACGGCGCGCTGTGGCGCTGACCTCCACCAAACCGGCTCTTTGACCCCCGCAGCCCACGTCCCGCTTTCAGACCCCAGGCCCATTGTAAGCCTAGGTCACAACATCTGTAAACTAGGAGAACTGGAGAAGACTCCACGCCCTTCCAGCTTTGGTATCTGGAGATTTCCAGGGCCCCTCGCCGCCACGTCCCTGACTCTCGGGTGATCTTCCTTGTATCAATAAATACAGCCGAGGTTGCTGAGCGCGCTTTGAAATCTGCGTCCTGAAGGTGGGGGCAGGGCTACAGCGGGGCAGGAGCCAATCAAATGTACGGGCATGTTTGTCGGTGCAGAGCGCTCTTCCGCAAGGAGACTTGTCGGTCATGTCGGCCAATCGACGGCCGCATCTGGTAGCATCAGGGGCGGGCCAACTTATGATTGGTTCAGATCTGTGACAAGAGGCGGTTGCTAGGGGATACCACGAGCCGAACGCCTAGCATTCGCTGTGATAAAGGGCGTCTCAGCCAATCACCTGTCGCTACAGGCCAGGGGGCCGTACCAACTAATTCGGAACCAATCCGCGGTCGAAGTAGGGACAAGAAAAAGGGGGGCATCCTCTCGCCAATCGGAAGTGCAAAGAGGCGGGCGTGCCAGTCCCTGGACAGCTACGACGCCATGAATATCTTGCCCAAGAAGAGCTGGCACGTCCGGAACAAGGACAATGTCGCCCGCGTGCGGCGTGACGAGGCCCAGGCCCGGGAGGAGGAGAAGGAGCGTGAGCGGAGGGTGCTGCTGGCTCAGCAAGAGGTAAGCTCGGAAGCCGGCAGGGCGGCGCTCCGGGGCCCAGCGCGCAGGCGCCGCGGTTGGGGGCCGGAAGCGGAGGCGTTGCGCAGGCTCAATGTGCCCCGTGTGAAATTCGGGACCAGGCGCCGATCCCACTTTCGAGGACGTTGCCCCGCAAACCTTGTGCCCACTTCCACGAAACCTTCCTTGATCTCGCCCTCGTCTTAGTTTTTCCCCCACTGATGTATTTCACATGGCTGGAACAGTGTCTAGCACAAAAGAGAAGCTTAACATTTAATGAATCCGTGAACCCTTGGACAGTTCAAGGAAATTCGGATCACTTTTTAGTTTGCCTGCACAGCCTATTTATTGAGCATCTACTGTATGCTAACTACATGCCGTGCACCTGACTTGCGGAATCCCCAATAAGCACTGTTCGTTCTTAGAGGGGCACTGTCATCTCTGTTGCACGAAGTGAGATGGCTTCAGTGAGGGGAAGGCACATTTTAAGGAGAGGCGGACAGCCAGGCTCCACGCCATCGGGCGAGCCCTTTCGTGCACCGCCCCCTAGACACATACACACAAACACGGGCTTTCCGTATGGCTCTTTAAATCTGTTTGGTGTACACCCAACTTTCATTTCCTTAGCTAGTCTGATCCTCCGCCGTGGGTGGGAGGTAGTCTAGGTTTTTAGAATCTCAGTAGGCTGCTGAGCGCTGTTTGAAATCCGCGTCCTGAAGGCAGGGGACAGGGCTTCAGCAGACTTGGGGTAGTCACTTGGAGCCATGGCTAGAATTCAGATCGTCTGGCCTAATGCATACCTTTATGGCTGTTTTAATTGTCTCACTTGAGGTTAGGAACCCCTTTGGTTTAGGCCAGGGACCTCCTCCCATACATCCTTGATGACCCGTGGTTTACTATTTGAAAGGGAGTTTACAAAACCCAGGCGTTGCCTCATCTGCCTACCCTCACCCCCAGCTAGGACAGGTGCCTCTTTTAGGCGCCTAGTGCTCCCTTTCTCATAACCCCAGCACCCTGGACTGCCATTTTCTGTGGTGGGCACCAGACTCACAGTTCTTGAATTACCTCTAGGTTCTGAATGTCCTGCCTATAACTTTCTCCCCAGGCCCGTACAGAATTCCTACGGAAGAAAGCCAGACATCAGAACTCACTGCCTGAGCTTGAAGCAGCAGAGGCGGGAGCCCCAGGTTCTGGCCCTGTGGACCTGTTTCGGGAGCTGCTGGAGGAAGGGAAAGGAGTGATCAGAGGCAATAAAGAGTACAAGGAAGAAAAGCGACAGGAGAAAGTAAGCTGGCCTCACCCACTTCATCAGAGGGGCCATGAATCGAGTTGGAGGGAGGGGGCACTTTAGCCATTGGTTGTGACCAAGGTCAAACAAGAGTGAACACACAGAATTTAGGACCATACCAAGGCATGACACTCAAAAAGCGTTGGCTATTGCCGTCTGGGCGCCCACAGGGGTTGGAGGTAGATGCTAGAGGTCCCCAGCTGCTGGGCAAACCGCTCAGTTCTCCAAACTGGAGGAGTCTCAAACCTGATGGGCTTTTAAAAATTTAAATCAGCCGGCTGTGGCTCACGCCTGTAATCCCACCACCTTGGGAGGCTGAGGCGGGTGGATCACCTGAGGTCAGGAGTTCAAGACCAGCCTGGTCAACATGGTATCTCTAAAAATACAAAAAAAATTAGCCGGGCATGGTGGTGCGCGCCTGTAATCCCAGGGAGGCTGAAGCAGGAGAATCGCTTGACCCAGGAGGTGGAAGCTGCAGTAAGCCGAGATTGCGCCACTGCACTCCAGCCTGGGTGACAGAGCGAGACCCCATCTCAAAACAATCAAACAAAAAGTGAATCAATCGCCTCTTGCTTTTTGGCTAAGATCAAGTGTAAAAGGTACATCAGTGGCTGTGCATGGTGGCTCACGCCTGTAATCCCAGCACTTTGGGAGGCCAACGTGGGTGGATCACCTGAGGTCAGAAGTTCAAGACCAGCCTGGCCAAACATGGCAAAACCCCGTCT
The DNA here is from genome assembly GCF_000001405.40 of Homo sapiens. Lineage (NCBI taxonomy): Eukaryota > Metazoa > Chordata > Mammalia > Primates > Hominidae > Homo > Homo sapiens. The sequence goes on along the minus strand of NC_000019.10, from coordinate 54,157,553 downwards.
CTACTAAAAATACAAAAATTAGCTGGGCATGGTGGTGTGTGCCTGTAATCCCAGCTACTCGGGGGGCTGAGGTAGGAGGATTGCTTGAACCTGGGAAGCAGAGGTTGCAGTGAGCCGAGATCGTGCCACTGCACTCGAGTCTGGGCAACAGAGCGAGACTCCATCTCAAAAAAAAGAGGTACATCAGCTCTTGTCATTTATCTGCTGTCTCTGGACTTGCTGACCCCACCCATCGCTCCTCTGCTTTGCTTGATCCCTTCAGGCTTCTCTTCAAGTCTCTCTGCAAAGATGCCTGCCTCTGAACACTCAAGTGGCTCCACTTGTCCCCTCCTTCCCCTGCTGTTACTGTACCTGCTACTGTCCCCCCAGGGGGAGCTTTGCCTCTGTTTGTCTTCCATCCCCAGCACCTGGTCCAACTGGTTCATAACAAGCCTTAGATACCTGTTCGCTTAGATACCTGTGTCAGGGAGACACACCTGACACCTTGAAAGATTATATCACATCTCTTGTATTTCCTGGCCCCCTCAGGAGAGGCAAGAGAAAGCTCTGGGCATCCTGACATACCTGGGCCAGAGTGCAGCGGAGGCACAGACTCAACCCCCTTGGTACCAGCTACCCCCAGGGCGAGGGGGCCCCCCGCCCGGCCCAGCCCCAGATGAGAAGATCAAGAGCCGTCTGGACCCTCTGCGGGAGATGCAGAAGCATCTGGGGAAGAAGAGACAGCACGGCGGTGATGAAGGCAGTCGCAGCAGAAAGGAAAAGGAGGGGTCTGAGAAGCAGCGACCCAAGGAGTAAGAAGACCCCACCTCGGCAGACCAGGGCCCAGACCTTCAGGGCTTGGCAGCAGCCCAGCATGGGCACTGCAGCGTCTCTGGTCAGGACAGCCAGGGACTCCGTGAAGGGCTGGCTAGGTGGAGAAGTGGTTCTCAGCATGTGGTCCAGGGAGCCCTAGGGGTCCTGACACCCTTTCCCGGGGTGCTGTGGTGTCAAGCCTATTTTCCTGACACTGGTGGACTTTTCCACTCGTGTTCTCAGGCATGTAGTGCAGGTTTCCAGAGGCTGTGTGATGGGGAGACACCCTCACTCTGATGGCCAATGGCAGATGCTTGTGTCCAAACTTTCTTAGTTTTCACTAATGATTTGCAGCATATTAAGAGAACCCATTTAAACAAAAGCTCTTGGGGTCCTTGGTTTTTAAGAGTATAAAGGGGTCCTGAGACCAAAGAGTTTGAGAGCTGCTGGGTTAGAGAGTAAAAGCAGGCTTCTGTCTCCAGGATGCTGCACCCCTGGTCTAGAGGGGGTACACTGCCTGTAGTCTTCTTTCCTCTAGAAAGGGAAACTGAGGGCCAGGGGGCTGCTAAGTGTGCTTTCTTGACCTGGAGAAGCATCAGATTTTAAAGACTGGGGAGGACCAAAGCCCACAGAAGGGAAGGCCAGAGACGTGCCCATGGCGTCCCAGCACCAAGTGGCTGCTTCCAGCAGGCCTAAGGAGCTGAGGCTGGGGTGTGCTGGATGCAGCGGGGCTTCCAGGCGGCAGCTCCCTCTATGGGAGAGGTTGGGGGAATGGCCTCCTAGGGGCTACCAGCTTTCTGACCTCACTCCTCTCCCCACAGGCCTCCATCCCTGGACCAGCTTCGAGCTGAACGTCTGCGGAGGGAAGCAGCTGAGAGGTCTCGGGCAGAGGCCCTGCTGGCCCGGGTCCAAGGCCGGGCACTACAGGAGGGTCAGCCGGAAGAAGACGAGACGGATGACCGGCGGCGGCGGTACAACTCCCAATTCAACCCCCAGCTGGCCCGGCGCCCCCGCCAGCAGGACCCTCACCTTACTCACTGACTCCTGAGGGGGTACAGGAGAGGCCGCTGCTGCCAGCCGTCATATAAAACTATTTATTCATAAATATTTTCCAAAATGAAAATAGGTTTACCAAAAAATGTCCCTCACTGGGGAGGGGAGGAGGGGGCAGCCCTCGCCCCCGGGCCCCCAGGGTGGGGCTGAGAGGAAAACCTCCCGGCCCCCTCCCTGCTTCCTGGGAGAGGGGGATGCCCCGTGGCTTGGGGCCTCCCTCCAGTCTTCCAGGGCAGGGCCCTCACCTGGGCAGGGGGATCAGCATGCGGGGGAAGGGGGTGGGTAGAGGGAGGGGCCGGTGTCACTGGAGGTCCCGGTCCTCCAGGTAGCGGTACTCAAAGGTGAAGCCTTCCTTCTTCCGCTGGCCCCACTTCTCGTAGTCAAAGTAGATGTAGGTGCCCTGGCCGGGGGAGAAGGCGGTCAGTGAGTGGACGAGGAGGTGGTCTGGGATCTGGGCCGGACCAACAGACAAAGGGGACAATTCTTAGGGCTGTGGATGTGTCAGGCACCGGGCCAGCTGCCCTGCACGCACACACTCTCATCCATCCTCACAAGGTTCTTCTTGGGTAGGAAATGTTATCATGCCACTTCAGCGAGGAGGAAACGGAGGGGGCCGCAGAGGTTCCACCGAAGCCAGCTGCCAGAACGGGGCCCCAGCCCCAGGTGTGAGTGCACAGCCTTCGTTTCCTCGAGGGCTGTGGCTTTTGAGCACCTCTCACGTGAGTACAGGATGCACAGCCTAGCATTTAATCTTCACAAAGACCTCGAGGCAGTGGGTACTGTCACCCTTGTTCTAGAGAATGGAACAGTCTCAGAGTCTAAATCCAAGCACTCTGCAGGGACATTTTATTGGTGACGAAGTGGTGTGGGAATTTCTGAATGACTGGATGCCCTGAAATGTACTAACTTGGAGGATGGTTTTGGGCCAAACCAGGAAAGGACAGGAAGTCTGTGGTTAACATCTGAGGACACAATGGGAGAGGACCTAGGTTCTAAATGAATGTCTTAAGTGCTTCAAAGATGGCAACCTGGGAGAACCAGGAGAGGGGACTGAGTTCTCTGAGGACAAGGACCTTGTACTACTTCATCCCCATGAAGGGGCTCGGCATCAGGGAAGTATTTGGTGGAAAAAAACATCACTGTAGAACACACCAACTGAAAGTAATTTGAAAAAAAAAATCCATGACACTGACTATGTAGCAGTCACCATTAAGTACTTACATGTTATTAACTCATTTAATCTTCATAACAACTGCATTAGGTAGGTGGTCTTCCCCCCATTTTTACAGATAAGTTAATTGAGACACAGAGGTTCGAGTGACTTGCCTAGAGTCGCCCAGCTGGACTGGGCTGAAACCCAGGTAGGTTGGTTCCAGAGTGTTTGCAAGCAGCAGGAATTTCCCAGTATTAGAACTTGAGAAGCCCATTCAAAAAAAATAGTTTCCGCACTGAGCCCCTGCCCTGCTGAGTGCTGGGACCTGGAGGTGAAGTGGGGGCCATCAAGGTCCCTCGGCAGCAGAGCCCACAGCCTGGTGCAGGGACACATACTGGGAAAATCCCACACCCCAGGCGAGTGTGCCCAGCACTGCAAAGGGGAGGCACTGGGCTGGGTGGCTCCAGGAAGGTTTCTTTGAGGAAGGGACATTTGGGCTGAGACCTACAGGAGGCCTAGGAGCTGGCCAAGTGGAGGATGAGAGGGCGGTGTTCCAGGCTGAGCAGACAGCCAGAGGGAGGAGTACTTGGTCAGGCTGAGGGACTGCGCCAGCTGAAAGGTGGAGGCAAGGGAGCAGAGGCCAGCAGGGGCTGCCTGGAGCCTGGGGACTCTACCCCAACCCTAGCAGCGGGAAGAGAGGGGGCGGGGCCCTCACCTGCTCAAACTCGTCAGTGATGGTCTTGGGCTCCTCGTGCCTCTGGAACCACATCATGTACTTGGTGTGGAATCGCCATGACTGCTTCTTTAGGGCCTTGGCTGCCAGATACTGTGCCTTAGTGCCCTGGGGGAGGAACAGTGGAGAGGGGGATCAGGGGGCCCCCAAACTGGGTGGGGAGCCAGGGGAATGGGGCAGGACATCAGGGCTGAACCCCGGCCCCCGCCACAGACCACAGTTGGGCTGGACAATCCTCTTGGAGATGGGGCTGGGGGCACAGAACATACCAATGCTGATCAGGAGAAGGAAAATGAGACAGGAGGTGAAAATTGCTTTCAGAGAAGCTTTGAGAAGGAAGAAAAACTAATGTGTGATGAGAGCTGAGAGAGGAGGCAATTTAGAAAATTTCCCAAGTGGGGATGAGGGTGGAGGTCACTCATGACTCACTGGGGTTGGGAGGGGGCTGGACAGCTCCCCAGTGGTCTCCAGGGAGGCCTGAGAATGTGCCAATGAGCAGAGTGGGGTCGGCCTAGACTGGGGCTGCTGGAGCAGGGCTGGGGAGGGGCCGCGGGTGAGCCAGTGGGCAACTGGAAGCGGGGCTGAGGTGTGCCTCAGTGGACCAGCCTCGCTGTCAACCCAAGCAGTTCTAACATCTCTGGGCTGGAAGGCGGGGACGGGGACAGGTGGATTTGGGGCAGGGGCCCAGGAGTGGGAATAGGGAGGGGGTGCGGTCCCAGTGGCCGCAGTGGGGCACCCACCTCACCCCTCCAGCCCGAGGGGGGACGGCGGCGGTGGCGGCGAAGCCGGGGGGCCCGAGGCTGCCCCGGGGGCCCTGCTGTACCTCCAGATAGTAGAAGATGAAGAAGAGTGTCTCGGTCGACAGGCGCTGGTAGAATTCCACAGTGTCCGAGTGTGGGGGTGGCATCTGGTGGTGGTAGGGGGGCGTCGGACAGGGGTTCCGGGGGAGGTACTGCCTGTGAGAGCAACAGGAAGGTCAGTGCCAGCTGCCTACTAGTCCTGTCGTGATCAAAAGGGTGCTCAGACATGCATCCCTGCGGGGGGAGGTGGTACAGAAAGACCCAGGGCGGTGCTGACCTTCAGTGGAGAGCCCAAGTCAGGGGCCTGGTGCTCTACCCACAGCCTCACAGGTTCAGCCACTGCCTCCTCCGTAAGACTCAAGTCCCAGACCATCCCCCTTCCCTGTGGCCCCTCACCGAATACGCTCAGAGTCAGAGGGGTGAGGCATGTGGTGCCAGGCGGCCTCTTCCATGGCCTGCTGATAGAGCTGCTCCTTGGTGAGGGGCACAGGGCCCAGTGGACAGACACCCAGCGACAGCGGTATGTTCACCTCTGACAGCTGCAGGGGCGGCTGGGCTGAGGCCGGAGGTGCTGATGTACTGCTCAGGATGATGTCTGTGGGGAGGGTGGGGGTCCGGCCCCCTCAGTGGTGAGGATGGGTCAGGGGCAGCCCCTCCTCTTTGGCCCGCTGCTTCCCCACCATCCTGGGTCCCTCACCTCGCTCGGTCAGGTGCAGCGTTGGCACAGGGTCCTCAATGCCAGAGCTGATGGCTGCCCGTTCCGCCATGGACTTCAAGGAGCTCAGAGGCTCAGGGGCCTGGGGAGGAAACAAGAGGCCTGGCCTGAGCACTTGGGCTGCAGGAGCAAGTGCAGCCTGACACAGGCCCCAGATGCTCTCACCTGCCCTGTTTGGGGGCCGTGGAGGGCCAACGACCCACTCCCCACAATCTACCCATGACAGGTAAAAGCATCAAACTGTAGGGAAACAATCGGAGACCACGACGCATTCATCAGCAGAGGAACGTCTCGTGAGTGGGACTCTGCAGCATGGAATACTACGCCGAGATTTTCAAAATACAAGTTCGTGACATACTACAGAAGTAAACGCCAACCTGCAGAATATGTACAGTGCGCTACCATTTTTGTCAAAGGATGTGCCAATAGTACACGCTCCTTCACTAGGGACACCTACACGCTGGGAGAGCTCCCGCCTGTCTTGAAGGAGGCAGGAGGTCTACATGCTCAGCTGTCTGCCTGTGACTGGCATGGGGTGACTGGAATCGGGGTGGGCCCAGCCCGGCTAGGCTTCAGTCTCCTTGCTGGAAACAGGTAGGTTGGGTCTCCAGCCCCGCAGCCACAGCCTCGTTTCCTATTACAAAGGTTACAGCAGGCTTCTGTTCCCCAAAGTCAGGGCTGGTTCCTCCCATCTCCTCCAGCCACGTGCAGCTGTCCCAAACCCCAGCCCTGTGCTGGACTCTCCACAACGAGTCAGTCGCCAAGGCTTATCCATCCTGTCTCGCTATATCGCCCAGGCAGGTCTCAAACTCCTGGGCTCAAGCTATCCTCCCGCCTCTGCCTCCCTAAGAGCTGGGATTACAGGTGTGAGCCACCACGCCCAGCTATCCGTCCTGCTTCTAAACCCCACTGGATGGCTCCCTTCCCTGTCGTGCCACCATGTCCCACACAGCCCAGGCCTGTCCTCTCCTGCCCAGACCACCCTCCCTCTATCCTGTCCTCACCAGCCCCAGGGGACCTTTCCAATGAAGTCATGTTGTTCCTTCTCTACTCCAAACCTTGCCATGGTTCCCGACCACCCACCCCAGCGATTCATTTTTGTTGTTGGTGGTGTTAAAAGATATGGACCCCTTCTGAAAATCTCAAAGCTGCTGTTTCCCTTTTTCCAGAAAAATGCACGCACTATAAATATCCTGTCCACCTACTTCTAAAATTTGGGCCGGGCACGGTGGCTCACACCTGTAATCCCAGCACTTTGGGAGGTCAAGGTGGGTGGATCACCTGAGGTTCGGAGTTCAAGACCTGCCTGACCAACATGGCAAAACCCCATCTCTATTAAAAATATAAAAATTAGCCTGGCGTGGTGGCAGGCGCCTGTAATCCCAGCTACTCAGTAGGCTGCGGCAGGAGAATCGCTTGAACCCAGGAGGCGGATGTTGCATTCAGCTGAGATTGCACCACTGCACTCCAGCCTGGGTGACAGAGCAAGACTCTGTCTCAAAAAAGAAAAAAAAAAAAAATTAATGCTTCTGTTGGGCCAGAAACTGTTCCAAGAGCTTTATGAGGATGATTTAGTCTTCCAAATAACCCTACATAGTAGGTATAATCGTGACTATTGCCGTTTCCCAGATGAAGGCACAGAAAGGACAATGCCAAGACTTGGACCTGGACAGCCTGGGCGCGCACACTGCCTCCTGGACAGCCTGGGCGCGCACACTGCCTCCTGGACAGCCTGGGCATACACACTGGTCCCCCCATGGAAGCTGCGCTACAGTATACTGGCTCACAAGCCAAGCCCCAGCTCCTGACCCTCGATGATCAGGACCCCACCGTCCTATCCTGCTACACCCACTATCTCAGCCCTGCAGCTGGTGGCACTGTCTCCTGCAGAGTGGACACCTCTCTCCTCTCTGCTGCATCCTGCCCAGCTTCCTAAGCACACAGGCAGATGCATGCTCCTCCTAAAGCACCTCCTGAAGCCCTTCCTGCAGCTGTTAGCCCCCCTGCCTGGTCCAGGTCTCAGCTTAAACATCACCCCCTCTCAGACCTTCCTGGGCCTGTCTCCCAGGTCAGGTCAGATGCCCCTCGGTGGGCCCACCGCAACCTTCCCTGCAGCTGCCCCAGCAGGGAAGCTTCCTAAAGGGTGGAACCAGGCTGCATTCACCCAACCAGTCTTTCTACTTGTGCAGAAAGTACACCAGTCTATGCCTTGTGAGGACAAACGGGGACAGAAACTGAGGGCCTGCGGGGGGGATGAAGATGGAGACCCAGAGAGAGCAAGCAACAAGTGCAACCAAGAGAAAGGAAAAGAGACCCAGAGAAACAGAGCTTTGGAGGGAACAAGAGAGGAGGTATGAGAGCCCCCAGAGATCAAGGTCACGGGGAGGGTGGTACAGAAAGACCTGGAGAAAGAGCAAGTGTGAGAAGGGGACAGAAAGCCAGAGAGAGATCCAGAAAGAGGGTGGGGGCAAGGGGTGCAGCTAGAGACCTGGAGGAAAGAAACAACAGAGTCAGGACACAGAGGCTCGGGGGATGTCCGAGGAGCCCACCTTGATTTCTGGGGCGGTGCTGAACTGTGGAGGCCCATTGAGCAGGGCACCGGCTGCCTTGGCATCACTGAAGCTGGGCGTTGGGGAGCTGGGAGGATTCACAGGCAGTGGCACCAGGAGGCTGGGTCCCCCTGAGTTGTTCCCTGAGCCTGGGGCCACGCCCCCAGCCCCCGTTGGGGCTGCCGCACTGGGTTCCTTCCTGGAGAGAGAGCATGGAAGAGGGGGTTGAGAGGAGGGTCCCTGAGGGTGGGATGGGCAGAGAGGCCTGGCTGGAGAGAGGGGAGACTGCACAGATCAGATGGGATCTGAGAGGGGCAGGTGAGGGCAGACAGATGGGAGAAAGAAGTGGTTCTCTGGGCAAACAAAGGCAGAGCCCAATCTTTGGAATGGTTTCTCATCAGCAGAGCAGAGCTGTGGGGGTGGGGGTGAGGATTCTCGGGTGCTCCACCAGGCCACAGGCTGATCAAAACCACTTGCCCTGGGCAGGTGTTCACAGGGCCCACTCCCCCTTGGGCAGGCCAGCTGGAGCTGGGGTGAGGGGGCAGGAAGCAGGCCTTTCCTTTGTGCACACTGATCTTTCTTAGGGCATTCTTCGGGAAACAGGCAGACCCAGTGGAATGGTCTGAGCTAAGATTTGAAGGAGTGGCTGCAGAGGAATAAGGACTTCGGGACAATTCACTTTGAAAAGTGAAACAGTGACCCTCCGGTGGCAGTCAATTGGCCTCAGGCAGGTAACAGAAATGGGGAGGAAAGGGTATGGGGCTCTTGAGAAAACTTCCACTTAGATGAGAACGTATTTTAGAATGTTCTGAAGGGCAAAGCAGGGAGGCTGATGTAGTTTCCTTGCTGGAAAGAAGTGGGGGTGTAACACCCGAGGGAGATGGAGGATAGCGCTTGGCCATTCCCAGCAGCAAGGGCGGGGGGTTCAGAACCCACCGATGCGGGGGTGAGGCGCCTGCGCCTCTCTGTTTCAAAAGGCTGCCATCCCAACCCTGCCGATGGCCGAGACACTCACGAGGTGCTGGGAGGTGGGTTGTGGGGGCCGGAAGGGGGGCCCAAGGCCTGGCTGCTGGCATTGTTGCCCCCACTGCTGCTCAAAGCCACCTCTGCCGGGCTGTCTGCCACAACTGAGCTGTAACCTGGGAACAAAGAGTAAATGGAAAGGGCTGCTGCCTGCTGCCCAGCCCCGCCCACGCCCCCCACCCCGCTGCCTCCTCACTCACTGGTGGCGCCATTCTGCTTGCCAGCCCCTCCACCGGCACTGCTGTTACTACTGCTGCTGCTCCCTCCGCCTCCGCTGCCGCCGCCTCCGCCTCCGCTAGGCTGGACGCTGGGGGGCCGGGGCTGGGTCGTGCTGGGCCCACTGGGAGCTGGTGGGGCCACAGCCTGGGCATAGGGAGCAGGGGTGCCCGAGTTGTGGCTGGGAGCTGGACTGGCCTTGGGGCCCAGGGCACTTGGGGGTGCTGCGGGGGCGGGGACCCCATTGTTGCCAGGAGTGGTGCTCAAGGCAGAGGCAGCAGGCGGGGGGCCGGAGGGGTAGGTGGGCGGCACAGCTGGGGACTGAGGGTGCTGGTTGCTGTGGACAGGCTTGGAGCCGTTTTTGGCTGGAGACTGCGGGTGGGAGAGAGCAGAGGGTCAGGACCCAGTGGGCCAGCTGGTCTCCCTCACCACCCCCACCTCAGGCTCCATCTTTGTCCCAGCAGCCTCCTCTCTGGCCTCGCTGCCCCCACCTGCTCCTGCCCTCTTGGGGACCTGGGTGACCTTACTCACCCTCATGGCTTCAATCACCTTCATGCTTAAAACACTCACACTGATTTCCAGCCTGCCCAGCTTCCCAAGTCCTGCCTGGACACCGCCCCATGGACACCCCCACAGGGATCTGACACACAACTTAGGTTGTCAGCCAGAGAAGATCCATCTGTTGGAAGCCAGAGGACTAGTGGGAAACACTTAAGTGTTCTCAATATGAGATTAGCTGGAGCCGCCTAATGTCCAAGAGTAGAAGGAAAAACAGCTGGAAATTGGATAGTAATTCTGAATGTCACCTGAAGGGTCACAGAAGCTACTCACAGGGCTGGAAGTTACCAGCACTCCAGAAAGTGGTGGGAGGGTAAATGTGCTCATGGTATCCCTACCGCAGGCAATCTGCGGACAGCACTCGGGCTGCTGAGCCTAACCACCTCCTGGGCTTCTTTCCAGCCACCCCACAGGCACCTTGCGCTTACCAAGCGCCCAACAGGACTGACTACCCACTTCTCTCCTGGGCATCGCTGCTTGGCAGTGGGGGCCTGGGAAGGTGGCAGAGCCCAGCCTGGCCCCTGGAGTACCTGCCTCAGTGTCTCTCCTCATCACCTCCTGGCCCTGTTGCCCGCCCTCACTACTACCTGCGGGTCCCCTTAGTCTCCACACCAGCCTCCTCAATGCCCACTCAGGGTGTCCCCTTGGAACCATCCATCCCGTTAGCCCACAGAGGGGCCTCAGGCCCATGCTGCTCCTGCCTAACATTGTTCTGTAGCAGCGTTTCCGAAAGCGTGCTCCTGTCCTGGGAGATGTCAAAGGAGTTGAAGAAGCACTGCCCGCCACCGTCTCCTCTCAGAAATTTGCAGTGTGTATTATCAGCACAGCAAAGGCCCCATCGCTTCCTAGGCTTATTGGACTCTGGAGGCCACTCAGGTCCACAAAGCCTGAGCCCCTCAGCCTGACAGTCCCAGTCCCTGTGCTCACAGTTGGGCCCCTGGCCCTGCAGACCTGGCCAGACTCATCTCTCCTCACTTCCAAACTTTCTGTCACAACTTGCCCATGTTACTGGCTGCCACCTCTCCCTGCCAGGCAAACTCACCTGACTGTGAAGCCCAGGGCACTCCACAGCAGCATCTCCTGACTGCCTGGCCAGGCCAAGGGTGACCTGTGTGCTACCCCCTTGACCACAGCACCAGTCACCTGTCCACTTGCCCTGCCCACCTGCCCTCAGGGCAGCACTGATTTCTGAGCCACCTGTGTCCACCAGCCCAGCACAGTGGCCGGCGCTCAGGCCTCAAGATGCCTTTGGGAAGCAACAGAGGAGTGAATGGCGTGCCCACCCGGTCCAGGCTCACACCCACCTGGCTGACTTCACTGTCTGTGGAACGTCCCCTCTTCTTATCATCTTCAGAGTTTTCCTGAGGTAGGGGAGGCAGAATAGAAACCTGTGTGACCTCTGGGGCTCTGATGGAGAACCGCCAATCTCTGAATGCCCCGGGGACCTGGGCCCAATTGACTGCCATTGCGGCCCCAGAGCTGGTCAAATGGCTGTCCTTAATCTGCCTGGAGAAACCATCTCAATTCAGGCTCTCCAGTCTTCTTGTTTTCTGGGAGCCAGCACTGACCCACCAGCCTCTTAAGGATCTGGGAACCTGCTCTCCACAGGGAAGCCAACCCTTGGATCCCTGCCCAAGGTGGCCAGCTACCCAGCCTCCTCAGGCAGCCCAGGCACCGGCCCCTCCCACTTCCCAGATCCAGGACCTAAACTGGCGCGGGATGCACCCTATTGCTCTTTATGTCCTTTAGGGACCCAGATATAGGACCTTAGCGTGTGCTCCAAGAGCCTAGACCCTGGATACCTAGATCTGTGTTTCCTCAATTACGCTCCCATAGCCACTTTGGAGTGACCCAGATTTGTCTCCTCGAGTCCTGCCCTGCTGGAAACACAAGGTACTAGTGTCCCGTGGGGCCTCACCGTGGTACAGTTGGCTGGGCTGGGCGGGATGGGAGAGCTGGAGGTGGTTGAGGTGGGCGTGCTGCTGGACTGGTTGAAGATCTCATCCTCCATGTGGCTGTGGCTGGGGGGGGAGGTGGCGACCAGCGCCTGTGCTGTGGGGGCAGAAGAAGGGCATGCTTAGCTGGCTCACACAGCCCATTCTGGGCCCTCACTTCCTGTGCCACGATCAGCCCCAGGGCCTCACGAATGTCCTCGAGGTCCAGGTCATCGTAGAGAAACTCGTTCTCCTCGAAGTCGGGGTCCTGGGATGAGTCAACATAGTACTCAACGTCGTCCTTGATCTTGCGGATGGCGTCAACGAGGATGGAGTCATTGTCCAGCATGCGCAGGATGGTCTCTAGCATGCGCACGTGGTAGCGGTGCTTCTCGATGTGCCGCTTCAAGCCCTCAATCCGGTCCTGCTTCTGCTGGCGAGCCCAGGGCCAGGCTCAGGGGCTGCAGAGCACCTGCTTGGCCCCTCCTGCCCCCACAGAACCTGTCCTCAGTCCCTGACCCCTGTGGAGACCCAAAGCCTCCACGCCATCCCCTTCGGGGTGGGGCAGTATGGGGTCCACCCACCCTCTGAGCCCTGTGGGGACCAATCTTAGCCTTGACATCTTGGGATCCCACTGCTCCCTCCTCTCCCCACACCTTTCTGGCTCCAGGAGTCCTTGGAAACCTCTAAAAGACCCAGAGGTCCTTGTGCCATCCCACGACTTGGCCTCCATCTGCACCTCACCTGACAGCCCAGATTTCTCAACTGAGCCCGCCCACCACTGTGACTGCCTCTGGCATACAGATACCCTCCGACCTGCTCCAGCAGTAACAATGATAACCCCCATTTGTGAGGAGCTTGCTGTTTAGAATTGTGATATCTGTCATCACTAGGCCCCCAACCCTACCCATTTATCCCTGAGAGAGCCCAGATTCCTAAGCCTCGCTCCTGCCCTCCCCTCAAGGCCCCTTTAGGATTTAACATCTTAGCCTTGGTTCCAAATCTCTGCTCTGTTCAAGGACCCATCATCTCCCCGAAAGCCCCTGGTTCCCAAACCCCTCAGAGTCTGACACCCAACCCTGTCATCTTCCACTTCCTGACCCTCTCCCACCCACAGCTTCCCTGAGGACCCGGCTCTCCCCTCCCTGTCTTTCTGGTTTCAGCAAGTCTGTACAGTTTGTATCCCTTTGAACTCATACCCCACAATCCCGGATTTTAGAACCTGGGACCCCAACATCCAGCTTTGTCCCAGACTCCTGTCTTCCTTCAGGCCTGGTTCTCTGCCTTCTCCATGTTCTGCCTTGTCTCTACCCACTGTGCTCTCCCTAGGACCAGGGCCCTCTGGGTGCCAGGAGGCCTCTTGCCATGGGTGTCCTTCAGGTCTCACTTTTACTCTGTGGCCCAAGCTCAACCTGCACTCACCTTCCCCCAAGTCGCTCCTCTTCACAAAGGCCCCACGGTCTACCCAGACACCCAGGGGACCCTGAGATTCTGTCTGACCTCCTTCCTGCCCCACGCGTGCAGCTGCTAAGCCCTCCCAATCCTGTCTCTCAAATCCCTAATCCCGGCTGTTGGCCCTGTCCGCCTGAGGAATCCAGGCCCCAACTCCCAGGAGCATAAATGACTGGCCTCCTGCTGGCCAGCCCATTCCCATGCCCATCCCCATCCCAAAGGTGTCGGGTCTCCCTCACTCACATCCTTGTCGCCCTTCTTCTTGCGTGTCTGCACTGACAGTGACTCCACTTCACTCTCAAACTGGTCCACCTGCATGTTGAGCGTGTCGATGGTATTCTAGGGGAGGGAGAGGAAGAGGAAGCCCATCAGCTAGGGTTCCGCCTACACCCAGGGCTCAGGATCCTCAGAGTTCACCTCCTCTTCTCTACCCCAACTCACCGTGAGCCACTGGCCAACCTCTTCCTTCTCCTTCTGGGCAGGATCTACCTTCTGGGCCAGGCCCAGGCCCTCTTTGCTGTAAGCTTTGGTTTTGGTCTCTCGTTCCACAACTTTGAACCGTTCCATTTGCTGTAGAGAGTGCAGTTGGCAGGGGGGCTCTCAAAGGTGGGAAAGGAGCTGACTAAGGGCCAGCAGACACTCCGACCTGAGCCTCGTGACCCTACTTTCTGAGCTCTGAGTCCGCTGCCTCTTCACTTCCCTTAGGTGCAGAAACCTTACTTCTCTTGAGGACCTCTGGGGTCTGGCCGCTCTGCCTCCGCCCCTTGGGATCTCAAGAATCTGGTGACCTTCCCACCTCTCTGGGACTCAGGCTCTGGGCTCCTACCGTCTCAATGAGCTTGCGGTTGTCTATAAGCTGCCTCTTGTCCTTGATCTCGTTGGACGCTACCCATGTCTTGATTTGGTCCCTCAGCCGCTGCAGATGGGAAAAGCAAGAAAGTCAGACCTCAGGACCCAGGAACTGGGGCCCACAGCTCCTTCTCCCTGGGACCCAGCAGTCCACTCTCCCAGTTCCCTCTACCCTCAGGACAAAGGCGTCCAGGCCCCCAGCCCCCTCACTTGTAGCTTCTTAATCTCCTTCTTTAGGTCAGCCTCATACTTTTCTTTCTGGTTCGCGTTGGCTGCATTGTGGAGCTGAGGGATGGAGAGAATTGAGAAGTCAGTGTGGGAGGGGATGTCCCAGTACCCACTCCAGTGATTCTTCCTTATGCTAGGGACTCGAGGACCCCCCCCAACCCCTACCCCCAATCCATCTTAGAGCTGATTCTCTTAGGTCCTCAGCATCTGCATATGTAGCCCCTCCCGCTGGTCAACACCCAGAGGTCCTGAGCCGCCTTCCTGTGCCCTCCTCTCTGAAGACCCAGATTATTAGGGTCTCAGCCCCTGTACCTTCTGCCAAATATCTTCAAACTGCTCCACGCCCTCGGACACCTTCTTGAGGCAGCGATCAATCTCACCTGGCCAGGGAGGAACAAGGCTGTGAGAATCCTGCCCAGGTGGCAGGTATCTAAAGAGCAGTCCTCAGAAGAGGGAGCATGTGGCTACAGGTGCAGCAGGAAGTCAGTCTAGTACCTTGGAGTTTGCGCTTGTCCGCCATCTTCCCTGCCCTACAGACGCACTCTCTTCATACTCTCTTGGAGACGGACGCTGCTAGGAGAGATTGGAGAGGAATTAACACGTATTCCCTGGCTGGTAAAAACCCAGAGACATGGACCTAGTCAGCATAGTGAGGTAGGTGGGACTGGTAAAGAGAAGAAGCATTTGCTATCTGACAAGAGACCAGCCCCAGTTCTCCTGATGCTCGCTTGACTGCCCAGCATAGTGTCTGGCCAACAGGGGACCCCATAAGTTTGTTGAAACAAGAAAAGTTACATACTTTTTTGTGTGCCTCTGACTCAGGAAGTGGAAAATTCCTAGAGCATGGAGTACCTTCTCCCCAGAATACACTCAAAAAGGTTTTTCAGAGCAGGACAGTCATGCTGCACACAGCTGATGACTGGGATGGAGGCATTAGCCCTGGAGATCACACTTCCTACTCAGAGGGGCTGGGCAGAGGTGGCTAGGAGAGGTCATCCCTCAGACAAGTCAGGAGACAAATGAAACTGGCAGCTCACAGAGAAGGGCGTGTGTGTGTGTGTGTGTAAGCTGTAGGTAGGAGAAGAAAGATTGGGGGTGGGGGAAAACGACGGCGAGCAGAGATGCCGAAAGCTGTGAAGAGCTGAACCCGCTCATGCAGACAGGGCTGAATGCCAAGTAGAAGGGACTCAAACCACCAAGACATTTATTCCAGAGCAGGATCCTTAAACCAAAAGGAAATAACACTCCTAACCCAAAGAAGCTAATACCAAGAAGGCTTAGAGATTTGGGGGCAGAAGGCAGTACCCAAGAGAGACCTGGGAGAAGACAGAAATCTTACTAAGATAAGAGGGTGCAAAGGTACCGCAGCTGTGAGGGAGCCGATCTGCACTCACGGAGGAATCCCATAGCAAGTGGATTGGTAATTTAGAGTCAGGGAGACATAGACCATCAGGGCAGGAACCCAAAACTTCAAGAGAGGAGCGTCTTTATTTTAAAGGAAGTTACCTGGAACCCAGAGAAGACTGAGGTCAAAAGGGAGTTCCAAGGAGCTTTAGTCCAAGGGAAGACATACCTTAGGGCCTGACAGCGAGACCAGGGGAGCCCTGGGAAGAGAGGCTTATGCCTCAGAAGAAGACTTCTGAGATACCAGCGGAGATTGCCCTCTTCCCCTCCAGGGAGGGGGCCTACAATGAAAAGCACAGTTCCCTGGGATCCACGGGCCGCTCCCACTCTACGTGTGCAGGGCAGGGAACCCTGGAGTAGTCACTTACTGTAAAGACAGAAACAGCCCCATACTGAGGAACAAGAGCCTCAATACAGAGGGAAGTCACACCAAAAGAGTCCTCACCCACAAAGAAGGGAACATCTGGCAAACAGTGCTATCCAACAGAACTTTGCAATGCTGGAAACACTCTATTTGCGCATATCTGTTGGCCACTGAACATCTGAAATGTGGCAAGTGTAATGGAGGAACTGAATTTTTCATTTTTAACTAGTTACTAATCACCACATGTGACTAGCAGCAACCATATGGGACGGATATGCTTTAGAACAAGAAGCCCACAAAGGACAGGGCTGGTACCTTACCCCCAGGGAGAATTTTCCCAACACCGCAGGGACCCATTCTGGGTGATAATAGGTAGGGGTGCTACCTTACACTTGAGGGAATTTAAATCTCCTCAGTAAAAGGCCCAACCTAAAGAAAGCCGCAGCAGCCCCCGCCCAGGTCAGCTATCACGCCCTACCTGGGGAATCTCTAAGAAGGCAAAGCAACCAACAAAAGGACCCAGGAGAAGGTGCCACAGTGGGGATTCAGGCTGAGGAGGGGAAAGCCTCTTTGACCCAGGGAGCTCACACAAGGCAAGGGCCTGGACACCAGAGCTCAGGTGTGCAGGGATCCTCACCAAAGTCCAACACCCCAACACAGAAAAGCCTCTTACTGCATAGGGGGAACAAGAATGTGAAACGAGAGTTTACACTCCCTCTTTCCATCCCAAGAACCCAACAGAGGGTCATGGGCAGGTGCTCCAGCCCAGAGAGAGAAGAGGTCTCATGGTCTACACCCCTAAACAAGGCAATCAACACCTTAGGCAGGTGACGCCCTCCCTGTGTCTCCACACGGAAAGGACTGGTATCCTAGTGCAGAGGAAGAATACCCACAGACAGGAGACCACACTGTGGCAGCAAGAGAAGGAAGTCCTGGAGGGGTCACAAGCCAGGAGGAGGGGAACAAGAGCGCTAACCCAGGGAGGTGATGTTTCAGACAGAACAGTGTGACATCGAAGTCGGCTACAGCTGAGACCCAGTGAGGAGGCAGCTCCTCCACAGAGAAGGGGCAAGTGCCAGAGGCCCAGGGTACTTGTCCCCTAGAGAGGCTGGAGCCTTAGCCACAGTAGAGACAACACCTTCCCCGCTAAGAAAATCCCTATATCATGAGGGTATCTGTACCTCTGGTCCCCCCAGCAAAGGACCAGAGAGAAGGGAAGCTGGAGCCTGAGTCTCGAAGCAGAGACGCCGCCAGAGAAGAAAGAGCCCCATTTGCTGTAGTCAGGGGGGCATCCACCAAGATCCTCCAAGGAAGGTGGTGATCGCAGGTCCACTCTCAGGCGTGAAGAACCTGTGCTCCAGCAGCAAAGGCTCTCCAAGAGCACTGAGGAATCTGGGAACCTCGGCCCAGGAGGAGACTTACCCAAGAGGAACACACATCCCCACAGGGAAGGGACCCACAAGGCGGGTGGCGGGGTGGGGGGAGGTGAGCAGGACACCAGCCTCACAGGAGCCAACACGCTAAAATCAGAGCCAAAACCAGTAAAGAAGAGCCCCCCAGACTTCATCTCAGGGAAGATGATACCACCACACAAAGACTCGAGGAGGGAGGGGCAGGAGGTCAGCCCTGGGAAACTAACACCGGGTGGTCCTTAACCTTGGGGGCCGTCATGTGCCCACAGAGTGGTCTTTGTCATGAGGCACCTTTGATCTGGGAGAGCTTCCGCCTCTGCAGCAAGGAGCTCTGAGAAGTGATGTTGAAGGGTGATCCTTAACCCAGGTGGCTGCTGACGTGGCCACACAGAGGCTCTGAGACTCCAGAAGAAGGATGCGTTAGGGCCTGGGGTAGAGGTAGTCATCTCCACTGAGATGCCCCATGCCAAGGGTGGGGGGCTGGAATCTCCCACCTTGGAAAGTCTACACCAGAGAAGTCTCTGGTCCCAGGGACAGGGTCTACAGTGGAGTCTCCCGCTTGAGACTCAGGTATCTTACATCCACACAGCCAGGAAACTATGCCTTACCCCATACAGTGACAAATCAAGAGGGGGTTTTGGAAGCATTAGCCGGGGGCACCTGCATCCGAGAGGGGTCCTCAGCCTTACGGTGGGGACACATGCAGAGGCGTGGACACCTCAAATCCAGAAAAGCAGCCATACCAATACCAAGGATGGCAAGAACCTTATCCCTGGGGGAGGTGACACCAAGAAAGGGTCCTTACCCTGGAGAGAAGGCACAGCCCCAGAGGGAAGAGCCCCCACCTCGCAGTACAGGAACCCGGGTCTAGGAAGCTTCCTACTCTCATGGGGTACCAGCAGCGGGGCCAGAAGGCGAAACCCTTGTTCTCCAACTGCTGACACCCAGCGTAAGGGTAGATGGGAAGTCAACAAACCCACAGTGTGGGATCTGATGCAAATATCAAGGGCAGTGGGCTTCTTGGTCCTTGGAGAGCTGACACCCTAAAGGAGGAGACTGGTGTGAAGATGGAAGAAGCCTCATACTCAGGCAGGGGTGAAGGGAGGGAGGGGAGACATCAAAACCCCTCACCAAAAGGACAGGAGAGCTCACCCCGGGGTGGGTGGCCGCCCTGCACTGAGAGGCAGGGACTGCTCAGAAAGAGGGGCTGGTGCTGCCCGCAGTGGGAGCTCACTAACATGGACAGCGTGGCGGCTTAGTGTCTTTCACCAGGCACCTGAGCGCCAGGGGATCCCAGCAGCCCCCAGCAACAAGACCACAGTGGTCCTGATATCACTGGGAGACGCCCACACCCAGAAGGTCGGAGAGTCACGATGCAGGGGAGTTCAAGGCTGCAAAGCCAGGGGCAGACGCCAGGATCAAAGAAGTGTGAGAGCTGAGACCAGACGTGGGCCACACTGAGGACGGTCCTGTACCCCAGGTGGGGGAAAGCCAAACTCCCCCAAAAAGGCAGGCGCCCAGTGCAGCGGGATGGCGAGGCTGGAGCCACCCAGGGCGCTACTCGCTATGAGAGGGAAGAGCTGCAGACTACAGAGGTGGAAACTTCGGCAAAGGCTCCAACTAACGGGGAGTTTCTCCTCCACTCCTCTCCCAAGAGGCTCCCATCCGATACAGACGGGCAGCTGGAACCTGAGATCCAGGGGAGGCTGCGCTCCCGGGAGCAGTGAGGAGGGATGCGGAGGGCGGCCTCGGTCCTGGGAAGGGTGACTCCCCCACCCAGCTGGGGTCCTCGTCCCGACCACCACCCCCCCTCCCCGCCACCGTCGAGGGAGAAGCCCCGGCGCGGAGGCTGCCCCACAACGCGAAGGACCGAGGCCGAGGGGGGCAGGCACCTGAGCCCCGAGAGGGCGGGCACCTGGGACCAGGGGCGCCTCCATCCTTCCAGCCAGGAGCCAATACCGACGCGGAGAGGGGCGGGCACCTCGCGCCCGGGAGGCTTCGCACCCTCACACCCCTACCGGGGGGCCCGACGCGATGCCACGCGGGGAGGCGGCGGCGGGCGGGGCCCGGGGTCCGGGTCGCGGAAGGACCCCCGGGAGGCGCTGAGGAACGTGAAAGAGGCGCAGGAACGGGAGGGCGAGAGGGAGGGAGCCGCCCCCCGCCGGGAGCCCCGCGCTGCAGAGGCGGCGGCAGGGGGCAGGCGAGGGGAGGCCATGTCGCGACAGACGGCGGTGTCGCCAGGGCGGGAGGCGGCGGGGAGGGCGGCCGATGGCGCCGGGGGGAGGAAGGGAAGGGGTCCGGCCCAGTCGAGCCTGACGCTCTCACCACAGGAGCTGGCGCCGCCGCTGAGGAGCGTATCGCGACAGGCGGGGGAGGCGAGCGCCCGCCGCCTTTTTCTCGCGCCCCGGGCCCGGGCGCTATCGCGATAGCGGCGCGAAGCGGAAGTGGGGTTGGGGGAGTGGGCCCGGGGTTGTTCTGACGACGGGGGTCGGGGCTCAAGGGAGGCCGCGGCGTCTGCCGATGGCTCCGCGGAAGCTGACCGGGCCCGGTCCAAGATGGCGGCGGCGGAGGAGGCCTCCCCTCCTCTCTTCTCGTCTCTGGCGCCGACCCGCCCCCGAGTCCCGAATATAGGCCAGTCATTGCTCCCGCTGAACGTCGCTCCTGACCCTTGGAGGCTTTCTATTGGTTCCTGGCAGGGATGCGCCCTGCCCCCTTTCGCGGATTGGGTGATCGCTCCAAGGCGCGGCGTTCGATTGGCCTCCCGCGCAGGCTGCTAGGATTGGCTCAGGTTTTCCTCCCCGCTCCTCCTCCTCCTCCCGCCTCAGGGCACAACACGCCAGCGCGAGGACCCGAACGTCAATCAAGAGACCTGTGTCGTGCTGATTGGATGTATCCGCCCCCCTCTCTTAAAACAATTGGTCTGGGGGAGGAGCTACGACAGTCCAGGGGCGGGAAGTCGTCCGTCAAGTTTAGAGCTCTTTTTAATTGGTTGCGGGGGCATATTCTGCCTTGAAGTCATTGGTTGGTCCTGGAAGTGGGTGGGGAAAGCGGAGGAAGGCATGGAGTGTGGGCGTTAGGGGCCGCGTACCTAATGGGAGACAGACAGGTGCCTTTAAAGCGGGGGCCGAGCCGAAGTCATCTGCCAATCAAAACAGCCACAGGGCCAAGTGGGAGGAGCTGGGCAAGAAAGTCCACCCCTTTTTCTTCGTTGGCCCTAAAAGTTATCATTCATGCTAGTTGGACCAATAGCGTGGCGAGTGGGCGGTAGCTGCTCGTAGAGCGTGTGAAAGAGGGTGTATGTAGCTGGCAGAAGTGGGACTTGGTCGCAACCGTTGCGTCCCGGCCAGGTAAGCAGCTTCCCTCTCAGCTGCCTCGTCTTTCTCCAAGTGCCTCTATGTTGGCACATCTCTGAAATTCATTATTTGCTGAGTGAAAGAAGAAAGGGACCAGAGACACTGCTTTAAGTCTCTGGCACCGTGCATAGCAGAATTGGTTGGGAAGCGTGAGGCATGGAGTTTTTGTCCTGCCCCTGCCTGGTTAGGCGACCAGATGGTGGGACAGTCATTCTCCTCTGCGTCTCCGCTTCCTTAGTGTGTTGAGGACGCTGCAGAAGGTACAGAGGAGACGGGTGGCTCCCTAATGCCTGCTCGTTTCAGGTCTCAGCTCTGTTGTCTTCTTGGAGAGAAAACTTCCCTGACCTCCCTCCCGGGCGGAGCGCTCCTGCGCGCCTTGTTCGTTAGGATTTATTTTTGTACGTCTACCGTCATTTTCGTAATTATTCGGTTTCCCTGTCTGGATTTTGCATCTCCAGCACTTAGCACGCAGGAAGTAGTCAGTAACCATTTGTCAAAGGAATAGATGAATGAATGTGAGGAATGACTTGTGATTGAAAACTTAACTAGACACTGAGACTTCCACGAACTGGGAGGCATTTGCCCAGGGTCACACAACCGAGATGGGAAGCCAGATTCGCCCCTTCCTGTCTAGGTGGTGGAAAGTAAGATAAATCCCAGGGAGAGGTGAACGTGAAGGAGGATGGAGCCGTTCAGCACCACCCGCATCAGAATGGTCTGAGGCAAGGGGGAGGAGGAATGCTTGCGAAAATGCATATTCGTAGGCCCACACACAGACAACGGGAATGAAGCCTAGAGTTATTGTTCTAGAGCTTTGCTATTCAAACTGTGGCCCCTGGACAAAGTATCGCTTCTCAGACATCTCCGGAATCACCTAGGAATGTGTTAAAATGCAAATTCTGCTTTTCTAACAAGTGCCGCAGTCCACGGTCCGCAGTTCACTTTGCACACCGCGGATCTAGCGATGACTTTCCAACTTGGCTGCACATCAGAGTCACCTGAGGAACTTGTTGTTATTGTTGTTGTTGTTGAGACGAAGACTTGCTCTTGTCCCCCAGGCTGGAGAGCAGTGGCACAATCTAGGCTCACTGCAGCCTCTGCCTCCCGGGGTTCAAGTGATTCTCCCGCCTCAGCCTCCCGAGTAGCTGGGATTACAGGCGCCCGCCACCACGCCCGACTAATTTTTGTATTTTTAGTAGAGACGGGGTTTCACCATGTTGGCCAGGCTGGTGTCGAACTCCTGACCTCAGGTGATCCGCTCGCCTCAGTCTCCCAAAGTGCTGGGATTACAGGCGTGAGCCACTGCGCCTGGCCTACCTGAGGAACTTTAAAAAAAAAAAATTTTTTTTAAATTAGAGGCCAGGCCGGGCCGGGAGAATCACTTGAACCCGGGAGGCAGAGGCTGCAGTGAGCCTAGATTGCGCCATTGCACCTGTAATCCCAGCACTCTCAGAGGCCGAGGTGGGCGGATCACCTGAGGTAGGGAGTTCAAAACCAGCCTGGCCAACATGGTGAAACCCCGTCTCTACTAAAAATACAAAAATTAGCTGGGCATGGTGGCATGTGCCTGTAATCCCAGCTACTCGGGAGGCTGAGGCGGGAGAATCACTTGAACCTGGGAGGCAGAGGTTGCAGTGACCCGAGATTGCGCCATTGCACTCCAGCCTGGGTGACAGAGCAAGACGCCGTCTCAAAAAATAAAAATAAAAAATAAAAAAGTCCAGATACCCAGGCTTACACTGGACCAACTAAAACGATCTTGAGGTGGGAGCCAGTGTCTCTCTCACCCAGGCTGGAGTGCAGGGGCGCCATCTCGGCTCACTGCAACCTCTGCCTCCCAGGTTCAAGCCATTCTCCCACCTCAGCCTCCCAAGTAGCTGGGATTACAGGCGTGAGCCACCGCGCCCAGCGTAAGAGCCGCTTACAGAGTCTTCTTTTCTAGAGCAGTGCTTCTGAAATGTGGCCTTGGGTCAGGCACGTACCCATCACCTGGGAACTTGTTTGAAAGGCACATTTTTGAGCCCCACCCTAGACTGAATCAGAAACTCTGGGCCCAGCAACTATGTTTTAACAAGTCCTCAGTGTAATTCTGAAGCGCATTAAATTCTGAGAACCTCTGTTCTGAAAGTACGAGGGCTGCAGGCCCAGGCGACTCAAGATTCCTTTCCTGAGATTGACACCCTCATGCCACAGCCCCATTGGTAGATGCCGGATATTTTGGCCAAGGGAGATGGGGGATTCTGAACAGGGTTGTGGACCACGGGTCCTTCCCTGGCAGACCAGTATGTAGAGATCAGCAAAGGTTGTCATTTTCAAACAGGGTTGACCCAGAGGGTCAGGGATAACATTGAGAAAACAGACTTGAGTTATACAACCTGGGGTAGTTCAGCCACTCAAGGGAACCTCCTGAGTGTGTCGACTTTTTGACTTGAGGAAGGAGAGAGATTTAGAGATTGCCACTGAGGTCCAGAGACAGAGCTCTGGGTTGAAGGACAGGGATCCAGAGATACACAGAGTGGTGACGGGGAGGCCCAGAGAGGGGAACAGAAAGAGCAAAATCTCAGACAGGACCTAGAAAGTCAGAGGGAGACCCAGATAGCATGAGCTGGAGAGAGGGAGGGAGAGAGAGAGAGGGAAGGTGGAGAGAGGGAGGGAGAGAGGGAAGGTGGAGAGAGGGAGGGAGGGAGGGAGAGAGGGGAGGTGGAGAGAGGGAGGGAGAGGGGAGGAGAGAGGGAAGGTGGAGAGGGAGGGAGAGGGAAGGTGGAGGGAGGGAGAGGGAAGGTGGAGGGAGGGAGAGGGAAGGTGGAGAGAGGGAGGGAGGGAGGGAGAGAGGGAGGGGAGGTGGAGAGAGGGAGGGGAGGTGGAGGGAGGGAGAGGGGAGGAGAGAGAGGGAGGGAGAGGGGAGGTGGAGAGAGGGAGGGAGGGGGAGAGGGGAGGTGGAGAGAGGGAAGGTGGAGAGAGGGAGGGAGGGGGAGAGGGGAGGAGAGAGGGAAGGTGGAGAGAGGGAGGGAGGGAGAGAGGGGAAGGTGGAGAGAGGGAGGGGAGGTGGAGAGAGGGAAGGTGGAGTGAGGGGAGGTGGAGAGAGGGGAGGTGGAGAGGGAGGGAGAGAGAGAGGGGAGGTGGAGAGAGGGAGGGAGAGAGAGAGGGGAGGTGGAGAGGGAGGAAGAGAGAGAGGGGAGGTGGAGAGAGGGAGGGAGAGAGAGGGGAGGTGGAGAGAAGGAGGGAGAGAGAGAGGAGGTAGAGACCTGGAGGCATCATCTTCCCACCAGGCTGCTGCTTGTCCTGGTAACATCTCTTAGGTAACTAACAGAAGCCCGACCTTGTAGGTCAGGTGACTAGCGCTGCCTCCTTAGTACCACCGTGTAGCCCAGCTCCGGAGCACATAGTAAATGGAACCCCTGGAGTTGCTCTTCCTTAACCTCTCCAGGGAGACGGTTTCATGCCACCCGCTAGGACAGCCCCTGCTGTCCCCTGGAAACTCTCCTGACTGTCTGCAGGCCACATTCCCCTCAGTCCAAGTAAAGGCGCTCCTGGCCGAGCCCCGGTTCCCGAGACTCAGTGACTGGAGGTCAGGGGAGGGGAAGTGTGCTCCTTCTGCTCACCTGGCAGGACTTTTATAGCAACCAGGTCCTACCAGGGCAGGAAGCCTGCCTGCTTCGCCTGTGCCCGGCTCCACACAGTCCCTCAACACTGGTTATAAATAAGAGGCTGGGCCAGGCACAGGGTAATCCCAGCACTTTGGGAGACGAGGCAGGCGGATTAGTTGAGGTCAGGAGTTCGAGACCAGCCTGGCCAACATGGTAAAACCCCATCTCGGCCGGGCGCGGTGGGTCACACCCGTAATCCCAGCACTTTGGGAGGCCGAGGCGGGCAGATCACAAGGTCAGCAATTCAAGACCAGCCTGGCCCAAATGGTGAAACCCCGTCTCTGCTAAAAATACAAAATTAGCCAGGCGTGGTGGCGGGCGCCTGTAATCCCAGCTATTCGGGAGGCTGAGGCAGGAGAATCACTTCAACCTGGGAGGCGGAGTTTGCAGTGAGCCAAGACCATGTCATTGCACTCCAGCCTGGGTGACAGAGCAAGACTCCGTCTGAAAAACAAACAAACAAACAAACAAACAAACAAACAAAACCCATGGGCGCCTGTAATCCCAGCTACTCAGGAGACTGAGGCAGGAGAATCACCTGGACCCGGGAGGTGGAGGTTGCCATGAGCCAGGATCATCCCACTGCACTCCAGCCTGGGCAACAGAGTGAGATTCTGTCTCAAAAAAAAAAATAATAATAATAATAAGAGGCCAGACACAGCGGCTCAAGCCTGTAATCTCAACACTTAGGGAGGCTGAGGTGGAAAGCTCACTTGAGCACAGGAGTTCAAGCCCAGCCTGGGTAATAGAGCACGACCCTGTCTATAAACAATTTAAAAATGGGGCTGGGGTGGTGGCTCACACCTGTAATCCTGGCACTTTGGGAGGCTGAGGTGGGCATATCATGAGGTCAGGAGTTCGAGAACAGCCTGACCAACATGGCGAAACCCTGTCTCTACTAAAAACTATAAAAATTAGCGGGACATGGTGGCACATGCCTGTAATCCCAGCTACTCAGGAGGCTGAGGCAGGAGAATTGCTTGAACCCGGGAGGTAGAGGTTGCAGTGAGCCAAGATTGCACCACTGTACTCTAGCCTGGGCAACAGAGCGAGACTCCACCTCAGAAAAAAAAAAAAAATTTAAATTAACCAGGAGGCCAGCTGTGCTGGTTCATGCCTGTAATCCCAGCCCAGGAGTTTGAGGCTTTAGTGAGCTTCATCGCATCACTGTACTCCAACCTGGGCAACAGAGACCCCGTCTCTAAAAAACCCAATCATAACAGGACCTGGTTATAGGGCGCTGATGGCAAGTCCCATGCTAAGTGCTTTCTGTGCATTCTTTCCAGTCCTGGGCACCTGGGCGTAGGTGTGGAGGCTTGGAAAGGTGAGGAGGCTGGCCTGAGGTGGACAGCAATCCCGGTCGGCCTGCGCTGAGATCTGCGGCTGTTGGCAGCCACATCATTTGCTATCAAAGTGACTGCGGCTCTCCAGGGGGTTGGAGAGGGCTTTTTCCTTCTGGGATCCCATGACGAGAAAGTAACGGGGAAGGGAGTGGGCCTAGACACCGCTTGGACCCGAGGGCCAAGCTCTTTTCTCAAAGCTCCACAGCTCTGATTCTTCTAGTTGCCCCGGCTGTTTGAAAAATGATCACTCCCCAAGGACAGATCTTGACAATGTCCTTTTAATTGTACTCTTTTCAAAAAATCTCCTTTCTCAGTTAAAAAAGACAAGGCATGATGAAGACCTGCTCTAGCCCATACTGGGCGGTGATCTCGGTCCTGGGGGAGGCCAGGCCGGACTCTTCCAAGGCCTCCTCCCTGGGCAGTCCCAGCAATGGGGCCAGTGGCAGGGCAGGTTCTCCCTGCCAGAACCCGATCCTAGCCCTTCAGAAGGACTGGACCTCTGTGTCCCTTCAGTGGGAAGCCACCTTGGACACACGCAGTCATTCAGGTGGACATAAGGCCACTCTTCTCGCCCTTGACCTTGAGGAACTCAGCCATGCTGGAGAAATACTTCTGGTTGGCCTCAGCCACCTTCTTCTCTGCCGCCTGTGGGTTCACAATCTCCAGGCCCTGGGCAGGTGAGGGAGAGAGGATGATGGGTTAGGTGAGGAGAAGGCCCCAACTGTGACCCATCAGAGCCCCCCAGGCCCTTCCCCATGGCACTCAGGCCTTGGTGGGCATGAGACAGTTTGCCTGTCCCTGGAGTTGCCCTGTCTTGGGAGATTCTGACTCAGTGGGTCTAGAGGGAGAGGGTGGGGAGGAACCAGGGCGCCTGGATTTGTACGAAGTTCCTCAGGGGTGCTAAAAACAACCAATGCTTGAGGACAGCCAATCCTGCCCAGTTTCTGCATAAGGAAACTGAGTCCCTGGGGGACATGGCTGGCCCGAGGTCCTAGCACAAATCACACCAACACCACTGACGATCATAGTGGCAGCAATGGGAGCCAACACCTGGCTGGCACTTCCTAAATATTTTCAAGGCAACAGAGCGAGCCCCCGTCTCTAAAAATAATAACAGGACCCAGTCATTGGGCTCTAATGGTGAGCCCAGTGCCAAGTGCTTCCTGTGCGTTCTTTTCAGTCCTGAGCACCTCATGATGGAGGAGGGGAGGCTTGGAAAGGCACAGCCACTGGCCTCATCTTCTCAAAGAGGCCCTCCCTGGCTGCTCCGAAACGAGAGCCTCCCCTGTCCCACCTCCTACCTTCCACCTCCTCCCCTCCCTGGCATTTCTGCCTTCTTTTTTTTTTTTTTGAGACAGAGTCTGGCTCTGTCGCCCAGGCTGAAGTGCAGTGGCGCGATCTCGGCTCACTGCAAGCTCCGCCTCCCGGGTTCACGCCATTCTCCTGCCTCAGCCTCCCAAGTAGCTGGGACTACAGGCGCCCGCCACCACGCCCGGCTAAGTTT
This sequence comes from Homo sapiens, assembly GCF_000001405.40. Taxonomy (NCBI): domain Eukaryota; kingdom Metazoa; phylum Chordata; class Mammalia; order Primates; family Hominidae; genus Homo; species Homo sapiens. The sequence goes on along the minus strand of NC_000019.10, from coordinate 54,130,471 downwards.
TTGTATTTTTAGTAGAGACGGGGTTTCACCGTGTTAGCCAGGATGGTCTCGATCTCCTGACCTCATGATCCACCTGCCTCGGCCTCCCAAAGTGCTGGGATTACAGGCGTGAGCCACCGCGCCCGGCCTGGCATTTCTGCCTTCTACTACACTGGGCATCTTACTGAGCTGTCTGCGCCCGGCCTGGCATTTCTGCCTTCTCCTACACTGGACATCTTACTGAGCTGTCTGCGCCCAGCCTGGCATTTCTGCCTTCTCCTACACTGGACATCTTACTGAGCTGTCTGCGCCCGGCCTGGCATTTCTGCCTTCTCCTACACTGGACATCTTACTGAGCTGTCTGCGCCCGGCCTGGCATTTCTGCCTTCTCCTACACTGGACATCTTACTGAGCTGTCTGCGCCCGGCCTGGCATTTCTGCCTTCTCCTACACTGGACATCTTACTGAGCTGTCTGCGCCCGGCCACCCACTGGCTCCAAGAAGGTAAGACTTGTCTCTCATTCGTTGCTTCATCCCCAGAGCCGGGAACACTGACAGAACTCAGCAGGTGCTGCGTAGACACCCGCTGACTGGGCAGATGAGCTCGCTGCTGTCTCGCCTCCGTGGTGCAGGCTCGCCCTGCTCTGTGGATGGTAAACCGAGGCTCCGACGATGCGGTGACTGCCATGCTCCACGCTGCTCACTGCTGACTGGCTGGGGCCTGGACCCACACTTGACATCCAAGCCCGCCTAGCCGGGAACTTTCTCGAGTGGGGTCCTGAGGTTACCTTAACCGTCCTGGCCGTTTTGAACTGGAGGGCCTGGAGGCTGAGCAGTGTTACCCGCTCACAGCCCGACAGAGGAACTGGGTGCCCTGAACACAGCTGTGGGCCTGGTTCTAAAGCAGTGCGTGCTCACGAGGACTGCTCAGCGCTGGGCTCTCGTCTCTGCTAACCTCTTCCTGTGTGCCAGGAGCTGTCTACGTCCTCTGCATACCTCGTCACCACACCCTCCACAACAGCCCCATGAGGAGACTCATCCTGGCCTTCTTCACAGGGGCAGAGGGCAAGGGGCCTTGCCAAGGTCTCAGGGCTGGGGACAGAGCCGGCCCAGGGGAGGTACCTGGAGTGGGGTGAAGGCCACGCTGGAGGCCGTGCCCGAGGAGCGGTCGCGGATGGTGGACTTCCCGCCATATACGACGCTCTGCTTCTGCAGGGTCCGCTGTGGGGAGGACAGGGAGGCTGCGATCTGGGCTCCCCCCACCTTGTGTCCCTCGGTCCCCAGCCCCACCTGGGTCTGGCCCATACCTGCAGCGTCTTGGAGATCCTGGCCTTGGTGGCCTCGTTTACCTGTGTCTGCCGCACACGCCCACTGCCCGACTTGCCCAGGTGGCCCAGGCTGAATCCCAGGTCCTCCTGGTAGGCGTCCTCCTCGATCTAGGGGGGAGAGGAGGCGCCCTGCAGTTCAGCGACCAGGCCCTGCCCTCCAGCCACCGAGGCACCCCCTCCACCAGCCCGAAGCCCAGCGGTCACCAGCCGGCCGGTCCCACGGGCACCTGCTCCGGTACCCACTCGGCCCGGCTGAGGCCTGGGGGCCCACACACGCGGGGGATGCTGGGGAGCCTGAGAGGGGCCCGGTCCCAGCACTGCTCTGTGAGCTCAGAGTTGGGAGGCCATTCCTTCCTTACTCGTGTGGGTCGGGGGATGTCAGGAACCAGAACAGGTTTAATAGGATGAGGTGGCCTCTGAGTTCGGTCCTGCAGGACCAAGGGGATGACGCTGGGATAACAGAGGAGACTGGCGGGGCCCAGGGACGGGGCGGCCGTGCAGCAGGGCACTAAGGAGCCTCTGGGCAGGGAGGAACCGGCCAAGGAGCCCGGGGCGATGGGAAGCCGCGGGGGCTCTAAGCAGCGGAGACACAGGCTCCAAGGGTCGCGAGGGTCGCTTTGGGGCTGAACGGATGGAAACGAGAATAGAGGCCGGGGGGGGGGAGGCTGGGGCAGCGCCCTAGACATGAGCCAGGGCCACAGGACGAGAGGAGGGGCGGTGGCAGGAGGCAGAGGGCGGTGGCGGCTGGCTGGCTGTGGGGTTGAGGAGGGCGCTCTGGGAGTCTGACCTCTCCGAAGCTCATACGGTTGGCCTGCTTCCGGATCTCCGTCAGCCCCAGCCGCTCCTTCATCTTGCGGTACCTGGGGACGGGTGGGTGGGCGGCGCCAGGGAGTCGGCTGGGAGGAGGACGCCGGCTTCTCCCCTCCATGACCCCCATGCCTACCGGACCCCCAGGGCCCCTCACCTGCGGCCGCCTCGCTTCTTCCGCTGTCCATCCAGGGGCGCAGGCAGCGGCTTCACCTGCTTCACAGGCGGCGGCTCCTGCCACTTGTCGAATTTGCGCTCGATCTCATCCTTCAGTTCGTAGCCCACCTGGGGAGGGCGAGGGGGAGGTCCTGCAGCTGCTCGCGTGGGCTGCCCACCCAGGCCTCCTCTGAGCGGGCCCCCCGAGTATCCACGTGCCTTAGTTAAATCAGCACCTAATGCTGCCTCACCGCCACCCCCTTTCTTTTTCTTCTTGGTGTTGACTTAGCACCGCTAGACGCAGGACAGAGTTCACCTGTTGACTGTCTCTTTGACCCGGCCCCAACAAGAATGTCCACGCCACGGGGCAGGGGTCCTGTCTGTGCTACTCACAGCTGCACCCCCACACCCAGACCAGGGGTGAGATGGGGAGAGGGAAAGGAGAAGGGGACACGGAACACCTGAACGCTGTGCCAGGCCGGGTGCTTGGCAAACGACAGTTCACAAGACAGAAAACGTCTCCTCTCCCGAGTACATCTACCAAGGAAGACAGAAGGTAACTGAATAATTACTTGAATAACATCCCCTGTTGCAGCGGGGACAGATCCTGGTGTGGAAGGCAAATTACGCCCCCACCAACACACACATGCCCAAAGAGGCCCATGTTCTAATTCCCAGAATCACAGGGCAAAAGGGACGTGAAGAGGTTAAGAAGGATTTTAAGGATTGTGAGCTGGGAAGACTATCCTGGACCATCTGAGTAGGCTCAGTATAGCCACAGGGGCCCTTAAAATAGAAGAGGGGAACAAAAACAGAGGCGGAGATATGAAGACAGAAGCAGAGTCAGAGAGAGGTCTGAGGGTGCTATGTGGCTGGCTCCGCAGACAGAGGGAGGGCCACGAGCTAAGGGGTGCCAGTGACCCCTAGAAGCTGGAAAAGACCAGGGAATGGATTATCCCTTGAATCCCCCAGAAGGAACGCTCCAGGATGACACCCTGACTTCAGCCCAGTGAAACTCATTTTGGACTTCTGACCTACAGGACCACAGATAATAAACCTGTACTGTTTTTTGTTTTTGTTTTTAGATGGAGTCTCGCTATGTCACCCAAGCTGGAGTGCAATGATGCAATCTCAGTTCACTGCAACCTCCGTCTCCCAGGTTCAAGCAATTCTCCTGCCTCAGCCTCCTGAGTAACTGGGATTACAGGTGCGTGCCACCACACCCGGCTAATTTTGGTAGAGATGGGGTTTCACCATGTTGGCCAGGCTGGTCTCAAACTCCTGACCTTGTGACCCGCCCACCCTGGCCTCCCAAAGTGCTGGGATTACAGGCGTGAGCTACTGCACCCGGCCACACCTGCACTGTTTTAAGCCAGTAGGTTCATGCTACCTTCCAACAGCAGACCTAGGAAACCCCACTGGGGAAGGGGGTGCCTGACCCCAGGGAGGGTGGGCAGAAGCACTGCCTCCGCCTTGGTAGGACAGTGCTCGCTGGGGTGGGCTCCCTGCTGAGGGTCTCCCTGCAGAGACACCCCAGGCCCAGAGGAAAAGACGCCCGGCCGCCCCTCACCTTTCCCTCCTCACCTTCCCTTCTGTGCTCTCGTGGAAACTGTCCACACGGGCTGCCAGTGTGCACTTGGCGGCCACCAGCCGGGCCGCTTTCCGCCGCAGATCCTGGAGCAACGGAAAACGGGGGTGGAATCTGTGTGAGACAGACAGACAGAGGTAACAGCAAAGCAACCGCGCGCGCTCCTCCTCTGGCTCTACCTGGGGTCCTGGAAGGGGGCTTTCCACCCTTGGGCTCTAGAGGTGTGTGCTCTCAGCTCCTACTTCACAGGAAGAGGGGATGAGGGCAGGGCACAGAGCCATGTCCCAGCTGATAAGTGGCCATCAGGTAAGGATGACAGTAAGGCACGCTGACAACGAGGACGGTGGTGACTGTGGAGACGCCGGGGGGAGTGCACTCGGCCTGGATGCCAGCCCCATGCTAAGCACGCCCCTCGGATCATCTCATCAAATATTCAAATATCGGGCTGGTGTGATCATTGCACCCCCTTTTCAGATGTGGAAACCAAGGCTTCAAGTCATGTGGCCAGGGAGACAGCCAGCAGGTGATGGAGCCAGGGTTCCAATCCAAACTGCAAACAGAGCCCAGCTGTCAGCCACAGTGAAGCGATGGCCAGCCCTGGCCTCCCTTACAGGCCTGTGGTGTCTACGGCCTGTGCCTGGACCGATGTGAGATGGCCAAATGAAGAGGCAGAGGCCTGGGTGACAAGACATCAGGCTCCCTGGGGCAGGTTTAACCCATATGCCCAGGGCTGTGAGGCGGTGGCGATGGCAGGGGTGCAGTGAGGCAGCTGGAGCCCCGAGCCCCAGGCCCACCCGTCCTGGGTTCTATCGCCCACTCTCTCTCCTCCCAGGATGGGGTGACCTGCCAGCCTCCCTGGGTGTGTTCCAGTAGCAGTGCCTGACCTAAAGGGTCGCAGAAAAGACCACAAAAAAAACCCCACACAGGGCTGGGGGGTGGGGCCAGGAAGTGCCTGCCCAGCCTTGGCCATCAGTGCTATTGTTCTCCCCATCCCTGGGGGAGGCCAGGCAGGGCACAGGGCCGTGAGCCTGAGGTAACTCGCCACAGTTGGACAGAGCAGGGTCTGGACCCAGGCCTGTCTGTCCCAGAACCTGTCTTGCTTGTTTTTTTTTTTTTTTGAGACAGAGTCTCACTCTGTCACCCAGGCTGGAGGGCAGTGGTATGATCTTAGCTCACTGCAACCTCCACCTCCTGGGTTCAAGCGATTCTCCTGCCTCAGCCTCCCAAGTAGCTGGGATTATAAGTGTGTGCCACTATACCCAGCTAGTTTTTTGTATTTTTGGTAGAGATGGGGTTTCACCATGTTGGCCAGGCTGGTCTCGAACACCTGACCTCAGGTGATCTGCCCGCCTCGGCCTCCCAAAGTGCTGGGATGACAGGCACGAGCCACTGCGCCCCGCCAGGCTAGCGGGCCTGTGTGTGTGCTGTCAGGCGTCGATGCTGGGATGGTGATGTGTCCCGACTGCAGGGAGAGGACCCGGGAAGCTCCGAGGTTGGTGACCTCTCCTGCCCCTCCTGTGTGTCTCTCCCCATGGCTGATGTGCAGCCCTCAGTGGATTCTGTGAGTCTTTCTAGTGAATGGTCAAACCTGAGGGTGGTCTTCGGAGCAGTTGCACGCTAACCCGACGCTGCTTGTCGTGAGCTAGGCCTGAACTGTAAGTGCTTCATGTGCACTGAGCCCTCGTCCCAACTCATGAAGCAGGCGCTGTGCTCCCATTTGATAGGGGAGGAGACTGAGGCACAGGGCGCTCATGCCTCTTGCCCACAGTCACCTGACTGGTGGGTGCTGGAGCTGGTCTGCTGCAGAGCCCTGGCTCTCACGTCCCATGCCACCCTGTTCCCAGCTCCTGAGTGCTACCGTCAGCTGGGCCAGATGGTGGGTGGCTGCTCAGGCTGTCTGGGCACAGCGGAAGGCTCCAGGGGGGCCGGGGGAGGGGCCATGACGCAGTGGGCTCACCGGTGGCAGGGACTGCACGATGTCACTGTGGTAGATGTAGCCGGTGTGGGGCAGCACTGAGGTAGACGAGAAGCCCGACAGCGTCTTGCGCTGGGCCCCGAGCAGCATGATGTTGCAGGCGGGCATCTTGGAGAGGTTGGTCAGGCCGCCGGCCACACCTGCGGTGGGAGGGAGGGAGGAAGGGGGGGCGGTCAGAAGAAAGCAGAGAGGTGGGGGTGAGTAAATCTGCCTGGGGGCTCGACGTGTGCTGGGCACCTTTACATGAAGTTCTGGTTGGATTCCTCGATGGCCCTGCCAGGCGGGCGACCTGGCCCATTCCGCAAGGGGCAGATGCAAAGGAGGCTCAGAGAGGGAGGGCAGCTGGCCTGGGGGTGCAGGGAGGAGGCCCCCAACAGGAAGCTGACCACCACGTTTGTGCTAAGCCACACTAACGCCGTTCCAGGGATGGCTGTGTTTTGGAACCATTTTCACCAAACCAGGAGCTCCCTGACAACAGGGCCTGGGTGTGGTCATCTCTGGGTTTCCGGCACAGGGGAGGGAGAAGGAGCTGTGGGTGAGTGTTTTTCCCACAGATGAGGCTTTGCTGTGTGCCAGGCTGGCTGACCTCTGTGATGTCCAGGGAGACGGGGTGCTGAGGTCCAGGTGCCAAAGCCCCCATTCTACAGAAAAGGATGTAGCTTTCCCAAGGTCACAGTGTCAGCAGACCCCCGCTCCATGGGACCCAGCCCGGGGACTCACCCATGATCTTGGCGGCCGTGGATGCCCCGATAATGATGGACAGGTTGGGTGCGATGAAGGACATCCGGGACTCCACATACTCGTAGATGCGGTGCTTGGAGGCGTTCAGCTCCAGCGCCATGTCGCAGGCCTCCTCCAGCCGCTCCAGCTCCTCCTCCGACAGCTGCTGCCTGCAGGGGCGGGTGGGCCCAGCCTCCTGGGTCTCCCGCCTGCCTGGTGTGCCCAGCCCCAGCCCTCTCGGTTCTGTGTGTGTGTGTGCATGTGTGTATGTGTGTGTGCGTGTGTACACCTGCGTGTGTAGCTCCAGCCTAATCCCCAATCCCATTAGGGCCCGGCGCCTCCCTCGAAGCGGACATACCCCTGGGTGGTGGAGGCGGTGACGCTGACGACCATGATGGTGGCATTGGTGAGGATCTGCTGCAGGTTCTCATTGTTCTTGCACTTGTCCAGGCTGTTGCCCAGCTCCTGGGGGCGAGCAGAGAAGATAGGGGAGGCTCGGGAACTCAGGAAGGCTCGAGAACCTCTCTTGCTCAGCACCTCCTCAGGTCTCTTCTTAGGGACACTGGGACAGTCAGGGTCTCTGCACTGGGGGCCTCTCCTGCCTCCACCGCCTGAAGCATCCACACCATTCCTGCCTCCACCACGTCAAGCATCCACACCATCTGCCCTGCTTTCGCTGACCTGGAAACGGAGCCCGGGCAGAGTGGCGTCTGGAAAGACTGTGGCCTCACAAGCCTCTGGCCTGCGTCAAGTCGGAGTGCAAATCCGCGGCCTCGCTTCCCTGCAGGGGCTTCCCCACCGCCATCCTAATCCTTTCCTGGACATGCGTGGGGACCTCCTCCTCTCCCCGCCCTCACGCACACCTGCCCCTCTTTTCCGAAACCCTTCCTTGGCTTTCTCCTAAGACCCAAAGGCTGGACGTGATCCGACCTCTTCCCCGTCCCCTCCTTCCCCGCCTCACTTCCTCCCCACTTGTTCCCTCTCCAGCTCTCTGCACTTAGACGTCTCTCTCCCCCAAATCTCCGTGTGCCTGCCCTGTGTCAACCTTCGGATGTCAACTCCAATGCCACCGGCTCCAACCACAGCGGGAGCAGCGTGGGTCAGGCCAGCGGGGAAGCCCTCTCGGGAGACTGGGGTTGGAGGGGAGCCCTGAGAAAGTCCTGTCCAGGCTCCGTCCCTCCCACGCTGGGCAGAGCAGACCACTGAGCCCTCGTCCACTCCTCTCCATCGTCTCCAGACCCTCAGGCCTCTGGGAGGGGGTCCGAGAGTGAGCCCCGCCTGCCCCTTCACGCCAGCAGAAGCACCCCACCTTCTCTGCGCTCACCTTGACCGTGCGGATGTAATCCAGTGCATTGGGGACCAAGGACTCCAGTTCAGGGAATCTCTTTGAGTACTTATCCCGGATGAACTTATGGATGATGTCTAGGGTAAACGGGACAGGAGGTTGTCGGGTGAGATGGAAGGTAGACTCTGCTGGTTGGCCCTAACACCCATGTCCCCTTCTTCCTTTAGTAACTGAAGCCCTGGCTTGTGGCCTGGCACACGGGCACCAGCATACAGCCTTTCTCAGCCGTCCTTACCGCTAGGTGTGACCAGGGGAATTAGTTCTGGTCTGTAAAACGTGAGCTGCAGTGACATGTTCTTAAAGAAAAGAAGCGCCTTGCTGGTGGGAATGCGGAGGTGATGGCTGGAGGTGGGGCAGTCACCTCGCACCGTGAGGCAGGTGGCCGACCAACAGGATGGAAAGAGCCGGGGCCCTACAGGCAGCCAAGCGGCCACACCATCCCCGAGTGCTCCTCAGACTCATACGCGAGAGAACGCACTTCCTTCTTATTTCAGCCACTCTGTGACAGCAGGTCAACCTCGATCTGAGCTTGGGCTTAGGGGCAGGACCCTGGGAAAGGCCAGTGGGGAAGGGAGAGGGGGCGTGAGGGACGTCACACGGGGCTGTCTCCGCCTGCCCCCCAGCACTCACTCAGCTCGTTTTCGATCTCCACGGTCAGGTTGTTGGCATCCACGATGACGCGGTATTCAGGCGCGGCCTCCACTGGTCCCATCACTGTGAGGACACGGAGGCATGGGTGTGAGTATCTAAATCCCTACCCCCTCTCGGGTCCCGCAGCTGGAGGAGGCGGAGGATGAAGTTGGGAGGGGTCAGGAAGGAGGGGCTGAAGAGTAAACCAGGGACAGGCTGATGTCTGCAGACATCCCTGAACTTGTGTTCCTGCCTTCAATCCCTCTCCCTCCACACCAGTCTAGACTTGACCCCATCTACCCCAGAACTGACCGTGTGAAACCTCCTACGGCTCCCCACAGCCCCAAGGCTAATGACCGAGTCCTCAGACTGACATTCAGGGCCTCCCCAACTCCGGAAGCTCTGCAGGGACCAGTGCTGTGCCTGCGTTGGCTGTACCCACAGCCGAGTACCCAGGACAGCACCTGGCACACAGGGAGTTCCCCCGTTCCTGTTTGCTGACTCAGCAGCTCTGCAGTCTGGCCTCCCGCCCTTCCCGCCCCATCCTCTCACCACACCTCATTTTATTCCACTCCAGCCATAAAGGAGTGATCACAGTGCCCCAGACACCCACTCCTCCTAGCCTTTTTTTTTTTTTTTTGAGACATAATTTCGCTCTGGTTGCCCAGGCTAGAGTATAGTGGCATGATCTCAGCTCACTGCAACCTCCGCCTCCTGGGTTCAAGCGATTCTCCTGCCTCAGCCTCCTGAGTAGCTGGGATTACAGGCATGTGCCACCATGCCCGGCTAATTTTTTTTGTTTGTTTGTATTTTTAGTAGAGACGGGGTTTCACCATGTTGGGCAGGCTGGTCTCGAACTCCCGACCTCAGGTGATCCATCTGCCTTGACCACCCAAAGTGCTGGGATGACAGGCGTGAGCCACCGCGCCAGACCCCTCCTGGCCTCTGCATGTGCTGCTCCCTCTCCCCAGAGCATCCCTTACCCCACGTCTGTTTCTGGAAAACGCTTCTTTGTGCTTTAGTAATAAGAGGTCAGGCACAGTGGCTCATACCTGTAATCCCAGCACTTTGGGAGGCTGAGGCAGGAGAACTGCTTGAGCCCAGGAGTTGGAGAGCAACCTGGGCGACATAGGGAGACCCCATCTCTACACATAATTAAAGAAAAAAAATTAGCCAGGCATGGTGGTGTACACCTGTGGTCCCAGCTGCCTGGGAGGCTGAGGCAGGAACGCCTGAGCCCACAAGGTCAAGGCTGCAGTGAGCTGGGATCGTGCCACTGCATTCTGGCCTGGGTGACAGAGTGAGACCCTGTCTCAAAAAACAAACAAACAAAAAGATGTTGTGTTTAAAAGTCATGCAAATACTAACTGCCTGATGTCACAGCCAGTAGAAGGCAGAGCTCAGATCTGACACCAGGCAGGGCGGCGTCAGAGTCTGCACTCCTAACCCTGATGCTCAAATGGCTCTTTAAGTCCTTAAGACTCAGGCAGCGACTCAGAATCCTTCCCTCCCTTTCTGGAAGGATCAGACGCCTCCTCTGTGTACCCGCAGCACTTGTGCACCTCCAGTAAACAGGGACTGCCACAGCTTGTGAGATGTTTCACCTCTGCCTCCTCAACCAGACACCGGGTGTGACGGGGTCTGACTCCATCCCTGAGCCTGGCCTGACATCAGGAAATGTCACTTTCTGTGTCCCATAACCCTCTGGAGGGAGAAATTCCTTGGCCTGGCATCTGGAACTCTGCAGGATTCTCTCTCCGGATATCTGAGGCCCCGGGCCTGCCGCTGTCTTTCCCTGGGCCCCCTTCTCCCTTTCTTTGCCTGGCACATGCATTCATGCTCTACAGTCCAATTCAGCTATCGATTCTTCCTGACACCTGGGGCAGGGTCAGCCAGTCCCTCCTGTGGCTCCGGTGTCCCCAGCTTGGTACCACCACTGATAGCTGTCTGGAACCTGGCCTGCCTCTTCCACTAGACCTTGAGTACTTTGAGAGCAAAGACCTGGGCGATTCAACTGGGTGCCCAGGTAAACGTTAAAGAAAGCAAGCAGTGAGTCTCCCGAAACTCTGCCCTCTCACTACACTTCTTTCCCCAGAAACCTCCTATGGCTTCCTGTCATCAACAAATTCCATTCAAGAAGAATGGGAAGGCTGGGCGTAGTGGCTCATGCCTGTAATCCCAGCACTTTGGGAGGCCGAGGTGGGCGGATTACTTGAGGTCAGGAGTTCGAGACTAGCCTGGTCAACATGGTGAAACCCCATCTCTACTAAAAAATACAAAATAGCCAGGCATGGTGTTGCATACCTGTAATCCCAGCTATACATAAGGCTGAGGGAGGAGAATCGCTTGAACCCGGGAGGTGGAGGTTGCAATGAGCCAAGAACACATCACTGCACTCCAGCCTGGGCGACAGAGGGAGACTCTATCTCAAGGAAAAAAAAAAAAGAATAGGAATGGTAACAGGACTGCCCTCTTAAGAGTGAGTCTGAGCACTCATGAGATAAGCTAGTGTTCTCTCAATTTGGGCATGAGAAAAGGTTTTAGGTTATTTTTTTTTTTTTTGAGACGGAGTCTTGCTCTGTCGCCCAGGCTGGAGTGCAGTGGCACGATCTCGGCTCACTGCAAGCTCCGCCTCCCAGGTTCACGCCATTCTCCCGCCTCAGCCTCCTGAGTAGCTGGGACTACAGGCACCCGCCACCACGCCTGGCTAATTTTTTGTATTTTTAGTAGAGACGGGGTGTCACCGTGTTAGCCAGGATGGTCTCGATCTCCTGAACTCATGATCCACCTGCCTCCGCCTCCCAAAGTGCTGGGATTACAGGCGTGAGCCACGGCGCCCGGCCTTAGGTGGTTCCTAAATAATTATATATCTATTTTTATACAGTGACTTTGTCTTTGCCAAATGATACCAGTTTTCCATTCATGGTAGCAATTTGCTTCCTTCTCAGATAAATTTAAGAAAAAAAGTCCTAGACTCAAAGAATATGTTAAGCAAATAATAGGATAAGCGGCTTATAGATGTGGCAAAAACCCTGTAACCGGTCATGTGAATCAGTGAAGTCTGGGAAACCTCAAGCTGAGTCCTATCATGATCAGTAAGCTCAGCACACAGGAAGGACTTAAGAAGCATGAGCTTTACAATGCAATATATATTTAGTGGAAAAGGGAACGGGTTGGGGTGAAACAAAAAAAAAAGAAGGCTCTGGAAAAGGCTGAGAAGGAGATATACCCAGCCACAAGCAGCCAGGGAGCCAGGGGGCCTGGCAGGAGAGACAGGAGATGGGGAGGGGCACAGAGTGGGAGGAAGCACCTTCTGAAGCTTTGGCTTGCTTGCTGATATACTCCTCAATCTTCATCATAATCTCAGCAAACTGTAGGAAAGGAGAAGACAGTCAGAATCCAGCACTCTTCAAAAAGAAGCCTGTATCACCCCCTTCTGGGAGATTCTGTCTAGAGCCCCCTGCTAGGAACACCTCTTGTCCTCTTACCATCTTACTATCCCATAGCTTGGCGATGGTCTTGACTGAATCCCCGGAAAGATCCAGCTGTGTCTCCTCCTGCACATCCTCGATCGCTGGCTCCTCTTCTTCCTCCCCATAGCTTCCTCCTTCCTCCTCTTCTGCTGCCTCTTCGAGATCAGCTAAGAGCTCATCTGCCAGAGACATCCCGAGGCCTGGGGAGGGACAGCAGCGTTCCCTAAAAACTTGCCCCGACAAAGTCCCTCCTTATTACTGAGCGATGATTCTCCCCCAGAAGACCCTGGTCCTTCTTTATCAACCCCACTAGCATGCAGGCTCCACGACAACAGGTGCTTTAGTTTGTTTTGTTCACTGGCGAGTCTCCAGCTCCGACCTGTGCAAGACGCAGCACACCCCTATGACCGCCACCTTGCTAAGACTTACTGGAACCAAGTGGTGTAGATTCCAAATGCATTTGCAAACTTTCTTATTCCTTTCTTGCCTTTAGCCTTGAAAACATACTTTGAAATTCTTTGTTTCCCTCCTTTCCCACTAGATACTGTCTTGCACTGCTGGCTTATCTATGTGCTTACTTAGAAGTTCCAGGGGCTAATCTTTATTTATTTATTTTTTAAAGATGGAGTCTGGCTCTGACACCCAGGTTGGAGTGCAGTGGCGCAGTCTTGGCTCACTTGCAACCTCCACCTCCTGGGTTCAAGCGATTCTCCTGCCTCAGCCTCCTGAGTAGCTGGGACTACAGGCACCTGCCACCATGCCCAGCTAATTTTTTTTTTTTTTTTTTGTAGAGTCAAGGTTTCACTATGTAAGCCAGGCTGGTCTTGAACTCTTGACCTCAAGTGAGCGACCCACCTTGGCCTCCCAAACTGTTGGGATTACAGGCGTAAGCCACCGCGCCTCGCCGCAGGGGCTAATCTTGAAACAAACTAGGTATGGAAACCCAGCTGCAAAACTCCAGAGATCACCTCAAGGCGATCAATCTACAACGTGGCCATTGTTGACTTGACACCAGCCCATGCTCCAGGTGGCCCGTGACTCAAGACAGCCTTCGGAGCAAGACACACATACCTTGTACCCAGCACCACTCCTGTATGCCTCCCATTCAAAGTTCCCCTTTTTAAGCCCCTCTCCCCAGCCTAAAGCTTGAAATGGTCTTCTAAAGACATTAGCTTGGCCATTTCTCATCTGCGAGCATTTGATCAGTAAAGCTGCTTTACTTTCACCACCCCCCACTTCCTCTGCCTCTGAGTAGCAGAAACTTGAGTTGGTTACATTATCGGTCTCTTCCCGCCTCCAGGTCTTTGTACAGGAGTCCCTTGTAACTAAAGTGGCCCTTTCCTTCACTTTGTTTTTTCTTTTCTTTTCTTTTTTTTGAGACCATGTCTTGCTCTGTCACCTAGGCTGCAGTGCAGTGGCGCCATCATAGCTCACGGCAGCCTCGATCACCTGGGCTCAAGCGATTCTCCCGCCTCAGCCTCCCGATAGCTGAGATGACAGGCACGCACCAGCACGCCCGGCTAATTTTTAAATTTTTCTGTAGAGACAGGGTCTCACTGTGTTGCTCAGGCTGGTCTCAAACTCCTGGGCTCAAGCGATCCTTTCGCCTGGGCCACCCAAAGTGCTGGGATTACAGGAGTGAGCCATGGCGTCTGGCTCTCCTCACTTCTTAGTAGCCCAGCATCTCCTCAGCCTTCAGCTCTCACGTTCCACCTCCCTGACCCACACGCCCCACTCTAGACTACAGGAGGTTGCTTTGTGATAACGTGTCCCGCACGCTCTGCGTGTCTACAGTAAGGCACTTCACACATTTGTGATTAATGAAGTAATTATTTGATAAAGCCTGTCTGCCAGGCATCAACCAAAGCTCTAAGAGGGTAGCGAACAATTTTTGCTCCTTCCACATCCCCAGGGCCACACCATGGTAGGCGCATATTAAGACTTTTGGGTAAACAGGCTGTAAAAGGCCGGGAGCGGTGGCTCATGCCTGTAATCCCAGCACTTTGGGAGGCCCAGGCGGGTGGATCATCTGAGGTCAGGAGTTGGAGACCAGCCTGGCCAACATAGTGAAACCCCGTCTCTACTAAAAATACAAAAAACTAGCCGGGCGTGGTGGTGCGCGCCTGTAATCCCAGCTACTCGGGAGGCTGAGGCAGGAGAATCGCTTGAATCCGGGAGGCGGAGGTTGCAGTGAACCGAGATCGCGCCACTGCACTCCAGCCTGGGCAACAAGAGCGAAACTCCGTCTCAGACAAAACAAACAAACAACTGGCCAGGCGCGGTGGATCATGCCTGTAATCACAGCACTTTGGGAGGCCGAGGCGGGCGGATCACGAGATCAGGAGTTCGAGACCAGCCTGACCAACATGGGGAAACCCCGTCTCTACTAAAAATACAAAAATTAGTCAGGGGTGGTGGCGGGCGCCTGTAATCCCAGCTACTCTGGAGGCTGAGGCAGAAGAATCGTTTGAACCCGGGAGACGGAGGTTGCAATGAGCCGAGATCGCGCCACTGCTCTCCAACCTGGGCAACAGAACGAGACTCCGTCTCAAAACAAACAAACAACAAAAAAACAAAAACCAAGCTGTAAAGACCC